>NC_000005.10:69484807-70109807 GCF_000001405.40 Homo sapiens | reverse complement strand
ACCTAGAGACCATTCTAGAGATCAAAGCATTTCCCTTTTATAATACTGTCTGTATATTACGGAAGCTCTTTTCACATAATATGACTCGTCTGCGAAAGTTTATGGTTTACTTTGGAAAGAACCAAAGTTTGCAGAAGATACAGAAAACTCCTCTCTTTGTGGCGGCGATCTGTGCTCATTGGTTTCAGTATCCTTTTGACCCATCCTTTGATGATGTGGCTGTTTTCAAGTCCTATATGGAACGCCTTTCCTTAAGGAACAAAGCGACAGCTGAAATTCTCAAAGCAACTGTGTCCTCCTGTGGTGAGCTGGCCTTGAAAGGGTTTTTTTCATGTTGCTTTGAGTTTAATGATGATGATCTCGCAGAAGCAGGGGTTGATGAAGATGAAGATCTAACCATGTGCTTGATGAGCAAATTTACAGCCCAGAGACTAAGACCATTCTACCGGTTTTTAAGTCCTGCCTTCCAAGAATTTCTTGCGGGGATGAGGCTGATTGAACTCCTGGATTCAGATAGGCAGGAACATCAAGATTTGGGACTGTATCATTTGAAACAAATCAACTCACCCATGATGACTGTAAGCGCCTACAACAATTTTTTGAACTATGTCTCCAGCCTCCCTTCAACAAAAGCAGGGCCCAAAATTGTGTCTCATTTGCTCCATTTAGTGGATAACAAAGAGTCATTGGAGAATATATCTGAAAATGATGACTACTTAAAGCACCAGCCAGAAATTTCACTGCAGATGCAGTTACTTAGGGGATTGTGGCAAATTTGTCCACAAGCTTACTTTTCAATGGTTTCAGAACATTTACTGGTTCTTGCCCTGAAAACTGCTTATCAAAGCAACACTGTTGCTGCGTGTTCTCCATTTGTTTTGCAATTCCTTCAAGGGAGAACACTGACTTTGGGTGCGCTTAACTTACAGTACTTTTTCGACCACCCAGAAAGCTTGTCATTGTTGAGGAGCATCCACTTCCCAATACGAGGAAATAAGACATCACCCAGAGCACATTTTTCAGTTCTGGAAACATGTTTTGACAAATCACAGGTGCCAACTATAGATCAGGACTATGCTTCTGCCTTTGAACCTATGAATGAATGGGAGCGAAATTTAGCTGAAAAAGAGGATAATGTAAAGAGCTATATGGATATGCAGCGCAGGGCATCACCAGACCTTAGTACTGGCTATTGGAAACTTTCTCCAAAGCAGTACAAGATTCCCTGTCTAGAAGTCGATGTGAATGATATTGATGTTGTAGGCCAGGATATGCTTGAGATTCTAATGACAGTTTTCTCAGCTTCACAGCGCATCGAACTCCATTTAAACCACAGCAGAGGCTTTATAGAAAGCATCCGCCCAGCTCTTGAGCTGTCTAAGGCCTCTGTCACCAAGTGCTCCATAAGCAAGTTGGAACTCAGCGCAGCCGAACAGGAACTGCTTCTCACCCTGCCTTCCCTGGAATCTCTTGAAGTCTCAGGGACAATCCAGTCACAAGGTATACCTGTATATATTTTGGATGACTATTCTGATGTATAATTTCTTTTTCTTACTTTAAGTGGTTGAAAACTTCTGAGGCCATGAAAGCATGCATGCTCATTGATAGAACAGATATAAAATAAACCTTCACTAATTTTTTTTGACAGTAGCATGAATTAGTGAAAAGTCCTTGAATAATAGAATGGTTTTCAAATAACTCAGACAAAATGAATAAAATATTTATATTAAATTATTGAAGGTTCTTAATAAAGACATGAATTATCTGTTATTAGTAAAAGAATTAGCTATATGTAAGATGATGCTTAGAAATTACCTTCACCCTAGCTGCCTAAAGGAAGAAAGGCCTGTAGTCCCTGGGAAATAAATAAATTAATGGGAAATAATATCTTCATCTATTTGTGTCTTAACTCCTCTAAGCACTATTTGATAGTTTTCAGTGTAGACTTAACCCATCTTTCATTAAATTTATTCCTAGATACTCATATCTTTTGAAAGTATTGTAAATGTCATTAAAAATATTTTTTCATTTTCTAATTGTTGCTAGTATTGCTTTGGTCTTAAGCAGTTTGACTGTTATATGCCTAGGTGTGCTTTGCTTTGTATGTATCTTGCTTGAGGTGCACTGAACTTTTTTGGAATGTGTGGGTTGACATTTACCAAATTTAGAAAATTTTTCATCTTTTTTCAAGTACTGTTTTATTATGGTAAAATACATGTAACAAAGCTTACATTTTAATCATTTTAAGTGTACAACTCAGTGGCATTAAGCATTCACTATGTTGTACAACCATCACCACTATCCATCTCCAGAACCTTTTCATCATCCCAATTAAACAATAAATTGGGCCGGGCGCGGGGGCTCACGCCTGTAATCCCAGCACTTTGGGAGGCCGAAGAGGGTGGATCGCCAGAGCTCAGGAGTTTGAGACCACCCTGGGCAACATGGTGAAACCACATCTCTACTAAAATACAAAAAATTAGCTGGGCGTGGTGGCATGCGCCTGTAGTCCCAGCTATTCGGGAGGCTGAGGCATGAGAATCACTTAAGCCTGGGAGGCAGAGGTTGCAGTGAGCCCAGATCATGCCACTGCACTCCAGCTTGGGCTACCGAGTGAGACTCCGTCTCAAAAAAAAAAAAAAAAAAAAAAATCTTCCCTCCCACCAGCCCCTGATAACTTCTCTTCTATTTTCTGTCTCTATGAATTTGCCTCTTCTAGATATTGTTTATAAGCATTATCACTTGTCTGGCTTATTTCACTTTGCATACTGTTCAAGGTACATCATGTTGTAGCCTATATTGGAATTTCATTCCTTCACATGTACTCCATAAATATGTACAATTATTATGTATCAACTTTGAAAAGGAACTTCATCCTTTTTATAGCTAATATTCCATGGTATGTATATAGTACATTTTGTTTATCCATTCTGCTGCTGAGAGACACTTGGGTTGTTTCTACCTTCTGGCTATCATAAATAATGCTGCAATGAACACTGGCATTATAAGTATCGGTTTAAGTTCTTGCTTTTAATCATTTTGGGTATATACCTAGAAGCAGAATTGCTGATTCATATGGTAGTTCTATGTTTAACTTTTTGAGGAACTTGCACAGTAGCTGCACCATCTTACATTCCCACTATCCATGTACAAAGGTTCCAATTACTCCACATCCTCTTCAGCACTTGTTAATTTTTGTTTTTGTGGAGACAGAGTCTAATTCTGTCACCCAGGCTGGAGTGCAGTGGCGAGATCTTGGCTCACTGCAACCTCCACCTCTCGGGTTCAAGCAATTCTCCTGTCTCAGCCTCCTGAGTAGCTGGGACTACAGGTGTGCACCACCATACCTGGCTAACTTTTGTATTTTTAGTAGAGATGGGGTTTCGCCATGTTGCCCAAGCCGGTCTCGAACTCCTGAGCTCAGGCAGTCCAGCCACCTTGGCCTCCCGAAGTGCTAGGATTACAGGCATGAGCCACAGTGCCCGACCTGTTTTTGTTTTCATTGTTGTTTTTCAGACAGTGTCTTGCTCTATTGCCCAAGCTGGAGTGCTGTGGTGCAATCATGGCTCACTGCAGCCTCAACCTCTTGAGCTCAGGTGATCCTCCTGCCTCAGCCTCCTGAGTAGCTGAGACTACCAGCATGCACCACCGTGCCTGGATAATTTTTTATTTTTTGTAGAGACAGATTCTTGCTATGTTGCCTAGTCTGGTCTTTTTTCTTTTTCTTTCTTTTTTTTTTTTGAGATGGAGCCTCGCTCTGTCCCCCAGGCTGGAGTGCAGTGGCGCAATCTCGGCTCACTGCAAGCTCTGCCTCCTGGGTTCACGCCATTCTCTTGCCTCAGCCTCCCAAGTAGCTGGGATTACAAGCTCCCGCCACCACACCCAGCTAATTTTTGTATTTTTAGTAGAGATGGGGTTTCACCATGTTGGCCAGGCTGGTCTTGAACTCCTGACCTCAGGTGATCCACCCACCTCGGCCTCCCAAAGTGCTGGGATTACAGGCATGAGCCACCGTGCCTGGCCCCTAGTCTGGTCTTGAACTCCTGGGCTCAAATGATCCACCCACCTTGGCCTTCCAAAGTGCTGGGATTACAGGTATGAGCCACCTCACCCAGCCCATTTTGTTTTGTGATTATCATAAAGCCGTTCTAGTAGTTGTGAAGTGGTATCTCATTGTGGTTTTGATTTGCATTTCTCTAATGCAAATCATGAAAATGATGTTAAGTATCTTTTCACTTTTTGAAAAAATATGTTTGCTCATTTAAAAATTGTTGTTGTTTTTGTTGCATTGTAAGAGTTATTTGTATATTCTGGATTTCAACCTGTTATCAGATACACAGTTTGAAAATATTTTTCCCATTCCATAGGTTGTCATTTTACTTTATTTATAATGTCCTTTGTGCACGAAAGTTTTAAATTTTGACGAAGTCCAATTTATCTGTTTTTTTCTTTTATTGCTGGTCCTTTTGGTGTCCTATCTAAGAATCCATTGCCAAATCCAAGGTCATGAAGATTAACTCCTATGTTTTTTCTAAGAGTTGTGTGATTTCAGCTTTTATATTTAGGTCGTTGATCCATTTTGAGTTGATTTTTTTTACATGGTGAGGGATAGGAATCCAACTTCATTCTTTCGCATGTGCAAATCCAGTTGTCCCCAACCGTTTGTTGAAGAGATGCTATATTTCTTTTCTCTTCTTTTTTTTTTGAGACGGAGTCTCACACTGTAGCCTGGGCTGGAGTGCAATGGCGCGATCTTGGCTCACTGCAACCTCCGTCTCCCAGGTTTATGTGATTCTCCTGCCTCAGCCTCCTGAGTAGCTGGGATTACAGATGCACACCACCATACCCAGCTAATTTTTTTTTTGTATTTTTAGTAGAGACGGGGTTTCACTATGTTGGCCAGACTGGTCTCAAACTCCTGACCTCGTGATCCGCCCGCCTCAGCCTCCCAAAGTGCTGGGATTACAGGCATGAGCCACTGCGCCTAGCCGAGATGCTGTATTTCTTTTTGTGAGTCTGAAGAGTAGCACAGGGCTTCCCATACAGTGCATAAGCTGCAAAAAGCAATATCTTCATATATGTATTCTTTAAAAAAAAAAAAGAATGTTTTATGGTATGTGGAAGGTTTGCATGTGAAAATAGCTGGATGAATCAAAATGACAGTTTTAAAATGTCCATTCAGAACTCTTTAGATTAATAATGGGAAACTGTGCTGCTTTCCAGACCAAATCTTTCCTAATCTGGATAAGTTCCTGTGCCTGAAAGAACTGTCTGTGGATCTGGAGGGCAATATAAATGTTTTTTCAGTCATTCCTGAAGAATTTCCAAACTTCCACCATATGGAGAAATTATTGATCCAAATTTCAGCTGAGTATGATCCTTCCAAACTAGGTAAGGATGGCACTTTAATATACTTGTTTTTACGTAAGTTGGAAAAGCTACTTGGCCAATAATTTATTTAAGAGTTAAAGTGCCTGTGGTTCTAAGGGTGTAGCCTGTATCCATGGTAAATTGTGAGGAATAGCACTCTTTCTCATTAAGAAAGCAGAGTGCTGTTTGTAATTATTGAGCCTTTACTACACACTAGGAAGTATTCTAAGCACTTCACAAATATGAACTCAGTCTTCATACCCACTCTATGAAGTAAAGTACTATTATTATTATTATTATTATTATTTTTTTTTTTTTTTTGAGACAGTCTCGCGCTGTCGCCCAGGCTGGAGTGCAGTGGCACGATCTCGGCTCACTGCAAGCTCCTCCTCTCAGGTTCACCATTCTCCTGCCTCAGCCTCCCAAGTAGCTGGGACTACAGGTGCCTGCCACCACGCCCAGCTAATTTTTTGTATTTTTAGTAGAGACGGCGTTTCACCGTGTTAGCCAGGATGGTCTCGATCTCCTGACCTCATGATCTTCCCGCCTCGGCCTCCCAAAGTGCTGGGATTACAGGCATGAGCCACCGTGCCTGGCCAAAGTAAAGTACTATTATTAATGCTATTTTGTAGCTGGGAAAACTGAGACATAAAGAGATAAAGTAATTCGTAATATCCAGCTAAGGAAATGTATATCTGTGACTCAAATACAGGAATTTTGACTCCAAAATCTGAGTTCTTAATCCCTAATATAGGCCGGGCCTGGTGACTCACACCTGTAATCCCAGCACTTTGGGAGGCCGAGAAGGGCAGATCACCTGAGGTCAGGAGTTCGAGACCAGCCTGACCAACATGGTGAAACCCTGCCTCTACTAAAAATGCAAAAATTTGCTGGCATGGTGGCATATGCCTGTAATCCCAGCTACTTGAGAGGCTGAAGCAGGAGAATTACCTGAACCTGGGAGGCAGAGATTGCAATGTGAGCCGAGATCGCGCCATTGTACTCCAGCCTGGGGAACAAGAGTAAAACTCCATGGGGAACAAGAGCAAAACTCCATGGGGAACAAGAGCAAAACTCCATCTCAGAAAAAAAAAAAAAAAAAAAGAAAGAAATCCCTAATATAATGTTGCCACTCCAAAATAATTTGTAGGGTTATTTTATTTTGTTTTTGGTTAGGCTGGTCTTACATTGCAACTTACAGATCTGGCAGCTCAGCAGGAAGGAAATCTGCTAATCCGTAGTCATTGGAAGTATTTCCCTGTTTCTCACCAGCCTATCCTAATAGTTCATGGAAAATGGTGCAGCCATCTTTCTTAAATACATCATTTAGCTAAATGACTTAGGCACCATCATTCCTTAACTTAGTAAACACTGAACACTAAAGATTGAAGAAATATACAACTCTATGGAATTGACATAAAGACTTGCATGCAAAAGCTTCATTGTTGGCCAGGCACAGTGACTCACACCTGTAATCTTAGCACTTTGGGTGGCCGAGGCGGGAGGATCGCCTGAGAGCAGGAGTTCAGCACCAGGCTGGGCAATATAGCAAGACATCGTCTCTACTAAAAAAATAAAAAATTAGCCAAGTATGATGGTGTGCACCTATAGTCCCTAGCTACTCAGGAGGCTGGTAGGATCACTTGAGTCCAGAAGTTCAAGCTTGCAATAAGCTATGATCATGCCACTGCACTCCAGCCTAGGTGATAGAGCAAGACCCTGTCTCAAAAAAAAAAAAAAAATATATATATATATATATGTGTGTGTGTGTGTGTGTGCATACATATATACACCGAAGCTGGAGGTGGTAGTTATATTTGTCAGCAAATTTTGCAACAAATTTAGGTTTTGCTTCAGAGTTGTCATTCCTTTTATGTTTCTTTTTTTTTTTTGAGACAGAGTCTCAATCTGTCACCCAGGCTGGAGTGCAGTGGCACCGTTGTCAGCTCACTGCAACCTCCGTCTCCTGGGTTCAAGCAATTCTCCTGCCTCAGCCTCCCAAGTAGCTGGGATTACAGGCGCCCATCACCATGCCCGGCTAATTTTTTAATATTTTTAGTAGAGACGGGGTTTCACCATGTTGGCCAGGCCAGTCTCAAACTCCTGACCTCAGGTGATCCGCCCACCTCAGCCTCCCAAAGTACTAGGATTACAGGCGTGAGCCACTATGCCCAGCTGTTTCTTTGTATAGTATTCTTTTTTTTTTTTTTTTTTTTGGAGATGCAGTCTTGCTCTGTTGCCCAGGCTGGAGTTTGGTGGCGCAATATCCACTCACTGCAACCTCTGCCTCCTGGGTTCAAGCGATTCTCCTGCCTCGGCCTCCCGAGTAGCTGGGATTACAGCTGCCTGCCACCCACGCCTGGCAAATGTTTGTATTTTTAGTAGAGACAGGGTTTCACCATGTTGGCCAGGCTGGTCTCGAGCTCCTGAGCTCAGATGATCCACCTGCCTCGGCCTCCCAAAGTGCTGGGATTACAGGCATGAGCCACAGCACCTGGCCTCTTTGTATTCTTATTGTGTAAATGTCATGTACAAACTTAGAGTTATTAGGTGTTAAAGCTGAAGGTGATGCTACTGAGTCAATGCCTGTATTTTATAGAAGAGAAAACTGTTACCCAGAGAGGGTCAATAATGTGTCAAAATTCACATTACTTGCTAGTTGCAGAACCTGAACCCAAGCCCAGTGACCTGATTCTTAGATCATGAGATCGTGGTACCTGGTTTTAATTAAGTATTATTGAAACAAAATAATAAACTACTTGGCTAATTTTGATAGAAATTTGCAGTATTTTCTAATTTCTGAAAATCCTTGATCTTTTACAGTAAAATTAATTCAAAATTCTCCAAACCTTCATGTTTTCCATCTGAAGTGTAACTTCTTTTCGGATTTTGGGTCTCTCATGACTATGCTTGTTTCCTGTAAGAAACTCACAGAAATTAAGTTTTCGGATTCATTTTTTCAAGCCGTCCCATTTGGTAAGAGTTATAATATTACAATGGTGGTTTAAAATGTTTCTATGGACACAGAGTCATATTAAGCACTCTTTAAAAAGGGCCATATTTTGAGGCTGGGTGTGGTGGCTCATGCCTGTAATCCCAGCACTTTGGGAAGCTGAGGCAGGAGGCTTGCTTGAGGTCAGGGGTTTGAGACCAGTCTGGGCAACATAACAAGCCCTCCACCTCTAAAAAGCTTTAAAAAAATCAGTCGGGCACAGTGGTACCTATAGTCCCAGCTACTAGGGAAGCTAAGGCAGGAAGATTACTTGAGCCCAGAAGGTTGAAGCTGCAGCGAGCTGTGATGGTATCACTGCACTCCAGCCTGGGTGACACAGACCTTGTCTCTTTAAAAAAAGAAAGAAAGAAAAGAAAAATTGTTTCTCAAATAATAAAGTATAGGTGTTTCCAGAATTTTCTTTTTTACCTTTACGCTCAGTTGGATTTGAAATTTCTAGAATTTTAACAACATTTCTAGTTATCAGAATTATTTTCTGAGCAAAAATTTGTTTTATCTACTTAGTCATATGAATTCAATCTGAATTATTACATTAATTTCTAATTTCTTCATTTTAAAGATGTTACACTTTGCTGTGAGAGATGTAGCTGACATAACTAAATTTTTATTTTCCCTTTCATAGTTGCCAGTTTGCCAAATTTTATTTCTCTGAAGATATTAAATCTTGAAGGCCAGCAATTTCCTGATGAGGAAACATCAGAAAAATTTGGTATGTTTACAAAATAGTGCTTTTTACGTATTCTTATTCTCTTTCTGCCCAGAATCCTTTTTCTCCTATTCTGAATTAGCCACAAGGAAGCAAGATATGCATTAGCTACCCTTGCTTACCAGAACGAAGTGATAGTCATGCTCAACTTCTACCCACCAAATGCCTTCACTACAGTTTTACCTGCAGACTTGATCTCATTCAAAGCAGAATGACTTCTTAGAGTACATATTTGGTCATTATAGCACTATGCAATATAATTGTCAGGTATCTGTTCCAAATATAAGACCTCATAGTTTCAAAGGTTACTAGAATATAGGTAAAAATCTATCTTTTAAGGTTAGGAAAACTCAATACGTGAAAACGTGTATTTCATAAAATGATAGCTATAGAATTTAAATACTTTTTGATTTTTAAAAAACGATTATGAAAGTAATGTATGCTCATGGAAAACATTCTAACAGGAAAAAAAAAAAATAAAGGGAGGCAGTGGAGATAGGGACTGTAGAGCTGTGCTATTCAAAGTGCTTCTCAAACATAAGCGTACATAAAGATTGCCAGGATCCTCCTCTTCCCTTCCTTGGAGGCAGCTAGGTGGGTGGGGGCTGAGGTGGCAGAGGTAGGATCAGGGCCAAGGGGATGGCTGGCATACATCATAGGTTGATTAAGCAAATAATACAGTGAGTATAGCCAGATGCAGTGGCTCACACCTGTAATCCCAGCACTTTGGGAGGCCGAGGTGGGTGGATCACCTGAGGTCAGGAGTTCAAGACCAGCCTGGCCAACATGGTGAAACCCCATCTCTACTAAAAAATACAAAAATTTGCTGGGCGTGGTGGCACATGCCTGTAGTCCCAGCTACTTGGGAGGCTGAGGCAGGAGAATCTCTCGAACCTCGGAGGCAGAGATTGCAGTGAGCCAAGATCAGGTCACTGTACTCCAGCCTGGGTGGCAGAGCAAGACTCTGTCTCAAAAACAAACAAACGAACAAAACAGTGAGTATAATGAGAGCCACGTTTCCTCACAGTTGGAAAAGGAACTTACAAATATTGAAAGGTGAGGCTAGAAAGAGCTTTGAGGTGTTGGATTAGAATTGGAAATATTGGTCTGGCCTCATGGTTTTTTCTAACCTATGAACATACATAGAGATCTCCATATATATACATTGATCTCCACATGTCTATAGATACACACATACATATTTCTCAGCTCAATGGAGAGACTAGAAGGCACTGCAGTAATAATGAACACACCAAGTGCCTAGATACTGATTTCTAAATCCTGTCCTTCCGTAAAGGAACCAGGGTCCTTGCAAAATTGGCTGATTCAAGAACTGAGACAGGGAAAGAAAATGATAAGCCTGGGACATTGATTTATGCTAGAAATTATTCAATATATTTCCATGTGTGAGGCCTCAGAAGTTACCTTTCTAATGATCAAATGATCTATCGTGTGCCATGCTAGGAAGGAGTCGAAGTGAAAAGGAAGGTTCTAAGAGTGGTGGACTGTGAGGCTTTAGGGCCAGGAGGCCGGTGCAGAATCACTGAGCATGACAGCGGGAGGTGGAATGGGAAAGGAGGTGGCTGAAGGCATTGCAGAGCTGGGAAAGGAACCTGCAGGTCAGGAAAAGCTTCATTCTAAACGAGGAATGGAGATTTAATTGGCAGCCTGGACTTTAGTGCAGGAGAGATTGGTTGGTAGGGTGTGGTGGAGGAATTGTCTGGAGGAGCGAGGAAGACGGAAGCATGTGCTGGCCCTTCTCTTGCTTCCTGGACTGTGCATGATGTTTAGACCATACATGATTTTCAGATTACTGTTGCATAGGAACAAAAAGTACAAAGAGAATAGCTTTTTGGTCTTTTCTGACAGCCTACATTTTAGGTTCTCTTAGTAACCTGGAAGAATTGATCCTTCCTACTGGGGATGGAATTTATCGAGTGGCCAAACTGATCATCCAGCAGTGTCAGCAGCTTCATTGTCTCCGAGTCCTCTCATTTTTCAAGACTTTGAATGATGACAGCGTGGTGGAAATTGGTGAGCTAGTGTTTCAGCTTGCATGGAAGCCAGTGGTATAGCCAAGCTTTCTGCTGCAACATGTCTATGTAAACATTTGCCCCTCTAGAAATTTTCAACCCGCTTCCTCATTTTCACTATCATACTGTTCCTTCTAGTGTCCTTCTGTGGATTTAGGCGCATTCTGGTCAGATTTGGAAGTACAAAAAGGTCTCCCATTTGTGGATATACAAGCCCTCAAATCTGCGTTCTTGCCACCTGGTGTTTTAGACACCTGGCCACATACTCTCCTAAGTACTCCTTTTTAAAACTGAAGATGAATATACACACAGAAAAGTACAAAAATCATGTGTACTGCTCACTGAATTTTATTTTCTTATTTTCTTCTTTTTTTTTTTTTTGAGACAGAGTTTCGCTCGTGTTGCCCAGGCTGGAGTACAATGGCACGATCTCGGGTCACTGCAAACTCTGCCTCCTGGGTTCAAGCGATTCTCCTGCCTCAGCCTCCCAAGTAGCTAGGATTACAGGTGAACGCCACCACACCTGGCTAATTTTGTATTTTTAGTAAACACAGGGTTTCACCATGTTGGCCAGGCTAGTCTCGAACTCCTGACCTCAAGTGAGCCACAGTGCCTGGCCTGAGGAACTGAGATTTCTGTCGAGACCTGAAGGGAGAATGGCCCAGGCATAGTTGGTAGAGGAGGAATTGAGACATCATTTCAAACAGAGGTAATCACTTGTGTCATAGCCTGGAGTTAAAGAGAACCAGATATATTTGAAGAACTTGGGGGAAAAAAAGGAATGTCTGGAGCAAGAGGCAGGAGTGAGTTGTGAGAAGAAGACTGGAGAGGAAAGTAAAAGCCCAATTGGAGAGGCTTTGTCGGGTGTGTTACAAGGGCTGGATCTCATTTTCTTACTGCTCAGCACTGTTATTTTACGTTATTTAAAACAGCTGGGAGCGGTGGCTCAAGCTTGTAATCCCAGCACTTTGGGAGGCCGAGGCGGATGGATCACGAGGTCAGGAGATCGAGACCATCCTGGCTAACATGGTGAAACCCTGTCTCTACTAAAAATACAAAAAATTAGCCAGGCGTGATGGCGGGCACCTGTAGTCCCAGCTACTCGGGAGGCTGAGGCAGGAGAATGGTGTGAACCCGGGAGGTGGAGCTTGAAGTGAGCCAAGATCATGCCACTGCACTCCAGCCTGGGCAACAGAACGAGACTCCGTCTCAAAAAAAAAAACAAAAAACAAAAAACAATGACAACTTACAACGTTTTTCTTAAAGGCCTTGTTTCTTCCTCCTTATGAGGAAGAATTTAATAACATTAAATTTTGTGGTCTCTCTCATCCTCATTTACTATAAATTATTTGTGTTTTATTCTTCTCACTACATTAGGTCAAAGCCTTCCTTAGAACTTCAATCTCACACACAGATTTGAGCCAGTAACCCCTGTCGCTCTCCCTCCTGAGAGCAGGTGTTTTCTCTTCCCGGCGCCCAGCAGAGTATGCCTGGCCTATAGTGGGAACTCAGTAAATATTTGTTGACTGAATAAAGAAAACTTACTTTTCTGTAGCTTCTTCTGATGGACAGCTGAGAGGCCATTGTTTGCCTATAGTCAGTAATGCTTAAACTTTACCTGTAGGAGACAGCATTCAGACACATCACAGAACCGGCTAATCACACAATATGAAGTGGGAGTTATGCTGAAACAGGGGAAAGAAGGGAATGGATGTGAAAGACCTGAGTCTTTCTTCAAGTCCCTCCAGAAGTGTCTTTCATGTGGGGGAATGAGAAATATCTCTTGAATGTTACTGAAGATACCTATTCAGGACATAGCTGAAGACATTTTCTCAGTACCTCTGTTGTTTAACCTCAGTCAAGCTACAGCCATGGATTCTAGATTGAAACCAAACTTAACCTTTGCCCAAGTTAGAAAAAAAAAGAGGTTTAGCAATTAAAAACAAGGCTGGGCATGGTGGCTCATGCCTGTAATCCCAACACGTTGGGAGGCCAAGATAGAAGGACTGCTTGAGGCCAGGAGTTTGAGACAAGATTGGGCAACATAGCAAGACCTTGTCTCCATAAAAAATTGAAAAATTAGCCAAGCACGGTGGCTAGTCCTGAGTAGCTAGGACTCAGGAGGCTGAGGCGGGAGGATTGCTTGAGCCCAGAAATTCTAGGCTGCAGTGAGTTATAACTGAACCATTGCACTCCAGCCTAGGCAACCAAGTGACACCCTGTCTCAAAAAAAAAAATTTTTTTTTTTTTAAAAACCCCTAAACCAAACAACAAGAACTCTGCTTGGTACCCATTCCAAAGTCTAGTCAGCCTGTGTTCATTGAGAACACAGGGTGTGCCCGGCTTCCATTTCCTTCAGAGCCCTTAGTCTCAAAAACAGGAGGGTCCCTTCTGGGCAACAGAAATAGGGCATAGCAGTGGACAGTCGGATGACATGGCTTTAGGAATGTCACACCCCCTTCTCTATAAAAGGGGAAGACATAATTGCTACACTCTTTGAAGTCCCTTGTAATTTAGTCTGGATTTTTTTTTTTTTGTTTTCTCTTTTTGTTTTTTAGACGGAGTCTTGCTCTGTCACCCAGGCTGGAGTGCAGTGGTGGGATTTTGGCTCACTGCAACCTCTACCTCCCAGGTTCAAGCTGATTCTCCTGCCTCAGCCTCCCGAGTAGCTGGGATTACAGGCATGTACCACCATATCCGGCTGATTCTTGTATTTTTAGTAGAGATGGGGTTTCACCATGTTGGCCAGCCTGGTCTCGAACTCCTGACTTCAAGTGATCTACCCACCTCGGCCTCCCAAAATGCTGGGATTACAAGCGTGAGCCACTGTGACTTGCCAATTTAGTCTGGTTTGTAGGCATGATGTACCTTGGCATGTGACCTCCTGTGAGACCAAAAGAGAAGCTCATATTTGTCCAGGATGGTGAAACTCTCAGCACAATGGCGTCAGTGCTTTAGGCTTGGCTGTACTTCTTTGGTTTCTGCTTCTCCCTTAGATTTTTGCCAGGTGGTTCTTTATTAACCCATCAGCTCTTTGGGGTTTTTAAGGAGATATTTTCAAAATATTATATTAAGCTGGGCACAGTGACACGTGCTTGTAATCCCACCTACTTGGGAAGCTGAGGCAGGAGGATCACTTGAGTCCAGGAGTTTGAGACCAGCCTGTGATGGCCAGGCGCGGTGGCTCACGCCTGTAATCCCAGCACTTTGGGAGGCCAAGGCGGGTGGATCACAAGGTCAGGAGATCGAGACCATCCTGGCTAACACAGTGAAACCCCGTCTCTACTAAAAATACAAAAAATTAGCTGGGCATGGTGGCGGGCGCCTGTAGTCCCAGCTACTCGGGAGGCTGAGGCAGGAGAATGGCATGAACCTGGGAGGCGGAGGTTGCAGTGAGCTGAGATCATGCCACTGCACTGCAGCCTGGGTAACAGAGCGAGACTCCATCTCAAAAAAAAAAAAAAAAAAAAAAAAAAGAAAGAAAGAAAAAGAGACCAGCCTGTGTTAACATAGCAAGACCCCATTTCAAAAAACAAAATTATATTGAGTACTTCCTACTAGCAGTAGTGGTGGGAGAGGAGGCTGGTTCAAATAACCTTGTCTACCATTATTGAAATGGAAGTCCTTATGATTCTATTTTCATGAATGTTTTGTTCTTGTAGCCAAAGTAGCAATCAGTGGAGGTTTCCAGAAACTTGAGAACCTAAAGCTTTCAATCAATCACAAGATTACAGAGGAAGGATACAGAAATTTCTTTCAAGCACTGGACAACATGCCAAACTTGCAGGAGTTGGACATCTCCAGGCATTTCACAGAGTGTATCAAAGCTCAGGCCACAACAGTCAAGTCTTTGAGTCAATGTGTGTTACGACTACCAAGGCTCATTAGACTGAACATGTTAAGTTGGCTCTTGGATGCAGATGATATTGCATTGCTTAATGTCATGAAAGAAAGACATCCTCAATCTAAGTACTTAACTATTCTCCAGAAATGGATACTGCCGTTCTCTCCAATCATTCAGAAATAAAAGATTCAGCTAAAAACTGCTGAATCAATAATTTGTCTTGGGGCATATTGAGGATGTAAAAAAAGTTGTTGATTAATGCTAAAAACCAAATTATCCAAAATTATTTTATTAAATATTGCATACAAAAGAAAATGTGTAAGGCTTGCTAAAAAACAAAACAAAACAAAACACAGTCCTGCATACTCACCACCAAGCTCAAGAAATAAATCATCACCAATACCTTTGAGGTCCCTGAGTAATCCACCCCAGCTAAAGGCAAACCCTTCAATCAGGTTTATACAGCAAACCCTCCATTGTCCATGGTCAACAGGGAAGGGGTTGGGGACAGGTCTGCCAATCTATCTAAAAGCCACAATATGGAAGAAGTATTCAATTTATATAATAAATGGCTAACTTAACGGTTGAATCACTTTCATACATGGATGAAACGGGTTTAACACAGGATCCACATGAATCTTCTGTGGGCCAAGAGATGTTCCTTAATCCTTGTAGAACCTGTTTTCTATATTGAACTAGCTTTGGTACAGTAGAGTTAACTTACTTTCCATTTATCCACTGCCAATATAAAGAGGAAACAGGGGTTAGGGAAAAATGACTTCATTCCAGAGGCTTCTCAGAGTTCAACATATGCTATAATTTAGAATTTTCTTATGAATCCACTCTACTTGGGTAGAAAATATTTTATCTCTAGTGATTGCATATTATTTCCATATCATAGTATTTCATAGTATTATATTTGATATGAGTGTCTATATCAATGTCAGTGTCCAGAATTTCGTTCCTACCAGTTAAGTAGTTTTCTGAACGGCCAGAAGACCATTCGAAATTCATGATACTACTATAAGTTGGTAAACAACCATACTTTTATCCTCATTTTTATTCTCACTAAGAAAAAAGTCAACTCCCCTCCCCTTGCCCAAGTATGAAATATAGGGACAGTATGTATGGTGTGGTCTCATTTGTTTAGAAAACCACTTATGACTGGGTGCGGTGGCTCACACCTGTAATCCCAGCACTTTGGGAGGCTGAGGCGGGCGAATCATTTGAGGTGAGGAATTCGAGACCAGCCTGGCCAGCATGGTGAAACCCCATCTCTACTAAAAATACAAAAATTAGCCAGGTGTGGTGGCACATGCCTGTAGTCCCAGCCACTAGGGCGGCTGAGACGCAAGACTTGCTTGAACCCGGGAGGCAGAGGTTGCAGTGAGCCAAGATGGCGCCACTGCATTCCAGCCTGGGCAACAGAGCAAGACCCTGTCTGTCTCAAAACAAAAAACAAAACCACTTATATTGCTAGCTACATTAAGAATTTCTGAATATGTTACTGAGCTTGCTTGTGGTAACCATTTATAATATCAGAAAGTATATGTACACCAAAACATGTTGAACATCCATGTTGTACAACTGAAATATAAATAATTTTGTCAATTATACCTAAATAAAACTGGAAAAAAATTTCTGGAAGTTTATATCTAAAAATGTTAATAGTGCGTACCTCTAGGAAGTGGGCCTGGAAGCCATTCTTACTTTTCAGTCTCTCCCATTCTGTACTGTTTTTTGTTTTACTTTCGTGCCTGCATTATTTTTCTATTTAAAACAAAAATAAATCTAGTTTAGCACTAAAATATTAACTGGAGCTACCTCTGGAGGGCAAGAGTACTAGAAGGTGGGATGGATTGTCTTCTTGCTTGTCTGATTTTATATGTAATACCTTTGTAATTAGAAAGGTTGTTAAGCATTATATCAGAATCCAGTCAGGAGACAGAAACCACACAGAAATTTGAATGGGGAAAGTTTAATATACAGATGCTCGGCCTGACGCAGTGGCTCACGCCTGTAATTCCAGCACTTTGGGAGGCCGAGGTGGGCAGATCACTTGAGGTCAGGAGTTCGAGACCAGCCTGGCCAACATGGTGAAATCCTGTCTCTACTAAAAATACAAAAAAAAATTAAAAAAAAAAAAAAAAAGCCAGGCATGGTGGTGTGCACCTGTAGTCTCAGCTACTTGGGAGGCTGAGGCAGGAGAATTGCTTGAACCCAGGAGGCAGAGGTTGCAGTGAGCCAAGATCGTGCCACTGCATTCCAGCCTGGGTGACAGAGCAAGACTCCATTTCAAATAAATAAATAAATAAATAAAATAAGATGCTCCTCAACTTACAACAGGGTTATATCCTGAAAAACCCATTGTAAGTAGAAAATATTGTATGTCAGAAATGCATTTAATATACCTAAACTACCAAACATCATCGCTTAACCTGACCTACCTTAAACACGCTGAGAACACTTATATTAGCTTACAGTTGGGCAAAATCATAAACACAAAGCCTATTTTATAATAAAGTATTGAAAATCTCACGCAATTTATTGAATACTGTACAGAAAGTGAAAAATAGAGGTCGTATGAGTACTTGAGGAACAGTTTCTACTGAATGCGGATCACTTTTGCACCATTGCAAAGTAGAAAAATCCTAAGTCAAGTCATCATGAGTTGGGGACTGTCCGTAAGAGTTATTAACAGAGGATTGGAATGGGGATTGGGTAGTAAGGAATAAAGAGAAGCCTGGGCAGATGCAGGGAACAGCCGATATGGGCTTTTCACCCCAGGCTGAGACAGAACAACTCAAAGAAGAAAGCTCAGGGCTGAGATCCGGGCTGAGATCCAGACTTCGTGTGAGAGGACACAGCTGTGAAAGACAGAGGTTTGCTGAGGCTGTGGAGTTGCAGCTGGAGAAGGTGCTGGGCTTGGGGCACTTTGCAGAGAAGGGACCTTGTGCATGTCAAGGGAAGCCATTCATGTGGGGGTACTGTGCGCTGCTGACCATTGGGTGCTGCTGAAGTTAGGCACCGCCCAAGAAGTGTGCAGCCAGAACGAGGTGCTGCAGAGGCAGAGTGTATGTGCTACAGGAGCTGGTATTGCAGATGGCACAGGTGTTGCAGGTGTCTGCCTAGAGGAGCACAATGGAACCAGGAAAAGCAGCCCTTGCCCCTTCAGTGTGTCAGCAGCACCCTCGATTGACAAAGTTTCACTCTGTGCTTACTGTCATGGGAGAGGTATTTACAGGGCCCAGATCTATTATTACAGAACAGACAATGAAGACTGAATGTGGATATAAGAGGCAACAACTAGCATAACTCATTAAATCTAATAGTGCACACATAAACACAAAATAACCTAGTAATTTCTTAATATTGACTGACAGGATATATGCACGTGATGTATTTATAAATTCATGGAAAACTTATATAAAAAACAGGCAACCATAATTGAGTTTAGGGAGGAGAACAGGATGGCTGGTGGACAGAAAAGGGAGAGAGGGAAGTTTGCTTTTTTTCTCCTGCATACCCTTTTATACCAGTTGAGTTTTGTCCCATGTGTGCATACTATTAAAAAACCATAATACTTGACCAGGTGCAGTGGCTCACGCTGGTAATCCCAGCACTTTGGGAGGCCGAGGCGGGTGGATCACCTGAGGTTGGGAGTTCGAGACCAGCCTGACCAACATGGAGAAACCTTGTCTCTACTAAAAATACAAAATTAGCCACGCATGGTGGTGCCTTCCTGTAATCCCAGCTACTCGGGAGGCTGAGGCAGGAGAATTGCTTGAACCCAGGAGGCGGAGGTTGCAGTGAGCCAAGAACGCGCTATTGCACTCTAGCCTGGGCAACAAGAGCAAAATTCTGCCTCAAAAAAAAAAAAAAAAAAAAAAATCATAAGATTCCATGCAAATTATTTTTCCAGAGCTGCTTCTAACAGCGTTTAGTTCAAGCAGCGGTCAGTAAAGTATGGCCCTGGACTGTCCAGCCCTCAAGCTAAGAATGGTTTTCACATTTTTTAAAGCAACAGAGACTCAGTGGCCTACAAAGCTAAAATATTTACTGTGTTCTTTTACAGAAAACAAACTATTTCTATGACAAAATACTTTTGAATCATAAGCTCATCATGCCCTTTATTCTAGTTTACATCAGTCTTCATAGGACTCCCAAGTCATCCCTCATTGACCTAAAAACTGTCCTCATGGTTGTAAGCCCTCCCTCCCTTCCTCCATCCATCTCTCCCTCTCTCTTTTTCTCCTTCCCTCTCTCCCTTCCTTCCTTTTCTTTCATAAAGAAAAGAGGTTTAGTTGACTCACGGTTCTGCAGGCTTTACAGGAAGCATGGTGCTGGCATCTGCTCGGCTTTTAGGGAGGCCTCAGGAAACTAAAATCATGGCAGAAGGTGAGCACACATGTCACATGATGAAAGCAGAAACAAGTGAGAGACAGTGGGGGGGCAGGGGGCAGGTTTCATACACTTTGAAATGACCAGATCTCACGAGAACTCAGTAACAACACAAAGGTAACACCAAGCCATGAGGGATCTGCCCCCATGATCCAAACACCTCCCACCATGCCCCATCTCCAACACTCGGGATAAAATTCAACATAAGTAGAGATAAATATCCAAACCACATCATTCCACCTCTGGCCCCTCCCAAATCTTATGTCCTTTTCACAATGCAAAATACAACCATGCCTTCCCAACAGTGCCGCAAAGTCTTAACTCATTCCAGCATTAACTCAGGAATCCAAAGTCTCATCTGAGACAAGGCAAATCCCTGCCACCTATGAGCCTATAAAATAAAAAACAAATTATTTACTTCCAACATACAATCAGGGTTCAGGGATTGGGGAAATATTCCCATTAGGGAAAAACCTGCCAAAAAAGGGGGCTATAGGCCCCATGCAAGTTCAAAACCCAGCATGGCAGTCATTAAATCATGAAACTCCACAATGATCTCCTTGGTTTCCATGTGGCACGCTGATATGAGGGTTGGGCTCCCAAGGCCTTGGGCAGCTCTGCTCCTATAGCTTTGCAGAGTTCAGCCTGCTGTCACAGGCTGGGTTGAGTGTCTGTGGCTTTTCCAAGTGCAGGGTACAAGCTGCCAGTGGCTCTACCATTCTGGAGAACAGTAGCCCTCTTCTCACAGCTCCACTAGGCAGTGCCCCAGTAGGGACTCTGCGTGGGGCCTTTAACCCCACATTTCCCCTCCATGCTGCCCTAGTAGAGGCTCTCTGTGAGGGCTCTGCTCCTGCAGCAGGGTTCTGCTTGGACACCCAGGCTTTTCCATACATCCTCTGAAATCCAGGCAGAGGCTACCAAGAATTCACCATTTTTGCATTCTGTGTGCCTGCAGGCTTACCACCTAATGGAAGCTGTGAAGGCTATGGCTTATGCCCTCCAAAGTAACAGCCCAAGCTGTACCTAGGCCCCTTTGAGCCCCTGCTGGAGTTGGAGCCATCTGGATGCAGGGAGCAGTGTTCTGAGGCTGCACAGGGCAACAGGGCCCTGGGCTCAGCCCAGGAAAATATTCAGTCTTCCTTGGCTTCAGGGCCTATGACAGGAGGGGCTGCCCCATAGGTCTCTGAAATGCCTTTGAGGCCTTTTCCCCATTGTCTTGGATATTACCACTTGGATCCCTTTCAGTTATGCAAATATCAGCAAGTGGTTGCTCCACAGCCTGCTTGAATTCCTTGGAGAAAATGGTTTTTTTTTTTACCACCTGGCTAGGCTGCAAAATTTCCCAACTTTTAGGCTCTGCTTCCTGTTTAAATGTAAGTTCCAAATTTAAGTCATTCATTTGCCCCCACATCTGAGCACAGGCTGTTAGTAGCAGAAGGCCACATCTTGAATGCTTTGCTGCTTAGAAATTTCTTCTGCCACATACGCTAGGTCATAGTTTTTAAGTTCAAACTTCCACAGATCCCTAGGACACAAGCAGAATGCAGCCAAGTTATTTGCTAAGGCATAACGTGTGACTTTTGCTCCAGTTCCCAATAAATTCGTTTCCTTTTGAGACCTTGTCAACCTGGACTTCACTGTCCCTATCACCATCAGCATTTTGGTCACAACCACTTATCTAGTCTCTAAGAAGTTCCAAACTTGCCGGGAGCGGTGGCTCACGCCTGTAAACCTAGCACTTTGGGAGGTCGAGGTGGGTGAATCACTTGAGGTCAGGAGTTCGAGACCAGCCTGGCCAACATGGTGAAACCCCATCCCTACTAAAAATACAAAAATATTAGCCAGGCATGGTGGTGCATGCCTGTAACCCCAGCTGCTTGGGAAGCTGAGGCAGAAAATCACTTGAACCCGGGAGGCAGAGGTTGCAGTGAGCCAAGATCACGCCACTGCACTCCAGCCTGGGCGACAGAGCAAGACTCCGTCTCAAAAAAAAAAAAAAAAAAAAAAAAAAAAAAAGTTTGAAACTTACCCTCATTTTCCTGTCTTCTTCTGAGCCCTGTAAACTCTTCCAACCACTACTCATTACCCAGTTCCAAAGCTGTTTCCACATTTTCAGGTATCTTTATAGCAATGCCCAACTTCTCGGTACCAATTTTCTGTATTGGGGCATTCTTGCACTGCTATAAAGAAATACCTCAAACTGGGTAATTTACAAAGAGGTTTAATTGGCTCATGGTTCTGCAGGCTTTACAGGAAGCATGGTGCTGGTATCTGCTTGGCTTCTAGGGAGACCTCAGGAAGCTTACAGTCATGGTGGAAGGTGAAGGGGTAGCAGACACATCACATGGTAAAAGCAGGGGCAAGTGAGAGAGCTAAACTCCCGCTTTCTGATCACATATCCCAACCTGCTCCAACTCCCTAAATCCTTCCACTGTGTCTACATGGTAGAATCTCCTACATCCACAACTTCTTATGTCAACTTTCCTTCTATTTCTTGATCTAACTCCTCATTCTCAAGCTTTTTTTTTAACCATGACCCACAATAATAAATTTTACATCAAAACACCATACGCACATACATACACACACATATTATATGTGTATACACAACTGAAGTCCCACAAAAACAAACCTTACTAAAATAAAGCTATATCAGATATGATTTTATTAATAGCCAAATAAACAAAAATTCAGAAATACAAAGTTCCGTGAAAGAGTTGTTTACATGCACTGTCAACTGTTCTCTCATTCTTATGTTCTCTCCCTCCAGGATTTTACCTCCTCCATTCCACCAACACAGCTCTTATGAGGGTCACCAATGAGCTCCACATTGCTAAATTGGTGAATACTTCTCAGTCCTCACTTTAGTTGACCCATTAGCAGCATGTGACCTATTGGCTTTCACATGGCCCATCACCCCTCTTCCTCAAAACACTGCCTTCATTTGGCTTCCAGGGCATCCCTCTTGATTTTCCTAACTCAATGAGAGCTCCTCCTTAGTCTCCTGCACTGTTTTTCCTCATATCCTATCTCTAACCACTGAGAGAACCCCAAAGTTCTCCTCTGACATCTTCTCTATTTGAATGCACTTCCTCAGCTATCTCCTCTAGTTCAACAGCTTTAAATTTACTAACTTCTACATTTCCATCTCTAGCCCAGACCTCTCCTCTGAACTATTTTTTTATTTTATAATATAGACGGGGTCTCACTTTGTTGCCCAGTCTGGTCTTGAACTCCTGGGCTCACATGATTCTCCTGCCTTGGCCTCCCAAAGTGCTGAGATTACAGGCATGAGGCATTGCACCTGGCCTGGACTCTTTATTCACATCCAACTTCTACTAATGGGCATCTCAATTTTCACATGTTCAAAACCCAATTTCTTTCCTGCCACAAAAGTACTCCTTATGCAGACCTCCATCTCATTAAATTCTAACTTTATTTTTCCAGTTGCATAAGCCAAAAATCTCGGAGTTACACTTGACACTCCTCTTTCATACACCACATGTAATCAATCTACTGAAAAATCCTGGTGGCTCCACTTGGAAAATATACTCAGATCCAACCACCACTACCCACACTGGCTCTAACTAGTCAGCCTGTTTCCTCCCTTCAAACCTATGGTGTATTTTCAACACAGCAATCAGAAGTCTCTTTCTGTAAGTCAGATCATGCTATACCTTGGGTTCAAAACCTTTCCATGGACTCCCAGCTTAAAAAAGTAAATGCTGAAGACCTTACTATCGCTGACATATGGCCTGGCCCTTGACTACCTCTCTTAGCTCCATCTCCTTAATCTCTCCTCCTTACTTCCACTCCAGCCACGATTAACTCCTTGTTGTTCCCCAAACATGTTAAATACACTTGTGTCTTAGGGCCTTTCTATTTGTTATCTCCCTTGCCTGGGATACTCTCCCTCTAGTTGTACCTAGAACAGTTGAATCATCGCATAATTGCTAAAAGGACAAGTGACCATGTGACAACGTTCTTTCATCTTTTATGCTTGTAACACCAGAATTTACTTGAAAAAGTTTGTAAGTGGACAAGTATGAAAGACAGATATGTACACAAAGTAACAGGAAGGTAAAGATGATGTGAAAAATGAAAACCAATCCACTGAAAGTCATTCTAATTGGTATTTATAAATGTAAAAACAAAAATGTTTTGCTGTTATGTAACAAAGAATATAGCCATCATCTATCACTTCAACAAAACTATGAGCCCTAAAGTTTTCAGAAGTATTGCAGTTTGGACAGGTGTGGTGGCTCATGCCTACCGTCCCCAGCACTTTGGAAGGCAGGAAGATCACTTGAGGCCAGGTGTTCAAGGCCAGCCTGGGCAACACAGTGAGACCCTATTTCTACAAAAAATAAAAATAAATTAAAAAACAAAAAGTATTGCATTTTGACAAAGTGAGTTCATGAAGAATACAAATAATAAGGTAGAACATAGTAGAGATGCATTTGAAATCCAAAATCCGTATTTAAAGGTAGGTATGTTCCAGATTCATGCATAATGACAGCTGCTTTCAAAGGATGTAATGCCTTTTAGGTATACATAAACATTCAAAACTGGGAAAATATGGGAAAAAATGTGGGTCTCCTATATTTGGATTCTCATTAAAATTGCTAACAAAGTTAATTTTCACCATCCCTTTATTCTTCTGTAAATTGTTTATAAAATGACTTGAAAAAGAATGCAGTCAATTCTCATTACTTGAGGTAGTTATGTTCTATGAAGTTGCCACAAACACGCAAATTAGTGAATACTGAGCCATTGCTCCTAACAGAAATACAGGGTTAGGTTCTTGTAAGCCTTTGGTCACATTTTCACCAACTTATAAATACGTAAGCTTGTTTTATATCTGTTTCTGTTTAAAGACACATTATTTAATAAATATAGACCTGGCATGGTGGCTCATATCTGTAATCCCAGCACTCTGGGATGCCAAGGTGGGTGGATCACTTGAGGTCAGGAGTTCAAGACTGGCCTACCCAACATGGTAAAACCCCACCTCTACTAAAAATACAAAAATTACGCTGGGTGCAGTGGCGGGTGCCTATAATCCCAGCTACTGGGAAGACTGAGGCAGGAGAATCGTTTGAACCCGGGAGGAGGAGGTTGCAGTGAGCCGAGATTATGCCATTGCACTCCAGCCTGGGTGACAGAGTGAGACTCCATCTCAAAAAATATAATAATAAATAGTGATGACTCATCATCATCTAACTCCCACTCAACAGCACTATAACTCATGACTAAACAAAGGTTATCTAACACATGTATTCTCTAAGGCACCTCACAGCCCGCATGCACCTTGGAATACCACTATATAGCACTTCAGCACAATGCTTGGGAATCACTTTAAACAGTAAAATCACAAACAGAAGGCACAAAAATGTGAAAAATGTAGAACTATATAAACTGCTTTCAAAAAGGACACTTGTTTATAGTAAGAAAGCTACACAAAAAACTGAGCACTGTTCAACCCCAGCTGGGAATATCTGGGTAAGGTTCTCAAATTTTTCACCTCTGTGTATGTCCATGAAAAACCATGAAACTGCCATGAGTATTGATGTTAGGTTACAAATAAATTTTAGCAAGTAGGTGCCTTTACAAATACAGATTCTACAAATAAAGAGAATTGACTGTAAATAAAATTTTATAAGCAAAAACTCTGAAAATAAAAACAAATAGTTAAAATGGTAATGGGAAGACCATATAAACAACAGAAAATTAAAAGTTCTTAAACACATGAAAAGGTGCTGAACTTCACAATAAGATAAAAATGTACAAATATGAGATAATCATTTTTAACTATTCAATTGACAAAGATTCAAAGGTTTGATAAATTATTGGCTATTTTGCAGGAAACAAACTCTCCATGTTGGTATAAATATAGATTAATATAACCTCTACTGAAAACAATTTAGCAAACTTTTGTTTAAAATTTAAATGTAGGTCGGGCACGGTGGCTCATGCCTGTAATCCCAGCACTTTGGGAGGCCAAGGCGAGCAGATCACAAGGTCAGGAGTTCAAGATCAGCCTGGCCAACATGGTGAAACCCCGTCTCTACTAAAAAAATACAAAAATTAGCCGGGCATGGTGGCGTGTGCCTGTAATCCTAGCTACTCAGGAGGCTGAGGCAGGAGCACTGCTTGAACCTGGGAGGCGGAGGTTGCGGTGAGCTGAGATCACGCCATTGCACTCCAGCCTGGGCAACAGAGCAAGACTCCGTATCAAAAAAAAAAAAAAAACAATTTAAATGCAATAGCCTCTTCAACACAGTAGTTCTAATTCTAGATACTTAATCCTAAAGATGCTGACTGTACTATTAAATAACAAATGATTAGAAACAAATTAAACTCTCATCCACAAGAGCTCAATTCATTAAGCGTGGTACACATCTGTAAGAATATCCTGTAAGTGCTTAAAAGAATGAGAGCTTTTTTTTAAATTTTTAATTTTTGCATTTTTCTTATTTTATTTTATTATTATACTTTAAGTTTTAGGGTACATGTGCACAATGTGCAGGTTAGTTACATATGTATACATGTGCCATGCTGGTGTGCTGCACCAATTAACTCCTCATTTAGCATTAGGTATATCTCCTAATGCTATCCCTCCCCACTCCCCCCACCCCACAACAGTCCCAAGAGTGTGATGTTCCCCTTCCTGTGTCCATGTGTTCTCATTGTTCAATTCCCACCTATGAGTGAGAACATGCGGTGTTTGGTTTTTTGTCCTTGCGATAGTTTACTGAGAATGATGATTTCCAATTTCATCCATGTCCCTACAAAGGACATGAACTCATCATTTCTTATGGTTGCATAGTATTCCATGGTGTATATGTGCCATATTTTCTTAATCCAGTCTATCATTGTTGGACGTTTGGGTTGGTTCCAAGTCTTTGCTATTGTGAATAGTGCCGCAATAAACATACGTGTGCATGTGTCTTCATAGCAGCATGATTTATAGTCCTTTGGGTATATACCCAGTAATGGGATGGCTGGGTCAAATGGTATTTCTAGTTCTAGATCCCTGAGGAATCGCCACACTGACTTCCACAGTGGTTGAAGCAGTTTACAGAACTCTCCACCCCACATCAACAGAATATACATTTTTTTCAGCACCACACCACACCTATTCCAAAATTGACCACATAGTTGGAAGTAAAGCTCTCCTCAGCAAACGTAAAAGAACAGAAATTATAACAAACTGTCTCTCAGACCACAGTGCAATCAAACTAGAACTCAGGAATAAGAAACTCACTCAAAACCACTCAACTACATGGAAACTGAACAACCTGCTCCTGAATGACTACTGGGTACATAACGAAATGAAGGCAGAAATAAAGATGTTCTTTGAAACCAACGAGAACAAAGACACAACATACCAGAATTTCTGGGACACATTCAAAGCAGTGTGTAGAGGGAAATTTATAGCACTAAATGCCCACAAGAGAAAGCAGGAAAGATCCAAAATTGACACCCTAACATCACAATTAAAAGAACTAGAAAAGCAAGAGCAAACACATTCAAAAGCTAGCAGAAGGCAAGAAATAACTAAAATCAGAGCAGAGCTGAAGGAAATAGAGACACAAAAAACCCTTCAAAAAATTAATCCAGGAGCTGGTTTTTGGAAAGGATCAACAAAATTGATAGACCGCTAGCAAGACTAATAAAGAAGAAAAGAGAGAAGAATCAAATAGACGCAATAAAAAATGATAAAGGGGATATCACCACCGATCCCACAGAAATACAAACTACCATCAGAGAATACTATAAACACTTCTACGCAAATAAACTAGAAAATCTAGAAGAAATGGATAAATTCCTCGACACATACACCCTCCCAAGACTAAACCAGGAAGAAGTTGAATCTCTAAATGGACCAATAACAGGCTCTGAAATTGTGGCAATAATCAATAGCTTACCAACCAAAAAGAGTCCACGACCAGATGGATTCACAGCCGAATTCTACCAGAGGTACAAGGAGGAACTGGTACCATTCCTTCTGAAATTATTCCAATCAATAGAAAAAGAGGGAATCCTCCCTAACTCATTTTATGAGGCCAGCATCATCCTGATACCAAAGCCAGGCAGAGACACAACCAAAAAAGAGAATTTTAGACTAATATCCTTGATGAACATTGATGCAAAAATCATCAATAAAATACTGGCAAACCGAATCCAGCAGCACATCAAAAAGCTTATCCAGCATGATCAAGTGGGCTTCATCCCTGGGATGCAAGGCTGGTTCAACATACGCAAATCAATAAATGTAATCCAGCATATAAACAGAACCAAAGACAAAAACCACATGATTATCTCAATAGATGCAGAAAAGGCCTTTGACAAAATTCAACAATCCCTCATGCTAAAAACTCTCAATAAATGAGGTACTGATGGGACGTATCTCAAAATAATAAGAGCTATCTATGACAAACCCACAGCCAATATCATACTGAATGGGCAAAAACTGGAAGCATTCCCTTTGAAAACACGCACAAGACAGGGATGCCCTCTCTCACCACTCCTATTCAACATAGTGTTGGAAGTTCTGGCCAGGGCAATTAGGCAGGAGAAAGAAATAACGGGTATTCAATTAGGAAAAGAGGAAGCCAAATTGTCCCTGTTTGCAGATTACATGATTGTATATCTAGAAAACCCCATTGTCTCAGCCCAAAATCTCCTTAAGCTGATAAGCAACTTCAGCAAAGTCTCAGGATACAAAATCAATGTACAAAAATCACAAGCATTCTTATACAGCAATAACAGACAAACAGAGAGCCAAATCATGAGTGAACTCCCATTCACAATTGCTTCAAAGAGAATAAAATACCTAGGAATCCAACTTACAAGGGATGTGAAGGACCTCTTCAAGGAGAACTACAAACCACTGCTCAATGAAATAAAAGAGGATACAAACAAATGGAAGAACATTCCATGCTCATGGGTAGGAAGAATCAATATCGTGAAAATGGCCATACTGCCCAAGGTAATTTACAGATTCAATGCCATCCCCATCAAGCTACCAATGACTTTCTTCACAGAATTGGAAAAAACTACTTTAAAGTTCATATGGAACCAAAAAAGAGCCCGCATCGCCAAGTCAATCCTAAGCCAAAAGAACAAAGCTGGAGGCATCACGCTACCTGACTTCAAACTATACTACAAGGCTACAGTAACCAAAACAGCATGGTACTGGTACCAAAACAGAGATATAGACCAATGGAACAGAACAGAGCCCTCAGAAATAACGCCGCATATCTACAACTATCTGATCTTTGACAAACCTGAGAAAAACAAGCAATGGGGAAAGGATTCCCTATTTAATAAATGGTGCTGGGAAACTGGCTAGCCATATGTAGAAAGCTGAAACTGGATCCCTTCCTTACACCTTATACAAAAATTAATTCAAGATGGATTAAAGACTTAAATGTTAGACCTAAAACCATAAAAACCCTAGAAGAAAACCTAGGCATTACCATTCAGGACATAGGCATGGGCAAGGACTTCATGTCTAAAACACCAAAAGCAACGGCAACAAAAGCCAAAACTGGGATCTAATTAAACTAAAGAGCTTCTGCACAGCAAAAGAAACTACCATCAGAGTGAACAGGCAACCTACAAAATGGGAGAAAATTTTTGCAATCTACTCATCTGACAAAGGGCTAATATCCAGAATCTACAATGAACTCAAACAAATTTACAAGAAAAAAACAGACAACCCCATCAAAAAGTGGGCGAAGGACATGAACAGACACTTCTCAAAAGAAGACATTTATGCAGCTAAAAAACACATGAAAAAATGCTCACCATCACTGGCCATCAGAGAAATGCAAATCAAAACCACAATAAGATACCATCTCACACCAGTTAGAATGGCAATCATTAAAAAGTCAGGAAACAACGGGTGCTGGAGAGGATGTGGAGAAATAGGAAGAATGAGAGTTTTAAATACTGATATGGTGTGTTCTCCAAGATATATTGACAGAAAAGCACTTATCTATTGAAGAACATTATATGAATTACCTCTAAAGATAAAAAATTTTAAAAGTTCAAAAAGGGTAATGATGATATATCATGACAGAACTTAATTACTTTTTTTCTTTTTGAGACAGTCACTGAGTCACCCAGGCTGGAGTGTAGTGGCACGATCTTGGCTCACTGCAACCTCCGCCTCCTGGGTTCAAGTGATTCTCATGCTTCAGCCTCTCCAGTAGCTGGGATCACAGGCGCCCACCACCATGCCGAGCTAATTTTTTTTTTGTATTTTTAGTAGAGATGGGGTTTCACCATGTTGGGCCAGGCTGGTCTCGAACTACCGACCTCAGGTGATCCACCCACCTCAGCCTCTCAAAGTGCTAGGATTACAGGTATGAGCCACCATGCCTGGCCTTAATTACATGTTTTTTAAAAATTCACAATAAATGTATACACAAACATTTTAAAAAACACAAAAGGGTACACTGTGAAAAGTGTACAGAAGGGCTGGGCATGGTGATTCATGCCTGTAATCCTAGCACTTTGGGAGCCCGAGGTGGGAGAATGGCTTGAACCCAGGAACTCGAGACCAGCTTGGGCAACATAGATCATGTCACTACCAAAAAAAAAAAAAAAAGTGTACAGAAGCAGAGTTGCTCTTGTTTTTTGTTTGTTGCTTTGGTTTGGTTTTTTTTTTTGAGACAGGGTCTCAGTCTGTTGCCCAGGCTGAAGTGCAATGGTGTGAACACGGCTCATTACACAGCCTCAACCTCCTGTACTCAAGTGATCCTTTTGCCTCAGCCTCTCCAGTAGCTGGGACTACAGGCATGCACCACCATGCCTTGCTAATTCTTTCATGTTTTGTAGAGTCAGGGGTTTTGCGTTGTTGCTTATGCTGGTCTTGAACTCCTGGGCTCAAGTGATCCGCCTGTCTCGTCCTCCCAAAATGCTGGGATTACAGGTGTAAGCCACCGTGCCTGGCCCAGAGTTGCTCTTAGTAACGTGTTTTTTTTTTTTTTTTTTTTGAGACGGAGTCTCGCTTTTTAGCCCAGGCTTGAGTACAGTGGCACAATCTCGGCTCACCACAACCTCCACCTCCCGGGTTCAAGCAATTCTCCTGCCTCAGCCTCCCAAGTAGCTGGGACTACAGGGCGTGCCACCATGCCGGGCTAATTTTTGTATTTTTAGTAGAGACAGGGTTTTACTATGTTGGCCAGGCTGGTCTGGAACTCCTGATCTCAGGTGATCCACCCGCCTCGGCCTCCCAAAGTGCTGGGATTACAGGTGTGAGCTGCCGCGCCCAGCTGCTCTTAGTAACTTCTGGAATTTGATGTCTAAATTGAATCCATTATTTCAAACATCACAAGACTTAAGTTCATAAAAACTTTTTTAAAAAGTTAACTCTGGGTCAGGCGTAGTGGCTCAAGCTTGTAATCCCAGCACTTTGGGAGGCCGAGGCAGGTGGATTACCTGGGGTCAGGAGTTCCAGACCAGCCTGGCCAACGTGGCGAAACCACGTCTCTACTACTAAAAATACAAAAATTAGCCAGGCATAGTGGCACATGCCTGTAGTCCCAGCTGCTCGGGAGGCTGAGGCAGGAGAATTGCTTGAACCTGGGAGGCAGAGGTTGCAGTGAGCTGAAATTGCGCCACTGCACTCCAGCTTGGGTGAGAGTTAGACTGTATCAAAAACAAAAAGAAATTAACTCTGTAGTTTATTTCTGTTAATGGCAACCCTGCAGAAAAGTTAAACTTAGAATATGTCTCAAAGTAATCTCTGTCTGATCCCTTAATGAAGGATCTCTTCAAACACAGCAACTTTTGTCTGTCTTCTGAATGTAGGTACAGCTGTGGCTGTAGAACAGACCATGTAATTTTCATCTAGATTCCTTACAACCACAAGGACAATTATTACAATGAAAGCCAGAGAACTAGCTCAGTTTTGATTTTATTACTAGGATAAATCCAGCCAGGTAGTGTGGTGGCTTTGATGTTTTCTGTCTATATCTAAGGGGGAAGCTGCTTCATTATTCGATATTAAGATAAATAGGGCCTAAAAATAGTCCTAGGTCAAACACCATTATGATTAACTCAACTTTCAAAACCATTTACCTAATGTAGGATTTGTTAATAAGTCTTCTTCAAAATTAGCAAGAAATACAACTAATGCCTAACCCGTCATGATGAATTAAAGACTGATCCAAAAATAACTGACAGTTCTCTTCCAGTTGCCCTCTTCTTTGACAATCCCACCAGTCTATGCTCTAAGCTCACGCTTGACTTCCAAAAACTGCCAGATATTGTAGACACCATGAAGAATAAGATGTACTACCTTTTCTCTAATGAAAGAGGAAATACAGATATAAACAATATATAAACATAATATAATGTGAAAAGCTATGTATAGAAATAAATAGAGAGGCCGTGTGCGGTGGCTCACGGCTGTAATCCCAGCACTTTGGGAGGCCAGGGTGGTCGAATCACTTGAGGGCAGGAGTTTGAGACCAGCCTGGCCAACATGGTGAAACTCCATCTCTACTAAAAATACAAAACTTAGTGGGGCATGGTGCCACATGCCTGTAATCCCAACTACTCACGTGGGTGAGGCACGAGAACTGCTTGAACCCGGATAGCAGAGGTTGCAGTGAGCTGAGATTGCACCACTGCACTCCAGCGTGGGCAGCAGAGCGAGACTCTGTCTCAAAAACAAACAAAAATAAGAATATGTAAAGACATGAAAAATGTGACATTAAGTGGGAATACACATGCACATACACAAAATGCTATGGTGGCATCCATATCAAAATATGGGCCAAAGGGCAAAATAATATGCAAAAAAGAAATACAATCACAGATACAGCTAATTTAAAAAAAAATTAAATATTTTTATTATATACTTTTAAACATATAGAAGATAGAAAAAAACAGTACAATGAACAGCCATGTCCACCAGTTAGATTCTGTAACATTTTGCCACATACGCCTCACATACATTTTGTTAAACCATTTGAAACATTTTAAGACACTCTAACACTTCATTCCTAAATGCTTAAGTATGCAAATTAAGACAGTCTTTTATAAACTACAACACCCTTCTCACAGCTCATAAAATTACCAATAATTATCCAATATCATTCAAAATCTAATCCACATTCAAATTTTCTCAACTGCCTCACCACCGTGCTGGCCTCCCACCCCCACCTCAGTCTTTTACAGATGGTTTTTCAAAATAGAGTCCAGTAAAATATTTCACATTGCATTTGGTTATTACATAACTTTTAATCAAGAAGAGTTACCCATTCCACTTCCTTTTTTCTTTCCCAACACTTGATATTTTGAAGAAATGAGGCCAGTTATCTTCTATAACGCTTCACATTCCAGATCTGTCTGATCGTTTCTTTAGTGGTGTCATTTAGTGCTGCTCTATGCCAGCATTTCCTGCAAATGAGAAATTAGAACCAGAGGCTTGACGAATTCCAGTTAAACCATGTCCTCTGTGGACACCAGTTAAACTTGACTAGAGCACTTCATATGTCAGAGTGTACAGTGCAGTATGCCTAGGTTATCCCATATCACAATAAAAAAAAGTCTGCTGGTCTGCCTACTAGTGATATAAAATGGCATCATATCCTAAAGCTCTTTATTGTGAAAGTATGTTTCTTCCACACAACCAACCAGTTAAGTATGAGAATTCTAGTAGGGATGTAGATTAACCTTTTATCTAATAGTTTTGGCATCAAAATTCTTTAATATTGATTGTTTTACATTAACCTTTCAACTTTCTAACATCTGAACTTTTTAAATGTTCAAAAACATTTGTTTTCCACAAACCATAAAGTTTTACAAAAGTAAGATTCACTTTCATAATGCTGGCAGACTTACTCCTTAATTTAAGGAATGTGAGCACCTTCCTTCTTTTTGATTTTGTCTAAAACCCTGTAAGGAAAATAAAGGAAGTTAAAAAAAATAGCTATATAGATATAGATAGCTATATATAGATAGCTTTATATGGATGTTAAAAAGCATTTTGTTTCACAAGACATTTTACTTATTTTATTCAACAAAATATGATCAGAAATTAAGTTGATAGTCTTTTAATGTACTTTAAAAGTTATCCCAAAGAAAACAATTATTAGGCTGCAGTTAAGGTTTTCTTGCAGTGGCTCATGCCTACAATCCCACAACTTTGGGAGGCGGAGGTAGGGGGATCACTTGAGACCTGGAGCTTGACACCACCCTGGGCAACATAATGAGACCCTGTCTCTACAAAAAATTTAAAAATTAGGCCGGCGTGGTGGCTCAGGCTAGGCACAGTGGCTCACGCCTGTAATCCCAGCACTTTGGGAGGCCGAGACAGTTGGATCACCTGAGCTCAGGAGTTCGAGAACAGCCTGGCCAACATGGCAAAACCCCGTTTCTACTGAAAGTACAAAAAATTAGCCAGGCATGGTGGTGGGGACCTCTAATCCCAGCTACTTGGGAGGTTGAGGCAGGAGAATCACTTGAACCCAGGAGGCGGAGGCTGCAGTGAGCTGAGATTTACACCACTGCACTCCAGCCTGGGTGACAGAGCAAGACTCTGTCTCAAAAAAAAATAAATAAATAAAAATAAAAATTAGCCAGGTGCAGTGGCATTATCACTGTAGTCCCAGCTACTCGGGAAACTGAGGTGAGAGGACTGCTTGAGCCCTGGAGGTCAAGGCTGCAGTGAGCTGTGAATGTGCCCTTGCACTCCAGCCTGAGCAATAGAGTGAGACCTGGTCTCTAAAAAATAAAATTTAAATGTAAAAAATTTAAAAACATTGCCGGTCACAGTGGCTCATGCCTGTAATGCCTTGCCTTGCACTTTTGGAGGCCAAGGCGGGCGGATCACCTGAGGTCGGATTTGGAGAACAGCCTGACCAACATGGAGAAATCCCGACTCTACTAAAAATACAAGACTAGGCCGGGCACAGTGGCTCACGCCTATAATCCCAGCACTTGGGGAGGCTGAGGCGGGTGGATCAAAAGGTCAGGAGATCGAGACCATCCTGGCTAACACAGTGAAACCCCATCTCTACTAAAAACACAAAAAAATTAGCCGGGTGTGGTGGCGGGCACCTGTAGTCCCAGCTACTCGGGAGGCTGAGGCAAGAGAATGGTGTGAACCTGGGAGGCAGAGCTTGCAGTGAGCCAAGATCGCGCCGCTGCACTCCAGCTTGGGGGACAGAGCAAGACACCCTCTCAAAAAAAAAAAACAAAAAACAAAACAAAACACAAAACTGGCTGGGCGTGGTGGCATATGGCTGTAATCACAGCTACTCGGGAAGCTGAGGCAGGAGAATCACTTGAACCCAGGAGGCGGAGGTTGCAGTGAGCCGAGATTGCACCATTGCACCCCAGCCTGGGTGACAGGGCAAAACTCCATCTTAAAAAATAAATAAACTAATTAATTTAAAAAAATATTTTTCTTCCTTTTTTTTTTGAGACGGAGTTTCGCTCTTGTTGCCCAGGCTGGAGTGCAATGGTGCAATCTTGGCTCACCGCAACCTCCGCCTTCTCGGTTCAAGCAATTCTCCTGCCTCAGCCTCCCAAGTAGCTGGGATTACAGGCATGCGCCACCATGCCCGGCTAGTTTTGTATTTTTAGTAGAGACAGGGTTTCTCCATGTTGGTCAGGCTGATCTGGAACTCCCGACTTCAGGTGATTCGCCTGCCTTGGCCTCCCAAAGTGTTGGGATTACCGGCGTGAGCCACTGCGCCCAGCTGATTTTTCTTCTTTCAGTATGTCCAATGATGTTCCTGAGCCCGCTTATACCTTATTTTTTTTTTTTTGAGATGGAGTTTTGCTCTTGTTGCCCAGGCTGGAGTGCAATGAGGTGATCTCGGCTCACCGCAACCTCCACCTCCCAGGTTCAAGCAATTCTCCTGCCTCAGCCTCCTGAGTAGCTGGGATTACAGGCATGCACCACCACGCCCGCCTAATTTTGTATTTTTTTTAGTAGAGACGGGGTTTCTCCATGTTGAGGCTAGTCTCTAACTCCCGACCTCAGGTGATCCGCCTGCCTCGGCCTCCCAAAGTGCTGGGATTACAGGTGTGAGCCACCGTGCCCGGCCTATACCTTATTTTCATCAAATAAAATATATGACCTTAAACTACCTGTGTCATACTTATTAAAATGAGACCATTAAACACCAGTATTCACTAAATAAAAAAAAAATTTAAAGTCAAAAATTAATACTAAAACATTTGTTTTTCTTGTCAGATCTAGCCCAAATGTCCTCTGTCTCTCTTCTGGCTTCAATGCTTTCTATCTTTCCCTACATGTATACTAGCTTGCAGTGGCTTCCCACTTCATTACTAATCTACACCTAACAGACCGTAAGATGTATTGAAAGATTTGTTACTAATGAGTATCAAAGTTATAACCTATTTTATGTTATTTCAACAACATTATTCTTAGTCATTTGCATTCTGCTTAGATTTCTAAGACAAAAAGATAGAGGTTAAAAGCTAGACTCAGAGCCTATCTCAACCACGTGGCTTCAGTAGAACAAAGGTTAAGAATTGTTAGCTTAAGGCAATGACGTATTAAAAACACTTAAGGCCAGGTGCAGTGGCTCACGCCTGTAATCCCAGCACTTTGGGAGGCCTAGGCAGGCAGATCACGAGGTCAGGAGATCGAGACCATCCTGGCTAACACGGTGAAACCCCATCTCTACTAAAAATACAAAAAATTAGCCGTGCATGGTGGCACACGCCTGTAGTCCCAGCTACTTGTCGGGCTGAGGCAGGAGAATGGTGTGAACCCGGGAGGCAGAGCTTGCAGTAAGCCAAGATCATGCCACTGCACTCCAGCTTAGGAGACAGAGCAAGACTGTCTCAAAAACAAAAACAAAACAAAAAAAACCCAAAAAACCAAAAAAACAAAAAGAACACAAACGAATGTTCATAGCAACATTATTCATTATAGCCCAAAAATAAAAACAACCTAAATGTCCATGAACTGATGAATGGATAAAATGTGATATAACCAAACAACAGAATATTCAGCAATAAGAAGGAATGCAGTACTGGTGCATTCTACAGCATGGATGAATCTTGAAAATAGCATGCTAAGTGAAAGAAGCCAGACACAAAAGACCACATATCGTATAATTCCGTTTATATATAATATCTAAAATAGACAAATTCATAGAGACAGAAAGTGTACTGACTGCCTAGGGCTGGGGAAAATGAAGGTAACAGGGTTTCTTTTTGGGGTGATGAAAATGTTCTTAAATTGTAGTGATGGTTGCATAACTGAAAACCAAAACCACTGACTTGTATACTTTCTTTTTTATTTTATTTTTTGAGACAGAGTCTCGCTCTGTCGCCCAGGCTGGAGTGCACTGGCACAATCTCGGCTCACTGCAAGCTCCACCTCCTGGGTTCACGCCACTCTCCTGCCTCAGCCTCCCGAGCAGCTGGGACAAAAGGTGCCCGCCAACATGCCCGGCTAATTTGTTTTTGTACTTTTAGTAGAGACGGGGTTTCACCATGTTAGCCAGGATGGTCTCGATCTCCTGACCTCGTGATCCACCTGCCCTGGCCTCCCAAAGTGCTGGGATTACAGGCGTGAGCCATTGTGCCCAGCCAACTTGTATACTTTCAAAGGTAAACTGCACACCATGTGAATTATTTCTCAAGAAAGTTATTTAGAACATAAATTATACCAATACTTTATATATACATTATGTATTTTTTTCAAATATTTCATAATTTAAAAAACACAAAAGCCTACAGTGTTACAGTCAGATAACTGATCTCAAAACAAATTACAAGCTGTTGATTTATTACTTTTTGGTCATTAAAATGAGGAATTCATGATACATACAATATACCAAGGTTATACTACAACAACTGAAGCGTGACTTTTTTTTCCCTCCGCAAATTCTCACTCTGTTGGCCAGGCTAGAGTGCAGCGGTGTGATCTCGGCTCACTGCAACCTCTGCCTCCCAGGTTCAAGTGATTCTCCTGCCTCAACCTCTCAAGTAGCTGGGATTACAACTGCCCGCCACTGGGCTAAGTTTTGTGTATTTAGTAGAAATGGAGTAGTCACCATGTTGGCCAGGCTGGTCCTGAACTCCTAACCTCAAGTGATCCACCTGCCTCTACCTCCCAAAGTACTGGGATTATAGGTGTGAGCCACCGTGCCAGGCCTTTTTCTTTTTTTGAGATGGAATCTCACTCTGTCACCAAGGGTGGAGTGCAGTGGCACAATCTCAACTCACTGCAACCTCTGCCTCCCAGATTAAAGCAATTTTCCTGCCACAGCCTCCCAAGTAGCTCGGATTACAGGCATGTGCCACCATGCCTGGCTAAATTTTTTTTGGTATTTTTAGTAGAGACAAGGTTTCATCATGTTGGCCAGGCTGGTCTCAAACTCCTGACCTCAAGTGATCTGCCTGCCTCGGCCTCACAAACTGTTGGGATTACAGTTGTAAGCCACCATGTCTGGCCTTAACTTTTAAATAAGAATATTAATGGGGGCACACACAGATGATACATTTAAAAACATACACCTTTAAGTCAGTTGTTTCTTCTATATTAATTTACTAAAAATACAAGTGCCTACAATATCACATCATAATTTTAGCAGGGCACAAGAGCTTACTTTTAAAAATAATTTTAGGCCGGGCGCGGTGGCTCACGCTTGTAATCCCAGCACTTTGGGAGGCCGAGGCGGGTGGATCACGAGGTCAGGAGATCGAGACCACGGTGAAACCCCGTCTCTACTAAAAATAAAAAAAAATTAGCCGGGCGTGGTGGCGGGCGCCTGTAGTCCCAGCTACTCGGAGAGGCTGAGGCAGGAGAATGGCGTGAACCCGGGAGGCGGAGCTTGCAGTGAGCCGAGACTGCGCCACTGTACTCCAGCCTGGGTGACAGAGCGAGACTCCGTCTCAAAAAAAAAAAAAAAATAAAATAAAATAAAATAATTTTAAATGTTCTGACTAAAATACAATAGAACATGTCCGTAGGAGACTAACGTATAAAGTGACAAGTTTGAAGCCATACTCCCCAAGGTTCAATGTGGTACACATTACCCCAGATCTTTGTGCATTAAAAAAATTTCATTTCTCTTGGAAGGCCGAGGCGGGTGGATCACGGGGTCAGGAGATTGAGACCATCCTGGCTAACACAGTGAAACCCTGTCTTTACAAAAAAATACAAAAAATTAGACAGGCGTGGTGGCAGGCACCTGTAGTCCCAGCTACCTCTGAGGCTGAGGCAGGAGAATGGCGTGAATCCAGGAGGCAGAGCTTGCTGTGAGCCAAGATCACGCCATTGCACTCCAGCCTGGGCAACAGAGCAAGACTCCGTCTCAAAAAAAAAAAAAAAAAAAAAAGAATTTCATTTTTCATTTATGAAAAATTATCCCATCTTTTCCATTCCCTACAATCAATTTCAAATCAGAGATTAAAACATTATTTAGAAAAAGTATAATTTCAATTCAAAAGTGTATAATCAAAATAATCTAACAATAGCATGAAAGCTTTTTAAAATTAACTAAAATTATACTTAGGGACAATGCAAGAGTAATTTAAGCCTCAGACAGTTGTATTTTTTTATTTTTATTTTTTAGTAATATAAAGAGAGAAGCAAGTAGTATTTTATAAATTTACAAAACAAAGTCACATAACTACAAAAAAATTGTCAGGAAAAGATGCTGAGTGATTACTTACCATATAATAGCCAGTATGATAGCCACTCATGTACCATGAAATTAACATACTTCCCAAAGCATCAGCATCATCAAGAGAATCTGGACATATGGGAGGTGGTGGGGGAATTATCTGGAGACAGAAAAAGATATTGTTTATATCCAGTAAACAAAAAAGTAAAGTCTGGAGATTTATATTATATAGTGAATGCTGGAAATTAATTGTATTTTTGCTTATATAATCTCCTACTTAAATTTCTTTTTTTTCCCCTAAACAAAGACGAGGTCTTGCTATGTTGCCCAGACTGGTCTCAAACTCCTGAGCTCAAGTGATCCTCCTGCCTCAGCCTTCTAAAATGCCGGGATTACAGGCATGAGCCACTGTACCTGGCCTTAAATTTCTTAACATAGCTAGCATTTGGAGAAAACCAACCAATAACAACAAAAGACCAACAAAATTAAATTTAACGAGGACGAAAAGACAGCAAGTGACATAAAAAGTTTAAACATTTTGATTTAGACTATGTATCTGTTCCACTATGAAGCTATGAGTAAAAAAAAAAAATCAAGCATAAATACTTTCATGCTTTTCCTTAATACACACACACACACACACACACACACAGCTCACATAGCATTTCGAGGGCGATTTTAAGTAAATGTCTTGGGTAGAACACCTGTTCTAACCCCATCCCAATACACAGTATGCCAAAAAGTATCTTTTTATCTATTGTTAATACCTAAAAATCTACCATTAGAAATCCAGTTTACAGCTGGGTGCGGCAGCTCACGCCTGTAATCCCAGCGCTTTGGGAGGCCAAGGCGGGTGGATCACCTGAGGTCAGGAGTTCAAGATCAGTCTGGCCAACATGGTGAAACCCCATCTCTACTAATAAAACAAAAATTAGCCGGGTGTGGTGGCAGTCGCCTGTAATCCCAGCTACTTGGGAGGCCGAGGCAGAATTGCTTGAACCCAGGAGGCGGAGGTTGCTGTGAGCTGAGATCACACCACTGCACTCCAGCCTGGGGTACAAGGGCAAAACTCTGCCTCCAAAACAAAAAAAAAAAAAGAGAGAGAAAGAAAAAGAAATCCAGTTTACATCAGAAGCTAACATCCAACTATACCTAGAAGGGCAAACACTAATTCCTTATATAAGGTATAATTAAATCCCTTCTAACAGGAACTACCTCCTTATGGCATAGACACCAACTTCTGCCAGGAAAGAAGGCAACCTAGAGCTTAGACTTGGGACTACAAGAGCACTGCATCTGGGTAACAGAAAGGCATTAAAAACAAACAAAACCCAGAGGTTTAGTTCAAATTTCTACCCATTAGAATCTGGCCCAAGGGATGTTCTACAATGACATTTTACAATCCTCTATTCTGCTAATTATCAAATTGTATGTGAAAGCAAAATCTAACCTATACTCTTTTTTACTTACTGGTGGTCCAGAAGGAAATGGAGGCAGCCAGCATGATAGTAAGTGGGGTGGTGGTGGTGGCGGTGGCGGTGGTGGGCCATTGAATTTTAGACCTGGCTATAAGGAATATTTCAAAGGAAAATTAACTTACCAATTTCAATATGATAGGAATAAAAAGGACTCAAAACCAAAAGGATAAAAATAATTACCCAGAATATTTGTTTTATACATATCAAAAAGATTAAGTGAAATTTCATGTACCAAATCCTGAAGTCAAACAGACTCATAAGTCAAATGACAACCTCTGGATTTTTCTCATTTCCTTTCTATGTAGACATTAAGGAAGTAAAACAAAATAAGAGTGGTGATTACCTAATAAATCAGAGACAGTCTATTTAGCAAAATTATTTCAATCATAAAAGACTATATCCCAAATTTCATTAACTAAATTGTATATTTTTATGAAAGCCTGTTTAGCTATACATGCCAACTTAGAGGACATATTGTGAAAACTAGCAAATCTCTCCTTATAAAAATCAGCCCCCTGAGACCAATGAAGCATGATGTATATATTCTAAGAGGGTACATCATTTTAGATTCAAGAAACTGTAATATAATGTAAGCCTCAATAAGAACATTATCACAGAAAATCTTAAAACTTTTGGTGAGTCATGCTTGTTTTTTGAAAATGACTGCCTAGGCTAGGCGCCTGTAATCCTAGCACTTTGGAAGGCCAAGGTGGGGAGATCACTTGAGGTCAGGAGTTCAAGACCAGCCTGGCCAACATGGTGAAACCCCATCTCTACTAAAAATACAAAATAAGCCGGGTGTGGTGGCGGGTGCCTGTAATCTCAGCTACTTGGGAGGCTGAAGCAGGAGAATCACTTGAACCCAGGAGGTGGAAGTTGCAGTGAGCTGAAATGGTGCCACTGCACTCCAGCCTGAGCGACAGAGCAAGACTCCATCTCGAAAAAAAAAAAAAAATTGCCTAAATACCATTCCCTCCATGGAAGAAATCACCGCTTTACACAAAAGAACTAGAAAGGGACAAGCCTTAAGGTTCCATGACATAATCTAACCTATAATAAAAATCTTTTTAGAGTTGATTTCTGTTACTTATAACCAAAAGGACCATAAATGAAAACAATATTTACATTTGAACTCTACAAAACAATCTGAGAGCGCCTCAGGATTTTATCTATATTAGATGTAAATAATGTGTTCTTATTTTACATATCTTATACAGGTGACATGGGAAACAACAGCATATCATCCAGCTAATGATAAATTATTATTACACTTTTTTTTGTTTTGTTTTGTTTTTTTGTTTGAGATGGAGTCTCATTCTGTCGCCCAGGTTGGAGTGCAGTGGCACGATCTTGACTCACTGCAAGCTCTGCCTCCGGGGTTCACACCATCCTCCTGCCTCAGCCTCCCGAGTAGCTGGGACTACAGGTGCCCGCCATCACGCCCGGCAAATTTTTTTGTATTTTCAGTAGAGATGGGGTTTCACCGTGTTAGCCAGGATGGTCTCGATCTCCTGACCTTGTGATCCGCCCACCTTGGCCTCCCAAAGTGCTGGGATTACAGGCGTGAGCTACCGCGTCCGGCGCATTATTATACTTTCTAACTTAAGTAAGTGTGCTAATTATTAGTCTAATACCTAATACTCCACAAAAGTTAACTGGATAAATCTTTCATATAAAGTATTTTGTTGCATCCACTGCAGTGTCTAACATTTTTTTAAAAAATTAACTATTTTGCATCATTATCTTATTTCCTTTTCAAAAAATTCTTGTGTATTTAAGCTACAAAAGTTTCATGGGAGAGCTACAAATTAGTTAACAGAGAGGTTAAATGTCCCGACATTAACTATTTTCTGGAAAACTTTCATAGAAGGTTTACCTTTCCTGGTCCCAGTCTTGGCCCTGGCATGGGGGGTGGTGGAGGGAGAAAAGAGTTCCATGGAGCAGATTTGGGCTTGATGTTATCTGATTTATTTCCAGGAGACCTGGAGTTCTCACTTTCATCTGTTGAAACTTGGCTTTCATTTTCATTCTTTAAAAAGAAAAAATATGCAGGTTTTTGTTATAAGGGTGTGATTAAGAAAAAATTAATGCCTCGGTGGATCAAACTGACAACTGTGTATACTGTTTAACAGTTTCTCATCTAGTCTCTGCTTCCAGAAATTGAATTTTTTTTTTTTTGTATCCTTACCTCTTGAGCATTTTGTTCTATATTATTAGCTACTTCACAGATTGGGGAAAGTAGATCGGACAGATTTTGCTCCTCTCTATTTCCATATCCAGTGTAAACCACAACACAGGTTTCTCTCTTAAAATCAATTGAAGCAATGGTAGCTGGGTAAATGCAACCGTCTTCTGACCAAATGGCAGAACATTTGTCCCCAACTTTCCACTACAAAAGAAATCAAAGATATATACATGCACACATTTCTTTTGAAGAGGGCAAACTATCATCTCGTTTTGATCAGTGGGGAGGTGAAGGATAGAGGGTAGAGATTTGGAAGGCAAAATGATGTAATGAGAAAGGCTTGGGGTCTAAATACATAAATCTGAATTCCAACTCTCTTACATTTATAATCATGGACAAGTTTCTGAATCTCTTTGAGTCTTAGTTTCCCCATCTTATTAGATGGCTATAATATAAACTACCTCCCATATTTGTTGTGAATAGCGGGAGGGAGATAAAATGCGTATGGTGCCCAGCACTCTGGACTGGCCTAGAGCAAGTGCTCATCAACTGTTAGCTCTCTTCCCCCTTGGTAATGATGAAACTAAAGTTGGCTCAAAAGACACCAAAATATTCAGCTTTCAGGACTACTGCTTTTAACTAGCAGAAATAATCTACCTAGACTTCTGGGTTCCTTGGAATTAACAGTTTTAGAGTTTTTAAAGAAAAAGGGGAAAAAAAAATCTATCTCTCAGCTTAAGATGTAAAACACTGCCAATTCAGCTTACGGCTCTTGGGTACTCCTTCCAAACGGCACCTTCTCCCTGCCTTCCATTCACAAATGGAACACATGTCCTGATTTTAGCATTTATCATTCCCATCTAATTCTTTATACTTTCATGACTAATATGCATGTTCCTAAATAACAGAAAATTTAATAGTTGTTTTTGAAGTTGTATAAGTATATGTCAATAGAAACACTGTACTAATCACTTAAGTTAAAGACATTTTACACTATTAAATAAGGACTAATGAGACATCCTTTGAAGTTAAATCTCAACATTTTAAAATAACCTGTTGTAAGGAAGCTGCAGTATTCTTCTTTTGGCTTTTATTCTTCTTAGCAGGTTTTCTTTTAGGTGTGGTTTTTGGTTTACCCGAAGTTTCACAAATGTCACCATTCTTTAGAGCATGCTACGAAAATAGGAATAAAAATGTACATGTTACAGGGTGGTGCACAGAATAAAAGTCACGACATAACCCAGTTACTACTATAAGCTAGTCTCAAGGCTCCGTCACCTCAGAAAGCACCTATTTTCTCTTTTGACCACCCCCTGCACTATAAAAACTGCTCTTAAAGGCATCATACACCTGACATCAGCTCTAAAGACCCTTTTAATCAAATCTCCTTGCTCTCAACCTCTCTGTAACATTAGACCCTGTTAATTATCTTTCTTCCTGATATTCATGGCCCTTTGGATGTCATAGCAATGTAGGGCCCCAACGGTTTCATTACTTCTGATCAAGCCTTAGATTTAGGCATTCCCAATAAGAGCTGGCCATCCTTCTTTACTTGCTTACGGCCATTATTTTATTTATTTTATTTTTTTACACAGAGTCTCACTCTGTCACCGGGCTGGAGTGCAGTCACACTGATCTCAGCTCACTGCAACCTCCACCTCCCAGGTTCAAGCGATTCTCCTGTCTCAGCCTCCCGAGTAGCTGGGATTACAGGCGTGCACCACTGTGCACAGCTAATTTTTGTATTTTTAATAAAGACGGGGTTTCACCATGTGGGCCAGGCTGGTCTTGAACTCCTGACCTCGTGATTTGCTCGCCTCAGCCTCCCAAAGTACTGGGATTACAGGCGTGAGCCACCGCGCCCGGCCAAGGCCATCTATTCTTATTACTTTAGTTGCAACTGTCTGCAAACACACTTCTGAAGCTATTAATCCAGCTGTGACTTTTCTCAATCTAACATTTCCAATGATCAATTTCACATCTTAATTCATACCTCAAACTCAACCTCAACTTAATTCATATTCAACCTCAACTTAATTCAAATTCAATCTCAACTTAATTCATACTCAAACTCACTACTAAAACTATCGTTTTCCCAAATCAGTTCTTTTCCTCCTTTACTCAGATTACTTCTCCCTGCAATATCACCAACCCATCCCACATCGAGCCCCATTTCAATCTCTATTTTATAGAATTCTCTTGGTAATTCTTTAGTCGACTTCTAGTTTCAGTGTATACTGGAAAGCACATTTAAAAATCTAGGCCGGGTGCAGTGGTTCATGCTTGTAATCCCAGCACTTTGGAAGGTCAAGGCGGAGGGATCTTTTGAGCTCAGGAGTTCCAGGCCAGCGTGGGCAACAGGGTGAGACTGCATCTCTACAAAGAATACAAAAATGAGCTGGGTGTGGTGGCACACACCTGTGGTCCCAACTACTCAGGAAGCTGAGGTAGGAGGATTGTTTGAGCTCATGAGTTGAAGGCTCCAATGAGGCATGATCACGCCACTACACTCCAGCCTGGGTGACAGGGCAAGACCCCATCTCAAAAAAAAAAAAAAATCTAGAAATCAGTTACAAAGGTGACATAGAGGTCTGATCTTTAGCTCATGTTACAAGAGTAACTATGAGAAAGACATGAAATCTGTATGCTTGGTGCTCTTTATACACTGTATGAGTATATGCTCTGTTTGCTCAAGGTAGTCTGGACTATTGTTTGCTCAAGGTAGTCTGGACTATTGATGACCCATATTTAGTGCTCAGTAAGACTAAACATCTCAGAGAATGGAGAAGGTGATGATGTTGGCCAACTGTGTAAGTGTCCTGTTTGAGACACAGAACCATACTACATTTCCTAAAAGAACTGTATATTCCTACCCAATAGGAACACTTGAATTGATACCCAACTTACAGGATTTGGGATGATTAGAGTAATTTAATATATGAAACGCACACAGAGCACTGTCAGCATGCTACAAATATTAATTGCTGTACTAATGCTATTTATCTTCATCATTATTTTACTACATGCTTGTTAAATGTTTAAAATTATAATTCAGATTGTCTTTTTCTTATTAATCTCAATTAGAGGACTTCCATAGTTTGATACAATGTAAAAATACTAAAAGGAATACATTGTTTGTTCGTTTTCTGAGATGGAGTCTCACTCTATCGCCCAGGCTGGAGTGCAGTGGTGCAATCATTGCAACCTCTGCCCCCCAGGTTCAAGCAATTCTCCTGCCTCAGTGTCCCAAGCAGCTGGGATTACAGGCACGTGCCACCATGCTTGGCTAATTTTTGTATTTTTAGTAAAGACGGGGTTTCACCATGTTGGCCAGGCTGGTCTCAAACTCCTGACCTCAGGTGATCCACCCGCCTCAGCCTCTCAAAGTGCTGGGATTACAGGAGTGAGCCACCATACCCAGCCAGGAATAAATGTTTTAAATTTTATTTAAATTGCCTCCACAAAGGATGACATATATAGGCTATCAACTTCTAAAGGAGGATATCACCTGATTTAACTAACTCATACTACCATCTAATCTTCAAAATGAAAACTGAATAACATGTACTTTAACACTTTATCGTATGTTATCAATTCCTTTCCAAATGAATAACGAGAAAATAAGAAAACGACTAAGCAAGCATTTCATACCTTAAATGAAGCCACAGCTTTATCATATGCTTTTATCAGTGCTGTATCATCCCAAATGTCAGAATCATCGCTCTGGAAAGGGTAAGAAATAAAAACAACTCATGTTCAGATAGGTTTAATCAGAAAATGTATGTTAGTACCAAGAGTCATCTTAATCCACACATAACAAAATTACACTGAAAATGAGTATTTAAAATCCTAAATAAAGCCACAGGAAACTTACCTGGTTAGAGGTTATGTGACTTTACTCCAAAAGCTAGACATAGGTAAATGTTCTAAGAATGAATGCCATCAAGTGAATGCCCCTACAATTTAATTCCTATCCACATACCATGAGTAGATTTGTTCAAGGCCAGCTATATTTATTTCAATTAAGATCAGATAAAACTTGACTTCATCTAGACTACGGGAATGCTGTTCTGACCTCAGAACCTATGATCCAAAGAATATTTTTTCTTTTGAAATTATAATGTTTCCAGATTATAAGGATACAAATTGTTAATAGTGACTAACCAATTTTCATTTTATTATTATTATTATTTTTTTACTTCCATTTCCCTTTCCTGCTTTCCTGGTACCAATTTTCTTTCCTTCCTTTTCTTTTCCTTTCTTTCGTTTCTTTCTTCTCTCCCTCCCTCCTTCCTTTCTTCCTTCCTTCACTTCTCTTTCTCTCTTCTTTTTTTCTCCCCTCAAATTCCTGTGTTCAAATGACCCTCCCACCTCAGCCCACTGAGTAGTTGGGAATATAGGTGCATGCCACCATGCCTGGCTAGTTTTTAAAATTTTTTGTAGGGACGGGGTCTCGCCATCTTAGCCAAGCTGGTCTTGAACTCCTAGGCTCAAGTGATCCTCCAGCCTCGCTCGGCCTCCCAAGTGTGGGAATTACAGGCATGAGCCACTGCACCTGGAAATATTTTTGTCCAGACATGGTGGCTCATGCCTGTAATCCCAGCTACTTGGGAAGCTGAGGCAGGAGAATTACATGAGCCCAGTTGTTGGAGGCTGCAGTAAGCTATGATCATCCCATTGCCCTCTAGCCTGGGTGACAGAGGAAGACCCTGTCTAACAACAACAACAACAATAACAAAATAATAATAATAATAAATAATTTTTTAGCACTATCTGCTAGCACTGTGCAAGTCACTGAGAGATATATAGAAACATGGTACTCTCCAGTTATTATCTAACTAGGGATTTAAGACTATCACACAAGACAAAACAAAAAACAATATAAAACAAATCTTAACAAACATCAAAATGTGAAATACAAACAGTATTTTAATTAAAAAGGAAAGAAATTAATGTCTACTGCAAGATCATATGGAGGAAACCGGCCTAAGAAATAAAAACCACTCACGCCTGTAATCCCAGCACTTTGGGTGGCCGAGGTGGGTGGATCACGAGGTCAGGAGTTCGAGACCAGCCTGGCCAACATGGTGAAACCCTGTCTCTACTAAAAATACAAAAATTAGCCGGACATAGTAGCACATGCCTGTAATCCCAGCTACTTGGGAGGCTGAGGCAGGAGAATCACTTGAACCTGGGAGGCAGAGGTGGCAGTGAGCCAAGATCGCGCCACTGCACTACAGCCTGAGAGACATAGCGAGACTCTGTCTCAAAAAACAAACAAAACAAAACAAAACAAAATAAAACAAAACAAAACAACAGGATTTAGGCCGGGCATGGTGGCTTGTAATCCCAGCATTTTGGGAGGCCAAGGCAGGTGAATTGCTTGAGTCCAGGACTTCCAGACCAGCCTAGGCAACAGGGTAAGAACCTTGTGTCTACTAAAAATACAAAAATTCTGGCCGGGCGTGGTGGCTCATGCCTGTAATTCCAGCACTTTGGGAGGCAGAAGCAGGCAGATCACGAGGTCAGGAGTTCGAGACCAGCATGGCCAACAAGGTGAAACCCCATCTCTACTAAAACTACAAAACTTAGCTGGCGTGGTGGCAGTCACCTGTAATCCCAGCTGCTTGGGAGGCTGAGGCAGGAGAATCACTTGAACCCGGGCGGCAGAGATTGCAGTGAGCTGAGATTGTGCCACTGCACTCCAGCCTGGGTGACAGAGTGAGACTCTGTCTCAAAAACAAACAAACAAAAAAACCAAATTTAGCTGGGCATGGTGGCACATGCCTATAGTCCCAGCTACCTGCAGGGGCTGAGGCGAGAGGATCACCTGGGCCCAGGAAGTTGAGGATGCAGTGAGTGGAGATGGCGCCGCTGCACTCCAGCCTGGGTAACAAATTGAGACCTTGTCTGGGAAAAAAAAACAAAAAAAAACAAAAAAAACCCCCAAAAAAAAAAAAAACCCAACAGGATGTGCATAGGTAGACAAAATAGAACGCATTCCAAGTAAGAGCATGAACAACAACAAAAAAGGCATGGAAGCAAAAATAACACTAACTATAAGAATTTATTTATGTAAGGTAACTAAGTAGTCAAATTTATAGAATTAGAAAGAATGGGCCAGGCGCAGTGGCTCACGCCTGTAATCCCAGCACTTTGGGAGGCCGAGGTGGGCAGATCACCTGAGGTCAGGAGTTCGAGACCAGCCTCAACATGGAGAAACCCCTTCTCTACTAAAAATACAAAATTAGCCGGGCGTGGTGGTGCATGACTGTAATCCCAGCTACTCGGGAGGCTGAGGTAGAATTGCTTGAACCTGGGAGGCGGAGGTTGTGGTGAGTCGAGATTGCACCATTGCACTCCAGCCTGGGCAACAAGAGTAAAACTCCATCTCAAAAAAAAAAAAAAAAGAATGATGATTACCAAGGGCTAAGTGTAAGGAGAAATGGGAATTTGCTAATGGGTAGAGTTTCAGGTTGCAAGACGAAAAACTTCCGAAGATCTATTGCGCAACAACATGAACATACTTAATATTACTGAACTATATACTTAAAAATGGTTAAAATGACAAATTTTTTTACTTCAATAAAAAATAAAACACACTGTATGAGGGATTAGTGAGACAAGTCCAAATAGAATCCAATTTATACTATAGGGTAGAGTTGGATTTGGTATACTAGAGAGTATTTTGGATTTGGTATAGTATTAGTCAATGAATTCCAAAAAAGTTTGTTATAAAATTCACTGAGTTGTAATATTACTTTTTGTCATTTTCCTGTTTTTTTTTTGTTTTGTTTTGTTTTCTCTTGAGACAAGAGTCTCGCTATGCCACCCAGGCTGGAGTGCAGTGGCATGATCTCGGCTCACTGCAACCTCTGCTGCCCAGGTTCAAGTGATTCTCCTGCCTCAGTCTCTCAAATAGCTGGGATTATAGGCGCCCACCATCAAGCTGGGCTAATTTTTGTATTTTTAGTAGACATGGGCTTTCATCATCTTGGCAAAACTGGTCTCGAACTCCTGACCTCAAGTGATCCTCCCACCTCAGCCTCCCAAAGTGCTGGGATTACAGGCATGAGCCACCGCACCCAGGCTTGTCATTTTCCTGTTAATCTCCGTTATATAGAGACAAATGTATTCCAATATAAAATGTCAATCTTGCTGTATGATAAAAAGTACTTAATAATCCCAGCCTGGGCAACATGGCAAAACCCCATCTCTACAAAAAGTACAAAAATTAGCTGGGCGTGGTGGTTCACATCTGTAGTCCCAGCTACCCAGAAGGCTAAGGTGGGAGGGCCGCTTGAACCAGGGAAGAGGAGATTGCAGTGAGTGGAGATCAGAGATCGTGCCACTGCACTCCAGCCAGGGTGACAGTGAGACCCTGTCTCAAAAAAAAAAAGTACTTAAGATCATTAAGTCACTTTGCAGATAAGAAAAGTAATCACAAAGAGGTTAACTGACTTAAGGTTACATTCGCACTTGGAAGGGAAGATATTCCTTGGAGATTTGGTAAAAGGAATAAAAACAGGCTGGGTCCAGTGGCTCACACCTATAATCTCTGTCTCGAAAGAAAAAAAGGGGGGTAGGGGGGAGGCTGGGCACGGCAGCTCATTCCTGTAATCCCAGCACTTTGGGATGCAGAGGTGGGTGGGGTGGGTGGATCACTTGACATCAGGAGTTTGAGACCAGCCTGCCAATGTGGCAAAACCCCGTCTCTATTAAAAATACAAAACTTAGCCGGGCATGGTGGTGCACACCTGTAGTCCCAGATACTTGGGAGGCTGAGGCAGGAGAATTGCTGGAACCCGGGAGGCAGAGGTTGCAATGAGCCAAGATCACTGCACTCCAGCCTGAGTGACAGAGTGAGACTCCATCTCAAAAAAAAAGGAAGCAAACAGTAGAAAATGAAGGGTGGTCCTGAAGAAATAAAGAAATCACAAAATCAAGGCCAGTGATATCAATAGAAGAGTGCAGTCTTAAAGCAAGATACATAGACAGATGGCAGCTCAAACTCCTCATATCTCAACTGTTATTGCCAGACCAGGAAACAAGTAATTTCAAAACGAACAGAAAACAAAGCGACAGAAGAAAAGGTAATACTGATTACAAGGTACCCAAGGACAAATACATCTGACTGAAAATCTAAGGAGCACCAAAGCAAAGCCATGAAAAAGAACCAAAGGAACAAAAATAAATAAGAAGCAAAATGGTTGATACATTGGCAAACAGTATTTATTTAACGTATGTATAAATGGGGTCCCTGAAGAATAAAAACAAAACAAAACAAACAATCTTCCTGGTGGTCTAGTGATTAGGAATTTAAAAAAAAGAAAAATTCCTAGGGATGGGAGGAAGAACCCCCTCCCATCCTCAGAGAGCCTCTAAGCAAAAAGACTAAGTTACAAAATAAAGAAAATCAGTTATCATTAGACTTTCTCATAGAAATTTATGGGGAAAAAGTATGAGCCAAGAATTTTATATGCAGCCTAGCTGTCCTTGAAGTAGCAAGACTAAGAAAAGTCTAAAATGTAGAAGAATACCGTACTCACTAGCCTTTCCAGGGTAATCTATTGAAAATACGCTTCATCCAACCAAGATATGACCAGGGAAACTTGGGTTTTAAAAATAACAGAACTGGCCAGGCATGGTGGTTCACGCCTGTAATCCCAACACTTTGGGAGGCCGAGGTGGGTGGATCACCTGAGGTCAGGAGTTCAAGACCAGCCTGATCAACATGGTGAAACCCCGTCTCTACTAAAAATACAAAATTAGCCGGGCGTGGTGGCGCATGCCTGTAATCCCAGCTACTCGGGAGGCTGAGGCAGAAGAATTGCTTGAACCTGGGAGGTGGAGGTTGTGGTGAGCCAAGATCGCGCCACTGCACTCCAGCCTGGGCAACAAGAGCGAAACTCTTGTCTCAAAAAAAAAAAACGAAAAACATAAAACAGAATTGTTAGCATCAAATATATTTAATTGTGGATCTAAGAGGAAAGTAGTGTATTAAATTGAAAAGCTGATTCTAAAATTTATATGGAACTACTAAGGACAAAAATAAACCAAAGCTGGACAATTTACATTATCTAACTTTAAGACTGTAAACCAGAAGTAGCTAAGACAGGTTTCAATCAATTTAGAAAGTTTATTTTGCCAAAGTTAAAGACGCTCCTATGACACAGCCACAGGAGGTCCTGATGACATGTCCCCAAGGTGGTGGGGTACAGCTTTGTTTTATACATTTTAGGGAGACATGAGGCATCAATCAATATATGTAAGATGTACATGAGTTCTGTCAGGAAAGGCAGGACAACTCAAAGTGGGGGTAGGGAGGTTTCTAGGTCATAGGAAGATTTAAAGATTTTCTAATTGGCAACTAGTTGAAAGAGTTATTATCAACAGAAAGGAATGTTTGGGTTACCATAAGGGGTTGTGGAGACCAAGGTTTTATCATGCAGATGAAGCTCCCAGGTAGCAGGCTTCAGAGAGGGTAGGTTGTAAATGTTTCTTTTCAGACTTTAAGAGTCTGTTCTATCAGTAATTCCAAAAGGTAGTAGGGTGTGATGAGACATGTCCAACTCCCCCTTCCCATCATGGCTTGAACTAGTTTTTCAGGTTAATTTTGGAATGCCCTTGGCTGAGAGGATGGGTCCATTCAGTTGGTTGTGCAGGGGCGGGGGGGGCCTATAATTTTATTTTTGGTTTACAAGACATACCCTGAAGCAATAGTAATTAAAAGTGTAGTACTGACATCAATATACACTAATAGACAATGTAACAGAATTGAGAGTCAGAAATAGCCCTGTGATATATGTGACTGATTTTAACTAAAGTTACAAATGTGGTTTAATAGAGAAAGCATAGTAGTTTCAAGAAATGGTGGTAAAACTATTGGAAATCCTTATGCAAAAACAAACCAAATTTCCACCTACACTGAGCCACATATAAGAATTAATACAAAATGGATTACAGACCTAAGTGTAAAACTAAAACTCTAAACTGTGTAAAAAAAAAAAAGAGAGAAAAATCTGTGATCATGGATTGCCTATAACAAAAGAACAAACTGAAATGGCCTTGTTGCCTGGGGTGGCACCCGAGGTTCTTGGTCTCACGCTGAGGAAATCAAGGACGCTGACACACCAAGGGTGTGAGGCTAGAGCAGAAGTTTAATAGGCAAAAGAAAGAGACTAGCTCTCTCCTGCAGAGAGAGGTCCTGAAAAGAGTTCCCATTCCACAGTGAAATGCAAGCATTTTTATAAATGAGCTAATGGGAAGGGGGTAGCTTATCTACACATAGGGAGCAAAAAACCAGTTAGGACCAGGTGTTGCCATCTGCACAGAGCGTGAATCTCTGGCATCCCCCACCCCAACCTTTTATTATGCAGGCAGGTCCTTGGCCTGAGCTACTCCACATTGCTTATCTCTTTCCTATTGTGCATGTGCTAAATAAGGGGAGGTGGAGCCACCATGGTGGACATGCCTGGCCCCAGGTACCCCTTTCTCTCCGTGCAGCTGCAGGCAACCCCAACAACTCACAACATGCAAGCTTCCAGCTTCCTTATCTGAGTATGTACTAAGGTCCACTGTGTTTACTTCACATACTGTGTTTACTTCACATACCCACCTTACGTATGTGAAGCTTGCTGATTACCCAGGAAGCTCCCCCTCTGTGCCAGAGCTGCTTCCTTATACATGTTTACAGCCCGATCTTCCAGGCTGCTCCTTGTTAGAAGAGAAGTGATTTCTTGGGCTGCTTTTTGTTAGAAGGGAAGTTCTACCGAGGACTCTGTCTAACTATCGGCTTACCTAGTCTTTTTTTACCTCCTCTCTCAAAACCATCAAAGAAAAAACTGAAAAATTAGATTTCAGCAAAATTAAGATTTTCTGTTCTTAAAAAGACGTTGTTAACAAAATGAAAAACCAAAGTGTAAACCGGGAGAAAATACATGCAAGTTACCTATCTGATAAAGATATTGTACCCAGCAAACATGAAGAACTCTCAAACCTCAACAACAAAAAAATTCAATTAAAAGATGGGTAAGTTGGCCGGGTGCAGTGGCTCATACTTGCAATCCCAATCTTTGGGAGGCTGAGGCAGGAAGATTGCTTGAGCCCAGGAGTTCACGACAAGCCCAGGCAACATAATGAGACCTTGTTTCTACAAAATTTTAAAAAATTAGCCAGGCATTGTGGCGTGTGCTCGTAATTTCAGCTACTCAGAAGGCTGAGACAAGAAGACTGAGCGCAGGAGGTGGAGGCTGCAGTAGGCTGTGTGATTGCACCACTGCACAACAGCCTGGGTGACAGAGTGAGACACTGTCTCCAAAAAAAAAAAACAAAAAAAAAAAAAACCCAAATGATTTGAATAGACACTTCACCAAAAAAGATATACGGATGGCAAATACACTCATGAAATGATCAACAGCAGCACTGGTCATTAGGAAATGCTAATTAAAATCACAAGAAGCCACTATATCTATTATAATGCCTAAAATTAAAAAGACTGACCATACCAGGTGTTTGCAGGGACACTGAGCAAATGGAACTTTCATACATTGCTGGTCAAAATGCAAAATGGGGGAGCTGTTCTGAACCTATTTAGTTGTGGGGGCTGTCCAACTTTTGAATTTTTCTTTGCTCAATTAATCTCTGTTATATTAAAAAGTAACATGGTACAACCACCACTTTGAGGAAGAGTTTGACAGCTCCTTAAAGACTTAAAATACATCTACCCTGAGACCTAAGTATTCACTCAAGAAAAATGAAAGCGTATGTCTATACAAAGTCTTCTTTAAAATTTTTTATAGAAAATTTTTAATTTTTGATTTTAAAATAAAAATAGAGGTTTCACCATGTTTCCCAGGCTGGTCTCAAACTCCTGGGCTCAAGCGATCTGCCAGCCTTGGCTATATGAAGTCTTATACACTAATATTCATAGTGGCTCTACTTGTTAACAGTCCCAAACTGGAAAAAGCCCAAATGTTCACAAGCAAGCGAATGAATACAGTATAGTATATACATGCAATGGGATACTACTCAGCAATAAAATGGATGAAAATCAAAATAGCTATGATAAATAAAAGAAACGTGACAAAAAAGGTACTCTATCATTCCACGTTTATAAAAATTCTTAAAAATGCAGGCTAATCTATGGTGACAGAAAGTAGATCAGTGGTTGTCTGGGGACAGGACAAGGAGGGATGAAAAGGATCACAAAACAGCAATCCAACTGAGGCCACCATGCTATAAGGAAATCCAAACCAGCCCACACATTGAAACCACATAAAGAAATCTTCATGAGACTACATGAAAAAAAGAGATAGCCTGCCAATCCCTAGCTGCTCAGTCCCCAGCTACTGTAGCTCTAGCAACTATGTAGGTGCAACCACGAGACAGCCGCACGAAAACTGCCCAGCACGGCTCTCACAAATTCCTAACCCACAGAAACAATGAGAGATAATAAAATGTTCTTTGTTGTTTCAAGCCACTAAGTTTTGGCAGATTCGTTACACAGCAACGGCAGCCAGAACGGACCACCAGGACTGCCTTTATATCTGATTCTCAGTCATTTCCAGTAGCTCAGATTTCTCAAATTATTCCCAACACCCTGCCATCTTCTACCTTCTCCTACCACTTCCTGAAACTTCCACTGTGCTCCCTTGAGTAATTCATAAAATCCACTCTTTTAACCTCTGAATCATCCCTTCATTTCTTGCTCTAAGTAAAATCTAGCTCCCTGAGGATGCCTTTTCCTTTCGCAGCCATCTCAAATGATAGATGTTTCCTCTTTTCTCCTCCACACACTTCATATCACTGTACCTACTGGAGATGTGGGGAAGAAATCTTCCCTGCTCTGGCTGGCGCGGTGGCTCACGCCTGTAATCCCAAGCGCTTTGGGAGGCCGGGGTGGGCGGATCACAAAGTCAGGAGATTGAGACCATCCTGGCTAACACGGTGAAACCCCGTCTCTACTAAAAATACAAAAAAACAATTAGCTGGGCGTGGTGGCGGGCGCCTGTAGTCCCAGCTACTCGGGAGGCTGAAGGAGGAGAATGGCGTGAACACGGGAGGCGGAGCTTGCAGTGAGCGGAGATCTCGCCACTGCACTCCAGCCTGGGCGACTGAGCCAGACTCCGACTCAAAAAAAAAAAAAAAAAAGAAAAAAGAAATCTTCCCTGCTCCTTACTTGCACTTTCAGATTATTCTCCTCCATTCCCCTCTCAAAATTCCCAGCCTTGAAAATCCTGACAAAAAGTAGCCAGGCATGGTGGTCAGCACCTGTAGTTCCAGCTACTTGAGAGGCTGAAGTGGGAGAATCCCTTGAGCTTGGGAGGAGGTTGTAGTGAGCCGTGATCGCGCCACTGCACTCCCACCTGGGCAACAAAAAGAGGCCCTGTCTCGGGGGGGGGGAAAAAAAGAAAGAAGGAAAATCTTGTCACCAGACTCACAGTCTATTATCGTTTCCTATTGCAGTCACCTACAGCCTACCGAGTCACTCTTCCTCATTCCTTAATGTTTACATCGCAGTTCTCTCTCCAACACTACTCCTGTCATAATTTTTGGTGATTTAAATATCCATGTAGATGATCCCTTCAATTACCCTATATTTGCAGGTCTCTAAACTCCTCTCCACCACAATCTTGTACATCCTCTGATGTGGTGCAGCTCTGTGTTCCTACCCAAATCTCATGCTGAATTGTGATCCCCAGTGTTGGAGGTGGGCATGGTAGGAGGCGACTGGATCATGGGGGTGATTTCTAATGATTTAGCACCATCCCCAAGTGCTGTTTCCTGATAAGCGTTCTCACAAGATCTGGTTGTTTTAAAGTATGTAGCACTTCCCCCTTCTCTCTCTCTCCTGCTGGCCATGTGAAGACTGTGCTTGTTTCCCCTTCACCTTCCACCATGACTGTAAGTTTCCTTAGGCCTCCACAAGAGAAGCCTGTACAGGCAGCAGAACTGTGAGCTGATTAAACCTCTTATCTTTATAAATACCTGGTCTCAGGTATGTCTTTGTAGCAGTGTAAGAATGAACTGATACATCCCCAAATCTCAGCTACTCACTCACTTCAACTGTATTTATTTATTATAACCAATAACCACAACCTCTCCATAAATGCAGTTTCAAGAATCCCACTCTCTTAACCATCACCTTCTAGGCTCTGCAACTTACTCCTACTAGTGATTTGATGGGGACAATCATTCCACTTCATTAGGACTGGCAGTACATTGATCCTCCCACTTTTTTTTTTTTTTTTTTTTGAGGCAGAGTCTCATTTTGTCGCCCAGGATGGAGTACAGTGGCACGATCTCGGGTCACTGCAAACTCCACATCCCGGGTTCAAGTGATTTTCCTGCCTCAGCCTCCCTAGTAGCTGAGACTACAGGCACCTGCCACCATGCCCAGCTAATTTTTTTTTTCCAAGAGGAGTCCTGCTCTGTCGCCCAGGCTGGAGTGCAGTGGCGCAATCTCGGCTCACTGCAAACCTCGCCTCCCGTGTTCAACTGATTCTCCTGCCTCAGCCTCCCAAGTAGCTGGGATTATAGGCACGCGCCACCACGCCCGGCTAATTTTTGTATTCTTTTTTTTTTTTTTTTTTTAAAGACAAAGTTTTGCTCTTGTTGCCCAGGCTGGAGTGCAATGGAGTGATCTCAGCTGTCTGCAACCTCTGCCTCCCAGGTTCAAGCAATTTTTCTGCCTCAGCCTCCCGAGTAGCTGGGATTATAGACACGTGACACCATGCCCGGCTAATTTTTGTATTTTTAGTAGAGACAAGGTTTCACCATATTGGCCAGGCTGGTCTCGAACTCCTGACCTTGTGATCTGCCCAACTCGGCCTCCCAAAGTGCTGGGATTACAGGTGTCAGCCACAGCGCCCGGCCGATCCTCCCACTTTTTAAACTGTCTCTCAGGGTCTTAAAATCCTCACTTCCTTTCTTTTTTTTTTTTTTTGAGGTGAAGTCTCACTATATCGTCCAGGCTGGAGTACAGTGGCGTGATCTCGGCTCACTGCAACCTCCACCTCCTGGGTCCAAGGGATACTCCTGCCACAGCCTCTTGAGTAGCTGGGATTACAGGCACCTGCCACCATTCCCGGCTAATTTTTCTGTATTTTTATTAGAGATGGGGTTTCGCCATATCGGCCAGGTTGGTCTCAAACTCCTGACCTCAGGTAATCCACCCACCTCAGTCTCCCAAAGTGCTGGGATTACAGGCGTGAGCCACCGCGCCCGGCCTCTCACTTCCTTTCTTAGCCAGCTTAAATTCCATGGTCAATCATTAAGAGAACTCCTTTGTACTTCTCCCCCTCACTTCTTCATATCCACGTGGTAAAATCACAACTGCATTAATTTCAACTCTCCATTTACTCTGTGGGTGCCCTCATACACAATCTTGCTGTCTGGTCTCCTTCAACTCATGACCACGAATCTCAAGTAGGCTCTTTATGTTGCCTAGCAATATTTCCACTAAACTTCCCTAGTCCAACCCTTGCCCACTCTTCTAAAGAACTATCTACTTCCCATCTTCTCTTTCCTCTCCCATCCCAGCTTCTAGCTGATAACCTTGCTTCTTTCACTAAGAGAACAGTAAGAATCAAGAGAACTTTCAAAATCTCCTGCCATCCTATCTGCCCATTCACGTATCATAGATGTGTTAACTATATAGCTGTCACCAAAAGAACCGCTAATGTTTCCAACAAAGGCCAAATCCATCCCTTCTTACCTACTCTAGGACATTGCTCTAGCCATTGTCTTCTTTCCGACATCAACTTTCCCATTCTCATCTTTCCTATCAACCCACAAACATGCTGAAACATGTTGCTCCTATCTTAGTGCAGTGGCTCACACTAGTAATCCCAGTACTTTGGGAGGCAGAGGTGGGAGGATAGCTTGAGGCCAGGAGTCCAAGGCTGTAGTGATTCATGATTGCGCCACTGGCACCCCAGCAGCCTGGGCAACAGAGCAAGACCCCCCTCTTTTAAAACCACACACACATAATTAAAATTCCTCTTAACTCACTTCCCCCTCCATTTATTGCCCAATTTCTCTACCCTCCATTTATAATAAAATTTCGTGGTGGCTCACTCCTTTAGGCCCAGCGACTCCAAAGGAGGGTCGCTTGAGGCCAAGAGATCAACGCTGCCATGGGCTAGGATCATGCCACTGTACTCCAGCCTGGGCCACAGAGAGCGAACTTGTCTCTAAAAAAATTTTTTTTAAATAGAATTCCTTGAAATATGCCTACCGATGTTTTTATTATTTATTTATTTATTTATTTATTTATTTGAGACGGAGTCTTGCTCTATCGCCCAGGCTGGAGTGCAGTGGCGCGATCTCGGCTCACTGCAAGCTCCGCCTCCCGGCTTCATGACATTCTCCTGCCTCAGCCTCCCGAGTAGCTGGGACTACAGGCGCCCGTCACCACGCCCGGCTAATTTTTTGTATTTGTAGTAGAGACGGGGTTTCACCGTGTTAGCCAGGATGGTCTCGATCTCCTGACCTTGTGATCCGGCCGCCTCGGCCTCCCAAAGTGCTGGGATTACAGGCTTGAGCCACCGCGCCCGGCCGTTTATTTTGTTTTAAGACAGGGTCTGGCTCTGTCGCCCAGGCTGGAGTGCAGAGGCGCAATCACAGATCACTGCAGCCTCCACCTCCCTGAGCCTTCCAAGGCCTGAACCTTCCAGGTAGCTGAGACCACAGACGCGCACCACAACACCCGTCTAATTTTTGCAGACTCGGAGTCACACTATGTTGCCCAGGCTGGTCAAATGTTGCCTTGGATTTCTCTTCTCCTACTCTCCAACTCACTCCAGCCAAATTCACCCCTACCATGCTATGCCCAAGACTGAACTCCTGAGAAACCTGCTCTACTGGCAATCTTCTCTTTCCCACCTCAGCAAAAGGCAACTTTATCTTTTCAACTATTCAGGATAACCTCCGTTATCGAATCTATCTGAAAAACCTGTTGCCTCCGATTTCAAAATATACCCAGAATCCAAATACTTTCACTCTGTTAATAACATCTTGTTCTGAAGTTCAGATCATCTTAACAGACTCCTAAGTGGTTCCCCTGCTTCACCCTGGCCTAATGCCCCCACCTCCCCCACACCAGCCAGAGAGGAGTGAACAAAATAAGCTACTGCCAAGTCGCGGCAGGGCCTCCACTCAACGCTATCAAGGAGCCCAAACTGCTCGAGGAAGGAGCTTGCGGATGTGGTTCGCAGGGAACGGAGTGGGAAAAGACGTAGAAAAACGCGGACCACAACTCCAGTGAGCGGATCGACTTGATGCTGTCCCGAGGCTGCGGAAGGAGAGTTGGGCCGGAAGAAGGGTGCTGAGAGCGCTAATAGGGAGACTGCACTGGCTGCGACCTCACCTGGCCTGTGCCGCGCCGGAACAGCACGGAATCCTCCTGCTCCGGGACGCCGCCACCACTGCCGCCGCTGCTCATCGCCATAGCAAACCCGCGGGTGCGCAGCGTGGGGCCCCGTCCCTTCTTAAGAGTGACGACTTCCGCCGCCCGGGGCTTCTGGGAGCGGAACAGTACGGTGGCCGGGAGGACCGCTTGTAGTAACTTCTCACGCTTTCTACGAGTGGTTATCGCCCTCCCACATTTGTGGCGTGTATATTTTTCATTTCTCTCAATCCTTTCATTTCACTGTGTTATATTTCCTTTCCTTTTTTTTTTGTTTGTTTGTTTTGAGACAGAGCCTCGCCCTGTCGCTCAGGCTGGAGTGCAGCGGCGCGATCTCGGCTCACTGCAGCCTCGACTTCTTGGGCTCAAGCGATCCTCCCACCTCAGCCTCCCCAGTAGCTAGGACTATAGGCGTGCGCCACCAAGCTCAGCTATTTTTTGTATTTAGTAGAGACGGGGTTTCGGCATGTTGCTTAGGCCTCGTCTCGAACTCCAGTGTGTGTGTGTGTGTGTGTGTGTGTGTGTGTGTGTAGATATTTATTCCCCCTCCCCCTTGGAAAAGTAAATGTAAGCTCCTACTAGGAATTTAAAACCTGCTTGATCTATATAAAGACAAACAAGGAAAGACAAACATGGGGGCAGGAAGGAAGGCAGATCCTTAAACACTAGAAGATATTTGATCCCCCAACCTTATTTGTTGTTTGTTTTGAGACGGAGTCTCGCTCTGTCGTCAGAGTGCAGTGGCACCATCTCGGCTCATTGCAGCCTCGACCTCCCGAGCTCAAGCGATCCTCCCGCCTCAACCTCCCAAGTAGCTAGGACCACAGGGGCACGCCACCACACCCGGCTAGTTTCTGTATGTTTTGTAGAGGCGGCGTTTGGAGCATATTGTGTAGGCTGGTCTCGAACTCCTGAGCTCAAGATATTCCGCCCGCCTCTGGCATCCCAAAATGCTGGGATTACAGGTGTGAGCCACCTCGCCCAGCCTCCAGTATTCTTTTTTTTTTTTGCGACAGAGTATTGCTCTGTCACCCAGGCTGGAATGCAGTGGCGTGATCTCAGCTCACTGCAACCTCTGCCTCCCAGGTTCAAGCAATTCTGCCTCAGCCCCCCGAGTAGCTGGGATTACAGGCGCCCACCACCACACCCGGCTAATTTTTGTATTTTTAGTAAAGATGGGGTTTCACCATGTTGGCCAGGCTGGTCTTGAACTCCTGACCTCGTAATCCGACCGCCTCGGCCTCCCAAAGTGCTGGGATTACAGGTGTGAGCCACCACACCGGGCCTCCAGTATTCTTTATTAAGCATCTAGGGTTGCTAAATGGCTTATATGTACATAGTATATATATATTTTTAACTCCACGAAAGGAACTTTGAGCTCTTCCCCCAAAATACCCTTGGCTTCTATATAGTATACAAGAAATATCTGTGGAGGAAGGGGAGAATGGGATGATGTTGACCAAGTGTACAAAAATGGTAACTCTGTAGAGGTAATATGTGGAATGTAATCATTTCACAATGTATATCTAAACATCAAATGGTACACCTTAAATATATACAATTTTTAGGGGTCTGGTACGGTGGCTCATGCCTATAATCCCAGCACTTTGGGAGGCCAAGGTGGGTGGATCACTTGAGGTCAGGACTTCAAGACCAGCCTGGCCAACATGGTGAAACCCTGTTTCTCCTAAAAATACAAAAATCAGCCGGGTGTGGTGGTGCAGGCCTGTAATGACAGCTGCTTGGGAGGCTGAGCCAGGAGAATCACTTGAACTCGGGAGGCGGAGGTTGCAGTGAGCCAAGATCACGCCACTGCACTCCAGCCTGAGTGACAGAGTGCGACTCCATCTCAAACAAATAAATATGTACAATTTTTATGTGTCAAAAAAGTTAAATTGTCACAAGATAAAAAAAAAAATTTAAATCTCATGTCAGGAAAGTAATGTGCCAAAGGTACATCTCACAGATAAACATGAAAACCTGCCCTCCAGCCTGGGCGACAGAGTGAGGCTGTGTCTCAGAAAAAAAAAAAAAAGTAAAAAAAAAAGTATGTTTTTATAAAGCTTGCTTAGATTTTTCTGAATCATAAAAATTCTCACAATTGCATTTGATGTCAAAATTTAAACAAATTACCTGGACATATTACATGATGGTTAAAAAAATAAATTTAAACAAAATATAGAACCAGGTTTCTTTTTGTTTTTTAATTTTTTTCTTTTTGAGACGGAGTCTCGCTCTGCCACCCAGACTGGAGTGCAGTGGCTCACTGCAACCTCTGCCTCCCGGGTTCAAGTGATTCTCCTGTCTCAGCTTCCCGAGTACCTGGGATTACAGGCGTGTGCCACCACACCCAGCTAATTTTTGTATTTTTAGTAGAGACTGGGTTTTGCCATGTTGGTCAGGTTGGTCTCAAACTCCTGACCTTGTGATCCGCCCGCCTCAGCCTCCCAAAGTGCTGCGATTACAGGCATGAGCCACCGCACCCAGCCATTTCTTTTTGTTTTTATTATTTAGAGATATAATTGATATACTATAGAATTAATCGTTTTAGAGAGTACAATTGAATGGTAGATAGAGCGGAAACCTTAATATATTCACAAGGTTGTGCAACCATCACTACTATCTAACTCCAGAACATTTTAATCACCCACCAAAGAAACTCTGTTTCCTTTAACAGTGCGCTGCCATGCTCAGCTATTTTTTGGGAGAGAAGGGGTCTCCCCATGTTGTCCACGCTGGTCTCAAACTCGGTTGCTTAAGCAGTCCTCCCACTTGAGCCGCTGTGCCCAGGCCTGAGTTACTATATTTATAAAAGTTATTTCATATGATAGACAAATCATTCAAAACATAATGAGGTAAACTGCCAAAAGAAACCATTTTACCATATTTGAAGGCATTTAATGTAAATGTTGAATTTAATTTCATGTACTGGAATCAGTCTTTTTGCATATGTAATTTTCATACCAAAAATCTCTCTTCAGTTGACTCCTGGAACTCTCTCATGATAAAATAAAAGTTTCAAATAATGTCGGGGTGGTGGCTAACACCTGTAATCCCAGCACTGTGGGAGTCCGAGGCAGGTGGATCACATGAGGTCAGGAGTTTGAGACCAGCCTAGCCAACATGGCAACACTAAAGATATGAAAGTCAGCCAGGCATGGTGGTGCATGCCTGTAATCTCAGCTACTAGGGAGGCTGAGGCACAAAAATCACTTGAAACTGGGAGGTGGAGGTTGCAATGAGCTGAGATCGTGCCACTGCACACCAGCCTGTGAGACAGAGCAAGACTGTGTCTCAAAAAAAAAAAAAAAAAAAAAAAAAAAAAAAAAAAAAAGGGGCCAAGTATGGTGGCTCATGCCTGTAATCCTAGCACTTTGGGAGGCTGAGTGGGAGAGGATCATTTGAGCCCAAGTAACATGGTCAGGCCCCATCTCTACAAAAATAAATTAGCTGGGCATGGTGGTATGGGCTTGTGGTACCAGCTACTCAGGAGGCTGAGACAGGAGGAGTACTTGAGCCAAGGAGGTCAAAGGCTGCAGTAAGCCATGTTTTTGCCACCGTGCTCCAGCCTGGGCAACAGAGCAATATGCTGTTTCAAAAACAAACTAAAAAAATGGTAGTACCTACATGTGAAGATTGCATATAATAAAGATTGTAAAGCAGAGAGAAAAACTGGACAGTTCACCAAAAAGAAAATCCAAATGTCCACTAGAGATCTGAGAAGATGCCCAACCTCTAGAGCCAAGGAATTGCAAATTAATAACTAAGATAACATTTCAGGGCCTGGCACGGTGGCTCATGCCAGTAATCCCAGCACTTTGGGAGGCTGAGGCAGGCGGATCACTTGAGGTCAGGATTTGAGATCACCCTGGCCAACATGGTGAAATCCTGTCTCTACTAAAAATACAAAAATTAGCTGAGCATGGTTGCGGCGCCTATAATCCTAGCTACTTTGAAGACTGAGGCAGGAGAATCGCTTGAACCTAGGAAGCGGAGGTTGCAGTGAGCTGAGATCGTGCCAGTGCACTCCAGTCTGAGTGACAGGGTGAGACTTCATCTCAAAAAAAAAACAAAAAAACAAAAAATTTCAGGAATATACCTGCCTTTGGTAAAAACAAAAAGAAATTGTGAACCAGGCGTGGTGACTCATGCCTGTAATCCTAGCACTTTGGGAGGCTGAGGCAGGAGGATCCTTTGAGCCCAGGGGTACAAGACCAGCCTGGGCAACATAGGGAGACCTTGTCTCAAAAAAAAATAAATAAATAAATAAAATAAAAAATAAAAAAATCGTGAATAGTGTTGCGATGAATAAAAAAGAAAAAAAATTAAAAAGAAAGAAAACCCAGAAAAACTAACATACCATTTTCCTCTCAGTTTGGCAAAACTATTAGGAATTAATAACATTTGATGTTAGCAAAGTATGGGGAAATGAACTTTTATCCTCTTATTGAAAATATCTGTTTGTAGCCAGGCATGATGACTTATGCCTGTAATCCCAGCAATTTGGGAGGCCAAGGTGGGAAGATTCCTTGAGGCCAGAAGTTTGAGACCAGCCTGAGTAATAAAGTAAGACCCCATGTCATTAAAAAAAAAAAAAAAAAAAAAAAAAAGAAGGAAAGACTGCCGGGCGCAGTGGCTCACGCCTGTAATCCCAGCACTTTCAGAGGCTGAGGTGAGCAGAACACTTGATGTCAGGAGTTCAAGACCAGCCTGGCCAACATGGTGAAACCCCACCCCATCTCTACTAAAAATACAAAAATTAGCTGGGCGTGGTGGCGGGCGCCTGTAATCCCAGCTATTCAGGAGGCTGAGGCTGGAGAATCACTTGACCCTGGAGGCGGAGGTTGCAGTGAGCCGAGATCACACCACTACACTCCAGCTTGGACAACAGAGTGAGACTCCGTCTCAAAAACAACAACAACAAAACCCAAAACATCTGTTTAAAGTTTAAGACATGTATACCTGTGAAAGTTGATTACATAAATTGGGTCATTCTTGAAATACTCAACTAAATCAGAGTTGAAGGGCCAGGGGGAAGAAGCATTCGGGGCACACAGCATCTGCTTCAAGAATTAAATTTTCCACAAGTCCAACTGCTGAACCAGCCTTCTGTATCCCTAAGACCAGTTTTACCTAATAGCTGCTAAAATGAACTGCCATGACTCTAAGACTGGTTTTACCTACCACCATCGCTCACCAATCAGAGCTTGCTAGCTCCCACAAGCTCTAGTGTGAATGAGCTTTCTTCCAAAACAGTATGTAATACTGTTCTTTCTCATAAAACCCGGAACCTTCTCTTTTTTTTTTTTGAGATGGAATTTTGCTCTTGTTGCCCAGGCTGGAGTGCAATGGCGCGATCTCGGCTCACTGCAACCTTCACCTCCCGGGTTCAAGCATTTCTCCTGTGTCAGCCTCCTGAGTAGCTGGGATTCAGGCATGCGCCACTATGCCCAACTAATTTTGTATTTTTAGTAGAGACGGAGTTTCTCCATGTTGGTCAGGCTGGTCTCAAACTCCTGACCTCAGGTGATCTGCCCGCCTCGGCCTCCCAAAGTGCTGGGATTACAGGCATGAGCTATCACACCTGGCCGCAACCTTCCCTTTATTCTCCTGATCATACCAATGATCAGCCCGGTCTGTGTGTATGCCATGAATTGCAGCTCTTGCTTACCAAATAAAATGTTTTTAGAGATTTGTCTCTATATTATATTTGGCTTTGACATAACTATTCCCAAGGAATTCTATCTTTAAAAATCCATTCTTATAGAAATGAAAGCACCAATAAATGGGAATAAGTACGATAATCCACATCGCAGAATTGTTTGTAGTGGCAAAAGTTGCAACATCCTAATTGTCTATGAGTAAGGAAATGATTGAATAAATTACTGTACATCTATACTAAAGTTAAATTTGTAAGTACTGAAGTACAGGCACGGCTATTTTTTTTTTCTTTTTGTGGAAACAGGGTCTCACTCTGTCACCCAGGCTGGAGTGCAGCGGCACCATCTTGGGTCACTGCAACCTCTGCCTCCTGAGTTCAAGTGATCCTCACACCTCAGCCTCCCAAGTAGCTGGGACTACAGGCACGTGCCACCACACCTGGCTAATTTTGGTTTTTGGCTTCTTTCTTAATTGGTATGTTTACTTAAAAATATAGACTAATGGGCTGGGCATGGTGACTTACACCTATAATCCCAGCACTTTGGGAGGCCAAGGCGGGTGGATCATGAGGTCAGGAGATCGAGACCATCCTGGCTAAAACAGTGAAACCCCATCTCTACTAAAAGTACAAAAAATTAGCCGGGTGTGGTGGTGGGCACCTGTAGTCCCAGCTACTCGGGAGGCTGAGGCAGGAGAATGGCGTGAACCTGGGAAGCAGAGCTTGCAGTGAGCCGAGATTGTGCCACTGCACTCCAGCCTGGGCGACAGAGCAAGACTCCATCTCAAAAATAAATAAATAAATAAATAAAATAATAAAATAAAATATAGACTAATGATCCTGTGCTTCAATGTCATTGTGGTTATGTGCTGATGTCCATAAAACATAAGTTATAAGGGACTCTTCACAAATACACTCCAGACAGAAGGGTAAACAGAAATGACTGACAAGACAGTGCCATTTCAGACATACTTCCCTTAATTATTAATACTTGCTAGAAAATGGAGTTTGACATTATTTACAATTATACCAATATTCACAGAGGCCAACTGTCACAGGCATTAAGGGCACACCAGGGCCAGGAGACCTCATTTCAGACTTCCCAAATATTTTTATATTTTAGCTATTAAGATCAGTTACCAGAGCTCAACTTGTTCTTAACAAGCAGAATTTTTATGTCCATTCAAAGAGTCTCTTATACCTTTCTGGGCCTATTTACTTGCAGAGAACAGTAGAAACTGTAACCAGGCTCTTCATATCATGCATTCACATGTGATGTCCAATCTTCATATGCTGTCCAATTTCTTTAAGATAAATGGAGTGACTCGCAGCAGGGCCACGTAGATGAGAAAGTTCTGTATGGAGATCATATCCTCGTGCATCTTCCGTTTCATCTCCGTGAGGTCCAGCTTCCGGGCAAGGCCCCCAATCCGGAAGATCAGCTGCCTCGCTCTGCTCTCCCTAATGGCCCCCTTACACCCGGAACTCGGCCTATCCCCTCGCCCCAGCTAATTTTTGTATTTTTAGTAGAAATGGGGTTTCGCCATGTTGCCCAGGCTGGTCTTGAACTCCTGGGCACAAGGGATCTACCCGCCTTGGTCTCCCAAAGTGCTCAGATTACAGGCATGAGCCACCACGCCTGGCCCAACATGGCTATTATTTTTTAAAGTGCTAAATTATGGCCGGGGGCTGTGACTCACGCCTGTAATCCCAGCACTTTGGGAGGCCGAGGCGGGTGAATCACGAGGTCAGGAGATGGAGACCAGCCTGGCCAACATGGTGAAACCCCATCTCTACTAAGAATACAAAAAATTAGCTGGGCGTGGTGGCAGGCGCCTGTAATCCCATCTACTCAGGAAGCTGAGGCTGGAGAATCGCTTGAACCCGGGAGGCGGAGGTTGCAGTGAGCAGAGATCACGCCACTGCAGTCCAGCCTGGGCAACAGTGCGAGACTCTGTCTCAAAAAAAAAATAAATAAATTACCTGGGTGTGGCAGCGCGTGCCTGTAATCCCAGCTACCCAGGAGGCTGAGGCAAGAGAACTGCTTGAACCCAGGAGGCAGAGGTTGCATGGAGCTGAGATGGCGCCACTGCACTCCAGTCTGGTGACAGAGTGAGACTCCATCTCAAAAAAAAAAAAAAAAAGTGCTAAGTTACATCTAAGTTTCCTATTTTTGTTTAAAAAACTCCTTGTAGTGGGTTGAATGGTGGACCCCAAAATGATACATCTGTCCATCTGATATGCGTGAATGTGACCTATTTGGGAAAACAGTTTTTGTAGATGAAATTAAGGATTTCCAAATGAGATCATCCTAGGTTAGAATGGAACCTAAATCCAACAGCAAAAGTCCTCATAAAAAGAAGGGAAGAAGACAGAAAAGAAGACCACAAAGACAAAGGCAGAGATAGGAGTTATGCTGCCATAAGCCAAGTAATACCTGGAGCCACCAGCAGCTGGAAGAGGAAAGCAAGGATTCTCCCTTGGAGCCTTCAGAGGGAGGTGTGGCCCAGCTGACATCTTGCTCTCAGATTTCTGGCCTCCAGAACTGTGAACAGAAATATTTCTGTTGTTTTAAGCCACTAAGTTTGTGGTAATTTGTTACAGCAGCTCTCAGAATCAAATACATTCCCACACCCCTTATTTATGTGTATGTGTGTGTATGCATGTTTGCATGAGCACTGAGAGAAGTATACCATTATTAACATTGGTTAGTTCAGGGGAATGGGACTGGCTTACTGAAGGCTGAGAGAGTATACGTGTGTGTATATAAATTGAGTGTATTTAAATTAAGTATATGGAAGTAAATTAAGACTACAATGAGATACCACTACCTCCCACCAATATGGTTAAAGATAAAAGGACTGATAATACCTAATGCTGGTATGGAGCAATGGAACCTTCCTTTATTGCTGGTGGTAAAATGGTATGGTCATTAAAAACAAACTAAAACAAAAACAACAAAAATGCAATTGTTTGATGGTACCTACTAAAAAATGTGTGTATGTGTGTGTATAGACACACACCCTATGACCCAGCAATTCCATTCCTGGCATATACTCAGTAGATAGCGTGTTTAAGACCATCATAAGATATATAAAAATGTTACGGTAGCATTATTCATAACAGCCCCAAAGTGGGAGCAATTCAAAGGTCCATGAAATGTAGAGTAACTAAATTATGGTATATTCATATAACAGAATGCTACACAACAGTGAAAAAGGCTGAACTGCTGCATAGCAGCAAAATAGAGAATTCTTTTAGACGTAACGTTGAGCAAATCAAGCTAGGCTCACTACAGCACATACCGTGTGATCCCATTTACAAAAAATTCAAAAACAGGCAAAACTAATCTATGGTGATAATCAGATGGGAGGCATTATCTAAGAGGGTGCTGGAAATGTCCTTTATTGTGATCTGAACATAGTATTCATATACGAGTCATTGAAATATACATTTCAAATGCTGGCTGTTTATTATCATTTCACTGGGATAAATGCCCAAGGAGTTAGTTTTCAAAGAGATGCTATTTAGAATTTATGGAAATTTAGAACTTACTGTATTTTCCCAGATTTTCTATAATGAGCAAGCATTGCAGTTTGAGGGTTTGAAAGATTGGTAGAGACAAAAACTGCATAAGCTGCATGATTATTTCTCACACTTCAGATGCTTACCACCTTTATGATTTGCCATATCATGTATTTTAAAAAATACATTTTTTTCTTTTTTTAGATGGAGTCTCATTCTGTCACCCAGGCTGCAGTGCAGTGGTGTGATCTCAGCTCACTGCAACCTCCTGGGTTCAAGTGACTCTCCGGCCTCTGCCTCCCGAGTAGCTGAGATTACAGGCACCCATCACAATACCTGGCAAATTTTTGTATTTAAAAATACAGCCAGGCTCGGTGGCTCACGCCTGTAATCCCAGCACTTTGGGAGGCCAAGGCTGGCGGATCACCTGAGGTCAGGAGTTCGAGACCAGCCTGACCAACATGGTGAAACCCCGTCTCTACTTAAAATACAGAATTAGCTGGGCGTGGTGGCTCATGTCTGTAATCCCAGCACTTTGGGAGGCCAAGGTGGGTAGATTGCCTGAGGTCAGTTCGAGACCAGCCTGACCAATATGGTGAAACCTCATCTCTACTAAAAATACAAAAATTAGCTGGGCATGGTGGTATGCTCCTGTAGTCCCAGCTACTCAGGAGGCTGAGGTGGGAGAATTGTTTGAATTCGGGAGGTGGATGTTGCAGTGAGCTGAGATCGCGCCACTGCACTCCAGCCGGGCGACAGAGCGACACTCCGTCTCAAAAAAACAAAAACATACAATTTTAAAAATTTAGTCTTAGCTTTTCAATAAGAGGGATTAAAATATATTATTTTAGTCTGCTCAGCATCCATTCTCCCTTCCTTTTGGCAAAGAACCCTAAATTTTTTGGGGGATGATATAGTTTGGCTGTGTCCCCAACCCAAATCTCATCCTGAATTGTAGCTCCTATAATTCCCATGTGTCATGGGAGGGACCTGGTGGGAGGTAATTGAATCATGGGGGTGGTTACCTTCATGCTGTTCTCATGATAGTGAGTGAGTTCTCAGGAGATCTGATGGTTTCATAAGGGGCTTTTCCCCTTTTGCTTTGCACTTCTCCTTCCTGCCATCATGTGAAGAAGGATGTATTTGCTTCCCCTTCTGCCATGATTGTAAGCTTCCTGAGGCCTCCCCAGCCATACACAACTGTGAGTCAATTAAACCTCTTTCCTTTATAAATTATCCAGTCTCGAGTATGTCTTTATTATCAGCATGAGAACGGACTAATACAGGGGACCACCTACTCCTTACTAGAGTTGGTTTTACCATCAACTTGCCCTCCTCTTGCTGAGGGATGGGTACCTAACCCATGTAACTTCAGTTGGAGGCACTCCAAGTGACATAAAAACTAAATATACATGTCAGAAGTTCAACCTGATATCAGCACTGTAAGAAAAAAAAACAAAAACAAACACCTCATAACACCTACTCTTAAGATACCTGAAACTGTTACAATTCTTGACCTTTCCAAAGCCTTGAGTCCTCAACTTTTCCATGACTCTGGAGTCTCTCATTCTTTCAAATAAGATTTTTATCAGTAAGTTCATTAATCTGATCCTGTTGCTTGCAACCAAAAATTCCAATATATCATGAAATCAGGTTAGATGTGGTTATATTACTTCAAGTATATACTAACCCATTTCCCGTTTGCCCCAAGAATACTCTTGCCTCTAATCCTAATGTAACATTATATACATTTCCATTATATTAGGATTAGAGACAAGTTCTGTTTAGAAATAACTCTAAGAACAGTTTGTGTATTTTCACATTGAAAATTAATTTGCGTCAACCTCAGAGTGTGTTTATGTAAAATTAAATGAGCGCTGGCAGCCAGCTGCACTTTTTTTTTCTTTTTTTCTTTTTTTTTTTTTGAGACGGAGTCTCACTCTGTCGCCCAGGCTGGAGTGCATGGAGTGCAGTGGCATGATCTCGGCTCACTGCAAGCTCCGCCTCTCGGGTCTATGCCTTTCTCCTGCCTCAGCCTCCCGAGTAGCTGGGACTACAGGCGCCTGCCACCATGCCCGGCTAATGTTTTGTATTTTTAGTAGAGACGGGGTTTCACCATGTTAGCCAGGACGGTCTCGATCTCCTGACCTCGTGATCCACCCACCTCGGCCTCCCAAAGTGCTAGGATTACAGGCGTGAGCCACGGCGCCTGGCCACTTTTATTTTCTAAACAGGAAATGGGTTAAATACGTAACTCTGTATGAAATATCCATTCATAAGCTACCCTAACAGCCCCCTTGAGTGGTATAAGGCTACAGTCTTTGACCAAAAAAAAAAGTATTTGACAAAAACTTATGTCATGTGATATATGTTCATAAAAGGCAAGTATTTAATAGGATTATGTCAATTATAGCCAGGCTGGTAGGTAAATTTCTTTTAAATACCAAGGCTCAGCCAGACTGCTGCAAGGAAGTGTTCCAGAACTTATGTACCAGCAAGCAGTCTTGTCCAAGTGGTAAAACAGCAAGAGTAGTATGTGGAATGGAAATTCGGTTTGTATGTTTTTTTTTTTGTTTTTTTTTTGAGACAGAGTCTTGTTCTGTTGCTCAGGCTAGAGTGCAGTGGTGCAGTCTCGGCTCACTGCAACCTTTGCCTCCCAGAGTCAAGAAATTCTCTTGCCTCAGCCTCCCAAGTAGTTGGGATTACAGGCGCCCACCACCACGCTTGGCTAATTTTTGTATTTTTAGTAGAGACGGGGTTTCACCATGTTGGCCAGGCTGGTCTTGAACTCCTGACCTCAGGTGATCTGCCCACCTCAGCCTCAGCCTCCCAAAGTGCTGGATTATAGGCATGAGCCACCATGCCCGGCCTTGTTTTTTATTTATTTATTTCTTTGAGATGAAGTCTTGCTCTGTCACCCAGACTGGAGTGCAGTGGTGCAATCTCGGCTCACTGAAATCTCCACCTCCCGGGTTCAAGCGATTCTCCTGCCTCAGCCTCCCAAGTAGCTGGTATTACAGGCACACACCACCATACCTGGCTAATTTTTGTATTTTTAGTAGAGACGGGTTTCACCATATTGGCCAGGCTGGTCTTGAACTCCCGACCTCGTGATCCGCCCGCCTTGGCCTCCCAAAGTGCTAGGATTACAGGCACCTTTTTAAAATTATTATATTGAGACAGGGTGTCACTTTGTCACCCTGGCTGGAGTGCAGTGGCATGACCTTGGCTCACTGCATCCTCAACTTCCCAGACTCAAACCATCCTTCCACCTCAGTCCCCCAAGTAGCTGGGACTACAGGTGTGCACCACCACATCTGGCTAATTTTTGTGCTTTTTGAGGAGATGGGGTTTTGTCATGTTGCCCAGGCTGGTCTCAAACTCCTGGCCTCAAGCGATCCTCCCACCTCAGCCTCCCAAAGTGCTGAGATTACAAATGTGAGCTACTGCACCTGGCCGTGTATTTCTACAAAAGTTATGTTATAATCAAATTTGAAAATCTCAACTTTTCCAAGCAAATGATCCAATAGCAGGCTATTTATAAACTTTTAATGTGCATTAGTTACTGCTATGTAAAAGTTTTTTTGTTTTTAAGAAGTGAAGGTGTGAAAAAAACAAACCTGTAGTAAGTTTCATGTCTTTTGGAAATTTATAGGGAAGTACATTTGAGCATACACATTGTCATTCTCCTTTTCTCAGTGACAGTTTTATGACTTGGCCATCTCTAAAGATAATATATTCCAATATGTAATTGCTATATAGCAAATACATTAGCTGATGAAGTTGTAGGAGGCAATGTAATAAATGTTCTTACTCAGCTTTGGTCTAACAGATAACTATGACTGACAATTTCGTAAAAATAACAGACCAAGTGTTTTTGAGAGAGAGAGAGAGAGAGAGAGAGAGAGAGAGAGTGTGTGTGTGTGTGTGTGTGTGTGTGTGTGTGTGTATGTTTTGAGACAGGGTCCCACTCTTATCACCCAGGGTGGAGGGCAGTGGTGCAATCTCGGCTCACTGCAGCCTTGACCTTCTGGGTTCAGGTGATCCTCCCACTTTAGCCTCCCAAGTAGCTGGGACTACAGGCGTGCACCACCACACCCACCTAATTTTTTTTTTTTTGGTAGAGATGAGGTTTTTCTGTGTTGCCCAGGCTGGTCTCAAACTCCTGAGCTCAAATGACCCACCTGCCTCGGCCTCCCAAAATGCTGGGATTACAGGCGTGAGCTATTGTGCCCAGCCTATATAAAAATTTTTTAAGTTTTTGGAAAATGTCAGAAATCAACGTTTCCTTTTAGCCCTATTTTCAAAAACTGGCTAGTTTGATAAATGGATCACAATTTCTTACACATGCTACTAATAGAAGAGGCATTCAAAAATAAATGACTGATGGCCAGCGAGTGGATAACTTGAGATCAGGAGTTCGAGACCAGCCTAGCCAAGATGGTGAAACCCCATCCCTACTAAAACTACAAAAAATTAGCCAGGCACGGAAGTGGAGGTTGCAGTGAGCGGAGATCGCACCATTGCACTCCAGCCTGGATGACAAAGCGAGACTCTGTTTAAAAAAAAAAAAAAAGTAACTGATAAAACTGACCACAGTGTATCTTGGGCAGTAATGGCTGCTGCTTCTCATTTTCAGCAGGACTTAATGAAAATTGCTAATGATAACGCACTACCTCCTAAGAATGATGCAAAATACGATTTTTGATGTTTAAAGGGAGGGTTCCATGGAGTTTGGTATTTTCCAAATTATATTCTAAATCTGGTACTATCTCACCTAATAATTTTATCTTTCTTTAGCAACAAGCCCTAACAATATCCAAACTAAATAAAATCATTACATGAATTTACTTTTTACAATCATTCTCCTAAGGCTGGGCGTGGTGGCTCATGCCTGTAATCCCAGCACTTTGGGAGGCCGAGGTGGGCGGATCACCTGAGGTCAGAAGTTCGAGACCAGCCTGACCAACATGGAGAAACCCCGTCTCTACTAAAAACACAAAATTAGTCGGGCGTGGTGGCTCATGCCTGTAATCCTAGCTACTCGGGAGGCTGAGGTGGGAGAACCCGGGAGGCAGAGGTTGCGGTGAGCCAGTATCACGCCACTGCACTCCAGTCTGGGCAACAAGAGCGAAACTCCGTCTCAAAAAAAAAAAAAAATAATAATAATAATAATAATTAAAATTATTCTCCAGGGATGGGCATGGTGGCTCATATCTGTAATCCCAGCACTTTGGGAGGCCGAAGCAGGCAGATCATTTGAGATCAGGAGTTTGAGACCAGGTTGGCTAACATGGTGAAACCCTGTCTCTACTAAAAATACAAAAAAACTAGCTGGGTGTGGTAGTGCACGCCTGTAATCCCAGCTACTTGGGAGGCTGAGGCAGGAGAATTGCTTGAACCCGGGATGCAGAGGTTGCAGTCAGCCGAGATTGTGCCACTGTACTCCAGCCTCAGCAACAGAGCAAGCAAGACACAGTCTCAAAAAAAAAAAAAAAAAAAAAAAAAAAAAAGCTATTCACCTGTATTTTCCCTTAGTATCCTATAATTGACCTGTTTCCCTCTTTATAAGTTCAGCTACTTTTAGTTACCTTAACTATACCACATGGTGGTGTCATGATTGGTGTCAATGTATTGCATATATATATATATTACAATATACCACATGATAGGTGTCAATATACTCCAACAATTAGACTTAATTTTCTTCCTCTCCGATAATTTTTCCGCCTGCTTTGAGGAAACATCTGGTCATATTGCAGTTAAAAATCAAACCTCTTAACAATAAATTTATTTAATTAAATGCCATAAAAATTAATCAAGAATGGCCAGGCATGGTGGCTCACGCCTGTAATCCCAGCACTTTGGGCAGAGGTGGAAGGTGGCTCACTTGAGCTCAGGAGTTGGAGACCAGCCTGGGCAACATGGCAAAACCCCTATCTCTACCAAAAATATAAAAATCAGCCTGACGTGGTGGCATGCGCCTGTAGTCCCAACTGCTTGGGAGACGAGACTGAGGCAGGAGGATCACTTGAGCCCAGGAGGTTGAGGCTGCAGTGAGCCACGTTCGTGCCACTGCACTCAGCCGGGGTGACAAGGCGAGATCCTGCCTCAAAAAAAAAAAAAAAAAAGTACTAATGATTGATTACAAACTAGAGATCTTCCTTATTCTAATATCCATTTTATTTTGGAAACGTAGCTTTCCCTCGATTTATAAGAATTAAAAGGTCTAAAGTTCTTCCATTCCACAGGATAAACTAAAGAAATTATTCATTTAAAAAAAAAGGCAAAGAAAAGAGCTTAAAGCATGAAAAGTTTTTTTGTACTTATGGCTTATTAGTCTGTGTAGAAATTCTGGAGACAGAATTACAGAAACCAGGCCCACAAAGAATCTTTGTGGTACAATCAGATTTCTTTATTATTTCTTTTATTAGAATGTAACTTAAGCTACTTAATTTTTGCCTTTGTGACTACCATCATAGAATATTCTGAAGACTAAAGTTAACCAAAGATCCAGAACAATGTTTTAATTTAATGAAAAATCTAGGCTAATATGAAGATAGAAACTCAGGCTAAAAAACTGCAGCCGGGTGGGATGGCTCACGCCTGTAATCCCAGCTCTATGGGAGGCCAAGAAGGGTGGATCACCTGAGGTTAGTAGTTTGAGACCAGCCTGGCCAAAATGGTGAAACCCCATCTCTTCTAAAAACACAAAAATTAGCCGGGCGTGGTGGCGGGCGCCTGTAGTCCCAGCTCCTCAGGAGGCTGAGGCAGGAGAATCGCTTGAACTCAGGTGGCGGAGGTTGCAGTGAACCGAGATGGCACTGCTGCGCTCTAGCCTGGGCGAGAGAGCAAGACTCTGTCTCAAAAAAAAAAAAAACACCCCACAAAAACCCAAAAAACTTCCTGGTTGTCGAATTCAGTATTAGACACAAAAAATTCTAGCCTATTTATGGGTGGTACCACTGGTAAGAGACAAATCACAAGATATTGTGTTAGGCTAACTTCAAGATCTGTCCATTCAGATAGTGGTTGACATATTGGGTGATCAGAAAAATTTGTTAAATTGCATTATGTGAAAAATCAAGTATTTGTAGAATACTTTAAGTTATTCTATTTACTACTACAATGGCATTTTTATTCTCTCTGACATAGTTTTGTGTTTACTTCAGAGTGCAGCAAGGTCTCAAACCTTAATTTCTCTAGGTTACATATTTCCAAATTTATAACTACCATCAAGACTCAAGTTTTAGAAGAGGCTGAGAACAGAAAATATGGTACTCATTCCAAAAAATGTTAAAGCTATAAGTAGAACTGAGACCTCAGTTTACATCCACTTAGTTTCTATTCCAGTGGTTTGAAGTATCTGTTGTAAATTGTTCAAGCAAGCTTTGTAAGTTGATTTTTTTTTTTTTTTGAGGCAGAGTCTTGCTTTGTTGCCCAGGCTGGAGTGCAGTGGTGCAATATCTGCTGACTGCAACCTCTGCCTTGGGTTCAAGCGATTTTCCTGCCTCAGCCTCCCGAGTAGCTGAGATTACAGGCATGTGCCACCACACACCTGGCTATTTTTTTTTTTTTTTTTTTTTTGTATTTTTAGTAAAGATGAGGTTTCATCATGTTGGTCAGGCTGGTCTCAAACTCCTGACCTCAAGTGATCCGCCCGCCTCGGCCTCCCAAAGTGCTGGGATTGTGGGCATAAGCCACCGCACCTGGCCCTTTAACTTGATTTCAAAGCAAAATTATACAAATGGACCCTAACTTCTATTATATATTTAAGTTTACTTCAAAGATCTATTTTATCCTTATCCTTAGAAACTGTGAGGAAAAAAAAACTATGTTAACAAAGCTGATGACAAAGATTCTTTATTATATAAGAGATCCTATTATCTGATCATATTACCTAATAAATTATATATGAATGTTCAATAATAAAAATAATGTTCACCAATATGTCACATGCATGGTTAGTGTTTTATTCTTTGAAGACTGCTTCTAAAACATCGCACTAAGTAAAGCTGAAAGGATAAAGTTTAAAATAGTTTTTAAAGGATAAGTTATAACATATGTAATGACTGTCCACTCTACAAAATCTTGATCTTAGAGCTTATGATACACCCAGTTGGCAGTAGCACCCAGGTTTTCCAAATAGCCAGTCATCACTTTTCTCTTGTCTGCATAGACTTCTTCTCATTAGCTGCCTTCTGCTTTTCTTGCATGATCTCAGAGTCCCTACAATGAGGGAAAAGTCTATAAGTTGTTACAGAAAAACCAATTATATATTCTCACTTGGTTTCTACACATAACCCATTCAGTGTATTAGAAGACAATTTAAAAGAGGATATAAACTTTTTTGTCTTTCCATTTTCATGGCTGGAGACAAAATGGAAAGACAGACTGGAAAGGCTTTGAAGTCAGATCTTATTCTGAATACCATCTCTGTTATCATGACCTTGGGCAAATAACCTCAAAGCCCTTTCAAAATCCGGGCAATATGTATCAAGGTTGTTACAAGGAATCACTATGAATATATAAAAGTGTGTGACATTAGGCAGCTACATGTAGAAATAATAGCTATTACTCTTGGTTGTTAACTAGTTAATTCATTCTAATTTTTTTCCTTGAAAGAAGAGGCATTTAAGAACTCTCCTAGGTATCCTAACTGGTATCTACGACTAGAACATAGATATTATGAAGGATTTCAGTTTCTTACAAGCAAAAAAGCCCAAAAGCTAGTCACTAAAACTGGATTACAATAAAGAAAAGCTGGATGTTCAGGGTACTTTTTTTTTTTTTTGAGACGGAGTCTCGCTTTGTCCCCCAGGCTGGAGTGCGGTGGAACGATCTTGGCTCACTGCAACCTCCACTTCCTGCTTGCAGTTCTTCTGCCTCAGCCTCCTGAGTAGCTGGGACTACAGGCATGCGCCACCACACCCGACTAATTTTTGCATTTTAAGTAGAGACGAGGTTTCACCATATTGGCCAGGCTGGTCTCGAACTCCTGACCTTGTGATCCGCCTGCCTCAGTCTCCCAAAGTGCTGGGATTACAGGTGTGAGCCACTGCGCCCAGCCCTTAACCCTTCTCATCTCCAGTCAAACTGACACATGCCATATAAACTGTGAACTATGACCAGACTACCTGGGTTAGGTGATTCATGAGTCCATGGACCCATATTTTAAAAACAGACTAAACGGCCATGCATTCAACATCTACTGTGTGTCAAGCACTCTACCAGCTCTGGTTAAAGTCCCACAACTCTGACTTATTAACCTCATGTTTCAAACTTTTTAATTTTTTATTTATTTTTTTGAGACAGAGTCTTGCTCTGTTGCCCAGGCTGCAGTGCAGTGGCACAATCTTTGCTCACTGCAACCTCCACCTCCCTGGTTCAAGCGAGTCTCCTGCCTCAGTTTCCCAAGTAGCTGGGATTACAGGCATGTGCAACCAAGCCCACCTAATTTTTGTATTTTTAGTAGAGACAGGGTTTCACCATGTTGGCCAGGCTTGTCTCGAACTCCTGGCCTCAAGTTGATCCGCTCGCCTCGGCCTCCCAAAGTGCTGGATTTACAAGTGTAAGCCACTGAGCCTGGCCTGTTTTAACTTTTTGAGGAAATGCTAAACTGATTTCCACAGCCATGATGGTAAGATATTTCTGTAAAGCCAATAGCAAAAACAAGGGAATAGAAGAAAGGCAAAATAGGCCAGTGGCTCACATCTGTAACCCCAGCACTTTGGGAGGCTGAGATAGGCGGACCACCTGAGGTCGAGAGTTTGAGACCAGACTGAGCAACATGGAGAAACCCTATCTCTACTAAAAATACAAAATTAGCCAGGCATGGTGGTGCATGCCTGTAATCCCAGCTACTTGGGAGGCTGAGGCAGGAGAATCACTTGCACCCGAGAGGTGGAGGTTGCGGTGAGCTGAGATTGCGCCATTGTACTCCGCCTGGGCAACAAGAGCGAAACTCCGTCTCAAAAACATAAAATAAAATAAAATAAAAATAAAGAAGAAAGGCAAAATAACACAGCTACAGGCTGTTCTGCCTATAAAGTAGCCAATATTTATTTCTTTACTTTCCTAATAAACTTGCTTTCACTAAAACAAAAACAAAAACATAGCTATAAAGAAATGAAGTACAGTGGAAAAAGAACCATGACAGTTACTTCTCTATTTGAAACCAAGCTCTGTTGTGCTTGCTGTGTAACTTTAGTAATGTTACTGAAGTTCAGAGCCTCAGTTTCCTATTCTACAGATTAGTGCTAATACCATTTTTCAGAGTTATGATGAATAAAGAATAATGTATATAGAATGTCTAGCATAGAATTTTATAAGGAGTGCATATCTGGTAAACAATGACAATTTCTGAACCAAGCTAGACTAGGTTCTCCAATAAAAATACTATTGCAGGGTCACTGATTCATACCATGTTCATTTTTACTCTAATGTGAGTCAACAGAAATTGAAGACAAAGCTTATCACTTTAATAATAAATGTTAGGGCCGGGCATAGTGGCTCACACCTGTAATTCCAGCACTTTGGGGGACTGAGGTGGGCAAATCACTTGACCCCAGAAGTTCAAGACCTGCCTGGACAACATGATGAAACCCCGTTTCTACAAAAAATATAAAAACTATCTGGGCTTGGTGGTGTGCCCTTGTAGTCCCAGCTACTCAGAAGGCTGAGGTGGGAGGGTCACTTGAGCCTGGGAGGCAGAGCTTGCAGTGAACCGAGACTGTGGCACTGCACTCCAGTCTGGGTCACAGAGTAAGACGCCATATCTGGGAAAAAAAAAAAAAAGGTGTCAGGACCTTTGCCTTAAATTAAGGTCTTTAATCTCATTTATCAATGACTCTTAATAGTGGCTGCACATTAGAATCACCTGGGAGCTGTTTTAAGTTCAGTTTAAGGTATAACTGGGTGTGCTGGGAGGCTGGGGGAGGGATAGCATCAGGAGAAATACCTAATGTAAATGATGAGTTGATGGGTGCAGCAAACCAACATGGCACATGTATATCTATGTAACAAACCTGCACGTTGTGCATATATACCCTAGAACTTAAAGCGTAATAATAAAAAAAAAATTCAAAAAAAAAAAAAAAGGTATAACTGGGCCAGCGTGGTGGCTCACGCCTGTAATCCCAGCACTTTGGGAGGCCGAGGCGGGTGGATCACTTGAGGTCAGTAGTTTGAGACCAGCCTGGCCAACACGGTGAAACCCAGTCTCTACTAAAAATACAAAAATTAGCTGGGCATGGTGGCGGACGCCTGCAATTCCAGCTACTTGGATTGCTGACGCAGGAGAATCGCTTAAGCCCAGGAGGTGGAGGTTGCAGTGAGCCGAGATCACGCCACTGCCCTCCAGCATGGGCAACAGAATAAGACTCTGCCTTTAAAAAAAAAAAAAAGGCATAACCTAAGTACAGTAAAATTTACCTAGGGTGCTTTTTAATGCTCGACCTCTGACCAATTAAATCAGAACTGGATGAAAGATAAATGTTTGAGCATAGAGATATCCCAATTACCCCGATTTGATCATTACACATTGTACACATAAAGGTTTTTTTTTTTTGACGGAGTCTCGCTCTGTCGCCCAGGCTGGAGTGCGGTGGCGCGATCTCAGCTCACTGCAAGCTCCGCCTCCCGGGTTCACGCCAGTCTCCTGCCTCAGCCTCCCGAGTAGCTGGGACTACAGGCGCCCGCCACTGCGCCCGACTAATTTTTTGTATTTTTAGTACGGACAGGGATTCACCGTGGTCTCGATCTCCTGACCTCGTGATCTTCCTGCCTTGGCCTCCCAAAGTGCTGGGATTACAGGCATGAGCCATCGCGCCCGGCCGGAGTTTCACTCTTGTTGTCCAGGCTGGAGTGCAATGGCGAGATCTCAGCTCACCGCAACCTCCGCCTCCCAGGTTCAAGTGATTCTCCTGTCTCAGCCTGCCGAGTAGCTAGGATTACAGGTGTTCGCCACCACAGTTGGCTTTTTTTTTTTTTGAGACGGAGTCTCGCTCTGTCACCCAGGCTGGAGGGCAGTGGCACGATCTCGGCTCGCTGCAAGCTCCGCCTCCCGGGTTCACGCCATTCTCCTGCCTCAGCCTCCCAAGTAGCTGGGACTACAGGCGCCTGCCACCTCGCCCGGCTAAGTTTTGTATTATTAGTAGAGACGGGGTTTCACCGTGTTAACCAGGATGGTCTCGATCTCCTGACCTCGTGATCCGCCCGCCTGGGCCTCCCAAAGTGCTGGGGTTACAGGCGTGAACCACCGCGCCCGGCCACACACTTGGCTAATTTTGTATTTTTAGTAGAGATGGGGTTTCTCCATGTTGGTCAGAATGGTCTTGAGCTCCCAACCTCAGGTAATCCACCCGCTTCGGCCTCCCAAAGTGCTGGGCTAACAGGTATGAGCCACCACGCCAAGCCAGTTTCTTTTTGTTGTTGTTTTTTTGAGACAGGGTCTCACTCTGTCACCCAGGCTGGAATGCAATGGCAGGATCTCGGCTCACTGCAACCTCCGCCTCCCAGGTTCAAGTGATTCTCCTGCCTTAGCCTCCCAAGTGGCTGGGACTACCCAGCCCACATACAGGTATTAAAAGATCACATGTACCCCCAAAATATGTACAACTATTGTAATTCAATTTTTTAAAAAAACAAAAAATCAAAACTGAGCATAACGCAAGGCTTGAGTAGCTGTCAAGGTTTCCCAGGTGATTCTAATGTGCAGCCAGGATTGAGAACCCCTAACAAGCCACACTGAAGCACATGCAGTCAGTTATTCGCTTAACCTCCAAGTTCCATATGGACAAAATCATTTGAGAATAAAATTAAGCTTTGATTAGCTCTTTTAGAAACATGAGTGTACTTTTTTTTACTTAAGCTGCAGTCTAAAGTATTTCTGTAGCAGTTTTACATTGGCACATATAGTCATATATTAAGGCTATGTACATGAATTCTCTCCAATGCAATGGATCTTCAGAAATCAGCACAGCTAGCTATTATGCATATACTTTTTTGTATCTTCTTGAGAACTATTATCATTATATATTAATAATTGAGTCCCTTGTCATTCAGAGTAGTTTGGGTAGGCTGTCTACTTTGAAAATGTTGTAACTCTAGCACCTCACAGTGTTTTGCATATAGAAGATGTTATTTTGCTGAATAAAGTTGTTTTTTTTTGTTTTGTTTTGTTTTTTTGATACAGAGTTTCCCGCTCAGTACCCAGGCTGGATTGCAATGGCACAATCTTCACTCGCTGCAACCTCCCCCTCCCGGTTTCAAGCGATTCTCCTGCCTCAGCCTCCCAAGTAACTGGGATTACAGGCATGTGCCACTGCACCCAGCTAATTTTGTATTTTTAGTAGAGATAGGGTTTCACTATGTTGGTCAGGCTGATCTCGATCTCCTGACCCCAGGTGATCCACCCACCTTGGCCTTCCAAAGTGCTGAGATTACAGGCGTGAGCCACCGCGCCCAGCCTATAAAAAGTTCTTATGGTTGTGGAGGAGCTGCATGAGTCTCTGTGAAACAAATAATAGCTTCAGAGCTTTACGTTTTTATCTATATGTTGGGATGTCTACCCCACGTGGTTTTAGTCCGCCTGGCACAAATCATTAGGCCCTGTTCTACCAAGGGCTTAACAAAATGCTTTCTGTTCCCCAAAATGAGGCCTTCTTTTTTTTTTTTTTTTTTTTTTTTTGAGACAGGGTCTAACTCTGCCATCCAGGCTGGAGTGCAGTGGTGCAATCGCAGCTTACTGCGGCCTTAACCTCCTGGGCTCAAGCGATTCTCCCGCCTCAGCCTCCAGAGTAGCCGAGACCACAGCCATGTGCTACCATGCCTGGCCAATTTAAAAAAATATTTTGTAGATACAGGGGCTGGCTATGTTGTCCAAGTTGGTCTCAAACTCTTGGCTTCAAGCAGTTCTCCCGACTCTCCCAAACTGCCGGGATTACAGGCATGAGGCAACACACCCAGCCCAAAATGTTGCTTCAATCACAACGTCAGTGACTTTAGAATTAAATTAGTACCACGTACCTCTGCTTTCTCTGAGAGGCAGTCAAGCTATCCTCTTTCCTCTTTCCCTTGCTAATTTCCTGGGTTTTCTTCATGTTTTTCTGGCGGGCAAGTTCTCGTTGATTTCCACCTACAAAGTCAAACAGTCATGCTCTTTTCCCATCTCCAAAATTATTAATAATTCCAATAAACAGGCCTTATTTAAATGCATCTTTAGTTTGTGTTTTCATAGATAAACTAGCAGAGTAACAGATTGATGGTGCTCCTAGATCTGACAATAAGGAAGTGGCTTAAACACTTAAAGACTTAAGAGTATTATCATACCAATCTAGGTGGTCACTAGCTATAAATACCAGATATTTTAAAACAGATATTCGAATCTTGGGCCGGTATCCCAAAATAAGTTCTGGCTTTTGAGGGGAGTGGGTGGAAGAGAAAGCTAGATACAGAGATCACAAGTTCAGCCCATCATTTGAGAGTTACCTTTATCCCCATGCAGAGGCGGAGAGGGGTGGATGGAGACTGAACAGATTGAAGGTAAGTCTGCGAAAGGCAGTGTGGGCCTTTACATCCTTATTCTAGCCACAACCCTGCAAGGTAGGCTTCATTGTTTTCATTTTGCAGAACAGACTGACCTAACACCTAGGACTGGTACAAACGAACATCAAATTTAGGACCGGCTCTAAAGCCTCCTGTTTATTCGGCTACTACCTGCGAGCGCCAAACAAAAGAACTAGGGAGGCGACTCACTGGAGTTCCCGGTCCTCATTAGGCCTTAAGACTTGAGGTATCAGCTATAAAGTACCTCCAAACAAGGACCCTCCTGGGGCGGCCGTGTCCACATCTCCGGGGTGTGTTCTTTACCGCACAAACTCGCACCTGAGGGGCAGGCACCCGTCCGGCCTGAAAAGCCGGACCGGAACCACCCGCGAGCTCTCTCTCTGCCGACTGAAGCGGGGATCCCCGCACTGCGCGACCCAGGGGGATTCTCCAGCCGGACTCCGCCTCCCCCGCCCGCCGCGCCTCAGCGCTAGGCTCCCACGCCGGACGCTCGCCGCCGCTTCCCACCCCCACTCACGGGCCATGCCGACCACCAACGGAGCCTGGAAGAAGAGCAACTCGGAAAAGCAACGGTTCTCTGGCACTCTGGGATACCGTCACCACCGCTGACCGGGAAGGCTGAGCCCTCGTGGGCCCTCCGCCCGGCTGCGCCTCCCCTCTGCTCCGCCAACGGCCCCGCCCGCTGGAGGCCCGACAACAGCCGCCGGCATGGCCGGCGCGTCACTGCGCGTGCGCGGCCGGGGCTGGGCCGGGGCTCCGAAGCTCGGCCGGGGCTCCGAGCTTGTTGAATTACATTTCCCTCATGCTACATTAGCACTAATTTTAAAAGGGATATACAATATGTATATCTCTATTATGTGATAAGTTAAGCTGTTGTATTCTGAAATTTAAAAGCATTATTTTCAGTGAAAAAAACCACACAAATAGAAATGTGTACAAAAAACTCACTGAATGATATTTCTTTAATAGTAAAGGCACAATATGTCAAAACCTCCTCTGTCCTTTTTGCAACGATGTAGAACTGCAAAGTTAGCTAATGTCATCTCCTAATTAAACAAAATCAACTGTGAGAAAATTAAACTGATTGCTTCACAATTACGGTTGAGCAAACACTCAGTTTGTCCCTATTTCATCTCCTGCTTTAGATCTTTGAGAAATTTCCCATTGTTTTGCTTCCTTAGATTTACAGGGAAGAATATCTTAATATTCTTTAATGAACTTGCATTTGTAGCATCTATACTAATGTTACATCAACTAGGCCTTATGCATACATATTTATAACTTAAAATATTCTGCACAAATATGATATATTTTAAAGTCTATACCTCTTATAAGTATTATCTTTTCTGCTGAAATTCAAGGCTATCAAATAAGTGTATGTTTTTAGAGTTGTACAGTGAGATTTGAAAGCAGTCATGATATAATCACTGTAATTTTTTTAATTAAATGGTGGCAGATAGGCCAGATAAATTGCGGGAAAGGGTCAGATAAATGATGTTATGAATGAGGTAAACTTTTATCATATTTTGTATTATTTGTTATCTATGCTTCTGTTTACATAGCAGGATGACTCTATTGCATTCTGTCATTAACACTGATTTGTCCATATCAGTGCAAGTGAAATCTGCCCTACCCTAAATGAACCAGTTATTTCTAACCTACACCATCAAGAAAAGGTTATGTCTATCAACCTCCATTACATATTATATAGAATATACACAATATACATTCTAGATATATGAAGTCTTTGCATACATCTGAGTTATGCGTATGAGTATACATTTATATATACTTATATATATGTTTAAGATATATATTTCTGAGGATCCATATATGTCAGTGAACATGTACTCAATGAACTTTCATTATTGTGCAAACATAAACAGTGCAGTGTTATGGGATATTCCAACCAATTATAAGATCAAATCTCTTCACTTATTCTATTTGTTTTTGTTGTTATTGTTGTTGCTTTTTGAGACGGAGGAGTCTTGCTCTGTCACCCAGGCTGGATGGAGTGCAGTGGCGTGATCTCAGTGCACTGCAGCATCCGCCTCCTGGGTTCAAGCAATTCTTCTTCTTCAGCCTCCCAAGTAGCTGAAATTACAGGTGCGTGCCACCACACTTGGCTAATTTTTGCATTTTTAGTAGAGATGGGTTTTCACCATGTGGGCCAGGCTGGGTTTGAACTCCTGACCTAAAGTGATCTGCCTGCCTCAGCCTCCCAAAGTGCTGGGACTACAGGTGTGAGCCACTGCATCCAGCCTCTATTTGTTCATTTTTATAAGGCAATTTCTCACTCAAGATGTAGAATCCCTTTTCTTTTCTTACTTCATTATTTTTTTCTAGAAGCCAATGTTAAAAAGAGAAGTGTATTAAGAGACACTTTAAAAAGATGAGATTTACAAAAACATCTTGATAATAAGAAAAAAAACCATATGTCATTTATATCTAAATCAATCAGATACCTTTAAGGCTTGTCTCATAGGATCCTATAACCAGGGTTTTTAAAACTGCTTTATATTAAGAATAGCTAAGAAATGGGAACTTAATCTGCCTTCCTCTTATGAATTCTACACCACAGCCAGTATGAGCTGAGATAATATTAGATACTCTTAATGTTATTGTTCCTGCACCTCATATTCATGAAAATTGCATAGATATTTAGAGAAATCTACATTCCACTAAACATCTATTTATCTATTTATATATGTATTTACAATTTTTGCATTTAAGAATATGCATGCATTCACTCAATGTGATATAGTTAGGCTTTGTGTCCCCACCCAAATCTCATCTTGAATTATTATCTCCGTAATCCCCACCTAGCAAGGGAGAGACCTGGTGGAGGTAATTGAATCATGGGGGTGGTTTGCCCCTTGCTGTTCTTGTGATAGTGAGTGAGTTCTCAGGTTATCTGATGGTTTTATAAGGAGTTCTTCCCCGCTTTGCTCGGCACTTCTTCCTGCCACCTTGTGAAGAAGTTTCCTTGCTTCCCTTTCAACTTCTGCTATGATTTCCTAAGTTTCCTGAGGCCTCCCCAGCCATGCTTAATTGTAATTCAGTTAAACCTCTTTCGTTTATGAATTACACAGTCTCTGGCAGTTCTTTATAGCAGTATGAAAACAAAGTAAAACAGCATGTTTTGACATGTCCGTATAATTTGGTTGACTCACCTGGCCCCTTGCAGTTTGGTATAAATTGTAATACAATTTCCATGTTTATTTATCTCTATCAAATAATGAAAACATGGCATCTGCATTCAGAGATAAAGTTTCTCATTTTTATACAGGCACAAGTTTTACCTAGTAAATAATGTTTAAATAACTTAAAACCAAGTTCTAGTTATACTATCTATTACTCCAATTTGGTCTCAATAAATCACATGAAAGGAAGGTAGATATTGTTATTTTCATCTAAGAGGAAACCCAGTTTGAGAAAAATGAAATAACTTGCTTAAGGTCACAAATCCAGTAAGTAGTGGAGGCTAAACTGAAATCAAGGTTTTCAGGCTCCAAATTCTCTATTTTTGAATGTTATATAACTCAACCAAGTAAATATCATATATTAAGGTAAAAAACATCTTTCACACTTTTATACTACTAAACTCTATTACAATTCTCTATAGAATAACACATGGACATTTTAGCAGTTCTGTAAAACATCAGAGTAAAAGCTTTTCACCTGTAACTCACTGTCAACTGAAAGACAAATTTTACTCTCTTAAAAATAGAAGAAATATCATTTGCAAGTAGAAGAGACAATGATGCACTTTTTCATTTTCTTAACTCAACTGGAATTAAAATTATATTAACTCATCATTTTTCTCTTTCATATCACAAATAACTTATTCTGCTTCTCACTATTGTAATGTGTTTTTTTAAAGTCTAACAACTCTTTCACTTATTTGACAACATTATATTAGAGTTAAAGTTAAAAACATTTTTTCTTTTGATGTTTAAAAATACAATACAAACAATGGAAAATGGAATTTGCATGTCATTGTACGTTGCAGACTCCAAGTGGAATTTGCTAATCACAAATTCCAATAGCATATATATTCTTATATCTCTAGTTGTTAAACTGATCGTTAATAATTAAACTTTTCAAAAATATAGTGTATATTTTAATTATATAAGAATATGTAAATTTTGGATGCAATTAATATTTAAACCATTAATCTGCACTTCAATAATACAGAGTTGACTCTTTTGAGATAAAAGTCAGCCAGGATTACAAACTCTAGTAGTATTTTTTAATAAATAAAAAATATTGAAGAAACAGCTTTGTTTTCCAATCCCTAGTTTTCTTCATTTGGTAAATAAATGTTTGCTGAACATGTATAAAATGTCAAGTATTGTGTGTGCTTTGATAGTTATGTATAAGCATGAGATATGAACTGTTCATAGAATATTAATCTTTTTTGCATATTTGCTTATTTCATGTTCTTTTTTCAGTAAGACTTTGTGCCTTATAATTGCATATAACCCAACAGAATGAAATACAATAAAATTAATTAGATGAGGACATCAAAATGAAAGAAAAATAAAAATTCTTTGAAACCAGGGACTAAGTTAGTATACAAAGTCCATGCCAAGAAGAATTAGTTTCTAGCAATGTATTCCACATGTGGCTCTAAGTGTTCTGTCTATCCACAAATAGAAAAAAACAGATACAATTACATGATTCAGATCTTCCAGAAGTTAAATGAACATACACACAATTGTTTTGTTCAATAAAAGGCAAAACTATTCCTTTTAGCTGCATAATAAAAAAATCTCTCATTATCCTTTTTCTAAGAGTACTGAAAATAATGGCCATCAACAATAACTTTAAGTAAATAATCTGATGTTTCACAGAATATTTTCTTGTAATTTCCCCCTCTGAGTCTTTGTAAGAATATTTTGTAAAAGCACTTCTGTAAGATCTGAATTTTGTGTGGTTGAGTATTAATACTCTATGCAGGTCTGGCTTCATTACAGGAAGAATTTCCAGTATCCAGAGAAAATGGCTGGCCCATAGTCCTTCTGGCATGCCTTCATAAATGCTGCTTATTTTCACTAACCTCTCCATCTGTACTGAGTGGCAGTATGTTTATGGTTATTTCCCTCGAAAAGAGACTAAAGTTCAGAGAGCCTTTATTGTGTGTTAATTGCAAATCCTACACTAAAAAAGTCAGCTAAACCTGGGCTAGTAATGACGCAAGCATGAATCAAAAGGCATCTCACCTTTGCTCAGAGGGAAACTTCAAGGAATCCTTGAAGTCAAACATCCCTTCAAAGACTGTTAAGACACAAATGAATAGGGATTGGGCCCCAAAATTCTGAATCAGAGCATTACAGGATGTAAATCTCATGGAGAAAAGAACACGTACGTCCGGCAGAATGGGATAGGCACATATAATTCTAAACAGCACATAGTTTGAGATTTACAGTTAAATAGTAGAGATGACTGAGAATATTGTTGACCCAGGGCAAGGAAAATTTTGTCATTGGGCACAATTGAGAATAATGAATTTATAATAAGCTGGATTCAGACAATTCTGTATCCTTACCCATGAATGGATAAACCAGAGAGTGGGACTAATAAAGTGTTCACAGATTGCATATTTTATTTGGAAAACTATCAAGGATAATTAAAGGGGCAAGAGATTAGCTAAGATATAATTGGTTCTGGGAACAAAAGCAATAGAGTTCCATGAAGCAAAGAGCATTCATGATTTGGGTGAAGCGGGGCATTCACCCAGAATAAAAGACTTGCTAAGTTTGCTCAGGTTACATCAGGGACACATGTAATATAGGTGGTTAAATAGATGGGGGGGTTAATGCCCATAAATTCTTAGTCCAGCATTCTCATGATGACAGGAAAAGTAAGAAGATATTGTCCTATTTATGTGAAAACTGGCATGGAAAAGGGAGAAGCAAAAGAGAAAATTTTACAATCCATTAATTAGTTTCATTAGCTTAAGATATACTCACATATATGCATCATCAAAATTCTGGAAAATTAGGCCACTACTAACACAGCTTCCAATATGTTGGTAAAGCAATAGTTCATCAAGATTAAAAATAACTTAGTATATACATTTCTCAGGTACATTTTATATTTTTAGTCAAAGAGCCCACACAATTGTTTTATGTTGATATGGAAAAGACAGTGCTGACCCATTTCTCGTAAAGTGAGAAACTAGAACTTTTCTTTCTTTCTTTCTTTCCTTCTTTCTCTTTTTTCTTTTTTTTTGAGACAGTTTCTTGGCTCACTGCAACCTCTGCCTCCCAGGTTCAAGCAATTCTCCTGCCTCAGCCTCCCAAATGGCTGGAATTACAGGCAACCGCCACCACGCTCAGCTAATTTTTGCATTTTTAGTAAAGATGAGGTTTTGCCATGCTGGCCAGGCTGGTCTGGAACTCTTGGCCTCAAGTGATCCACCTGCCTCGGCCTCCCGAAGTGCAGGGATTACAGGCATGAATCACCGCGCCGGGCCAACTACAAACTTTCTTCTAGAACACATAACGTTAAAAATAAAAATGTTAAAATTAATGATTTATTTATTTTTACTGCACAGTTGAGTTGATGTTAATGTAAAGTAAATTCTTAAAAGTTACAATCAACAAGTAACATTCCTTTTGAAAAGTATGCTTGTCCTAGATTAGTGTTTGCTACTTACTCGTCAGTTCTAATCACCAAGTTATAATTATATGTTGGAGAAATTTGGGGGGGAAATTTCTGTGAAGGATCAATGGGAAGGTGCCAGAGAAGACAGGCAGAGCCTTTGGATTTTGATGCAAGGCTGAAATTTGTGAATGGAAGTAGGGCGTGCAGGAAGGCCCTCATATAATAGGGCAGCTCTGAAAACAGTAATGTTGGCCAGAGAGATGGTGAGTCCTGTAGCCAAAGTCAGAGGAGTGCACATCCTACAAGGATGAGCTGGCATTATTAATTCTGTTTCGCTTATTCATTAGCTGGGAAGCCTGAAAGAACATGGCCTTAGTGGTGGTAGATCCAGAGTGTAAGAACAGGGAATATTAGTCACCTCAGCTTCTTGCATCATGTTCTCTTGATGGCATTAGAAGTACACCACTGGGGTCCCATCGATGCAGAGTTTGAGATTTAATAGGCCACACCCAAGTGTGAGACAGTAAACAAGGACTATGGCCACATAGTCCAGGTAGAGCTTAGATTAGCACCCCTAAATGAGACTAAAACATTCAAAAAATTAAGCAAGTTCTACCCCATAGAAGAGGATGGAAGATAACCATGACTGTCTCAGAGACTGTTCTGTGTAGAGAAGGGAAAGAGAAGACTCCTGGCAGAATTCTTCTCCATGGGCTCTCCTTCACACCGGGGAAGGGTCCCAGAAGACCTTAAAGTCCCAAATGTGGTTTTAAAATGGTCTCAGGTCAGGAGCAATCCCAGATATCTGGGACATGCAAACCCAAATCCTATGCTGAGGAATGTACCCTAAGCCCAGTCCTCAAATATTCCCTCAGATAAAGTTCTATGGAAATGAGTTCCCAACAAAACTATCACAAACAGATGGAGAGGGAAGTCTCTTTGAGCAAATTTATAGATAAAACAAAGGATATGATCAAACCTCAAGTGGCTGTGAAACTTGAGGGTCTTCATAATAAAAATACAATTTAAGGAGCTTGTAGGTTGGGTGCAGTGGCTCACGCCTGTAATCCCAGCACTTTGGGAGGCAGAGGTGGGCGGATCACTTGAGGTCAGGAGTTGGAGACCAGCCTGGCCAACAAGGTGAAACTCCATCTCTACTGAAATACAAAAATTAGCCAGGCGTGGTGGTGGACGCCTGTAATCCCAGCTACTCTGGAGGCTGAGGCAGGAGATTTGCTTGAACCCAGGAGGTGGAGGTTACAGTGAGCCAAGATCATGCCACTGCACTTCAGCCTGGGTGACAGAGCGAGACTCCATCTAAAAAAAAAAAAAAAAAAAAAAAAATTGTATAGTTCATGTGAGCAGAATTCTAAGTGCTTTTATAAGTAACTCATCTCCTCCTCATAATTCCGAAAGCAGGGAATGTCATTTCACGACACAGCCAACAAATATATGGTGAGTGCCAAAAGCATCAAGATAATACAAAAATAACAGCAGCGAGGAAAGCAGGACATCTACCACCTTCATGGGGCTTGCCTTCTAATGAATACAAAATCAGTATGAGCTCCTGTTTTCTCTCTTTCTGTCCCTGTGTGTCTGTCTGTCTCTTTTTCTCTCAATCTCAAAACATGCATGTACACAACACATATACAACACAAACATTTCCTTTGCAACTGAAAATAGACAGATGAAGGATAATGAAAAAAACCAGAAAAGCCGCAAAATAACAAAATGATATGTGTAACAGGCATTGAAATCATCAGCCAAAACATTATATAGCCTAGCTACTGTGTGATTTTGTATAAATGAAAGGAAACTAGGAAGAATTTCTAACTTCACCATCTTCTTCCTGGGAAACCATGGGGAGAAGGTTTAGTCCCTGTTATTTTCAGTTTGCATCTCTATACATTTATTTACATTTCTCAACCTAACAATAACAGTGGAATTAAATGAAACCAGAAAGTGTTATGATTTAAACGGGAATAATTTTTCTGGATTTTGCAGGCCAACTGATACAAACAACAGAATGTTTTATTTTTATAAAATAGGCTTAGTGGAAGCCACACTATTACTTCCTGGTCTGTGTTTGTCATCATCATTTTACTATTTTTTTAACTAACAAAAAAGTTGTATATATTTATGGTGTACAACAGTATGTTTTGGACTATGTACACATTGTGCAATGGCTAAATCAAGCTAATTAATATATGGCTTACCTCACATACTTACCAGATATTAAAGTGAGAACACTTGAAATCTACTCTCAGTGATTTTCAAGCACTCTATACAATACATTGCTATTAACTATGGTCGCCACGTTGTATAACAGATCTCTTGAGCTTGTTATCATCCTCATTTAATGTTAATACACGAGAAGATAAGTCCAGGATCTGTCTTTTATTACCTTTATTGGTTTCCCTATATAGTGCTATCTACTGTTACACTAGATTTTTCCTATGCAATCCAAGAATAGAGATTTTCTAAAACAATTAATTTAGTGACTTGAATGCAACTGGTTGGTAATTCTGTTTTTATTGTCAAAAGTGTAAATAAATAATTTTAAATAACATGAGTTCATTCTCTTTAATATTGGCCTATGAATTATTTGTTTATGATTCATAGGCCAATATTAAAGAAAATGACTCATATTATTTATAAAGTTTATAATTTGAGATAAACAGGAAAATAAAACAATACTAATTTTAATAATAATAAAAAACTGTTCTGAGGGATTAATGCAAGGTTGTTACAGTGTGAACACTTCACATGCATTACCTATTTTCATGCTTAGAGCGACCTAATGTGCTAGTTACTGTCAGTGATCAGATTATACCGATGAGGACCCTGAGAAATAGAGAAGATAAGAAAACTAATGAAGTTAAAAAGAACAGAGCATGGACTCAAACCAATATCTGACTCAAAGCCCAATCTCTCACCTATTAGTTTGCAAATGTTATATCTATAGGTGAACTCACTAAAGCCTTCAGACATAAGATTCAAAACTGTGGTGTTTTCACAGTTAAATTATGAGTAATGTTTACTATTATATAATTTCTAAATAGATCAAGTTCTTGTTATTTACACATTTATAGACATAAAGTTTTGAGACATCTGGGTAGAGACTGAAACAATAGACTGGAACTTAAAAGCAGAAGTTTAGATGAGAGGGATATTTAGGTGTATTAATAAGGATTGAGGCTGTAAAAATGAATGAAATTACCCGAGAAAGCATTTCAAATAAGCAGAGAGGTGGGCTTGGCTGGGCACAGTGTCTCATGCCTGTAATCCTAGCACTTTTGGAGGCCAAGATGGGAGAACTGCTTGAGGCCAGGGGTTTGGGACCACCTTGGTCAATATAATGAGACCCCCATCTATATTTAAAAAAAAATTAAAAGTAGAGAGGTGGCCTGAAACACAGACATAGAGTTACCCAATAAGTGGGGCAAGGAAGTATAACCATGCAAAGGAAACTGATAAAGAGGGCCAGATGAGGAGATAGAAAATCTGGTCTGTGGGATGCCTCAGAAGCCAAAGAAAGATGTTTCCAAAAGAAAATGATAAACAGCTTTAGTAGTTGGTAGAAAGAGGATAGAAAGCTTTTCCATAGGATTGAGCCAACCTGAGAACAAAGGTGACCTATAAGCTGCAAAGGTAAAGGGATGGCACTAGAAGTTCTAAGGTAACCAGAAGTTTGAATACATTTGAAAACCCATTGCAGAGAGTAGGAGAGTAAGTTGACTAGGTATACAATTTCAGGCAATTTAGGAAAAAATAATTGAAGGACTGATTATAAATTTATTCATTAATTCAAAAAGTGTCTGATAGTGGCAGTAAACACAACACTGTTCTGAGTGGTTTGGGTATATTTGCAGTGTAAAACAGACAATATCCTCTGCTCTCATAGAAATTAAGGTCCAGTAGAATGATAAAGAAACAATAAATATCAGGTAAAAATGTTTTAATACAATACATTAGAAAATGGCCAGTGGGTTTTTTTTTTTAAGTAGATCACAACAATTAGAAAGATCAAGAGTGTTTGAGGTCAAAGCAGGTTGCATTTTAAAATGGGATTGACCCACTGCTGTATATCTACACCAAGGAAAAGGAATCATTTTTATAAAAAGACACCTGCCTGCTATGTTTATTGCAGCACTATTCATAATAGGAAAGTCATGAAATCTACCTCAGTGCCCATCAATGGATGACTGGATAAAGAAAATATGGTACATACTAGGGCCGAGCACGGTGGCTCATGCCTGTAATCCCAGCACTTTGGGAGGCCGAGGCGGGCAGATCACCTGAGGTCAGGAGTTCGAGACCAGCCTGGCCAACATGGCGAAACCTTGACTCTACTAAATATACAAAAAAATTAGCCAAGTGTGGTGGCAGGTGCCTGTAATCCCAGCTACCCAGGAGGCTGAGGCAGGAGAATCGCTGGAACCCAGGAGGCAAAGGCTGCAGTGAGCCTAGGCTGCGCCATTGCACTCCAGCCTGAGTAACAGAGCAAGACTCTGTCTCAATAAATGAATAAATAAATAAATACAGTAAAGAAAGAAAGAAAAAAGAAAATATGGTACATATACCAGCCATAAAAAGAATAAAATCGTGTGTTTTGCAGCAACACATATAGAGCTGGAGGCCATTATCTTGGGTGAAATAACTCGAAAAATCAAGTACTGCATATTCTCACTTATAAGCGGAAGCTAAACAATGAGTACACATGGACATAAAGAGGAAAATAATAGGCATTGGGGACTCTAAAAGTGGGGAGGATAGGAGAGAGATGAGGGTTGAAAAATAACCTATTGGGTACAATGTTTACTTTATGGGTGATGGGTACATTAGAAGCACAAACCTCACCATTACCCAATACATCCATGTAACAAACCTGCACATGTACCCCCGTACTTATAATACAAAATAAAGTGGGATTGACAACAATACTCAATTTGGTTGATATTTCAGCAACAATGTGGACTGAAAGAAGTGAGAATTAGCCATGCGGATATCTAGGGAATAGCACTCTAGGTATGGGAACAGCAGTGCAAACTCCCTGAGGTGGCAGGGCAGCGTGCATGAACAGCGAGAAGAGAGTAATAGGAAATGAGGTTAAGGAAACAGTGGGAATGAGTGTAGGGGCCAGAAAGTGTAGGAACTTGAAGGCCACTCCAAGGATTTAGGTTTTACTGAGTGAAATAGGAGCCTTCCTATTGCTAACAATATACACTAGTCCCCTCATTTCTCCAGTGGGGTTCAGTGTAGGATTTCTATGCACTGAGAGTGGCTTCATAAGTAGCTTTGACAATTACCACAAAATAACAGCATGAGGAAGGAATAGTTTACAAGTGTCTTATGAAAATGCAAACCATATGTGTTCTGCTTAATAATGAACAGAGGTAAGAAATTAATGGGTGGCTGTTTTAGAAGAATGGAAGAGAAATGGACTGAGGTTTAATGCGTACATTTGTATTCTCATTCACTGATATAAAGATAAATACATTGAATCTGGATCCAGGATTTGAGGCTTTTTCTGCATCAGACCCTCCTGTTCTTAGTCAAATCATTTCCATTTGTAAAACTAAATTACTATTTCAAAGTGCTCAGACAGAAATGGGACAAAAAAAGAAGATAATTTTGAGCCAAAAATGTTTTAACATAGCATGAAGCTTTAAATTAAAAAAGACACTTCTTAGTATTACACTTCTGGAATTTAACCTAAATGTAAATCCTTTTTTTTTTTTGGAAGCAGGGGCCTACTGATCATTTATTCTTTCATGAAACGAAACAAATAAACATTTATTTATTGACTATGAAGATGGGTCTCGGGGAAATATTCCCTTTAGAAGCTCACAGTCCAGTGTGCTTCTTCTCCACTTTCTGTGTGGTAGTGAAGTATTTTTCCTTTTATAAGTACAAATGAATTACTCACTTTTTGATTCCAGTCAATGCAACACTAGAATTATTCAATGAAATTACATTTTCTTATGGTGCTCAGAGGACGGCCCACTGCCAATGTAATTGAGGCCCTTTCAAAACGTAATTTCCATTAACAATGTTTACTCTGAAATTGTCTCTTTGGCTTTCTTCATATGACAGAATCTATGATTGAATGAAAGTGCTAGGTTTGAGATTACTGCATCTATAAATGTAATATTTACTTTGAGTATTAATGATTGTAATGGTTGGCTTTTAAGATCATTTCAGTTGCTTTGATAACGGAATAGCAAGGCAAGAAATTAACAGTGACAGATGACTTCATTAACTAATTCCAGTTAAATAAACCTCTGATTCTCTTCCCAGCTCACATGTTGTTCACGTAAATGCTTGGAGAAAATGTGACGATTATAGTTCTTTTTATACATTTTAATATACATGCATCATACTGAAAATTTTATATATATTATATAAGGTAAGAATTATTCATAAATTTATAAAAGCAAATTCCATTCTCTGACTGGCAATAAGATCCCTTAACACCCATATATATTTCCCATACAGGTATTATTAAAATGAAAAATATACAGTTTTTAGGCATATATCCACTAAATCAAAAGCCCATTTTTGTTTAAATAATTTTCTTTAGCTATATATCATTTTTGAAAGCACAATTTATAATGTTCAAAATAGAATGTGTTCCAAACTTTCTCTTAGAGTGCTCAGTGAGAAAGTACTTATATTTATATCCATTTTGAAGCAGTCTTCAGAGAATCATACTTTAATCAGGAAATCTGAGCTTATGAAAATGTTCATTATATTGATTTTTTTTTTCCATATTGCTGTGCACACTGAATCTTGTCCCAGCAGGCTAATGAAATACTTTATTTCATGATGTGTCTCTAGGCTATGGAGATATGTGACGTGTTATGGCCAAATTTTGTGTGATCTTCTATATTGAAAGAGTCACCCACATGTCCCTAAAAGATACCCATACTTGCAATTTTATAAAAAAGTGAATTTTGCTCAAACACATTATTTACAGATGTTCAATCAGATAAGTTAAAACCAGACAATTTGTAAATGATTTAATTGAATTTTAAGGGATATGGAGAATAAATCCAATGAATAAATATCATTTTTAAATGCATCTCATATTTTGTAAGAAAATATATTTACAAAATGGAAAACTGCATTATTAAAATACAAACTTTATAGCAGTTTTATGCAAAATAGTATATAGAACAGTTACCTGATTTGTAACAAAAGGGTAGCTCTGTATTCTCAATACAGATCATTTCCCTTTAAATGTTCTTGTCTTTTTAAAATGCTTTACAAAATAATTGTTTCATTATTTATTAGAGAGTTCATAATAAGTTTTCTTTGCATAAAGTATTCATTTGTCATTTAAAAATACAAAATTAATTGACTATCAATAAAAATGTTTGGAATATTTTTCATTTTCTATTTACTGACTAGTATAGAGCAAACTAAATGAGTTTTGGAGTCTCTCTTTTACATATGTTTTACATTGATATGATTCTTCCTATAAAGTCATAAATAACTTTTACAAGTATAAACACTGCTGCATGAAGAAAAATACTGACCTAGTAATCTCCTAGGTCAGATTTGGATTCAGCAGCACAGAATGGAAATCCAATTATAATCTCTTAAACAAAGAAGGATTTATTTTTCTCGTGGGTCTTATACAGCAACCCAAAGATTGGCATCCTGGGTCTTATACAGCAACTCCATGATAACATCAAAAAAGGACCTTTTAATTTCTCAATCAAACATGTGGCTTTCTTTTTTATGATCGTAAACCAGTTTCTGCATCTCTAATCATTATTTTGGCAAGCCATGGAAAAGACAAAGGAAAAAATGGGAGAGATTAAAAAAAAAAGCAGCAAAAAGTACATGCAGTATGAATACAGGTGGATACAAAGAAAGGAACAACAGACAGGGCCTACTCGAGGGCAGAGGGAAGGAGGAGGGTGCAGAATGAAAACCTAGCCATTGGGTACCATGCCTATAACCTGGGTGATGAAATAATCTGTACACCAAACCCCCATGACACTCAATTTACCTATATAACAAACCTGCACACGTACTCCTGAACCTAAAAGTTAAAAAATAGAATAAAATAATTAAAAAAACTTTTCCTAAAAAGCCCCAAAAGATTTTTCCCATGTTTACTGCATAAGGTGAAATGAAGTCACATGTGTACTCTAGCTCTGAGGCATTCTGGGAGGAGTGAGCATTTTAATTGGGCAAAACACAGCCATTGATGATACATGCTGTGACTATGGAAGGATTCTATTAATAAGGAGAAGGGGAACGGGATATCAGGTAGGCCTCTAGCGGTGGCTGTCATGCTCATTAACAACTTTGCAATCAGATCCCAAAAGGCTAAGAAACTGTTAAAGACATTGCTTAAAATAGATGTTCACTAGCTTCAGTGAAATAAAAGATAGTGTATCTCATTGTCTTATGATTTAATGTTCTGAAGTAATCATTTGCTGAAAGCTACAACAATTAATGGTGACAAATTTAGAGGGTGAAGTCACGTCTGTGTTTTTACTCCCTATGTTCCAGCTACCTAGGATTGGGCAAGTTATTTAATATGTCTTGGCCTTTATTTTCTAATTTATAAAATATTCAGGAAAAGGAAAACTGCATCAATGAAATTTTCTACAGTACTGATTACTTCTTTTTTCTAATAATGTAAGTAAACAACAAATGCAAAGTAAAAAGTCTATTGATTTTAATAGATATGATAGGCTTTTTTTCGAGCTGAATAGATATTAAAGAAAGTATAAGTACCCTTTTGCAGCTGAAGAATATTGTAAACTAAATTGCACATTGGCTGAATTTATATGTATGGCAGGTAAAATATTTGTGCACTATCCGATCATCACTTGAAGACAGAATGTAATAATCTTTAATTCTTCTACATGGTAGAAATGTGAAGGTCCTCCTGGTTGCTGCAGTATTTCCAGCCAGTAGCAATATATACTTTCTAAGTGGAGATTAATGAGTAATTATGTCATTTTACACCATCAGTCATGGTGATGGACTGATTCCAGATTGCTACAGTAAGAATGAAGAGGTTGAGTCCCACCCCTTGCTTATTTGTTGAGATTAACTTGATAAAGTGATCACCAAAGTTGAGTCCTCCTACTCTTTCTGAGACTTATACATATAGCTTTATCTGTTTGGTCTTGCAGATATCATTTGCACTCAGGCCAACGGCTGATGTGATGCCAGGCTCAGTGTTCTGTGTGGCATTTTCCTAGTACACATAGATATTGGCTCAGGCTGTCAAAGATAAAAAAAAAATAACCAAAAAACATTAAGCATAAGAAACAGCACATGGGGCTGAGTGTGGTGGCTCACACCTGTAATCCCAGAGCTTTGGGAGGCCAAGGCGAGAGACTAGCTTAAGGCCAGGAGTTCAAAACAAGCCTGGGCAACATAGCAGTATTCCATCTCTACAAAATAATTTTAAAAAGAAAAAAGAAAAGAAAAAGCAAATAGCAGGAGTCACATTTCTACACTGTGACTGAACTTCATTAATAACAGCAAATGAGCAGATCGGCTCAAACAACCATGGGAAAAAGAAACTAGACACAAATGGGTGGAAGGAAATACTAGGTAATGCCTAGTAGTGCAAAGTATTTGCATTGTATTAAACTCTTAACTTTTTATTATTTTATTTAATTCTCCCAACTGCCACAGTTATTTCCCTTTTACACATACAAAGTTAATTATTTTGCCCAAGGTCATAGCACCAAACCCAGGCAGTTGATTTTAAAGTCTATGCATTTAAGTGATATTCTACATTATATCCACCTAGAGATACAAAATAAATTCTAAAAAATAAAACTTCACTAGTGCTGAGTATATATACTTGTTTGAGGAAAACCTTGATAGATTGACCTATCGACATTTATGACTGGAAAATCCCATTGCAGATGCGCACCTGTACACTAGACTTGAAGTTCCAAAGAGATGCCTTTAACAGATATTGTTCACTAATACTCAGATTTATCACGAACATTATGGAAGACATTTAATGGCTACAGTACTCTGAGAGACATGATCTGGGAATATATGTTTCAGGCTGCTGCAGTTCTTCTCAGGTCAAATCATATTTCTTGTGAAGATAGTGCAGTGTTAACTGATAGCGCATCAAACCTGAAGGGACAGTTCAATGGGTTTGTGTGCCGAGCTGGAAAAGAAAGTCAATTTTCATTTGCTTTTAGACCCACATTTTGAATCAGACAATATTAGATACAATGGCAGTCTCAGAAGAGATGGTCTCATGTTTGCCTTTTAAATGTTGGTGCTTCATTTTTAAGACCAAGATACAAGTATGTGAGAAAAAGCACCCAGAGAATACTGAATGGTAATTCTCTCATGATGAATAATATGTCTACCTTAATTGATACTTGAAGAAAAATTGGTAAGTCTCAGCTAAAGCATAGTAACTAAGGGTTGGTTTGTAAAATAAATAAAGAAAAAAGGAAAGGGCTACTATTGCTTTAATAAAGATTTCCTGCCAGTATGTCCTGCTGCAAATTGTAAATGGTGGAAGCACTTCACCTCTAAGCACTGTGAATGGAAATGGAGACCGTTAAGGCAAACTTTAAGATTAAATACTTTCGTTTGTGGTATTTAATTTTCTCTGTATGATGTTTTAAAACAATTAAACATGCATAAGTTATAGTAAATATAAGATCCTTCTTTATCTATGCCTCATTTTGAAGGAAGAAACCTTCCCTTGAGAAGGAAAAGAACGAAGAAAGACAGAGCCTAGGGTACTGTGTATCATGAAATGAAGGGTAGAACAGTTTCTCAGGAGACCAACTGTGGTTCCCTCATTCAAATGACACACGAGAAGACACTGTCATATGTTTAAGTTTGCTTTTATGTAAGGAACTATTTACTGCTATTCTGCTTAAAATGCTGACCCTTAAAATATTTTATAAAGATCTAACATCAATGCAACTTTACCCAGCCAATTATAAAGAAGTAGGCTGATTTTTCTGATATTTTGTACAGACATTTTTAAAAATTTTAATGTAAACTTTGATATTGTAATTATTAATAACACAAAAGGATTAGTTCTCATTTTAAGCAGGGAACTATTTGTGTCCTCTGTACTACGTAAACTCAACATAAGATGCAAGAGAAAACTAACATTATGCTAATAGATAAAACCACACATGATCTGTGGTGGAAGGACTGGAATTGCACTATCACTGAAGTGCAAATGTATATATATATTTAAAATTTTGAAAGCTTACACTCTTCTCAGATTTAGTTTAAAAAAGATTCTAGTTTCATTCTCTCCTTTATTGACTGCTGTTTCTGCTACATGACCAAAAGTAGTTTTCATTGTTCATGTTTGGTTTGTTTTGCTTGTAGGTAAAGCTTATTATAATTAAATACATAGAGCCAAGGAAGGGAAAAATTAACAGTTACATAAGAGAATAAGGAGAAAGTAAGAATGAAGGTCAATATATACTCCAAACATTGATGTTTCTGTCTCCTTCACATACAGATATTGGCCTCGTGTTGTAGCCTTAAACCATCTGATCCAGACAGGTCAAAGCAAGAACTTTTTAAAAAATCTCTCTTCTTTTCAGCAAGTTTTCCCGCTAAGGAAACACATTCTCATCCCTCAAATCACTTGATGTCATACAATAACTTTTAGCTCCTACCCCAAATTGGAAAACAATATTGTGAGGAATAAAATCATTGTAGATTTTGCAGGCAATCCTAAATAATCAGGTGAATTACTTTAGATATAATCATCTCTTAGCTTGGAAATTTGCAGATCGATTTCGTTTATCTATTTGCAGTGCAAACAACTTTAAAATATGCATATTATTTGACATTTTCATATCTTTTGAGTATGAGAGAAAGAAGGTAAAAGAAGAAAGTAGAGAATCTTCTGTCTATATTTAAGTGATATAATTTCAGTTATATTCATGGCATCTCTAGTATTTATCACATAGTTTTCCATGGAAAAATATCATTTTTAAGTCTGGTCTATTGTTTACTTCAAACTGTATAATGTATAGTAAACTATTTATGGATAAGATGAATTACACCGCAGCTTTAATTTTTCAGGTTTACAGCTGTCACTTTTGACACAGAAAATGAAGAGATTTAAAATCCATTTCAGGCATGTAACTATAATTTCATAAAATTTTATGCCCCACAATATATAACATGTGATAAAAGATGTGAAATGCAGAAAATATTCATCATTTACTGCTTCTTCATGACCACAACTTTGGGCCCTTTAAACAGGGATAAATATTGGAGGAACAGTATTCTTTTTCATTGTTGAAAAGCTTCCAAAATAGATTACAGTAAAATTTAAAATAAAACCAGAGAATATGTATTATTGAGACAAAGTCAGGACACCTGAGTTTTGTTCCCAGACTCTGAACCTGTTTGCTGCAATATGCTGGACAAATACTTTAATATCCCAAGGTTTAGCCCCCTCATCTTGATTGCTAAGAAGAAAACGATTATTAATAATGTCAAAGAAGATAATATCTATAAAATAATTCACAGGTCTATAGCAATTATTCAAATAGAAAATATTAATGTCATTATTAATAAACAAATAATCCCATTTCTTTTGATTTACATTTTTCTCTTCAAACATACCCAAGTCAGATAATGACGCTTCTATCTACTAATTTTACTCCATGTTATATTTTTCTGTGTTGCTACTGGAGCTTGAACTTGATGTCATCCTTTCTAATCCTGGCAGCCATCAATTCTCAGTTCCTAATGCTTTCTGGTAGAACTTTTTCCTCATATAAATGCGGTAACACATTTACATATGAAATCCATTTAATGTAATGTATTTTATCTGAAACCATCAGAAAACAAAACTTGTTTTATTTTTAACTGTTTTAAATTTTATAGGAACATAATATTTTGATTTGTGAAACATTAAAAGGCTCCTATAATGAGCCATCTAGCCCAAATAGCAGCAGGTAATTTTATTTGGTGTAATGGAAAGAACCCTGGGCAGAGGATTGGATAACCCAGTTTCTATTCTGATTTCTGTAATTAACTAGCTCTATGATATTGGGGAAATCACTTAGCCTTCCTGATTCTCAATTTCCTCATTTGTGAACTGAAGTAATTGAAACAATGTTCTCTAAGGAACTTCCTAGTTCCAGCGGCCTGATTTTATGCCGACAGAAGCCATGCATGAAAACCATTTGGTTTTCTTTTAAAATCTATACTTTCTTCTTACCAATTTATATTACACTAACATTATTTTTGCAATACCTGATCACAAGTATAATTTGGTTTAGGAGCTACCTATGGCTGGGAGGCAGCTGGCATGGCCAGGGCCGATCCCTTCAGACAAGGAATGTGCAAAGCTCTAGAATGGCCAGCTCAAGAATCGTAGTAGAAATAGTTCTAGTACGAAAGACATGGTCTACACTTCAAGCAGGCATTGGAAGAAAAAAAAAAAAAAAAAAAACACGTGTGTGTGAACTTATAAGTACCTGAGCCGACTGCTCAAATATCTTATTATTCTCCTTCTTACGAGAAGGTCAATAAATTTCAAGCTTCATTAGCACCAACGTGTACTCAGAACCAACAAATGTTATGCCGACTATTCAGGGAAGGATTCAAGACATAAAATGGGCGGCAATTTTTATATCTGTAAGCATAGCATGATCACGGAAGCAAAAGTACTCAACATTTTATAAGGCAGTAAATAAAGCCTGTTTTAAACTAAAAATACAGCAGTACTTGTGGGCTGTTTTTTATGCAATCAGCATCAAAACTTGGAATGAAACAAAAATTATGTTGAGCACAAAGTGTTTCCCTCAGAAAAGGATAGGAGAGAGGTTAGCTTGGAGTAGCCAAATAATGGTACCACAAAGTTTCAAGCAGAAGATTTAAATGTGTTCTGTGAATTACAGTGATACCTCCTGTGTGTGCCTATGATTATGAATTGGGAAAGGGGAGTGGGGAGAAACTGAACCCTGGCCCCGCATTTTTCCACAGACATTTAGCATAATGAGGTGGCTGCTAAGCTTTCATTTTCAAAAATCCCCTGTTTTAAAAAATGCTTAGGATGGCTGAGTTGGAGAATACTGGCATGGAGCACAGTAAAACTAATGAATCTATACATTTGTTTAAAATTTAATTAACTTCCATTATTTGAATGGCAGAAAAAGAGGCCTATACCCTGACGCATCAGTAGGAAGTACACACCACGTTTCATTTGCCTTTGCATATCAATTTACATGATGAAAGCTCTGTCCTCTATATTGAGCTCACTACACACTAGATCAACAGCCCAGAATTCCCTCCTTCATAAGTTTGGATTGGCTGACATTTTGTGTCTGGAATTGGTTCCTTCCGGTAGGTTCTTGGTCTCGCTGACTTCAAGCACTAAGCCGTGATGGCGGTGAGTGTTCCAGTTCTTAAACATGGTGTGTCCAGAGTTTGTTCCTTCCCATGTTCAGATGTGTCTGGAGTGTCTTCCTTCTGGTGGGTTCCTGGTCTCACTGACTTCAGGTGTGAAGTGGCAGACCCTCACCGTGAGTGTTACAGCTCATAAAGGTAGTGCAGACCCAAAGAGTGAGCAGCAGCAAGAGCAAAAGAACAAAGCTTCCACAGTGTAGAAGGGGACCCCACTCGGTTGCCGTTGCTGGCTCAGGTGGCCAGCTTTTATTCCCTTATTTGGCCCTGCCCACATCCTGCTGATTGGTCCATTTTACAGAGTGCTGATTGGTCCGCTTTTACAGAGTACTGATTGGTGTGTTTACAAATCTTCAGCTAGACACAGAGTGCTAATTGGTATGTTTACAATCGTTTAGCTGGACAGAGAAGTTCTCCAAGTCTCACCAGACCAGAAGCCCAGCCGGCTTCGCCTCTCAATTTCACTTTGACCTAGTAGAAGAAACAGAGTTGTTTCCAACTGTATAAATGATGAAGCAGTAGCAAAACCTGCTGTACTGACTTTGATGTGGAACAAGGTTTCTCTTCCCAGGTTACCTTTGGGGACGTAATGATGAACTTGTTCCAAATCTGTGAAACTTGAATACAATGAGTATTCAATAAATGCCAGTTGCATGGAAAAGAAAGTAGGAAATTGTGTTTTGGGGGTCACTTAGGCCGAATATTGTTTTTCTTTTTTGTTGTTGTTGTTCTTTAGAGTAACAAAAACAAATTCAGAGTAAGAGATTGATGAGTACATTATATGTGGAAAAGTCAAGAATACTTGTTGGAATTGACATCATGTGGTCAGAACTCCTTTCTTTCTCCTTTTCTTAATTTTCTTACCTCTGTCTCCCTTTGTGTGTAGTCTCTATTTTCTCCATTTTTAGAGGGAACTCTATTACATTGTCCAGTGCACAAGATGAGGTGGGGACCATCTGAGTAATGAAGCAACTACTCTTTTTTCTAAAAAGCTGCCCATGATTATTGGCCAGACCTAAGACTCTTGCTCAGCCTGTGGGTAAGGGACAAAATACAGTAATTACCAATATCACTGTATTCACAGAGAGGATAGGTATCAAAACACTGATAAAACGAAGGGGCAGAAGTGTCAACCAGAAATAGTGGAGAGAGGATACTGGCAGGGAAAAATAAATAAGCAAACAAATTAAAATGTATCAGAGAACTATAGCACATAACCGAGAAATAAAAATTCTCTTTACTCTTAAGGCATGATTTCTTTTTAAGTGAAGTAATGCAAATATTAGATTTCAGTATTTATCTGTACTAGTATTCTATTGCTGCATTTCAAATTTCCATAAACTTAGCAGCTGAAAATAACCCTTATTTATTAACTCACAGTTCTGCAGGCAAAAATTCAGCCCAGTGTGAATGAGTTCTTTGCTCAGGGTCTCACAAGATTGAAACCAAGGTGTCAGCAGGGCTGTGTTCATCTCTTGAGGCTCTTAGGGAAGAAGCAGCTTTGAAGATAATTCATATTGTTGATAGAAGACACTTCCTTGCTCTCTTAAGGTTGAGGTTTCCTTTGTTACTGCCAGCTGTGAGCTGGGGTGTAGGTAGTTCAACTCCTGCAGGTGGCTTCTCTGCATCCACAGCTTTAACACATGTATTTGCTTTCTTCCAAGCTGGCTGGAGCATGTGTTTTGGACTTCCTTTTCTTACACTTGGAAAAAACTTTCTGCTTTACAGGTCTCATGTGATAGGGTTAGGCCCACCCAAATAATCTTATTTGAAGATTAACTGTGTCATATGACATAGCATAAGCATAGTAATAAAATCCATTGTCCTGACAGTCCTGGAGATTATGCAGGATATGGACACTCAGGGGAGAGAAATCTAGGAGTCTGTTGTAGAATACTTCCTACTACTCTGTAGGTTACATTTCAGTCATAATTGAAAATTCAGGTTTGATTTTGATTTAGTTCAGTATTGATAAGCTAAAGTGATATGGTTTGGCTCTATGTCCACCCTCCACCCCCCGCCAATCTCATCTCGAATTGTAATATCCACATGTTGGAGGAGGGGCCTAGTGGGAGGTGATTAGATCATGAGGGCAGATGTCCCCCTCATCGTTCTGATAGTGAGTGAGTTCTCATAAGATCTGATGGTATTAAATTGTGGCACTTCACCCCTGGCTATCTCTCTCTCTCTCTCCTGCCGCCATGTAAGATGTGCCTCGCCTTCTGCCAAGGTTGTAAGTTTTCTGAGGCCTCCCCAGCTGTGCAGAATTGTGAATCAATTAAACTTCTTTTCTTTATAAATTACCCAGTCTCAGGTAATTCTTTACAGCAGAGTGAAAATGGACTAATACATCAAGTTTTATGATGTAAAATAATACACTGAAGTATGTTTGGACCCTGGTTAGTCTTGGAAATTCCATCTATAAGTTCTGTCTGTAACTTACCTTAATAAGAAACCAACGATACATGGAGAAGGAAAAATTGTAAAAACCAGTGGATGATCAGTAAGAAAACTAATTTTTTTTTTTTAATCTCGGAAATAATGCACCTCTATGGTCAATAACATTCATGTGTCAGTTTTAAGAAAATGTTCTACGAACACGTATGCACACACATAATTCCATGGACTCCAAGAATCATTAGGAGAACCTTAATAATAATAATAATAAATTAGTAGCTTCTGAAAAGCAACCAAACTTTAAAAGAAATATTCAACATTTAAGGCTTCAATCAATCTCTACTTAAGCACCTGCTTTCATAATCCTGAAACTCATTTAAAAAAAAAAAAAAAAAAAAACTTTCTGACCTTTAAAAATGCAACAGCCTGAAATCAATTTATTTCAGTCAGGCATTCAATAGTATATACTTGCTAAAACAGTCAAAGTTCAAGTTATAGCATCTGTGACATCTATTTTTTTCGTTTTTGCATTTTTGCCTTCTTATTTTATTTTTTTCTTTTAAGTTAAAGTCAAAATGGAACTATTATCTCTTTGGCAGTTTCTTGGGAATCCTATTAACCTATTGGGAAATAAGTAAACTCTGAGAATGATTCCTTTCTTAATATGTTTATAATGAGAGCTTTAAAAAAATGATCTCTCACTAACCTGTATTTAGAAACAAGATGTAACTTACTGCATTTCTTACACAGGATAGTTAATATTTATCTTTGGGATTAAGATTACTCATTTTCACACTATGGGGCAGAAAATAAATATTATGTATAAATTATTATGCAAGTAAGATAATATTTATGATACTATTACAAGATATAAGACCATGAAATATTAATTCTTAGCAGTAAATTTGACAAAAAAACTTGACTCATAATGCAAAGAAAACAAGCTAAGTTCTTGTATTTATTTTTTCTGCATTTGTGATATTACACATTCAAATCCATTTGAAGTAGTTACTATAGAATGAGGAAAGGAAATAGAAGACTTCGGTAAGGCGGCTTCATGCTTTAACACACTAAGCAATCCCCACAGTGATGGATGCTACAAAAAATAGGTCACCTTCAAACCACCCTTGAAAATAAGCAGACACTGTAATTTCAGATTGTGTTCTTATGAGCATTGTTAAGAGCATTGAGATATATATACATATATATAAATGTTATATATTTAACAAATTATATATATATTTGTTATATATATAACAAATATATATATAACCTATATATACATATATAACAAGTATATATATATATAAATAAATATATATATTTGGCCTTGTATTTATTTTGCAAAAATTGTGCTTGTCTGAGCACAAGAAAATACCATTTTTTCATTTTTTTCTCTCACATAAAACACATATAAACGTCTTCATACACATGCACAAATCTGTGTAGTTATTAGTTCATTGTGAGAAAGAATGTAGATATTTTAATGACCATTTCTGTTATTAAATGGAGTTACTCTATTACCTTTTTAATATGATGGATTTTATGTCTTTCAAAGCAAATTATGGCACAATGTGCACAACCATAGAAAAATATTTTATTCAAAAAACTGACTCCCTGGGAGCGATTACTAAATTGTGTTTTCTAGTACCTAGTACAATTACTAATGGGCAGTCGAAAGTATTTTTCAATGATACTATTGTTATTAATGCATTCAGGGTAATACAAATCTGGCTTTGCTCAAATTGATGTCACAAAACGAAAACTTGGGTAGTTTATATCTATTGCTAATTCAATTCTCTGAACATAGATTCAGCTTTTTTGGTTTTTTTCTCTCAAGATATTTCAAAAGTTTTTTTTCCTGTTAATGGCATTGTATTATCAAATTAAAAGTGAGATGAGTCAGTTTAAATGCTAGTCCCAAAGACACGTGGGGTTAGACAACCTGGTTTAATCTCTGCTCTGAATATTTTTACTTGTGTGTCTTGAGCCAAGTTAGCCTGCCTGTCCCTCAATTTCTGTATCTACAACATGAGAATGCTAATAGAAGGATTGTAATCATAGTGTTTTTCTGAGTATTAAAGTGGGTTTAGACACATAAAGCCATTAGAAAGTTGCCTGGCAAAATATAGAAGCTTGATAGCTTTTTCTACCATCTTATTGAATCCAATCAGTTTTCTCATGCACATTTATATAAGTTAATATAAATAGAAAGGAATATTGCTATACTGGGCTTATTTGGATATGAAGGGAGAGAAATGAAGGAAAACAAACTGTGAAGCCAAATTCTCTACAGTATTCTCCAAATTTATGATATAAATATTATAGTCTACATTTTACATATGAAGACTCTGAGGTATGAAGAAATTCAGTAATTTACACAATAACACAAATGTAATAAGTGATCAGTTTCGGATTCTAACCCACAAATATCTGATGTTCAGGATCATGGATTTTAACTCTTTTTATGTTGTATACACCCTATATGCCAAACAAAAATTCAAACGACAACAACAACAAAATTTAAAGATGGGCTTGCTATATGTGCATGCATTCGTTCCTTTATAAATTCATTAGTTCATTAAACCATTGCTGAGCATGGACCATGTGATCTGTGTTTGATCTGGTGAAAACACAGAAATCACTAAATATGGTATGATTGTGTCTAATTTCATATCCCTGTGAAAAGAAAACTTCGACCTCTAAAGTTAGACCAACTCTGATAAAAATCCACAGCAAATGACAGAAAGAAGGATACAAATTAAATATGAGGTGGTGGAAAAGTGTACAACAGCCAGAGAAAGAATAAGATTACACAAAGGGATTTGATATAAGTGTATCATATTGCTCCATTCTCAAATATTGTGAATTGAACACATCTCTCAACTAATTTAACATCCATTTAAGGGTAAAAGAAAGCCACTGATAGAATTAGTATTATCTAAAACAAATTTCAGTGGAAAAAAAGGATTTTATATTATCTCCACTTTGTAGGGTCATTTCATTCTGGTGCAGGTTTTGCAAAAACAAACCATTGATTTGGAAATCATAAATATATTCTAAATTTTAATATAGTTACTTATGTTAAACATAATGTGTTAAAGTTTTAGCATATTCTTTTTGACTAATCATTAGTTACTTATGTTAAACATAATATGTTACATTTTTGACATATTCTTTTGACTAATTAATCATTTCCTTTTTAAACTCGGAGAGGCAATGGGGGGTACAGAGTGAGACAGGAAGGCAGCCTCTGTAACAACCTGAGGACTCATGGTTGGGGAAAGATGTCATCTACTTTTAGTCAAGAGATAAATGTTTTACCTGCTAATAGGGAAACCCACCCAAAAGCACAGAGAAAAGTCTGGTCAAAACATTGCATTGCATCTAATAAAAACTAATTAACTGGTTTAAAAGCAAAAGATCCCTTGGTACTGCAAAACTCAATCGCTTTCACAATAAATAGATAAACTGCTTTGTGGGAAGAATTTACTAATACATGGAAGAACTTCCATTAGAAACTACATGTTTATTTGATTTCTTAAAACGTATTTAGGCATAATGTGTGTTCTAATTATTTTCATTTCTTGAAGAATATGTATTCTTATACAATTCTTATTGTTGACAACTTTGTGGCTACACTTTTGTCTTTTCTTCTTTCCTTCCTTTCTCTCTATTATGCCTTCTTTTTCCCCTTTTTTCTTCGTCAAAATTCTTAAGCCTTCTAAAGTCAATCCTGTCACAATGAAAATACATTAAAATGGCTATAACGTCCGATCCATGAACTTCAGTGAACTCTAAAGACTCCTCAAATATACGCAGATGTATAGGATTCTTACGTTTCTCCTAATTTCTACTAGAGAATCTGTCTCTTATCTCTTCTTCCCCAGCTGTTCCTTCTATTCACCCCATATTAACCCAAGCATGAAGCACAGCCCTAATATTTGTTAAAAAATCCAAAAGCTTGTGAAGTTTTAATGAAACCCTAGAACTTGGAAAGTATTATATCAAACTACAGAAAGTTGAAAATTTAATGTTTGTCTCCCTCTTCTTAAAGGTCCTCTACTCAACCTTTAGACTGACAAACTCCTCACGGCTTGCCTCAATGTCTTAAATGCTTTTCCCACCGCTTTTTTTGTTCTACTTCCGATTTTCTGTTTTTAGCAAACCTTGATGTTTCTGGGAATGCCCATGGATAGCCTAGATTTCTTCTTATACCCTGAAAATTAGGAAATCAAGCAACTTTTCCTTATTTCTAATCTACTGTAGGCATTTTTTTTTTTTTTTTTTTTTGAGATGGAGTCTCGCTCTGTCGCCCAGGCTGGAGTACAGTGCAGTGATCTCGGCTCAATGCAAGCTCCACCTCCCAGGTTCACGCCATTCTCCTGCCTCAGCCTCCCAAGTAGCTGGGACTACAGGCGTCCGCCACCACACCTAATTTTTGTATTTTTAGTAGAGACGGGTTTTCACTATGTTGGCCGGGTTGGTCTCCAACTCCTGACCTCCAGTGATCCGCCCACCTCAGCCTCCCAAAGTGCTCAGATTACAGACATAAGCCGCAGCGCCAGGCAGGCATTTTTCTGATATTGCAGAGCTATTGTCATATCCTGTAACCAAAGTAACCTGTTGTAGTGTTATATGGGGGGAGGAGGGGAGTAGTTTTCACGACTACGTTTGGAAACATTCTAGTCTCTGCTATTTATTTACCTTTCCAGTTACTAATACAATAGGTGATACAGGTGAGGCAGATATCAATTTTGGATCTATTCCCCTGTATGGTGTATTTTTTTTCTAGCTGTCCTTAGATTATTATTTACATAAGTTTGTCGCAAAGGGCTTTGTGAAGGAGATTTTTTTTTCCCTTTCTGATGATTACAAGATCAACTGGGAGAAAAGATGGTAAATAAAACCAATGCACTGAATATTGATCTCTGAAGTAACATGAAAAAGTGATACTGATTCACAAAGAGTTCAGAAACTGCAGATGCTTTTCCCTAGTATGTGTAAACATTTGAGATAAAGTGGCGCTCATCAATATACTTAGATGCAAAAATGTTTGACTTATTAAAAGAGTCCCATTAAGAACAATCAAGGAGTTTAATCATAGCAACCAAATTTGCACTTCCCTCAGTATCAGTCAGAAATAAATACAGGAAATTTAAGACTCAACTTTTCTGTTCTGATCAAGAGATCCTATTTATGAAGGGAAGATTATGAAAAGTCTCAGTGATGGACAGAAAGCCAAATAGTTGCGATTGTTGATATCTTTGTCTTCTTCAGATGATGCCTTTAGATCCAGCATTATCCCTCTTGTTCTCTCTTGAGAAAGAAGCTGTTTCTGAGACATACAGCTAACAGTAGAGACCGTGGAACAAAATGCTTGATTCGTAGGTCATTTTGTCTATACTGCAATTAAGAAATGTGAATATATCAAATATTTTTTAAAGTTTTACTCCCAATGTATTACATTTTACTAATAAATCATGTATACTTCGCATGTGTTAAAAATGTAGAATTTTTAGCTAGATTTAGCTTTTTTTGAAATCGTACTTATATTTATCTTATCGTAATTGATTTGATTTTATGTAGCCAGACATTTTATACCATTAAATAAAAGGGTATTTAAAATTAAAAAAAAATTAAAAAATAAAGGAGAAAATAAAACATAAATAGAAGTGACTATGATAATAAAGACTAACAGAAAGAAATTAGGTTAGATGGAGTTTACATTCGAGTTCAGATTTGGGTTAAGCTGCTTTATTGGGATTATTAAGTGCATATGCAAATAAATTAGTGTAGGACATATAGTTTTTAAAATTTTATTTTGCACTTGGGACTATTTGAATTCAGTTAAAAAGATTTTATTACTAGATTTTTCATGATAGCATATCAGTGGTTAGTCAAAATTAAATAAAACCTATAAGGCATTTAACATAGTATATAATATTCGATAAGAGCTAATAATGGAAATAATGAAGAAATGCTAACAATAAATTAAGAAATGATATCTAACTATAGTAATGTATTGTTATTAATAACTGATTATTATTGGCATTTATTTTTAAATCTAGACTAAATCACATACATTTATGTAGTATTCTGAAAAATAACTACATTGTTTGAAATGATACATCAAATTTACTGTTATTCAAAATAGAGATTCCATTACTGAAAATTTGATATGAATGGTTTATTGTCTGGAAATTTTTTCCCTAAAACCGAGCTTGTGAAATATGTTTTACAATGTTGGAAAAGTAAGAAAGAAGTTATTTTAACCTTCTCTCATATTTTTCTTCCCAAATCCTGGGTCCAAGCCAGTGACCTCTCCAACTTTTATAGAAGTTCTTATTCACATATTGTGACACTTTGAAATGAGAGATTATAATTGGAGTGAGCTAAAGTTGTAAAATATGACAATCTGAGAAAATAGGATGGCTTTTATATGTAGCCATGAAGGCAATATTCGAGCAAAGTAAGAAAGATAAAAGACAGCATTGGGGGAATAGCATATTTTTTTTTCTATAACAGGATGTATAATATATCCTAGCACATAAGCTTTTTTGCTCTTGAGCATTGCAAATATTCTTTTTTCTTCTGTGAGCTTCTTTGGCATACACTGGGGATGCTTGGGGGCCTTTTTGAGATGGATTTCTGCTCTCTTCAATATAAGGTGAAATATTTCCAGATGATAAATAGCTCTGGGTCTGTTACTCAGGCAGGGGAGTTCTCAAAGCACATTGGGCTGTTAGAGGGAATTCCTAACCTTGTAAAGTGGTATCCCTCTTGCTCATATAGCAACAATTAAACTAGGGAGAACAAATGAGTCACCTCAGGAGAGTAGACTAGCATAGAATGTTAAATATTCTTGGGCATTCGGTGACTTTGAAAAGAGAACAATTTGCATAACATTACTCAGGCAGAGTTATAGATCATCTTTGGGTCTGATCTTCTTTCATCTATAAATACCTTAAGTATAATCTAATGGCTTTGTAGTTAATATAATGGCCACTATGATGTTCTTGAGCTCAGAATAAGTATTAGCATGAAACTAGGCAACTTCAAAAAAGGAAACACTAAGTGTTTTATAAGTTTACCAGGAAGAATCTAGCAAAAGTAGTTTGTGTTGTACATAATAAAATTATTTCAGACAAAGAAACTCACGCAAAATTTTCTTATACTCATATTGGCTGGTTTAAGTGAGTAAATCCTGTGTGTAAGTAAACAAATCAGTGACAATATTACTTTAAATCTCAATCACTAACTACTAAACCATTCTACATCACTTATAATCATAGATTTCAAGAATGGTAATGGGTCTTACCACTTATACGTGATTATTATAACAAAATGTACTGAGAGTATCCTGTATAAGAAACATATCCCTTACATCTGAATGTGTGTATAGATCTATCAGAAGATTCTGTAATTGCTTTTATAAAGATGTCCATATTAAGTAGGACAGACCTTTATGTGATTGCTTTTGTCCATATATGTTTTGAGACTGAAGAAGAGCGATAGTAAAACAGATAGAGCAATAAAGATTTAGACCACATGTCTGGAAGTTTCTCATTCCAGCAGAAAAATTCAAAATGGGGACCTAGTTCCATGACAAAAGATAATGACAAATAAATTGTTAATATTTAAATATGTGATCCGTCTATATTAAGGAAAGTAAAGACACTAATCCAAATGCAATGCTTGAAACTTATGGGGCTTCGTGTTCAGAAAACAAAGAAAGAAAATGCTACAAAGATATTTGGAGAGAGAAGTGGGGGTATTGAATATGACCCATTATTAAGTGATAACAGGCATTTTAATTAATTTTCTTAACTGAAACTGTGACAATGTGGTTATGCAGGAAAAGGTCTTATTTTCAGAAAACTGGTGCTGAAATATTGTGTAGTGAGTTGGTATGATGTTTGTAAATTATTTTCAAATCATCCATATATGAAAGTAAAGCAAATACAACAAAATGTTGAGAATGGTTTAATCTAGATTGTGAGAATATAGATTTTCATCATATAATTACTTCTATTTTTTCTGTTGATTTCAAGTTTTACTTAATATGATTTTGGTACAGGGAAATGGTGTACCTCCCAAACACCTTTAACTCCTCTTCAGAGAGCATCAGTAATTTATAGCAGAGGAACAAAAATAACAACCCGTAATTCTGATGGGAGGGAGTGGCGTAGAGGTCATCAGAGAAGATGGCCAATTTCTGTAACATTGCACATAGGTGAAGGATTGGTGACTGTTTAAACAAGCCCAAAGGAGCTATATGCGAGTGTTTACACTGAGAGGGCTCCAGCAATGAAGGCACAGCTCTGAAAGAGACCCAGATTTGGCAGTGATTCCAAAGAAAAGGCATAAAATTTGCCAGGAAAAACACAGAGATGAACTAATATTCTATATACAGAATTTCTCCTATATGCTTGAGAATGCATAAAATATAGGCATTAATGACCAGAATGTAAACAATAAAGAAATAATTTTTAAAAGACGTTATTCTGTAGGTAACCTGCAAAGAATTAGGACAGTGTTGGGACACCATTGTGCTTAGAACACCCCCAACCGAATATCTGAAAGTAGAAGAAATGATTGATTCTTTTATTCATTCTAGGCCAAAACTCTGATCAATAAATACAACTCAAAAACTCAAAACTTCAAATTAGGTTATTTATTCTTAAATATGAACAGGAAACTCAGAGTTATCTGGTATTCAAGGAAAGCCCGCCTTATGAATGGCAAAGACTCAAATTCAAAACACAAAAGTAATTCTGAAGGAAGAGATAATTTAAAGAAACCACACAAACACAGACTAATGAGAGTTTTCAAAAAGTTTCAAGAAATCCCACAGTTCACAAAATAAGAATATGATTATTTTTAAAATAACACTTAAAGAAATCCTGAAAATGAATATATCTGTGGTATATGTGTGTGGGTATGCACAATTTGTGTGTATTAAATTTGAAAATGAAGAGCATTACCAATAAATAAAGTAATATACATTTATTGCTTTCACACAATAGTCCAAAAGATATGACAATAAATAATATGAGTGAAATATATATGATACATTGAAGATGTGTAAGGTCTAACATTAAACAATTGAATTCTAGGTTAAGAACACGAAAAACCAAGGACAGGAAATAATCGTGGAAATAATCTTTGATAAAAATTTCTGAGTGCTGAAGGAAAATAGTTTTCGAATTGAGAAAATTTTCTAAGTGTCCAACCTCAAATAGGAAACATAAACACACATAAACTCGCACCTGGAGGCAATGTTCAAAACACAAACCCAAATAAACACATACTCGGAGACAGTGTTCTAAATAATTAGACTACATTCATAAAAATAAGATTATAAACACTAGAGAAAGAGAAGATGAAAATAAAAAGGGAAAAAAGAGGCTCTTTACCAACAAAGAAAATATAATCAGACGGATACCAAGTCCACTCTTGGTTTCTAGAAGATAATGAATACAATTTCAGATGCAAATGTATAAATTCCTTAAAATGTATGAAAAGAAATGATTTCTAATCTGGAAATATATGCCCAGATGAAAATTAATTATATATGAGGGTAAAATAAAGGCATACCGTGATATGAAAAGACTCAAGTAAAATGTCTAACATACACTCATTATTAAGAAATCATATAAAATTAGTGCAAGCCAACAAAATAGTAAACTAAAGTAAATATAACATCCAAGAAAAAGTGTTTCCAAACCAGGAGATTAATAAAGTAAATTCCAGGTTGACAATTGTGCAGATGTTCTTGTTTGGATTAGCAAGAAAGAAACCTCCCAAAGAGAGGCATGTAGTGAAAAGATTTGATGTCTGACCTCAGAAGTGGGATGAATCTAAGGATTTATTTATTCATAAATAAAACCACTAACAGACAAAGATGTTACGGAAAAAAAATCTATATGCAAAATAAAACTGCAGCAATTACATAGGAAATACAAATTATTTGGTAATAAAACAAAAAGGCTTACATTGTTCTAATTAGTGTAAAAAGAGTATTAGTTGTTCTCTTTTTTTAATGTTTTAGCATCAACTGATAGACAAAACTTAGAAACTTATTTATCAGTAGGTGTTCTCAGAGAAAAAGAACAAATTGGATGTTGATATAGCTATAGATGTAGATGTAGATATAGTTATAGATATAGAGATATTTAGAGAGATCTCTCTATATATAGATGTATCCATATATAGAGGATATATATGGATCTCTATATATCTATATATGGATATAGACATATCTCTCTATATAGGTATAGATATCTATATAGATATATAGATATATCTCTCTATATAGGTATATATATATATATATCAATATATATCTCTATATATCGATATATAAAGATTTGTTATAAGGAATTGGCTCACACAATTATAAAGGCTGACTAGTCCAAAGGTATGCAGTTGGCAAACTGTAGACCCAGGATAGCTTCTAGTTCTAGTCTAAAGACGGGCAGGCTCAAGACCCAGGAAAAGCCAATGTTTTAATTGAAGTCAAAAGGCAGAAAAAAAATTCCAGTGTCTCAGCTTGAAGGCAGTCAGGCAGGAAGAGATCTCTGTCACTCACGGAGGGGTTTGCCCTTTTGATCTATTCATTCCCACAGCTATTGAATGAGGCCCATCCACATTAGGGAAGGCAATCTATTTTATTCAGTCTACTGATTTAAATACTAATCTCATTCAGAAACACCCACAGAGGCACACCCAGGATAATGCTTGACAAAATCTCTGGGCAACTTATGGCTCAGTCAAATTGACATATAAAATTAACTATCAGGCTTATTTTTAAAAAGAGGCCTGGCCACACAGGGTGTCTCACACCTGTAATCCCAGCACATTCAGAGGCATAGGCAGGTAGATTGCTTGAGCCCAGAAGTTTGAGACCAGCCTGGGTAATATGATGAAACCCCATCTCTACAAATAAAAAAATAGAAAAATTAGCTAAGCATGGTAGTCTGTGCCTGTAATCCCTGCTATTCAGGAGGATTACTTGAGCCCAGGAGGCAGAGGCTGCAGTGAGCTGAGATTGTGCCACTGCACTGTAGCTTGGGCCACAGAACAAGACCCTTTAAAAAACAAAAAAAACCTAAGGCCTACTTCAGAATTTTTTAGGACAGATTCTGTATAATACAGATGATGGAAGCTGGTGGCGGACGGGGAGAAGAAATGGAAGGAGATGTAAGGGGAAGTGTAAAGGTGTTAATGCTATGATCCTATGAAATAGAGAAACCACAGATACATTCCAATGTCAAAAAAACAACTGTAAACATTGTATTGAAGGGTGTTAGGGTGATGGTTATTTGTATCTACAACCTACTTTTAAATGCATCAAAAATTAAGCTGGGTTAACAGATAGACAAATGGGTAGAAAATAATAAAACAATTATAAACAGTATGTAAAAAATATATAGACTAGGAGGTAAGTATACAGATGAATACTATATACTTTTATCATGAATTTGAAAATTTCATAATAAAATGTTGGAGGCAAGAAGAAAAAAAAGGATACATTCTATGAGTGAACTGAAATTTAGAAACTCAGATATCACTTAGTGTTTTATTGACAACACAGAGAATAAACGATGGTACAGTTTTACTTGGACAAGGCAAGGGGTATGCAGTTTGGAAGTCAACAAATATTATTCAAATTTATAATTAAAGAACTACTATAACATTTAATCATTTAGCCAATTTTATATATGTATTTTTATAAGAACTGAAACAGAAAGAATGAAAATAGAAACAATTAAAAATGTCCCCAGCTGGCTAGGAAAAGAAAGAGTATGGTTTGGGATTATAAACTCTTCGATTCCCTATGATATTTAGCAATTTAATTGTATTACTTTGATTAAAATGTTTTTGATCAGTTTAAACTGATGTAATGAATTCATATTTATTGATACAGAAAAATATGATATAATCCATCTAAAAAGCAAGTTACAAAACAGTGTACAGTGTACCATAGTACCTATGAACACAATTAGTGAAGTAATTTGCAGAGCTATAATACCAAATCAGAAATTATTTTGGTAATGAATTTATGATTTTCCTCGTTTTCTGATTTTTTCCATGATCTCATATACTTTATTCTCAGAAAACAAAAGACAAAACCCCACACATACACAAAAATAAACGAGTAACTTCTTTACAACCCCAGAGGCTAAGTCAGTGGGAAAAGAGGGAAATGAATGGTTATGAGCATAAACACAGGGACAAATAAAAGAAGTTTGGAGCACAGAGAACAATTCACAAATCAGAAGTCATTTTAAAGGACACAGAAATCATGGTTTTAAATATCATTCCATAAGCAAAGAGAATATTAAAATCATTTTTTGGAAAATTCCTTGAAAAATGTTTTGTAATAACTTTTTTATTTTTTACCCTTCTCATCACAACCATCCTCATTACCTCATAAGAGCCATATGTGGTAACTGTCCAGGGTTGTTCATCTCTGCCTCTCGCCAGGAAATACACTGAATTGCAAGAATTAGGTACTACAAAAAGATGCATATTTTATATTAAGCAGTTACATTTAGAAGTAAACTGGTAACTTGATGGCATTTCTATAGCATATATATATATATATATATATATATATATATATATATATATATGCCATACATATATGTATGTTTTTTTTTTTTTTTTACTCATGTATAAAACACATATATCCACATATGGGTTAGTAGTAGTATTTGTTGAACACAATTTTTGGTTTTCACACAAATGCACCTTTTCAAAAATCAATTGTTCCTTCTCCCAACATACCCCAGGCTGGCAAATGACAAATGAAAATAAAATCCCTGCTGGAAATAGTGGTATAAAAAGCATTTTCCATTTTATGTGCACTTTTCAACCCAGAGAAAATAAGAAATTTGTTTTATTTTTGTGCAGTAGTTTCTAAAATATAATCGGAGAGATGCTAGTAAACATTTAACTTTAGATTAGCTTTCTCAAAACTTTTAAGCGCTGGAATGAAAGATTTGCTTACATTCTGAAGCTGGTGCAGGGTATCTTTTTTAAGCCTTCTTTGGCATCTCATTTTCACGCACCATCTGAGATGACTTGGAAAACACCAGAAAATAACAACACTACTTCCACAAAACAACTGCCTGGACAGTGCCTATTTCTACAGCCATCATTTATAGAACTCTTTTTCTGGGGAGAAGTTTTATTTTAAGTGTCAATACTAAAAGATGGTATATTTGGAGTTGGCTGCTTCAATCAGTAAATGTAGTCAGCACCGACTCAGAAACAGCTTATTTTTAATAATTGGAAGAAGAAATATTTCTAGCTGTTAGTTTTAAATGGCTACAAAGGAAAGAAATTATTTTTTTGGAATTATTAGCTTGTCGTATGTGTAGATTAAAAAGGCTGTGTAAAAATGGCATCTTGTGATTTTTTTTTACAGTGAACATGACCCAAAACTATGGAAAAGACTATGAGTTCTTTTTATCTTTAGCCCTCCTTCCTTCTTTGTGCAAATGAGACTAAGAACTTCCTTCACATTGTAAGCAAAGCCTGAATCCCATTGCTGACGTATTTGAGAAAGCAGTTTCATCGATAGAGATCAATTTCTGGAATCACTAAAAATTCAACATTTTCTAAGATTCATAAAAATTATTATAGCTTTAGTCTTGACAGTTGCCTTTTTATTTTAAGGAAATTAACCCCAGAAAACACATAAACACGTGCATATACATACATACACACACGCACATTCACCACACAGTTTATGAAGGAATACAGAGTGCCCACTGGATCATTCAACTTCACTGAATGAATATGCAGAAATTTTAAAAAAGTAATTTTGAAAAATTTCAAATGATACTGAAAAATTTGGTATTTTGTTTTAAAAATCTTGACTCATTTATTTATAAAGTGTGTATATAGATAGATACAAGCAGAGAAATATATATCAATATAAATGTGCAGTAAATATGTATTTATATATATTTACCCTTTCAGTTATATATTTACATAACCGAAACATATAAAATTAACAAAGAAGGCAGGGCGCAGTGGCTCATGCCGATAATCCCAGCCCTTTGGGAGGCTGAGGCGGGCGGATTATTTGAGGTAAGGGGTTTGAGACCAGCCTGACCAACATGGTGAAACCCTGTCTCTATCAAAACTACAAAAATTAGCCTGGCATGGTGGCATGCGCCTTGTAGTTCCAGCTGCTCTGGAGGCTGAGGCAGGAGAATTGCTTGAACCCGAGAGGTGGAGGTTGCAGTGAGCCGAGATCACGCCACTGCACTCCAGCCTAGGCAACGAGAGCGATACTCCGACTCAAAAAAAGAGAAGTTATCTCTAGGTAAGATCATGATGGAAATTTTCATCTTACTTTATACCTTTCACTGTTGAAATTATTTTACAGTTGAAGTAAAGGAAATTTTACAATATCCAACAAGAGCCGATGTCATTTATTTAATATCAAAATTAATATTGGAAAAATGTCTATACTTTAGGCTACCACCCATCTGCCTGAATTAATCAGCATTAATACTTAATTTTAAATATTACCTGTCAACGCAGGTCACTGAATGTGATCTCCTTTAAGGTATTATCATGTAATAAACTGCTACAAAAAGTCTAATTCTCTCAAGAGTTTTATAGTCATCCACTTCATTTTCAGGTCAACATTTTAACATATTTTCCCATATTTTTTTCTGAAGCTTTAATCTCTGCAAAGCCCATCTTTAAATTTGAAGGAAAAGGTAGAAGAGTGAGGAGCAGCAGTAATTAACTTGAATTTGGAACTTGGATATAACTAAAGACACATTTTGCTTCTTCATTTTTATGTCAGTTTGCAAAGGAAACAGTTATGATTTTAGCTAAATACAGAAATTTTTTTCTTTTTTCTTTTTAAAATTCTACTTGTATCACATTTCAAAACCTACTCTGAATTTTCACTCAGTTCCCACAATATTACCATAATTCTTTGAGCTATTGGCAAAATGGATCCATTTTATAAAGTCATGCCTTTTGCATTGAGCTTTTGCCTGTCTCATATATTTAGATAAATTTGAAAGCAAAAGGAATATCCACTGTGTTGAATATCTTTAATAGCATGGTTGAAATTTATAATTTGAAATTCATAAGTTCAAAGAACATTTATCTACTGCTTGATTTTATGCTTGAAACTTCCTATGCTTCACAGCAGTTTTTTTTTAATAGGTGGACAAAAATCCTTCCTCCTATCATTCATAACAATTTTCTTTATACTTAAGTAAAATATACAGAAACTTTTAAAGGAACGTCAAAATCTTGTTCCCTCTTATTGTTGCCACATTATTTTTATTATATTACCCAACCAGGTTTTTATGGTTATGCTTATACTCTCATACAAAACAGTTTTAGAACAAATATTGAAGGAAATGCAGGGTCACAAAATGAATAAGTTTACCTTAATAACATTAATATGAACAATGATATTATTTTATTGAACTTAAAGCACGCTCTTGAGCTTAAGAGCAAAGATGTAGCCACAGTTGAACTTGTATTTATTTGGGCTATAATTACTCATACTAATACACAGGAAGCTTATTTGCAACAGGATATTTATATAATTTAAAATATTTTCAGAGTTTTTGTGTGTGTTGAAATGTTAGGAAAACAGAACTCATTCTTAAGCAATGATTTGCAAAGAGCAGTGCTCATATGCAGATTTTTAAGGCGTAGCCCAAATGGTTAGAAATGCTGCAAAAGTTTAATTTTCTTTTGGGTGATCTGTTGTCTGGAAAAAGCTGTTACATGTAAAAATTTGGATGCTGAAATCAAATGGCTATACCCAAATGAGCAAGAATAGTTTAAAACATTTAAATCAGCATCTGCATAAAAATTAATATAAATATTATTTGACTGTTATGTATATATAATTATATTATGCATAAGAATATATTTATACAAATATATACTACTAGAAAATTGTATATGATGTACTATTTTATTTTATGTAATATTTTATGTATATATTTATTTACACATAATTTATATACTTTTAAGACTGTGTCCATTTTTCATTTATTCTTGGTCTCCGGTTTGAACAACGCTGCTTTATGGCATTACACTGATAATTCTCTCTACTCTTTAGTTCTCTTCCTTATCGCTTATTCATGTGTATCTTATTCCATGCTATAATGTAATGTACCATACATGTGTTGAATTTAAAAAAAAAATTAGCAGAATTTCAATGCTTTCCTATATTACTCAACATAAATATTCTCTATATAGAATGAATTGGAACAAGCTATTTGTGAATCTGAAAGGATAATCAGTGATTCTACCAATCATAGTGGTAAACTCATTCAAACTCAGCCTGTTAAAATGAGACGCTCTGCCCTATATCACTGAAAACCTCTTGATTTGCCAGATTTTTCCCTTCTTTACAAATGAAAATGCTTAGTGTTTTCTGAGTTCCTTTGCACTATCTCCCACTGGATTCAGGTCATTGATTTCATCTTCAGAACACTTGGAAAGTTTATTTTGTGGTGTTTATGAGCTAATTTATTTTTATTGCAATGTTTATTTAAAATGAAACAATAAGTACACTGAAGTTTTGTGCATTTCATTTTATGAAAATGTTATCCCAAAGGGATACAGAAGAACTAAATACAAATTTTCAAAATTTATTGTTTTTTTTTTTGCCTGCTGCTATATCTGAGGTTGTACTTTTGTTCTGATCTTTGTAACACCTCAAAAAAAAAATGGGTTAAGAGAAGGATGAACAGAAGAATGGATATGAGACCTATCTGATAAGGCAAGCAGATTAATAGACGAATGGAGGAATGTTTGGATGTATATGTATATGTGTTCATTGCAGTTTTCAACTTTTTGTGTTGAAATTTTTATAAAAAGAAGTTGGAGAAATAAAAAACAAGAAAACAGAACCATAAGATTTTTATTTAACATTTTTGATTAAAGGAATTGTATTGCAAATTATGACTTTTTAATTTGGCAACATCCTTTTAATGGTGTTCTTTCTTTGTCCTTCTCTTTCTCTTCCTCTCTCTCTCCCTCTCTTCCCTAAAGCTCCATTCCGACTTAGACAAGGGAGAGGGCACTGCGAAATACACCCTCTCAGGAGATGGCGCTGGCACCGTTTTTACCATTGATGAAACCACAGGGGACATTCATGCAATAAGGAGCCTAGATAGAGAAGAAAAACCTTTCTACACTCTTCGTGCTCAGGCTGTGGACATAGAAACCAGAAAGCCCCTGGAGCCTGAATCAGAATTCATCATCAAAGTGCAGGATATTAATGATAATGAGCCAAAGTTTTGGGATGGACCTTATGTTGCTACTGTCCCAGAAATGTCTCCTGTGGGTGAGTAGGCAAATCAAAATTCTGTGAGATACAATGAGACCTCTTCAACATTGACTTTTTGCAGGTTGATGTAAACATCTTATCTATCATCTAAAAGAATTATTTTTCAATTCTAGAAAATACAGTTCTTTTCATTTATTTTTGTAACTTTTTTGTTTTTCTTTCTGCTTCATTATGAAGATAACTACAGGAATATATAACATTAGTTCCTGTTTTCCACCCTGTGAATTTACCTGAATTCATAGAATCCTTGCGTGCTTTAAGCAAAAAATGTATTTTGTATTGAAATTGATTCTTATCTCAATTCCAGACACCTATACAGTGCTGGAGACACCTACCCTACACCACGAAATGCCAGACAGTAATTCCTAGATCAAAGTAAATGATCTAAAGCATGCATCACATCTGATCTGGAAGTGGTCCAGAAACAGGTGTGTTGCATCTTCTGTAGCTGTAAATAGAGATTCTGGAAGGGTGATACTGTTTCCTTTTCAGGGTAAATAACCCATACTTGTTATGCCATCAAGCCAAGCAGCAAATGAATAATGTCATGAAAATATTATTAGAACAAATTAACAAATTACAATTACAATTATCAAATTAACAATTAGAATATAGTAGCACCATCATTCTAAAAATTTAAATTTGATATAAATATACATTTCCATATCAGCCTAAATTTACAAAGTCCTATAATATGTAGGATATAAGGTCAATAAGTTAAGAATTCCAGCTTTAAGGACAATTTTAAATTATAATTTTTATTCCTCAGTCACCACTGCTAATCCTTCAATTTATTTCAAAGTAACTTCTGGTTTTTATTACATTTGGAAGATAAAGCAACTTATCACATGTAGGTTACAACTTAAAATTCGTGTATGAGCCATTGCTTATATTTTCTAAATCTGACATGACCCAGGGGGTTTCTACTGCTCCTACCACCACCCAGGACATGCGATGAAGATTGTGCACGTTACCGTGAGGGCGGAAGCAGGTTAGTAGCTGTAGGAGCTGTCACATGGATTTACTATAATGCACTTGAAATTGTGTATGTGACCTTATCAGGCATTTAAGGACCATAATCTCTCCTTGACCTAAGAAATCAGCTTGAAGTAATTCACTTAGATTTCAAATTTTAATGTGGATACCCAAGGCTGCAAATCTGTTATTCAGTACCTGCTACACTTTTGGGGTTGCCTCTTTTATGCACTGTTAGAATTGCTAGAAATTTAGAAGTCCAATTGGAAAGAAGCATATCTTGTTAGAAAGTATTCCCAGAAAATGAGGAAGGCTACATTTTAACTGTGTCTTGATTTTACAGGGAGAAAAATAAAGTTAATATTTTGAGGAAAAAATAAGGCTTTTAAGATGACATGCTATATAGTAGACAAATAGTTTAACTCGGTGCCTACTTCATGTACACTGGATGTGTTAACATGAATTTATGACCCTCAGTGACTTTTTATTACCAAAACAGCTTCCTTAAAGCAAACACACACACATGCCTCTACAGTATTGGAAAATTCCGTCTCCTTAGATAAAACAATTAGGATTTTTCTTGGGCCAACTAGAATAATTAGGGCTGCAGAGTTGGAGCCTTTATATAAGGAGTTTGCAGCTCATATCCGAAGAGAGAAATGTATTTCGAAAGTCAAAAGTGTAGGTAAGTGAGAAAGCAGAGTAGTTTCAGCTTTTGCATTTGGAGTGGGTATAATTTACTGTGTTGTCATAAGATACTGGAAAGATCTTTGGAAGAATAGGTTCTTAAAGTGTTTTCTCATGTGCCCTTACTGACATTTCCCATTGGGCCTTCAAGACAACTCCAGTAAATACTTAAATTGATTTTCAGTGCACTGCTTTCTTTCATTTTTATTTATTTATTTTGAGACTGGGTCTTGGTCTGTTGCCCTGGCTGGAGTGCAATGGCCCAATCTTAGCTCACTGAAGCCTTAAATTCCTGGGCTGAAGAGATCCCTCCACCTGAGCCTCCTTAATAGCCAGTCATGTGCCACCCTGCCTAGCTATTTTTTTTTTTTTTTTTTTTTTTTTTTACTTTTTGTAGAGAAGGGATCTAGCTATGTTGCCCAGGCTGTTCTCAAGTAGTCCTGGCCTCAAATGATCCCTCCACCTTGGCTTCCCAGAGCACTGGGATTACAGTCATGAGCCACCCTCCTGGCTCCTTTTTTTTTTATTTTTAATAACAGAAGGGTATTTCTTTTGAATGTGAAATTTTACCACATGGTATGAATTAGTCCAAGTGTTTTTATACTAAATTTACATAATATACACTTTTCAAGTAAGTACAAAGAGGTATAAACACTGCTTATGAATTGAATGTTAAAAAATAAATCTCTATGCATTACTTTTGTCTTTCCCCATAATCTCACGTATACACATAAAACAAAAAACAAGGAGACCCAGTTATAGTTGTGGTATCTGCTGTTTCTGCCTTGAAATTTCCAGCTTACAGCTAAGCAACAACTACTGTGCATCCAGAACTTACATCTATGTTCCTAGAGTACTTGAACCCCATTCTCAAGTGCACCCTTCTTACCAGGTGGAAATAGTTCACTGCTGTAATAATCTAAGAAAACATTATGTTTCTCTCTACTTTTTTTTCTCTCATATAATCTAGGCAATTCTCCCTCTGTATCATTTTCCTGAGAAAACTAAAATAATTTTTAATCAAGACCAGATGGAACTTTGTATGGTATATTGACAGTATACCAATTGTTGTGACGAATCTTACTGCCTGTTGTAGATATCAGTGTTTGAAGTATTCCCTATGAAATAACTTTTCTGTCCCAATAATTGAGAGTGCTGTTTCATTTCCAAAAAAAGGGAAGAATTAATCAATTAAACATACATATAGTGAAATAACCTGTTTTGTAACATAAAACATAAGATGAAGAAATATCGGAACATTGATATGAAGTTTAACAGTAATGGATTATATATCCAGAAATATGAACAAATAAACCTGCAATGAAAATTTACTAATGTTACTAATTTTCACTTGTGTAACATGAACATTACAAAGAACATAGTGTACAAAGGGAGAATGTTGGTGGGTAGGATGAGTCAAGATTTCAGAGGAAAATCAATATTTAAGACTTACAGCACTGTGGAATATATTTAATTTTCCTAAAGTTGAAGAAAATTTCAGTGAATCTATGAATTGTTTAAGAGAAAGGTCACTCCGTTACTGACTTCTGCTACATCTAATATTCCAGGGAAGTAATATTTAGAGATAAAAAGCTTTTACTCTGACCTCCGGAAATTACTTAATGATCCAGATACTCCCAAAGTCAAAGCAAATCCTTGGAGACAAGTTTGGACTTTATGAATGTGGACTTAATTCTTTAAGATCACTAGAGCAACAATAAATTACAGGAATGTACCCTCTTTATATCTGATGATTATGCATAAGTGGGGTGTGCAGTTTTAAGTTACTTTTCCTACAGTGCTGACAGGTTTAGAGTGTTAAATCCATACTCAACTTGTATTATCTTCCTCTGCTTGAGCTATGCCACCTTGAGTCAGCTGATTTGACTATTTATAATTAGATACCTAACCTATGATATGATATAGTAGATGTCAATAGTGACTCATGATTTATGTAGTAAGTCTTACCATTTTCTAAGCAGTAGTCAGGTGCCATGTGATCTAACTAAAGATTTGTATTTCTTATTTTACTTAACAATTACAGTAACCCCAATGCAGTATTATTCACTGTTGGATTTTTTTTAATGTGAAAACTTAATAACCCCTGTGGATAAGAAAGTAAGAATGATTCTTAGGTGCTTTAGGACCAAATTAATCAGAATTTAATATACCACTTTGTCTAGGTGTCATGGCGGCTAAAATATCTTTGAGAAAGTTAAACTTAGCTTTCAATCTCAGATGATCTACTTAAGAATTTGGAAAGTTTATATTATATTATTTGAGAATGGGGATTCTTGCTTAAACGAAACCTGAAGGATGGGCATCTTTCATTCAATATCTTAAAAAGAAAGTTTAGCTGACATTTAAATAAGAAAAGATACACCTAAAATAAAGTAGAACACTGGTTTAATAAAAATAGTGAACAGGTACTCCCTTGCCTTTCTATTTTTCTCTCAACTCTATTTTATTTTACATGAAGTTTGGGGAGAAATGCTAAGATGAAATTTTTGGTGGAGTCTTTCAGAGGTTATTTAACCAGAGACTATTTTCTTTTTTCTTTTTTTTTTGAGATGGAGTCTTGCTCTATTGCCCAGGCTGGAGTGTAGTGGTGCGGTCTTGGCTCACTGCAACCTCTGCCTTCCATGTTCAAGTGATTCTCCTGCCTCAGCTTCTCGAGTAACTGGGATTACCGGTGTGCACCACCGCACTCAGCTAATTTTTGTATTTTTAGAAGAGATGGGGTTTTGCCACATTGGCCAGGCTGGTCTCGAACTCCTGACCTCAAGTGATTTGCCTGCCTCGGCCTCCCAAAGTGTTGGTGTTAAGGACATGAGCCACAGTGCCCAGCCAACCAGAGACTACTTGTTTCGTGGCCATATTTAAACGGTCTAAGAAGGAAAAGTGAAGACTGTCTGTACTTTACATTAATGAACTATTACAATTTAGAAACATATATAAGTCTCCACACTTCCTTATTTTCACAAAAATGCCATAGAGAGACAAATTGAAACATAAAAAACTAGATATATTCTCTCATCCCATGAGCCAGCCATGGAAACAGAGAGCAGCTCAATTAGTAGCAGAGGAACAGGTGAATTATCATCCACTTCTATCTATGCCCTAAAAGCAGAGTTTTCTCAGAAGCTTGAAGACAGAATGTTGACTATTTATTTTCCACACATAAAGACATTCTCCTTGTGCAATCAAACTACAATGTTTAAAATCAGGAAATTTGCATTAATGTATTATTATAATCTAATCCTTCAGCCCTATTCAAGCATTAGCACTTGTCTCAATAGTGTCTTATATAACAAAAAGTTCAAGTTCAAAATCAAACATTGTATTAAAATGTTAGGTCTGTTTAGTTTCCTTTAATCTGAAACAGGTTCATATTTTTTCTTGGTTTCCGTGACTTTAATATTTTTGAAGATTTCTGCCTAGTTATTTTTTAGAATGGCTCTCCCATCTTGAGTATGTGTGATGTTTCCTCATGTATGAATGAAGCATATACATCTTTGTCAGAAATATCCCAGAAGCAATTCTGTACTCTCCTCATTATGTTCTGTTGGGTGGGCCATGGTTTTTGATTTGTCTCATTACTGATGATGGTTACTTTTATTATTTGATAAAGGTTGTATATAACTTATCTATTATGGCATAATACATTAGCTAAAACCTTAGCGGTGTAAAACAGCAGATACTTACGTTTCTCATAGGAATGGCTCTATTGAGTACCTCTGTCTCAAGGCTTCTCAAGAGTTTGTAGCTACCTTGTTGGCTGGGGTTGCGGTCTGATCTAAAGGCTTAGTTAGGGGGTGGTAGAAATCTTCCATATGTTCTTTGCTACGTGGACCTCACAGGCCTACATCATAACGTGGCAGCTGGCTTTCCTCAGAATGAACTACCCAAAAGAGAGCTAGACAGAGAGAAAACCCTCTGATTGAAGCCATAGTCTATTTATAACCTAATCTTGAAAGTGACATCACATCCCATCTGCCATATTATACAAGTAAGTGCAACGCGAATACAAGAAAGCCGGGATCATTGAGGGCTCTCCTACAGTCTACCTACCACTCTCTATACTCTGGCTCTCAATGATTCATGTTGCTCTCTCATGCAATATATCCTCATCCCCTTCTGAGGACCCCAAAATTTTCAACCCACTATAGCATCAGCTCAAAGTCCAGAAGCTTTTCATCTAAATCAAGTCCAGATGGGGAAGTGATTTTGGGTTTAATTCTTTTTTTTTTTTCTTTTAGATTTTTTTACTTTTAGTTTTGGAGTACCTGTGCAGGATGTGCAGGTTTGTTACATTGATAAACATGTGCCAGGGTGGTTTGCTGCACCTATCAACCCATCACATAGGTATTAAGCCCAGCATGCATTAGTTATTTTTTCTAATGCTCCCCATCCCTCCCCTCCACCCCCCATCAAGCCCCAGTGTGTATTGTTCTCCACCCTGTGTCCATGTGTTCTTACCGTTCAGCTCCCACTTCTAAGAGACAACATGTGGTGTTTGGTTTTCTGTTCCTGCGTTACTTTGCTAAGGATAATGGCTTCCAGCTTCATCCATGTCCCTGCAGAGGACATGATCTCATTTCCTTTTTGTGGCGGCATAGTATTTCATGGTGTATATGTACCACATTTTCTTCATCCAGCTTTGTGATACTAAAGAGGCCAGTTACTTACTACACATTCACCAAAAATACAGTGGCAAAACAGGAATAATGTCTCTAGACATTCCTGTTGAAAAAAATGGGAAAATGCACAGACTAAAAGAATGATTGGTCCACCACATTTTAAAATCCCAGTGGTAAATGTTGCAAGTCATTTGATTATATTCAACACCTGTGAATAATTATTCATGCCTCTCATCTCTGACCTCTAGGCTCTTCGTTCTGCCTTTTGAGTTATTCTTTTTTTTTTTTCCATGAAATACAGCTGGTACTTGCAATAGTACTTGGGTGTTGAACTTGTTAAGAGTGCATATCCTTTTTTTCAGATCCATCTATCATTTCCTAGTTGTATGTGGTTGTGTGGGTTATTTCTCCTCTTTTACATTGATTTTCTCACCTGCAAGTGAATAATAGTAACACTTTATGAGCAGGGTTATTGCAAGTAGCAAGGAGAAAATATATATTTACCATTTGCCACAATCCCTGGGGAAGTGCAGTCAATACATTGGAAAGGGTCCTCATAAGAGTTTGATGATCATTCTCAGAAAGCTAGCCAGAGAAAGTCTAAATGGTAAAGGTTCCAGCTCATTATCTTCTTCCCTTTTCTCAAGTTTTCTCTCCATCTGACATGTGAGCTCAGTATTTACCATTGCCCTTTCTACAAATTTAACCAAGTTTATTTAAAAACATAATGACCTTCTATCCCAATTTACATTTTCTTTGGTGTAGAGGACGCCTTTACCTTGATGTGTGGAGACAAGCCGTTGATTTGTAAGAAACACCAATTATCAGCTTCCACTTGTGCTTCACAATCTGCTGAGTCGCTTTAACACTTTTGATGAAATTGAGCAAGGCCTTGTGATCTCTCCTGTGCCAGCCGTGAAGTGTCCACTGCACGCAGCTTGGCAGAACTATTTTCAGGGCCATAGGATGTTATGGCTGTGTGGGCAGGGAGCATTTTATTCGTCTGTTTGATTCCTATGTTTTTATTAGTGGTGCAATTGCAAAGGTAATGCTATTGACACTTTTTGTGTAGCCTTGAGAGAAGAGTATGAATTGTTTTAGTAGCAGCACAGCGTGTCCCTAAATATAAATCATGCTGTACTGATAGTTACTTTAGCAGCCACTGATCAGCAATAAATGTTAAAAATTAACAAGAAGTTTCTTTTTTTCGAAACCGCCAAATGACTCTAAGCATTAAATATATTTTAGCCGGAGTTGCTTCTCGGCCACAGAGTGGTTCACAACATTAAACATATTTTCAAAGTATTACTCCTTCCCCAGCCTCCAAGTGGTTGTAAACATTAAATATGTCTTATAAAAACTGCTTTGCCAGCTACTGGCAAGACAGCTATGAACATCATTTTTCTTTAAAGTTGCCTTCCAGCTGCGGGACTATTTTTCCTTATTTGCTCTATTCTATTTATATTTTGTACACAAAAGCAGGCAAGAGGCTACATTGGCCCAATTGTCTCTGGCTTTATGATAAGTGATCGTGGGAGAGCAGTTGCACCTCCGTAAAACCCTGCTGGCCACAGGAGCTTGCTGAAGTTCAATCACTGATACTGAATATTTCATATAGATGTCAGCTGTGTCTTCCAAAATAATTTTTGTTTTTCATTGTGCAATGTGTTGAGGCATAAAGATGGGCATGCATTAACATCAGCATTAAGAAAAATAACTTGAAGCAACCAGACACTGATGAATTATACCCACTGATTCAGGTGAAAATATTCCGTGAAGAGAACAGACTCAAATGGCAGGACTAGTATGTTAATGAGGTCTTTAACCCAAACATGATGAAAGACTTGGAACCTCTGTCTGGAAATCATCCAGTCTGACAACTGCATGCGATTCAAAAAGAGTGAAGAGTATGCTATTACATAAAGGTCTATCCAGGACTTAGAGCAGGAAATCTTTTCATTTTAACCAAATTCACAGTGAAAATAACGTGTGTCCCCTGAGTGAATTGAAAAATAAATTAGCTCTATCATCTCAGGCACAGTAATTCATCATCAGGCCAAATAATTAATTACTCAGGAAGGCTTTGATTTCTATGGGAGCCAAGTGTTCTCCAAATTGTGTAGTACTGTATCTTGCCAAATGTTTTATTTTAGGTGTATGTTCAACAGGTTCCAATATTCATCAATACCTACGTTGACAGGCACTATTTTAGGTACTGGAGCTAGAACTTGAGCAAAAAAGACAAAAAGTCCTCCTCTCAGGAAGCTTTTACTCCAAAGGCCTCCTGCAGGGGCAGCAAGCTAAACTCTGTGAGCTAAATTCAACATATCATCTGTTTTTATTGGAACAGTTACACTTATTCATTTCTGTGTTGTCTATGGCTGCTTTCACACCACAATGGAAGAGCTGGCAACAGAGACCATATGGCCTGCAAAGACTAAAATATTTACTATCTGCTCCTTCACAGAAAAGTATGTTGACCCATTACATAGTGGATTGAGTTTGAGAGAGGAGATTAAGGTAAGGCCAACATTTTAAATCGACCTATGAGGAAAAAGTGTTTTTTTTCTCCCTAAAAATTACCTCTTCCAAAAGAAAACAAAACACAAAAAAACATAAAAATAAAAAGAAAGAAAATGGCAAGACCCAAGGTAAAATGAAGGGTAAAAGTGAGCACCACACTAATACATATGTATCAGCGTGAAATCAGATGCTGCCATTTAGTTCCTGCTGAAAGTGTTGGTTTGGCTTTATTAAAATAACTTAAACACAGTCTTTCAATGTTATAGACTCATGGTAAAGGTTTCTTTTTCCTTTTGTGAATTTTTAAAAATTTCTCTGCAAAAATTATTCCTCACACAATTATGTAACTTTATATTTTCGATTAAAACTAAAACTAAAAATGTTGAAAGAACAACTCGATATTGGATTAAAATATTCATTTTCCATCTTCATTCTCAGGATTCATATTTGGTTGCCTCATTGCGATATAAGTATGTTGAAAAAAATGGAAAATTGCTGAAAGCAAAAATTTTAAAACTCACCAGTATTAATAATTATCACCAAATAACTATTACAGAAAACTTCCTCAGAAAGTAAAATTAGAGTGAAGGTATCACAGGTTGGCACTATTTTCATTCCCGACCAAGAAACTGACACCTGAAAATTAAAAAAAAAAAAAATCAGAGTCTACAGTTTTACAAATAATTAACAAAATGAACATCAAAATAGGGTGCAATTTGTTTAATTGGCAAAGGCACACAACGAAAAAGAAATATGTCAATTAAACTGTCAACCATGTTAATTTTGCCTCTGAGAAAAACATTGTAATGGGATAATTTCACGAAATGCTTTGATGACAAGAAAATGCCAAAATATGATTAGCTACTTCAAAATTCAGCTGAAACAAGAAAGCAATTGGTGGCAGCCAGAATAACCAAAGGTCTTTTTTTTAATATACCTTTTTCTTTCCGTCTCTTTTTGCCTCTGTTTAATCAACAGCGTACATTTTGTTTGACAGTGAAATGATTCATAATGAAAACACTGGCATCACAAAAACTTAGCAGAAACTTTGCTATAAGATTAGAGTATACACTTCTATTTTCCCCAAACTCTTTAAAAATATAATTACTATTTCTGAAAGAATTTGTTATCTTTATGAAATAATGTATTTTTCTTACTAGCATTAAGTGCTTATTTAGCTAAAAGCCAGAATTAGAAGCAATTCACTCATATGAGTATGTTTATATTTATATTGTCAAATATATTTACTTAGAATTTAAACCAAGATATATTTTATTTATTGTTCTCATCACTGCCTGTTAGTCAGAATGGATATTTTAAATTTTACCAGGTCATGTAAATTTTACTACCTATATTTCTTATTCCTGTTTGTTTAGAAAAATAATCTAGTCTATACCTAAGCTAACAAATAATCCTAAACATTGAAAATACACACATGATTATGAAGAATTCACTTTCTAATAAGTTTCAGCTTTTTACAAATGGCTGCTTAAATATAATGCATAAATATGACGTATTTTTAAAAATACATCTTGTTTATGCATTACTTGAACCATAACTAATCCCCATTTCCAGTCAAAAAGAACACTGTCTACATATGTTAATCTCTAATACAACAAAAGCAGGCTTAGCTTAATGGGAAACTTATTAGAGTAAAATAGTTCTTTTTATTTTGTATTTTATTTTATTATTACAATAAGAAGATTATAATTTGGTAACCAGCAGGAGAAGAAAGACTTCCAAAGATTATTTTATGGGTCCATGTATTTGCTTTTCCTGAGGGTAACTAGTGCTAATTCTAGAAAGGCAGAATGCTGTAGGAAAAACAAAATAAGCCCTGGAGTACAAAAGATTTGGATTCAAACTTTGAAGAAGGATGGGGAAGTGTTTAGGAAAGTGCTTCCCTGTGTAAAACTTAGCTGGTAAGTACCGTATTTCACTGAAATTGCTGTTATAATAATTGAAACAGATTATTATTGGAAAAACAACATCAGCAAAACTAAACCCTAGATGAGTTTAAATAAGTGCCAGCCATTTTTCTCCTGTGGGGATTTAGAGTTGAAGTGGGTATCTTCGATTACTTTTCTTTATCCTCATTCTTATTCTTATAATTTTTCCTAATAAGTCACCTAAGAAGGGCATTTAAATAAGTGCTAGCCTTTTTTCTCCTATGGGGATTTAGAGTTGAAGTGGATGTCTTCAATTACTTTTCTTCTCTATTCTCGTTCTTATTCTTATAATTTTTCCTAATAAGTCACCTAAGAAGGGGATTCTAGAAACATCTCTTTCCAAGAATACATATTGTTTTAAGAAATATCAGTTACCCCAAATACTTGAATAGAAACTAGGAAAACAGGAGAGGGAGATTATAGGTGTAAACAAGGAATTACTGTGCAGTAATATGTGTAGTGGACGTGAAAAGTAATGACTTAACAGTTTGAATACACAAAGATGGACCAAACAAATACATTTATTTCTCCTTTATTCCAGATTGCCATTGAAATAGGAAAATACAGTACTTATTAAAATAACTATGGAAAGTTGAGAAGAATTCTACCAACAGACTAAAGAGTAAGCAATTTCTGAAGGACATAAGTCATATCAGAGGCACTTTAGTCTTTGGCCATAATAGAATTATTGGAGGGACTTGCCTTTTCACTATAAACAATGATAAAACTGGGCAACATATATGAGGAACCAGATTTTATGCATCAAACAAGAAGTACAAGTTTTTCATACTCAAGAGAGAAGAAAGCTGTGAGGTAAGTACCACATTTAACCAGAGAATGTGACTAGGGGCACTTTTTCTCCCATTAAACAAGGAGGCAGACTCTAAAAATAATGAGTTTAGAGGAAGAAATTAAAGCTTAAAGCTCTCATTTTGTAGGTTGTCTGCTTATTTGTTGATAATTTCTTTTGCTATGCAGAAGCTCTTAGTTTAATTAGGTTCCAAAAAGAGGTAGGGGTAGAGGGACAAGAGCCAAGGAACTTCCTGTTAGGTATTCAGTTCACTACCTGGGTGACAGGATCAGTGGAAGCCCAAACAGTAGCAGCAAGCAATATAACTTTGTAACAAACCTGCACATATACCCCCTGAATCTAAAATTACAATTAAATCTCTATCTATATCATCTCTCTCTCTCTCTATCTATCTATCTATCGATATTTGTAAATAGCTTACACTTGCTTAAGTGGTTGTTATTTAAGAGCTGCTGAAGTGGCTGAAATTTGTATAGGAAAGGAAAAAGAGGCATGGGGTAGGCCTACAGAAGCCAGAATAAGTATTTGGCACCAATTTCGTCAAAAGCTGCTCTATACCTGAGCAGGGTTAACATCTGCAAGACCTGCTGAAAGCAGATACTGTGGGAATAAGATATCAGTAGTAACAGGACAAGGAGATGTTTGGGTTACTGACTAGCCACAGGGAAGATATTTTACGGAATATTCCAGGCATTAAGAACAAGGACTATTTCTTTCAGTAAAGACTATGTCCTATCTTTAAGAACAAAAATGAAAGAGATTTTCATTAACAAATAATGAAACCAGGCATGGCAGATCAAAAGGATCTGGAAGCCACTTAACAGCTTTCAAAGGACTATCTTAGGGCCTTTTACAAGAAGACAACGTCTAGATTTTCTACAGTGTATTAGTCAAAAATACAAGTTACGCAAAGGAGCAGGAAAATTTAATAAATAATCAAGGGGAAAAAAGCAGTCAATAGAACATACATCATAATGACCCAGGCATTGAAATCAACAGATATATATTATGAATATGTCCTTAGACTATGGAGATATTGTCACAATGATAGAACGAAAAAGGTAATTTTGAGAAATGAACATTGTTGAAGTAACAAGTGCAAAATATACAATGAAAGAGTCACTGGCAGGGTATACTCTCAGATTTCAGCTCTCTGAAAAGCAGACAAATAACCTTGAAAACCATTTTTGAATTTATCTAATCTCAAACAAAAGAGGAAAATGATTAAAATAAGAGATTGAATGACATGGGATATCAAGCCATCAAACCTATACACAAATGAAGTCTCAAAAGGATGAGTCAGAAAATGGGAAAGAAAAAATATATTTGAAGAAATAATTGCCAGTGTTTTCAAATTTTGATGAAAAATTTCAATGCAGAGATCCAAGAACATCGAATCAACAAGAACACATGTATGAAGGGTATAAAGCCAATAGCATAATTAAAATGAAATATTGAAAAATATCCATTTACTCTAAGGAAGGTAACACTGAACCGGTGAAGAAAGAAATATCAACAACCAAGGGAAGAGAACAACACCCAAATAAGAAAATAGTAGGCAAATAGTAACATGGTAGATTTAACAACACTGACATCACTGATTAAATGTAAATGGATTGAACATTTATATTAGTTTCCTAGGGTTATATAACAAAGTACCATAAACTAGGTGCCTCAAGCAACAAAAATGTATTATCTCAAGTCCTGAAGGCTAGAAGTCTGAATTCAAGGTACTGGTTCCTTCTAAAGGCTGTGAAGAAGAATCTGTTCTAGACATCTCTCCGTGGCTTTTAGATGGCTTTCTTCATGTTCATATGTTGTGCTTTCTGGTGGCATTTTTGTGTCCAAATTTCCCCCTTTCATAAGGCCACCAGTCACATTGGATTACAGGCCACTCTAATGATCCCATTTTGACTTGATTACATCTATAAAGATCCTATCTTTCAATAAGGTTGCATCCTTAATTACTGGGGTAAGGACTTCAACGTATGTTTTTTTTGGCAGACAATTCAACCCATAACACACTTAAATTAAGAGCTAGCAATTTTGAGACTGGATTTAAAAAGGACAAAACTATATGCTCTGTATAATGAATGCATTTTTTTTTGAGATGGAGTCATAAAATTGGTTGAAAATGAAAGGAAGTAAAACTGATGTAGCTGGCTAATACCAGAGAAAGTAGGATTCAAAATAAGCTGAAATATCAGAGATGGAATGATAAAAGGTTAAGCTCATTAGCAATGCATTATAATTCTCAATGTTTATACAACTGATAACAGAGTGTCAAAATGCATGAAGTAAAAACAGACAGAACTAAACAGAGAAATAGACTTTCACTCATAGTTGAAGATTTTAATCATCGGCTCAAAATAAACAATAGATGAACATATAAAAATTAGTAAGGATTTGGAAGATTCTAATAATACTATCAACTAATGTAGTCTAATTTCAAGTTTTAGAACACTACACAAAAAATTTCATGGAAATATTTTTATCAAATTTACATGGAATGTTTACGAAGGACTGTGTAGTCTCGGTCATTAAATAAGTCTCAATAATTTGCAAAAGATTAAAAATTATCTTCAGAGGTGAAACAATGGTTTTTGCGTTGATTGAGATATTGATTAAATATGTACATTTGTGAAAACTTACTAAATTGAATGCTTAATTTCTGTGCATTTTGCTGTATCTCAATTCTAATAGAAAGACAGGCAAACATATAAATACCTATTACAGACATACCTACACACACACACGTGTGTGTGTATGTGCGTGTGTGTATGTGTGTGTATAAGTCATTTGCATATATACTGGCAGTGAATCCCAGTAAAGGTGAGGAATACATATTCTCACACTGGTAGAAATGATGACTTTTTACAGTCTGATTTTTTTTGTGTTTTAATCCAGAAATAATCCCAAAATTAGAGATACAAGGGAATGGTAATTGGTCCATAGAATAAGAACTGTCCAAGAAGTTTATAGCACATGACTCCCTGTCCCACGCTCAATTGAGGTTTGTTTTATGTCTTTGCTCTGGGAAGAAAGCCCCCAGTTTAGCTTTCTAAATGATGAGTTCAGAATCTACTCACAAGCATTAGAGATTAGTAAAGTTCCTTGTATTCAGTAGAGTTCCTTGCAACAAGCATGAGCAGTAGAGATGCTGCCACTTTCAAAAGACTTACATATGGACCACTGAAAAGAAAGGCATTATGTGGTCAATTTTAGAGCATGTGTCATGTGGAGATGAGAAGAATGTATATTCTGTTGTTTTTGGATGGAGAGTTCTGTAGATGTCTATCAGACTCATTCGGTGGAATGTTGGGTTCAGATCCTGAATATCATTGTTAATTTTCTACCTTGATGATCTGTCTATGACTATCAGTGGTGTGTTAAAGTCTCCTACTATTATTGTGTGGGAGCCTCTTTGTACTCTAAGAACTTACTTTATGAATCTGTGTGTTCCTGTGTTGGGTGCATATATATTTAGGTTAGTAAGGTCTTCTTGTTGAGTAAAACCCTTCATCATTATGTAATGCCCTTCGTCTTTTTTTTTTTTTTTTTTTTTGAGACGGAGCCTCACTCTGTCGCCAGGCTATAGTGCAGTGGCATAATCTCAGCTCACTGCAATCTCCGCCTCCCGGGTTCAAGTGATTCTCCTGCCTCAGCCTCCCGAGTAGCTGGGACTACAGGCACACACCACCAAGCCCAGCTTATTTTTTTTTTTTTTTTTTGGATTTTAGTAGAGATGGGGTTTCACAATGTTGGCCAGGATGGTCTCGATCTCCTGACCTTGTAATCCGCCCACCTTGGCCTCCCAAAGTGCTGGGATTACAGGTGTGAGCCACCACTCCCGGCCCCTTCTTTGTCTTTTTTGAACTTTGTTTGTTTGACGTCTGTTTGGTCTGAAATTAGGATGCAACCCCTGCTTTTTTCTGTTTTCTACATGCTTGGTAGATTTTCCTCCATTCCTTTATTTTGAGCCGATGGGTGTCATCACATGTGAGATAGGTCTCAAAGACAGCATACCATTGAGTCTTGCTTTTTTATTCAGCTTGCCCCCCTTTACCTTTTAAGTGGGGCATTTAGCCCACTTACATTCAAGGTTAGTATTTGATATGTGTAGATTTGATGCCCTCTCTCATGACTCCTATTCAACATAGGAAATCCCAGCCAGAGTAATCAGGCAAGAGAAAGAAATAAAGGGCATCCAAATAGGAAGAGAGGAAGTAAAATTATCCCTATTTGAAGCTGACATGATTCTATATCTAGAAAACCCCATAGTCTCAGCCGCAAAGCTCCTTCTGCTAATAAAAAAAACTTCAGCAAAGTTTTAGAAAGAAAATCAATGTACAAAAATCACTAGCATTTCTATAAACCAACAGTAACCAAGCTGGCAGTCAAATCAGGAAGGCAATCCCATTCACAATTTTCACAAAAAGAATAAAATATCTAGGGTAAAATACAACTAACCAGGGAGGTGAAAAATCTCTACAATGAGAATTACAAAACACTGCACAAAGAAATCAGAGAGGATACAAACAAAATGGAAAACATATCATGCTCATGGATAGGAAGAAGCAATATCATTAAAAGGCCATACTGCACAAAGCAATTTACAGATTAAATGCTATTTCTATCAAACTACCAATGACATTCTTCACAAAACTAGAAACAACTGTTTTAAAATTCATGTGGAACCAAAAAAGAGGCCAAATAGCCAAGGCAATCTTAAGAAAAAGAACAAAGCTGGAAGCATCAGGCTATCTGACCTCAAACTATACTACAGGGCTATGTTAACCAAAACAGCATGGTGCTGGCACAAAAACAGGGACATAAACCAATAGAACAGAATAGAGAACCCAGAAATAAAGCCACACAGCTATGATTATCTGATCATCAATAAAACTGACAAAAACGAGCAATGGGGAAAAGACTGTCTTTTCAATAAATGGTACTGGGATAACTAACTAGCCATATGCAAAAGATTGAAACTGGACCCCTTCCATACACAATATACAAAAATCAACTCAAGATGGATTAAACACTTAAATGCAAAACACAAAATTAGAAAAACCCTGGAAGACAACCTAGGCAATACCATCCTGGACTTAGAACAGGCAAGGATTTCATGACTAAGATGTCAAAAGCAATTGCAACAAAAGCAAAAATTCATAAATGGGAACTTCATTAGTCCATTTTCACACTGCTATAAAGAACCACCAGAGACTGAGTAATTTATAAAGAAAAAGGTTTAATTGACTTGAAGTTCAGCATGGCTGGGAAGGCCTCAGGAAACTTACAATTATAGGAGAAGGTGAAAGGGATGCAATGCACCTTTTTCACAAGGCGGCAGGAAGGAGAAGTACCAGGCAAAGCTGGGAAGAGCCCCTCATAAAACCATTAGATCTCGTGAGAACTCATTCACTATCACAAGAACAGCATGGGTGAAACCACCCCCAGATTCAATTACCTCCACCTGGTCTCTCCATGTGGTGATTATGGAGATTATAATTCAAGATGAGATTTGGGTGGGGATACAAAGCCTAAACATATCAGGATCTCATTAAACTTATTAAGAGCTTCTGCATAGCAAAAGAAACTATTAACAAAATAAACAGACAACCTACAGAATGGGAGAAACTATTTGCAAACTATGCGTCTGACAAATGTCTAAAATCCAGCACCTATAAGGAATTTAAACAAATTTACAAGAGAAAAACAACCCCACTAAAATGTGGGCAAAGTACATGAACAGACACTTTTCAAAAGAAGATGTACATGTAGCCAACAAGCATGTGAAAAAAAAAAAAAACTCAATATCACTGATCATTAGAGAAATGCAAATTAAAACCACAATGAAATATAATTTCATACCAGTTAAAATGGCTACTATTAAAATGTCAAAAAATAACAGATGCTGGCAGGTTGTGGAGAAAAGGAAACACACACTGTTAGTGGGAGTGTAAGTTAGTTCAACTATTGTGGAAAGCAGCATGGCAATTCCTCAAAGAGATAAAAGCAGAACTACCATTCCAACCAGCAATCGCATTACTGCATATATACCCAGAAGAAAATATATCATTCTACCATAAAGACACATGCACACAAATGTTCATTGCAGCAATATGCACAATGGCAAAGACATAGAATCAACCTCAATGCTCATCAATAAGAGTTTAGATAAAGAAAATGTGGTATATAGACACCATGGAGCTATAAAAAAGAATGAGATCACGTTCTTTGCAGTAACATGGATGGAGCTGGAGGCTATTATACTGGGCAAATTAACACAGGAACAAAAAACCAAATACTAGAAAATACTGCATGTTCTCACTTACAAGTGGGGAACTAAATTATGAGAACACATGGACACAAAGAAGGGAACAGCAGACACTGGAGTCTACTTGAGAGTGGAGGGTGACAGGAGACAGAGGAGCAGGAAAAATAATTGTTGAGTACTTGGTACCTAGGTGACAAAATGATCTGTACAACAAACCCTGATGACACGAGTTTACCTATATAACAAACTTTCACAGGTACTCCCAAACCTAAAATAAAAGTTAAAAAAAAAAGAAGAAAGCAAGCCCAAACCCATGCTGTACCACATGGCAGCATGGCATTGCAATTTTCAATTACTTGGGGGAAATAAAGATTCTCATGTGATTAGAGGAAATAATCTTTATTTAATAACAATGCTTAATAAGAACACTTGACAATAGATGGCTGAGAAAACCAAGAATCACCAAATATTTAAATAAAAATAAAAAATAAAGAATATCCTATCTATGAAATGATATAAACACTAAGAAAATAGAATTAACAGAAGAAACTAAAGAAAATGTCAATAGCCTTGGTGTCCATACAGGAATAGGAATCACAAAAATAACCATAAAATATCTTTAAAAATACCTTTTACAAGCAATACTCCAGAATGTCAGAAATTAAAAATATCATTAGCAAAATAAAATGTAGTAAACAGAATAAATAATATAAAAGATAAAACTGATGTCTAAAGATTACCCCAGAATCTGAACTGCATGAGGGGGAATAATAATTACATTACTGGATATGAGAACAACTATTTAATAGACACATCTACTTGGACGACAATGCTTTTTTTTAAATGTCAAATTTCCAGTTTATTAATTTTAATACATTTCTGATCAAAATTACTCATTTCTTTTTGTGCCCTTATTTTTTGCATTAATTTTCATTTTTTACATCTCCATGCTGAATTGAAAAAAACTTCTACTGACCTGTATTTCAGTATATTAATTATTCCTTCAATGGTATCTAATCTGGTGGTAAATTATCTATTATATTTAATTTAAGTAATCACATTTGTATTTTAAATGTTTTGCTTATTTCATCCACAATATAATACTAACACAGTTTTTTCTCTACAATTAGTTTAAGCTTTTAACTAAATTTTTAAAGAGTAAAATATTTATTATCTTTCTCTGATATTGTCCAATGTTTGAAGTCTTTGTGGGTCTAATTATGTTTCATGTTGTTTTTGTTGATTTTAACTTATTTTGCCTTGTTTCACTGTGTTCTTGAGAATATTGTAAGATTTAGCTTCAGGGTATTTTTATAAAGCATTCAGATTTGCTTCTCCCTAACACCTGGGCATACGAGTAGGACCACCTTAAAAAAATGTTCAATTTTTGAGATTACCTGAGTCACGCAGTCACACAAACCCAAGTAGTGGATCCAAGCTACCACTGCTTTAGGTCTGTCTGGTTCACCTTATGCTGAGGGTATAAGATTTGGTCATCTCAATCTTTTAAGGGAGGGCTCCTTAAGAAGACTTAACATATGCTAGTCTTCGGTTTTGGTTTCTTTCTCATTCACCCTGAAACTGTCAAAATAAATATTAATATTTGTAGAGATCGGCAAATTGCAACTGGTAAGGTTATATCCTTACCTCTCTGGGTTCTTCTTTTCTCTTCAAATTTGGTTTGATCACTTATTAAAATTTTATAAGCTCTCAATGCTTTTTAAAAGGTGTTTTAAATGTGCAATCACTAGCATTTTTTAAAGTTTTTTCATTGGGAATTATAGTCTGAATAATATCCCACCATAACTAGAAAATGAAATACCTACCTATTACAAATGCAATACATTTTATATATTGAGTAATTTGCCTTTTTCTAATTAATTTTATTTTAAAACTCATATTAAAATCTATATTTTATAAGAAAAAAAAAAGCTTGACATTTGATTAAGACCAACTTAGCTTCACAAATCTCTACCCGAATGACCACAGGCAAGTGATCTGACATTTGCAAGTGCCTATTTTTTTTTTTTTCATTTATAAAATGGAAATACATAACTGAGCTTAATGTGGATCAAAGAAATTAATATGTAAAAAAAATCAAACACAGAACCTGAAAATGATAGGAAGTCAATTATTCAGCCTACCTATCCACTACTAAAATAATTCTTGGTTATGAACTTCACAAGGGAACACACTGTATTACTACTCTACTCAATAACATGAATTTCATTGTGTATCTTCTGGGGCAAGTGCTTCTTCCAAACAAATTAAACCATGCCACTCACACAATGTTCATCTATCTCATAAGTTTTTGCTATTCTCCTGTTGATTTTACATTTAATGAGGGATAAATTCTATTTTCACAATCATAATCAAATAGTACCTAGAGAATAAAAGCTACTAAGACAAGACAACCCTCAATTCAATTAATAACTAATCCCTCTCTTTTTCAGAGGTACATCAGTTGTTCCTCCAGGATTAAAACCCCTCCTGTTTTACAATAAAAAAGCAGACAGATGACAGGATCTCATTAAACATCTATTGTGCACCCACACAAAAAAAATTAAGTAGGCAGATGCTCTGATTATTTAAAGCAACACACAGAGTTTTAGGATGAAGTTTTATTTCTGAATTTTAACTTATGCACAACTTGTAAAATGTTACTTCATTTATAAATAAAGCAGCACTAACTTGGTAACTTGGAATCACTGTATTTTTCTTCATAAAGAATAAAGTCAGGATAACAGTTAGCTCTCTTTGTTTCTGAATAATGATTCAACATTAATTTAGATATTAGAAGCTCTCACATGCAAGTGTGTGTGCATGCACTCACACACACTACTCTGAAGAGGTAGAATATGAGGAAATAAGATACACATACACAGAGAAGGAATATGTAACATTTAATTTTAACCTCAATGACAGGAGGAGGAGCACCAATAATCTAAAAAAAAAAAGAAATCCCAAAAGTTTTGGATTAGCTGCCTCTCTAGCTAAGTATATATTTTATTGCTAATCAATATGGCATGACCAAAATTATAGCAATGAAAATAGTCATAATTATCATCAAGTAATGAAAATAATATTTATGTGCTCAACAGTATTACTTATATATTCTGATTAAATCATGTGCTATTGAAAGCAGGATGAAGTAGAGCTTATTTTATATCTTAGAATTCTTTTCCATCAATGTCAGTTTAGGAAATGAAAGTTATTAGAATTTCAATGTAATTAATTCATTTGCAATTGGTGTCTATTTGGTTATGTATTTTTTCATAGATATAGTCTGAGAGACATTATCTGGTAACTTTTATCATGTCTCTGAGAAACCAATTTTCTGTAAGGCCTAATTTTTTTTCTTAAATAAATATGTATCTGCTCATGCATATACCAACTTCATGGATTCCAAACAATAAAAAAGTTAATTGTAAGGATTGGACAGAATCTACATTTTAAATGCTATTTAAAACATTATCACACTGTAGTGGAGGAATCATAAACTGCAGAAGTTTTTCAACCATGCCACCACAAACTACATCTCTACAAAATGTTTTGTACTTTTACTTTAAAGAACTAAAATTGGAAACAAAGAGTGGAGAATTATTTCTTCCCTTTCTCTTCCCTTCATCCTCATTCTAGCACCAGTCATACCTGACCATGATTTTTAAAGAGTATAAATTACTCCTCTTCTCAGAGGTAGAAATACACAGAAAAATACACAAAAACCAAATTCTGTCAAAATATATTTAAAGAGGTTTATTCAGAGCCAGTATAAGTGACCAAGGCCTGGGTTACACTATCTCAAGAGGTTCTGAAAGCGTGCCCAAGGCAACCGGGTTACACTTTGGTTTTATACATTCCAAGGAGACAACCAACTGCAGGTAATTGCAGGTAGGTCAGGGTAGGAGCTTGTACGTCATAAGGGGCTTTTAGGGATCCTTTAGTTGACAATTGGTTGAGAGAGTTATGCTATCGTCTAAAGTCTTGAAATCGATAGAAAGGAATGCCTGAGTTCAGATAAGAGTGGGGGAAAGACCAAGGATCTTATTAAGTAGATGAAGCCTCATAGGTGGCCCTCAGAGAGAATAGATGGTAAATGTTTCTTTTCAGACCTTTAAAGGTATCAGACTCTCAATCACTCCTAGGTCCTGGAAAGGCATAGAAAGGGGAAGCATGGCTGCATTAATGAAGATTCTCCATAGATGCAAATTTCCTCTACCTCAGTTTGCTGGCCTTGCAACAGCCATTTCAAAAGACATCAAAGAAATATATTTTAGGGCAAAATATTTTTATATCCTTCAGGGTCTGCTGTCTGTTATGTGATGCTGTACCAGAGTCAGGTTGGAAAGCAAGCCACATTATATAGGGTTAATAAAAAACCCATGTAAAGAGATGTTATCATTCGTAGGGCTGACTCCCAGTTTCTTTAAATAGGAATTTGGGCAAGATGAAAAAAAAAAATCAGAATTTAGTCCTCAACTCAAATATTTTATTCATTCAAACGCTTATTCAAACTACCGAATCCTCCAATAACAGAAAGTATAGTGTCCATCCTGAAGACTTTCATCCCATCTCACAGCATGTTTTCTCCTAGTACACCCTGATTGTCCAAGGACTTCTGAGAACACCATTCCAGAAGAGGTCATGATCTCAACAACTGTCACAGAAAGAAAGAATACAGGAAGACAAGATGCGAAAGTTATGTCAGTGGCTTTCATTCATCACACCACTACGTACTGGTTCTCTAGTACTGTGCTGTTATGATCCTCCTGACTTTTACCCTGTGAATATCCTAGTGCTTTTATATCAGTCTCACATCCTCAACACGCTGGTTTCCATAAAAACGCAACCAAGTCAGATGGCTGTGATCTGGTGGGATTCTAGTTCCATTTGCAGCCTCCAAAGCAGTCTTTTACCTAAGAACACTCAGGCCTCCAAGGTTAAGATAACAGTATACTCCAATGCAAAATTCTCTACCTCCCTACTTCAGGTCCCAGGGACTCTCAACTGCCAGTCACTCTTTGAACAATAAGAACAGACACTTAAATGATGATAACTAATGGCAGCAGCACTAATGTAAGAACGCTGGAACTATTAGTACTCTCATCTTCCAGATGAGAGAACTCAATAACATGATTTACATAAACTGCCTGAAGATACAGTAGAATAATAATAATGAAATCCAGGCATTGTGGACCTGAATGCTGCTACCTAGCTACTCCTCTTTGTGGCTTCTCCATTGTCTTTTCCTGCCAGTTCAGTTCTAACAGGAATAAACAGACGCTATTCAAAAGCTTTTCAAGTCTGAATGAAGATGTACCTAGGGTTGGTGTTGATGAACTTTCCCTCACTCTTCCTTAAGGAAATTTGTTCTTTCCTGCCATTTGAGAGACATGTTCTTCCTCTTCTTCTTCAAAGAGCTAAAATGCACCTTTATTTGCATAATGAAGATAGTGCAGTGAAGTACTTTCTTGCATTGTCAAGGAAATGAGCTCCAAAGGAACTTCCTTTTAGCATAGAGAAAGCTGCTGTTTTTATTTACTTGCATTTTGCATATGAATATATTTTAATTTAGTTTCAACAGGTAACTGAATTAGAAAGTGAAATTATAAAGTCATTTCTCCAAGAAAGAAGGTAGAGCTTATAAATATTAGTAATCTTAGCTGGGCACGATGACTTACGCCTGTAATCCCAGCACTTTGGGAGGCTGATGCGGGCCAATCACCTGAGGTCAGGAGTTTGTGACCAGCCTGGCCAATATGGTGAAACCCTGTCTCTACTAAAAGTACAAAAATTAGTCTCTACTAAAAATACAAAAATTAGCCATATGTGGTGGCACGTGCCTGTAATCCCAATTACTTGGGAGGGTGAGGCAGAAATTGCAGTGAGCTGAGACTGCACCACTGCACTCCAGCTTGGTGAACAGAGTGAGACTCCGCCTAAAAATAAATAAATAAATAAATAAATATTAATAATCTTTTAAAGAAATGATTGTGGCTATTTCTAGGTCTAATGATACTTGCTTAATCGTATTGAAAACAATGTTATTTCTTTGAATGGCAATGGAATGTAAAATATTTAAAAACGCAATTTGACTTTTTTTACTTTTTAAAATTTATGTAGCTGGGCCGGGCACCCTGGCTCATGCCTGTAATCCCAGCACTTTGGGAGGCTGAGACTGGAGGATCACAAGGTCAGGAGATCGAGACCATCCTAGCTAACACGGTGAAACCCCGTCTCTACTAAAAACACAAAAAAATTAGCTGGGCGTGGTGGTGGGCACCTGTAGTACCAGCTACTCGGGAGGCTGAGGCAGGAGAATGGCATGAACCTGGGAGGTGGAGCTTGCAGTGAGTTTGAGATTGCTCCACTGCACTCCAGCCTGGGTGACAGAGCGACACTCTGTCTCAAAATAATAATAATAATAATAATAATAAATAAAATAAAATTTATGTAGCTGATATATTACTATAACCTCACTTGCATTTTTAAATTATTTTACTGGTTCTCTCTTTTTACTTTTATCTTACCTATGCTGTATTTGAAGTTAGTTTTATATAGACAGAATTTTAAAAATTATTTATTTATGGGGTACAAATGCAATTTGGACAATATTGTTGGCCATGGTTTTTCGTTTTTGATTTTTGTTTTTTTAACTACTCTGCCAATCTATGTTTTTTAGTTGGTTTCTATAGGCCTTTTATGTTTAACAATTTGTATGTTGTGGTTGATGTCTACCACTTTGTTATTTGTTTCTGTTTGTTTCTGTTTCTTATTCCTCTGTGTCTTTTTCTTGCTTTCCAATGGGTTACATAAACATGTTAAGTTTCCATCTTAATTTATTTATAGTGTTTTAAATACAATGTTGCATCACTTAATGACAAAAATTACATTCTGAGAAATGCATTAGGCAATTTCTTCACTGTGTAACATCATATAGTGTATTCTATGTGTAAATAGAGATAGCATAACCTACTACTCACCCTAGGTTATGTGGTACAGCCTATTGATCCTAGGCTACAAACCTATACAGCATGTTACTGTGCTGAATACTGTAGGCATCTGCAACACAACGGTAAATATTTGTGTATCTAAACATAAAAAAAGGTACAGTAAAAAATCCAGTCAAAACATCAAAAATGGTATACCTGATTAGGGCACTTACTATAAATGAAGTTTGCAGGGCTAGGAGTTGCTCTGGGAGAGTTAGTGAGTAAGTGGTGAGTGAGCGTAAATGCCTAGGGCATCATTGTACAAAACTGTAGACTTTATAAACACTGAATTTATAAAATTTATAAAGAAACTTATTTCTTTCAAAATACATTAAACTTATCCTACAGTAACTTTTTTACTTTATAAACTTTTTAACTTATTTTTAACTTTTTGACTCTTTTGTAACAACACTTAGCTTAAAACACATATTGTACACAGAAATACTTTATTTCCTTATATCCTTATTCTCTAAGATTTTTTTGTAATTTTACATCTTTTAATTTTTAATTTTTTTGTTGTTGTTGTTAAAAACAAAGACACAAATGCACATACTAGCGTAGGCCTACACAGGGTCAGTATGATCAACATCACTGTTTTCTACCTCCAGATCTTGTCCCACTGGAAGCTCCTCTAGGCCAATAATGCATATGGATCTGTCGACATCTATGATAACAATGCCCTCTGAAATGCCTCGTGAAGGACCACTGTGAGGCTGTTTTACAGTTGCCTATTACTTTTTTTTTTTTTTTTTTTTGAGACAGAGTCTCGCTCTGTCGCCCAGGCTGGAGTGCAGTGGCGTGATCTCGGCTCACTGCAAGCTCCGCCTCCTGGGTTCACGCCATTCTCCTGCCTCAGCCTCCCGAATAGCTGGGAATATAGGCGCCCCCAACCAGGCCTGGCTAATTTTTTGTATTTTTAGTAGAGATGGGGTTTCACCATGTTAGCCAGGATGGTCTCCATCTCCTGACCTCGTGATCTGCCCACCTCGGGCCTATTTCTTTTAATAAGTAGAAGGTGTACACTACAATAACAATAAAAAATATGGTGTAGTAAATACACAAAAATGTAATATATTTGTTTATTATTATTACTAAGTAAAATGTACTTGTATTAGTCCATTCTCACACTACTATAAAGACACTACCCGAGATTGGGTAATTCATAAAGGAAAGAGGTTTAATTGAGTCACAGTTCTGCATGGCTGAGGAGGCCTCATGGAACTTACAATCATGGTGAAATGGGAAGCAGTCATCTTCTTCACAAGACAACAGGAGAGAGAAGGATTGTGTGTAGGAGGAGCTGTGAAACACTTAACAAAACCATCAGATCTCCTGAGAACTCACTCACTATCGTAAGAACAGTATGGCAGAAACCGCCCACATGATCCAATCACCTTCCACCAGATCCTGCCCTCAACACATGGGTATTATGAAGATTACAATTCAAGATGAGATTTGGGTGGGGATATAGAGCCAAAATATATCATTCCACCCCTGGCCCCTCCCAGATCTCACATATTTTTTACATTTCCAACCCAACATCATGCCTTCCTAACAGTCCCCCAGAGTCTTAAATCATTTCAGCAGTAACTCAACAGCCCACAGTTCAAAGTCTCATCTGAGACAAGGCAAGACGTTTTGGCCTATAAGCCTGTAAAATCAAAAGCAAGTTAGTTACTTCCTAGATACCATGAGGGTACAAGAATTGGATAAATGCTCCCATTCCAAATGGGAGAAATTAGTCAAAACAAAGGGGATGCAGGCCCCATGAAAGTCTGAAACCCAGCAGGGCAGTCATTAAAACTTAAAGCTTTAAAATAATCTCCTTGTCTCCATGTTTCACATCCAGGGCATGTTAATGCAAGAGGTGGGCTCCCATGGCCTTGGGCAGTTCCTTCACAGGCTGGCATTGAGTGTCTGTGGCTTTTCCAGGTGCACAGTACAAGCTGTTGGTGGATCTTCCATTCAGGGGTCTGGAGAACAGTGGCCCTCTTCTCATAGCTTCACTAGGCAGTGCCCCAGTGGGGAATCTGTGTGGGAGCTCCAACCCCACATTTTCCTTCTGCACTACCCTAGCAGAGGTTCTCCATGATGGCTCCACCCCTGCAACCAATCTCGGCCTGGACATCCTGGCATTTCCATACAACCTATGAAATCTAGGCAGAGGTTTCCACACCTGAATTCTTGACTTCTGTGTACCCTCAGGCCCAACACCATATGGAATCCTCCAAGGCTTGGGGCTTGCACCCTCTGAATCAACAGATGAGCTGTACATTGGCTCCTTTTAGCCACGGCTGGAGCTGGAGTAGCAGCAGCTGGGACACAGGGCACCAAGTCCTGAGGTTGCCCAGAGTAACGGGGCCCTAGGCCCAGCCCATGAAACCATTTTTCCCTCAGAGGCTGCTGGGTCTGTGATGAGAAGGGCTGCCATGGAAGTCTCTGATACGCCCAAGAAAAATTTTGCCATTGTTTTGGCTACTGTAATAACATTTGGCTTCTTGTTATTTAGGCAAATTTCTGTAGCCAGCTTGAATTCCTCCCCTGAAAAATGGGTTTTTCTTTTCTACTGCATGGTCCGGCTGCAAATTTTCCAAACTTTTATGCCCTGCTTCCATTTTAAACATAAGTTCCAATTTGAGATAATGTTTCTCAAATTAAAAGTTCCACAGATCTCTAGGACAGGGGCAAAATGCTTCCAGTCTCTTTGCTAAGGCAGAGTAACAGTGATCTTTGGGCTCTAGTTCCTAATGAGTTCTTGTCCATCCAAGACCACCTCAGCTTGGACTTCACTGTCTATATCACTATCAGCATTTTGGTCAAAACCATTCCACAGGTCCCTAGGAAGTTTCAAACTTTCTCACAACTTCCTGTCTTCTTCTGAGCCCTCCAAACACTTCCAACCTCTGCCCGATACCCAGTTCTAAAGTCACTTCCTCATTTTCAGTATCTTTATAGCAGTGCCCCACTCCCAGTACCAATTTACTCTATTAGTCTGTTCTCACACTGCTATAAAGATACTACCCAAGACAGGGTAATTTATAAAGGAAAGAGGGTTAATTGACTCATAGTTCTGCATGGCTGGAGAGGCCTCAGAAAACTTACAATCATGGTGGAATAAAAGCAGTTGGCTTCTTCAAAAGGCAACAGGAGAGAATGAGTGTGTCTAGGAGAAATTTTCAAACACTTTTAAAACCATCGGATCTCATGAAAACTTACTCACTATCATGAGAACAGCATGAGGGAAACTGCCTCCAGGATCCAATCACTTCCCACCGGGTCTTGCCCTTGACACGGGAGGATCATGAGGATTACAATTCAAGATGAGATTTGGGTGGGGACACAGCCAAACAATATCAGTACTAGACAGAATTTTATGTGCTACACTTTTATATAACTGGCAATGAAGTAGGTTTGTTTACACCATCATTGCCACAAACAGGTGAGAAATATGTTAGACTATGATGTTAAGACAGCTCAGCTGCAATGTCACTAGGTAATATTCATCTCCATTATAATCTTATGGGACCACCATGATATATGCAGTCTACTGCTGAGCAAAACATCGTTATGCAGTGCATGATTGTACATGATTTTGTTTGGTTTTATTAATTGCACTGGTTAAAATAATATATGTGTAATGTCAAGATCTACTGTTAATGATGTTTTACCTCTTTGAGTGAAGTGTAGAAAACTTGTTTCCATATGAGTCTCTTTACTATCACTACTTTTTAGATATAATTATCTTAAATACTTCCTCTATGTTCCTTGAGCATCTAACCAGATAGGTCATTAATTTTTGCTTCAACTATTAGAAATGGCTTAAAAACTCAAGAGAAGTTTGATTATACATTATATTTATGCTTAATTTTACCCATTTAGATGGATGTTTGTAAAAGCTGCAAACCTTCTTCTTTTATCATTTCTTTTCTGTTTAGAGAACTTATTCTTTAAAGGTAAGTTTGTTAGCAACACATTACCTTAGCATTCTTTCATTAGACAATGTTTTCTATGTCACTTTAGTGCCTGAAGAATATTATTGCTGGGTATTGAATTTACAGTTCACAGTTCTGTTCTTTCAGTACTTCAAAAATATTATCTGTTTCCTTCCAACCTTCATGGTTTCAGATGGAAAATCTGCTGTGGTTTACATTATTGTTTTTCTGTAAGAAATGTGCCATTTTTCTCTGTTTGCTTTCAAGATTTTTAATTTTTTTTTTTCATTTCCAGAAATTGAATGTATTTGGGTGTATTCTATTTAGGGTTTGCTCTGTTTCTTGAATATTTAGGTTTATGTCTTCCATCTAATTTGGGAAGGTTGAAGTCATTATTTTTTAATAGTTTTTTAGTCCCACATTCTATCTCCTCGTCTTCTATATCTCCTGTGATTATGAATGTTAGCTCTTTTATTATTGTTCTAAAGTTTCCTGAAATGCTGTTAAATTTTTTTTTATCGGTTTTCTTCTTCTTGTTCAGACAGTAAATTCTGTTGGCATGTTTTCAGATTCACTGATTCCATCTTCTGCTCTGTGCTCTCTTCTTTTGTGACCATCCTCTGCATCTATTATTTCCATTATTGTATTTTAATTTTATTTAGTTCATGTTTACTTTTTATAACTTATAAGTCATTATTGAATTTATTTTTAATTTTAACTTTTATTTGTTCCAAGAGAATACAATATATAATTGCTTATTTAAACACTTTTATGATGGTTTCTTCAAAATCCTTGTTAGATAATTCCAACCTCTTTTTTTTTTTTTTTTTTTTTTTTTTTTTGTCTGAAACAGTCTCACTCTGTTACCCAGGCTGGAGTGCAGCGGTATGATCTTGGCTCACTGCAACCTCCATCTCCCAGGTTCAAGTGATTCTCCTGCCTCAGCCTCCCAAGTAGCTGGGATTACAGGCATGTGCCAATGCACCCAGCTAACTTTTTATATTTTTAGTAGAGGCGGGGTTTCACCATGTTGGACAGGCTGGTCTTGAACTCCTGACCTCAAGTGATCCACCCATCTTGGCCTCCCACAGTGCTGGGATTACAGGTGTGAGCCACTGCGCCCAGCCCCAACCCCTTTTTTATGTCTGTGTTGGTGTCTGTTGTCTTTCTCTCATTCAGGTTATGATTTCCTAGTTCTTTTGTCTTATAAGTGATTTTTATTGTGTCCTGAATTTTTTTTTATATTATGAGAATTTTTCTCTCTTATTATTTCGTAGATGGTTCCCTATTGATGTGTAACCTGAGAGCTGGGTGGGTGTGCGTGTTTATCTTCCTGATGGGACCTACTAATACCATCCTACCAAAAGTAGAGTACTAACTTATACTTCCTTCTTGCAGACTGGTTAGGTGGAAGTTTGTCTTCTCCCTCCACCCACTGGCAACCTCATGGCAAAAGTAGGGTACTGAGTTACATATCTTTGTTTCCTCCAAGTGAAAAAATAACCTCACTTCCCTGATGTGGTCCACTGACACCAGGGAGGGGGTGAGTAGGGGCCAACTCATACCACTTGGTTGCTTCCAAGGAGTAGGAGTGGGGAGAAGCTGTGTAAGAACAGAACTGATCATTAAAGACCCTATTATAAATTCTTGCTTTTATAGTACTTATTCTCGTGGCTTAAATATTCCACACCAATTAATCACCACGGAATATATGAGACATTATATTAATTATTAAATTTTACATGGCAACACTAACAATATTAACTCCCATTTTCTATCTCTTTAATTGAGGTCATTCTTTAGAAGTTTAAGTATAATCCATTCTTCTGTCCTACACGACTGAGTGAAAGAGCATGTAGCAGCAACATATAGTACCAGTATGTAATCCTAATGCAATGGCACACCCCAGATGACCCTTTTGTGTATTGGGATTGACCATGGTTTTTCAGTTTAATCAAAGTTTAATTGATTAAACTCGGGGTTCACATTTTCTTTCTACACACCAATATTGAAGAGAAGTACTACAAAATACATAGGAGCACTAAACTGGTAGTAATAAGAAAAACATAAAATATTTAAGATAATGTGTTGCTTTTATTTCTAATATTAGCTACTGATACAATCAAAGCACTGCGGCTCAGTTTTCTCTTTTGTAAGAGGACAAGTTTGTATTAGTTAATCTTTAAATGTCTCTACAATCTGATTCTGAGATTGTGAATAAATAGATCTAAATACTGTTACAGGTATATAAATACAGATATAAATGCAGGTATGGGTAAAATTATGGCTATGGGTCCCAGCCTTAAATTCTTATTTTTTTATAACTAATTGATGTTCAGGGATAGATTTATGTGATCTGCTCATTTGCAGGGGCCCATCACTTGGCTAATTCTTTGGTGTCATTCGTGTCAAGTTTTAAATAATTTTTGAGTAAGATGTCCTATATGTTAATTTTGCACTGAACACTGCAAATTTTGTAGCTGTTCCTGTTAATTTGTTAATGAAATTTCTGTTTAGAAACTATTAAATTAATAAGACAATAATTAAGCAAATAATTATTAAATTTTACATGGTAACACTAGCAATATTAACTCCCATTTTCTATCACTTTAATTCAGGCCATCCTTTAGAGGTTTAAGTATAATCCATTCTTATGTCCTACACAACTGAGTGTGTAGTACCAGTATGTAATCCTAATGTAATGGCACACCCCAGATGACCTTTTTGTGTGTTGGCATGGTTTTTCAGTTTAAGCAAAAGTTTAATTGATTGAAACTTGAAGTTCACATTTTTTTTTCTACACACCAATATTGAAGAGAAGTCCTACAAAATACTTATTCTATGGAAAAAAACAAAGTCCACTTTAGATCTAAAATGGTTGCATAAAATTTTGAGAATAACTTAAATGTTATATGAATGTAAGTAAAAATTTTACTGTAAACTTTGTAATTGCTAACTATAAACAGAAAACAAGTATATCTTATATAAAGAAATGTGTAGACTCTCTGTATTAATCCATTTTCACATTGCTATAAAGAATACCTGCGACAGGGTAATTTACAAAGGAAAGAGGCTTAATTGACTCACAGTTCTGCACGGCTGGGGAGGCCTCAGGGAACTTACAATCATGGTGGAAGGGGAAGCAGGCACGTCTTACATGGCAGCAGGGGAGAGAGAGCATGTGAAGGAGGCACTGTCAAACACTTGTAAAACCATCAGATCTCATGAGAACTCATTCACTATCATGAGAACATCTAGGGGAAACTGTGCCCATGATCCAATCACCTCCCACCAGGCCCCTCAACACATGGGCATTATGGGAATTACGATTCAAGATGAGATTTGGGTGACAGCACAGAGCCAAACCATATCACTCTCTGTGCCTTGTATTTCTCATACTAGTCAATGCCAACTCATTAAAAGTTATCTGGAGATATAACATTTTTGGGGGATTATATATTGCCACTACTGTTATATTTTTGTCAGGATAATGTAGCAATTCCCAAATAAATCATACTTAAACCTCCACAGAAAAGATAAATAGAAATGAGAATTCCATTGCCAGCATTGCTTTGAAAAACGTTTCAGAACTTTGAATATATATACTCATAAACACACACACATACACAGATATATATTTCTGCATGTGTATATACATATATGGATACATATGTTCTTAAACTTTCTTTTAACAGAAAAATTAAAATAGAAGGAAAATAACAGAGCACTAGTTATATAACTAGTATTATATAAATAATGTTATGTAACTAGTTATATAATTAAAAATATAAGAACCTAGGTGAGAATGAGAAAGTCTAGATTTAGATTTACTACTTTTCCTAATACACACCCACACACATATATGTGTGTGTGTGTGTGTGTGTGTGTGTGTGTGTGTGTATACTGTATTTGTCTCATAGTGGCTGGAGCACATTACTACCAACTTAGTGGATTAAAACACCACAAATCTACTATCTTACAGTTCTGCAAGTAAAGACTAAAATAGAGTCACATAGGTGAAAATCAAGAGCTTCTACTCTCTTGAGGCTGCTTGGATTCTTGGCTATAACCCCTTTCTCCATCTTGAAATTCTGTCACTCCAACCTCTGCTTTCATAACACATCTCCCATCTCCTTCCTAACTCGAAGGCATCTTCTCAGTCTTACAAGAACTCCACTTGGGTTCACATTTGGAACACCCAAATAACCCATCTTAATATTCTCATCTCTAGATCCTTAAATAATTGCTTCTACAATGTCCTTTTTGTCATGGAAGGTGACATTTTCACAGGTTCCAGAAATTAGGACGTCGACATTTTAGTAAGCCATTATTCTGTCTACCACAGTGGCCTTGAATAGAAATCCTTCAGTTTTCATATACAGAAACAAAACATTCTTCCAAATGAGGAAGCTAGATTGGGAAAAAAAAAAGTCAGCCACACAGGTCTCCCCATTAAAACTTAAAGATGGTTACATATTTTATTCTGAGTTAAAATGGAGAGTCTTCCTATATAACTCTCTTTCCACTGTATGATTTATCACTTAATAGCTCTCCCTTTCCGTTGTATGATTTGTCACTTAATATCTCTCTCTTACTTGAAGTCAGAGAACAGCAAACAGTTTGCAAAATATATAAATAGTCTATAAGTTGTGGTCCAAATAGTTCTTAGAATTCAGCTACATCTAAGTACACAATTACTTATTTAAGCTTGATTCAGTGAAACAGATTTTCAGTTGAGTTTCTTAATGGGAATGACCAGTCACATTTTTCAAATTTGGCTTTATGCATAAATTGACAAATTATTTATAATTTGAAACATCTGGGCTCATTTTTTAAAAACAACTCATAAAATAAGAAATCATTTTATTGGTTCAAGCACGCATGCTATTAAATGACTCATCTTAATTTTTATCTTTTCATAAATGTTGGAAAATCTCAAGAAACCGTTATGTTGTCCTAAAAATGGGCAAGCAAGGTTAATTTGTTTTTGATGTTTAGATAGTTAGGTTATTTCTCATTTTTCTTTTAGGGATTACGTTGCTATCCTAAAGCTTGACATTGGTTAGAGTCAGCCAATGTCAAATTTTTACCTATAGATAGTCTTAGAAAGATATTGCAAATTAGTGCTGCTTCTAGTAGCTAAAATAACCTGCAGCTAGCTGGCAGGCAGCAGTGAATATTTTAAAAGGTGTACCAAATTACATTTAGATTTTCAGTTCCTTTTGAAGTGAAAAGAATATTCAAAGCTTGGAAGTCTTTGACTCTCATAAGCCTAGTAGATTTCAAGTATAAACATAGATTTAAAGATAGTTTACAGACAAATTGTGGATTTTATGTTATAATCTCAGATTAATGATTTTTTCCTTTTTGTGATTTTTTTCCCAAAGTAATTGTAAAGGACTGTGTGTGTGTGTGTGAGAGAGAGAGAGAGAAACAGAGAGAAAGAAACAGAGATAGAGACATTGTCCAAATGTACACGTAAGATTTTCTGTGACAATTACACATGGATTATCTAGTAACAAGTTGAACTACATGAAGCAATTGTATATCATCAGATATATACTATATGAAACAACTGTGTATAATCAGATTTATACTACATGAAGCAACTATATATAATCAGATTTACACCACTTTCTGAAGAAAACTACAATTAATTGGATACTAAAGTGGTTTCTGAAAGCCTAATTATTCTCAAGTCCATATGTGTGTTTGGTGGGATGGCAGTGAGTTTTTGGAACAAGCTTAACTGTTTTTTGAAATAGTTGTGAACTTCACAAGTTAGATGAAATACATGTCACAAGAAATTTTCCATGTGGAGACAATTTAGTAGTATTTCCACATTTATGTTCAATAAGTGTAAATTATAAAATGATATTTTTGCTCAAAAATAAATGAAAATAACACATTTGAAACAAAAGTAGACTCACCCACCCTCCAGAATGATATCCAAAGACCAAAGGAAGTTTGGCCTTTTTTAGGCATTTGAGACTTGCTTTCAGTAAATCATATCATCATATTTATTTCTATAACTTTTCTTTTTTTTTGAGATGGAGTCTCGCTTTGTCACCCAGGCTGGAGGGCAATGGCGTGATCTTGGCTCAGTGCAGCTTCCGCCTCCTGGGCTCAAGTGATTTTCCCACCTCAGCCTCCCCAGTAGCTGGGATTACAGACGTGAGCCACTATGCCTGTTTATTTATTTATTTATTTATTTTTTAAGTAGAGATGGAGTTTCACCATGTTGGCCAGGCTGGTCTAAAACTCCTGACTTCAAGTGATCCACCCACCTTGGCCTCCCAAAGTGCTGGGATTACAGGCGTGAGCCACTGGGCCCGACCTCTGTAACTTTTTATGTTACTGTTTATCATGAGTACGCACAAAAAACCACTTTTTGAATATCTTTTTCTCAGATATTTAATTATTAAGAACAAGGCAAAAATGTGTATACATTAGGTAAAAACTGCGAAAGCATGTCCAAAGAAGAAATAAAGTTCTGTAAATACTCAGAATCAACAGTTGAATAGGTATTCAGGTTTTCAGAGTTAAAAGCACAAATGCATATTTTAGTCTCTTTTCATTTTATTTTAAATATGACTATCCATAGAATGACTATTGCACAGTTTCATATAACTCCCTTATTTGTGTATTTAGTAACTGAGATTCATTATTTTTTAATTAGTACCTAAATAATTACTAGTAATCTGAAACTAATTTTCTTTTATGAGGGCAAAATGCTTTTTCTTTTAATAGGAAAAAGCAAAAAGGAAGTTAGTTTAAGTATTTTTTAAATAAAAGAAATTGACAAAATAAAAAGCATGTTAAATTTAATTGTAACCCTGATGTATGTAAAACCTTTATTAAAAAGATTTTTCCAAAGTTCTTATTAAGCTTTAATTAGCTATTTGTATATATTACCTTACTGGCATTTTAAAAGTATAATTATTACATATTGTGTGGAAAGATTTAAACATTCAGAAAATATAAAACTCAGTGCAACTATTTTTTCCTACTCTTCATGTATTATAATTCAGTCTTTTTGATAATTTTATATATATAGAAGGTATGATATTTATATTACATTTAAAATTTAGTACAACTTTTATTAAAGTGTACATATTATTTATACAATGCTTTTTTCTTTTCTATATCTATACAGCTTACCCACTTTTGAGAAGGCTGCATTTTTTTCTATAACATGTATATGTTGTACTTTACTTGTCTATATCCCCATTAAGAGATATGTTGCTTCCAGGTTTCATTATTATAAATACTGTTTCAGTGAACAGCTTTCAATATACATCTTTGTGCCCATGTGACAATAAAAGTATTTTTGTATGCATCTGCAAGTATAATAGTTATAGTGTCCATGCATTTTCAATTGGGTAGTTGTTTCAAAATAGCCCTACATTTTTCAAATAATTCTAATTCAAAGGACTGCTCCCCTTTCAAACCTGGTAAATATTGAAGTCCTTAATGCTTTTGCCAGAATTAGGCTGAATTGACAGAGCACTGATATGTAGAAGATATATATATATATATACATGTATATTATATATATAATATATTATAAATATAATATATATATATAAAATTCTTAAAATTTAGCAAGTAACTGAACAACAAAAATGACAGATAAAAGAAGCAGGTCATGCATAGCCTATCTGCCTGAGATTTATTTAACCCTTCTTCAGAAGAGGCTTTGATTCTTGTCTCTCTGTGTCTACCTATAGACAGCATTTCTCCCAGGAAGCTTGCCCTGACCTCCTAGAATTGGTTATGTACCATTTATATATTTTTCATATTCCAATGTACATAACTCATAACAGAAATTATCACAAGGGAACAGCTGTGGTTTTATTGTTATGTCTAGCTATCCAGCTATCATCTTCACCAGACTGTAAGCTCCTTGAAGGCAGAAGCCAGATTTATCTTCATGACCTCTGTGTTTTAGATGAGGTCTCAGAGATAGAGGTCAGAATTTTCCCTCTAGGTAAATTAATTAGATTAACCTCAACTTATACAAAACAGTAGTCATTAAATTTATCCCCAGCCATCAGGAGCTTAACTACTCTGGAGAGAGAGCCAGGTGTTGGAGTAGGCAATTAAGACATCAAGACAAAAGGACATTAACAAACCTTTGAGGTTAAACTGGAAAAAGCCCTGACGGTCCAGTCCCCATCCTTTTTTTCCTTCATGAAACAGCTCTATCAAGGATCACATGGGTCAGCACAGATGTGGAGTTGTCTCACTATCAAAGGAACCCTGAACAACAGGCTCCTGCCTGCAGTTTTATGGAAGTTCAGGAAAAGGCTGGGAGCGGAAAAGCACTGAGTATTGAATCAGAAGGAAGACAATTGTCTTCAAGACTCCTCCTCCTCTCCCCATGAAAAGGAGGTCTTGGGCAAACATGCCTGGGGAAGGTCTGCCAAGGTCCCACAGTGGAGAGGCCTCCAGGGGAGGCACCAGTCAAGTGATGCTGATCTGTGTGTGAGCATGGCCCTGCAGCCCTTACTGAAACTGCCATTAGAGGACTATGCACTAGTGTGGGGAGGGCAGCTCTCCCTGTGGGACCCACTTGGTCAAGTCTTTGTCATTGTTTATGGATGGGCCCAAAAATCACATATAGGATTGAGTCTGGGGCTGAACTCTTTACTGCTCTGTCTGTATTCCCTGTCTTGGTTGACACCTAATACATGACTAAGAAACTAAGAAATCATTTTAGACGTCGTTTTTGTGTCTGTGTTTTATGCTTTGTTGGCTTGAAAACTTCATCCAATAAAACTTTAGTTATTTTTATTACCATTTCTTCCTTTATGACCCCACAGCATCCTCCATGTGCCAGGGTCCAAATCATCTTTAACCCGGACTATTGTATCAGTACCCAAATATATTCTTTCATCAAAATATATTCTTTCTCTTCTCTGGCTGTAATCTCATTCATTTCCAGGCTACTTCTTTTCAAACTAAAAAGCAAATATAATCACACTATTCTCTTTCTTCAAACACTTTCCCAATTCCTAGAGTAAAATCCCCCTTTTATAACATATAAGGCCTCAGTGACCTACCCTCAGGACTTCTTTAATTATTCTCCCATATTGTCCTATTATGTACCTGTTCCATCATCCTTACAACCCTCAGAACTCCCTAATCTGTTTTAATGCCACATTGTTATGCTCTTAATTTCCTTTGATAAAATGATTCTTTCCATTCATAAACTAGTTGATTACCACAACTTCTTAAGTATTCTATTGAAGTTTATCTTATTAGTCCATTTCACACTGCTATAAAGATACTACCTGAGAATGGATAATTTATAAACAAAAGAGGCTTACTTGACTCACAATTCCACATGGCTGAACTTATAAGTGAACTTATAATTAAACTTATAATCATGGTGGAAGGTGAAGGGAAAGCAAGGCAAGTCTTACACTGTGGCAGGTAAGAGAGAGAGCATGCAGGGGAAACTGCCACTTATAAAACCATCAGATCTCCTGAGAACCCCCTCACTATCACAAGAACAGCATAGAAAACCACCCTTTTGAGCTAATCACCTCCCACCAGGTCCCTCCCCATGACACATGGGGATTACAATTCGAGTTGAGATTTGGGTGGGGACACAGAGCCAAATCATAACATGTATCTTCTTTGCCAAGATTTTCCTTACAACGCAAAGTAGATTGACATATTTTAATTTCTTCCATCCCACCCCACCATAATATTCTTACCTCTATGACAGTGCTCATCAAAATTTGTAGCTATTATTTGTTTAAATGACTTCATTATGCTTCTTAAGAGGCATAAACTTTCTGCTATATTCATCTTTGTATGCCTGTCACACATTACATTGGCTGAGACAAGGTAAATATTTAATACATATCTATTAAATAAGAAACTTAAAAAAATAAGAGTGAATGAATAACTGTATCTAGGAAGTATGAAAGTGACTTATCTTTTAGCATTTTTCATCAAGGAATTAAGAAATGTGTGGGGAAAAAGTTAAGAGGCCCCAGTTAAAATGGCTTTTATCCCAAATTCAGGCAATAACAAAAGTTGGCGAGGATATACAGAAAAAGGAACACTTGCACACTGTCAGTGGGAATGTACATTAGTATGACCCTTAAGGAGAACAGTCTGGAGGTTTCTCAAAAAGCAAAAATTGAGCTATCATATGATCCAGCAATCCCACTCCTGGGTGTATAACCAAAAGAAAGGACATAGTATATCAGAGAGATATCTGCACTCCATGTTTATTTCAGCACTACTCACAATAGCCAAAATTTGGAATCAACCTAAGTATCCATCAAGAGATGAATGAATAAAGAAAATATAGTACATATACAAAATGGAATACCATTCAGCCATAAAAAACAATGAGTTCCTGTCATCTGCTACAATGTGGATAGAACTGGAGGTCATTATGTTAAGTGAAACAAGCCAGGCGCAGAAAGACAAACTTCGGATGCTCTCACTTATTTGTGGGAGCTAAGGCTTAAAACAATTGAACTCATGGAGATAAACAGTATAAAGGTTAACAGGCTGAGAAGGGTAGTGAGGGTTTGGGAGGAAAGCGGGGCAGACTAATAGGTACAAAAACATAGTTAGAAAGAATGAATAAGACCTAGCATTTGCTAGCACAACAGGGTGACTATAGTCAAAAATAATTTAATCGTACATTTAAAAATAACTAGAAGAGTATAATCAGATTGTTTGTAACACAAAGGATAACTGTGTGAAGTGATGCATATTCAATTTACCCTGATGTGATTATTATGCATGTATCAAAACATCTCATGTACTCCATAAATTTTCAAAAGAAGTATGTATAGCATAACGCTTAAAATAATATACTGTAATAGTCTACAACTTGGCAAGAAATTAAGCTTTCGTTTATTTTTGTCACAACAGGTATACTACATGCAGATTAAAATATATATTTTATATATATATATATACCATCTATTTCTTAAGGGCATTTTTCATAACCTTGAAATATAAACAATAAAAATTATGAAGCAATAATTTATTTTTTTAAAAAAATCCACTTGCCAAACAAACAAGATACTCCTTCCAGGATGTCAGTAATATCAAGATAAAATGCCAGAGAATTTTAGCTCAGTATAGGAAATCAAACAGCTAATTTTTAACTTTGATGGAGGAGAAAATTAGATAAATTCTGAAACTTCATCCATTTATTTTTCTCTCTCCATATATGTTAACAACAAGCAAACACATTAAATCCTTAAATTTGGTTACTAAGTTCACAAATGTCATGGACACAGTGAGGTAATATTTACAGACTGAATACTGATTTACTATCCTTTGAGTTTATTTCTACATTTCATAGAGTAGATGCTCTTTATAGATAAACTCTTTTGGAAAAAGTCCAGATAACTGGATAATTAACTATTAATATCACTTTTTGAAAATTAAATATTAATATGTTTCTTCCAGGAAAAATTATTTAACAGGTTTTATTCAGACTACTAAGACATATGAAAACCTGACATTAACTCTTTGGTTTTCTAAAGATTCTCTTCAGGAAAATATGCCATCAGTCTTTCTAAATGTATTCAATTTTATCTCAGCAGTCTTGAACCTCCATCTACATGATGTTAATATACCTCCAAACAGCCATTCACATTTCTTAAGGTGATGAAATATGTATTACCTATAATATTCTTAACTACGTTATTGTAAGGCATATTTATCATGCCACATAATCCTGGGCGAAAATTGGATATAATAACAATTCCCAAAAATGCCTCTTGACAAAGAGTTGGAATTCAACTTTTTTCTTCTACTGCTAAGGATGTTTGCATCATGTCTTTGGAAAAATGTATCTCATAATTGCAAAGCCCTAATTCCTGATGCTCCATTAACAATATTACTCAAGATATTGTTGCTGATGTGGCTGCTTATATTATTCCCAAGTGAATTTGTAGATATTTAGCAATAGCTGAGGCCATCTACAACGTAAATTCCTATCTATGTTACTCCTCTTGAGAATCTACTCTTGGTACATTTAGCAAAGGAAGACACTTTTAGCAACACAGCAGTCCCCCCTTACCAGCGGTTTCACTTTCCCCAGTTTTAGCTATCAGGGGTCAATCATGTTTTGAAAAATATTAAATAAAATTTATAGAAATAATAACTTTGATATTGTGTACCATAACGTGATAAATTCTCAGGTTGTCCATCCTACTCCCTGTTTTCTTTATCACAAAAAGAAAAGTAGATAATAATAAGGTATTTCAAGAGAAAGAGAGACCACATTCACATAACTTTTACTACAGTATATTGTTATAATAATTCTATTATGTTATGTTCATATAATTATTAGTAAAAGGAATATATTTATATTCCTATATAATTATAGAAGTATACTACTCCTATAAATAATATATTAGTATAACTAATATAATTCTATTATCATTAGTAGTGTTAGTTTAACTAATAAACTAATAGAATTATTAAACTAATAAAATTAGCCTATTAGTTTAATACTACTCCCATAATGAGTATATTAGTTTAAACAAATACTACTACTATAATAATTAGTAGTAGTTTAACTAATAAACTACTATAATTATTAGTTAAATTTCACTATGCCTAATTTTTAAATTACAGTCTATTATAAGTATGTATGTGTAGGAAAAATAGTACATGTTTACTATCCACTGTTTCAGGCATCAACTGGGGGTCTTAACACATATCTTTTTACAGATAAGGGTGGAGCTACAGTTACCTTCCAAAAGGTAGTATTGCCACTGCCATTGTTGCCTGCTAATGTAAATTCCAAAGAAGTAGATGATTTTGGGAAGGGCAGAAAATAAAAATTTTCATCAATATTAATGATTTTGCCATTAATGCAGATTACCATTGCCATAGTCTGAGAAGTGACATGAAACTTGAGATTGCTAGAGCTCACAGGACAGTAGAACAGTGAAGACATTGAGGTTTAAAGTGTTAATGTCATGAAGATAGCTAAAAACAGGACTTGATCAGTATAATCCTCTACCTAACACAACTTGGAATGGGGCAGAGAGTAAAGAAATGGACCTCGGTAAGGATGTGCATGAGCACTAAGAGATAGTGCTTGATGCAAGAGCAATAATAACAACAATAACCACAAAAAAGGTATATTATTGGGAGCATTAGAGAAGAACAACAGAAAACTAAAAATGTTGTGGATGTTACCTCCAAGCAAGAAAATGGGACTAGGGACACAGGCCCTTTTTGTTTTTTGCTTGCACATTCTGTAATTAGAAAATGTTATTTTATAGACACACATATCAAATAATAGGAGAAAAAAGATATTTCATGTAAGATTAGTTTATTCTCAATATTCTGAATTAGAATATTGGATTAAAACAATATTTAGAATGATAGAAGCTGGATTAAAACAACTTTAAAACAAGCATTTGTACTGCATTGACATCTCTATACAAGTTGCTGTCATACTAGTTGAGAAGAGCTTGGGGACCTGGACTTGGGAGATTTAATTACCCCTCTGATAAAATTACTCAGAGGGGTAACCTTATGAAGAATTCTGAAACCAAGAATTTGGAAGTCTAAGAAAAGAAGGGACAACAATGCAAGTTGTCCAACCAAAACCTCTCTTCCCTACTTTCTTGTTTCTGAATGCCATTTTTGTTTGAAAGAGCAATGTGTCCTGCCAAATAACTACAATGCCCAGTCTCCTTGCCCTTGTGGCTGGTGACATGTTATAGTCCTGTAGAAACATACGTGGGCTGAAGTTCTTGAAAAGGACACTTTGTTCTTCAACTTCTCCCTTCCTGCCCTGATATAAAAACATGATAACACACTACTTATTACTCTAAATATGCATAACTTTTATATGCACTAGGAAGTGTATATATCAATACTTAGAGATACAATTTCAGAAATGGTCAAATTAAAGAAAACAAGTTAAAAGTTTACAAGTTCTTATAATAATTATAGAGGCAAGATAAATTACAGATTCAATTTTTTAAACTAGTAATTTAATTAATCACATCATGGATAATGTTTAGAGCTAAAATTTATTCTGTATTTACATAATCAATATTGTAATTAAAAACCACTGAGTATTTTTTGTTGCAACTGAATGTTGTGTCCCCTCAAAATTCATGTGATGAAAACTTAACCTTCAGTATGATGGTAGCAGGACCTATAAGCTGCATATTTATAATGAACTTTGGGAAGTAATTAGCTTATTATGGTGGAGGCTTCATAAATTAGATTGGTGCCCTTAAAAATGACTCTTGAGAGCTCTTTCTGTCCACCATGTGAAGCTGCATTGAGAAGGCAGCAGTCTGAAACCCAAGAGAGCTCTCTCACCAGAACCCAATTATGCTGGCACTCTGCTGTTAGACTTCCAGCCTCCAGAACTGTGAGATGTGCATTCCGTTATTTAAAAGCCACTCAGGTTATGGAACTTTATTAAAGCAGCCTGAACCGCTGAAGGTGGAAATTGATCATGAGAAGTGGGAGTGCTGTTATTATAAATACCTAAAACAAAGTGAAAATGGCTTTGGGCTCAGTGATTGGCAGAGATTGATGAGGTTTTATGCAAAATGCTAGATTACTGTGGAAGAAATTTAAAAGCCAATTCTCGTGAGGGCTCGGAAAGAAATATAGAAGAAAACGCTGTCTTCTCAGAAAATAATTAAATAATCATGAACAGAATATTGATAAAATATGGACAGTAAAGGTCATTCTGTTGGAGTCTCAAATGGAAATGAAAATGTTATTGGAAAATGGAGCAAAAGCAATCCATGTTGAAAAGTGGAAACAAACTTCTTTGAATTGTATTCATGCTCTTGTGTTTTGCGGAAGGTGGAACTTGTGTGCAGTGAAATTGGACATTTAACCCAGCAGATTTCTCAGCAACATGTAGAAGCAGCAGCTTGGTTCCTTCTGAATCCGTAGAGTCAAATGTAGAAAAAGAAAAAGGTTTGAAGATGGAATTGTTAAGGAAAAAGTAACCATAATTTAAGATCTGGGAAATTCTCAGCCTGTCCATATTGCAAAAAAAGTGAGAAAGTGTGTTCTGAAGAGAACATGAAGAGTGTTTCGGACCCTTACTGATTTGATTAATATGGGTGTGAACCACAGGCTTAATCAAACATCTCAACACAAACCATGACTAGAAATGGGATTATACCAGGAGAAACACTGCCAGTTGGGACTAAAGGAAACAGAGATAATGGGACGAAATAAAGGAAGACATTCGGAATGCTTAAGCCCTACAGGCCCGGACCCGAGAGCTATTCAGTTGTGGATGTGTGCTATTCTCTCCTTCAAAATTACGGAAGAAGGGGCGCAAAGGGGATTTGGAGACAATTACAGCTGCTGCTTTTACCAAAAATCCAGAGGGTATGGCAAGGTGGGCCAAGGTTGCCTCCATTTTGATTTCAAAGGACAGAAATGATGCTCAGAGGAGCTGTGTGGGAGGGCCATCCAGTGAAGCCCTGGGTGAGTGACATCAGCCCTGACAAAAGACTGTGCCATAAGTGGGTCCAGTGCATAGAGTCAGCAGCGAGCAGTGCCTCACTGAGCTGTCGGGGACTGTCTGGAAGGTGAGTCATCAAGCCAAAGAGGATGCTTCTTGAACCTTAGGGTTTGATGGAGTTTGCCCTGTTAGGTTTTAGATTTACTTGGGATCCAGCATTCATATATTTTATTTTTTTCGAATAGTGGTTCTTTTTGGAATGGGAATGTTTATCCTATGCCTGTCTCACCATTGTATTTTGAAAGTTCATGTTGTTTGATTCCACAGGTTCACAGATGAAGAGAAATTTTGTGAGAATGAACTGTACCGTGAAGCTCACCTGCATCTGATTTAGGTAATATTTAAATAAGACCTTGGACTTTAGACTGGACTTGAGGCTGGAATGAGTTAAGATTTGTGGATTTGTTGGAATGGAATGACTGCATTTTGCATGTGAAGACATGAATTTTGGGGAACCTGGGGCAGAATGTTACGGACTGAATTTTTAAAGTGTACCCTCAAAATCTGTATATTGAAATCGTAACTGTCAATGTAATGGTATTAGTAGTGGGACCTTCAGGAGGTAATTAGGTTGTGATAGTAGAGGCCTCATGAATAGGCTTAGTGTTCTTATAAAAGGGACCTAAGAGAGCTCTCACTTCTTTCCCCATGTGCTTATACAAAAACCCAACAGTCTGCAACCGCAAAAGGGCCCTCCCCAAAACCAGAACATCCTGGCACTCTGACTTTGGACTTCCAACCCCTAGAACAGTAAGAAATACTTTTTTTGTTATTTGTAAGCCACTCAATCTATGGTATTTTGTATAGCAGCCCAAACTAAGACACTCCTCTACACTACAGTGTACACCACATTCTTCTGCCTCTTGGTATGCTTCAGTCACATTGAACTATATTTTGTTTACTAAACATGGCAAATTTATTACTGCACTATGGTTTTGCCATATAATTTTTCCTGTCTTTTCAAACAGAAATTATTTCACAGCATACGCAGCTATAGGCAATTATCTAGCTTATGTATAAAATTACTTTCCTGATATTTGTCTCATTTTTTGTTTTTAAATGTTTTAAATAAACAAATAATAATTGTTTTGAGGGGTACAGTATTATGTCTTCGTATATATTTATATTGTGGAATGATTAAATCAAGCTGCTTAACACATCTCTTATGTCACATATTTATCTTTTTGTTGTGAGAACACTGAAAATAGACTTTTTAGCAATCGAAAAAAGGCAAACCCTTAAAAGTAGAGAGTAGAATGCTAGTTAATGCTGGAGGCAAGGGATAGGGAATGGGGAGATGTTGTTCACAGGGTACAGTTTCAGTTAGACACAAAGATTGAGTTTTAGAGATTGACTTTATAGCAGAGTGACTATATTTAAAAATGACTTCTTGTACATTTCAAATTTTCTATTTAAAATACACGTAGTATCTGTATTCCCAGTTCTTAAAACATGACCTATTAAATAACAGATTTGCAAGACTGAATGATTTTTTTTTACCTTGTCCTGATCTCGATTTTTTTTAAACTTTATCTCATTAATTGCTAATTCTCTCTTTATGAATGTTAAATACTTAAAATAGCACCAAACATAACAAAACAAAACAAAAACAAAATTTGTTTTTTATTTCAAATGGCATGTTCCATTGCGTTCTAAGACTGGACTGTCTTGGAGATAAAGGAGACTTCATTATTTTATGTAATATTCCTTTGAGAAATCCTGAGCTTTGTGCAAAAATGACATACTTCATTTTTTTTTTGCATAATTTTGTCACTCCATAGAGCCCAGATCGAGTTCCTAAGTTCTCACTAAGGCACATGGGTCTAATTCCATTACATTTTTGGCCTGTGTCAATTAATTTTCTTTTCTCAGATAATAAATTTACACTCCTATTCCACTTCCGAGCAGTTAGACATTTTCAGCATGGAACATTCTATTAAAATGAAATGGCAAATTGCCTTGTAGCACACACATTTTCAAAGAATGTTTTGTCTGATAATGTAGTTCTTATGAGTTTCTTTCCAAAGTAATCCATTTACACAAAATACATTATTAATTTTGTGCATTTACAAACTACACATAATTTCAAAGTGATGTCATTGTTCCACAAATACATCTAGGTTTCAAAGTGATTGATTAAATTCTGTTTAAAATTTTGCACAGAAGTGCAGTATATAATCACATTTTATATCCCTCTGTGCAGGATATAGTTTTCTAAATCATACTCCGTTGTCAGGAGCATGTTCATCTTCCATACAGAACACACTGACTGAAAATAAGATCAAGTCTACACATTTGGGATATAAATTTTTGAGATTACTGCTCTTGGTATAATATATCTCTCTTGTACTTGAGCCTCTAGATCTTGCTGTTTTTAACACTTTTGTGCTCGCAAGATTTACGCTTCTGTATACTTTGTTTATATTCAGCAGCTAAGTATATTTTGTCCTGTTATCATGACTCAACCTGTGATTTGTTTCAAAAGTACAAGTAAGATTTTAAACATAATTATAGTGTAATCTCTTTAAATTTTGCTGCATTATCACTCAGAATGAGAAAAATATAAATTAAAAGTGTGTGCACATGTATACACATTGTTCAATATACAAACTTAGGTATCATGTTAGATTCATCACGATTTGAAAATGAAATCTGATTATAATACTTGCAAGATGACTTACAAGTTAATATTTATATGTACACTTACAATTTTTATAATTTTTAAAACCATCCAATATGTTAGTTTTCTTTGATTTCTAATGATAACAGTAGAAATATCTGGCCCTGGTTATCACATCTGGTTGTTATGATCAATAGAAACGATATATGCAAAAGCAAATACATTTTAAAACTTTTTAATATTAATTTTTATTGTTACATATTCTGAATAATGCAGTTTTATAGTTATTATTATAACATGACACAAATGGTAGAGATTTTGATGCCTACATTTTTAATAAAAATGTTCAAAACCATATTTCACAAGATGTATCATGCTGTAAGGTTGCAACAGCCCTCTCAAATAGAGTTCTGCCTTTCTCTTGCCATTTAAACTAATGCTATCTGAGAGTGCAACAGAAGGCCCTCATTACATGCTGGTATCTTGATCATTGACTTCCTTGCCTACAGAACTATCAGAAAATAATTTTCTATTTTTTATAAATTACCCAGTCTCAGGTATTTTGTTACAGCAGCACAAAACAGACTAAGACATAAAGTGTAAAATTATCCTTCCATATTGCTGCAAGTGAAATGATGTTATTTTTTATAGCTGTGTAGTATTCATGGTGCGTGTATGTGTGTGTATATATGTATATATGTATATCACATCATTTTCTTTATCCAGTTATTTGTTGATGGACACATGTTGATTCAATATCTTTGGTATTATGAATATTGCTGCTATAAATAAATGAGTGCAAATATCTTTTCTGGTATAATGATATTTTTTCTTTTGGGTATACACCCAGTATAGGATTGATAGAGTGAATTGTGGCTCTTTAATACTTGAAAAAATTTTCATACTGTTTTAATAGAGGTGGGACAAATTTACATTCCTTCTAATTATACTATAAGGCTATAGTAACAAAAACAATATGATAGTGATATAAAAATGGACACAATACTCAATAGAGCAAAATAGAAATTCCAGGAATAAAGTGACAAAGGCACTTTGTCACTTTATTAGTGGATATTTATAAAGGGACCTACCTACAGTCAATGGATGTTTGACAACATTGAAAAAAACATACACTGGGAAAAGGATATCCCCTTCAATAAATAGTGCAGGGAAAATTGGAAAGCCACATGCAGAGGAATAAAACTGGGCCCCTATCTGTTGCCATCCACAAAATTAACTCAGGATGAATTAAAGAATTAAATATAATACCTGAAGATATAAAAGTACTCATAGAATACCTGGAAAAACTCTTCTAGACATTGGCCTTGGCAAAAAATTTGTGACTAAGACCTCAAAAGCAAATTTAGCAAAAACAAAAGTAGACAAATGGGACTTAATTAAACAAAAAAGTTTCTGCACAGCAAAAGAAATAACTGAGAAAACAGATAACCTGAAGAATGTGAGAAAATATTTGCAAACTATGCATCCAACTAAGTACTAATATCCAGAATCGACAAGAAATTCAAACAACTCAACAACAACAACAAAATAGATAACCCCATTAAAAAATGGACAAAGTACATAAACAGGCATTTCTCAAAAGAAGACATACAAGTGGACAGCAAACATATGAAATAATGCTCAGTCTCATCATCAGAGAAATAAAAATTAAAACCACAACGAAATGTCACCTTATACTAGTCAGAATGGCTAGTTTTTAAAAGTCACAACACATCAGGTATTGATGAGAATGCAGAGAGAAGTGAGTGAATCCTTATATAGTATAGGTGACATTTTTATTTATAGAATATCAAAATAGTTACTTAAAATTCATTTGAATTATAAAATATTAAAATGTAGATTTATGAATACTTTGTACTTTCTAAAAGTTTAACCACAATAAAAATCCAAACTACCACTGTTGTGTCCATAATAATTCATAATTGTATGTGATGATGTTGAGAAATCTTCCTAAATATTAGGATGAGTCCCTCATTTATTTTAATGAAAATATCATTCTTAAAAGCATGTCAAGGAATATAGCTCAATAATTCAACAAATAACATTTGCAAATTGATAATCCATGGTTCAAAGATGTCAAGATGAACTCAAAGTCTACAGGGATACCCTTTTGATTCAAGGAAATAATGTTACCCTAAATGAGAGAAGATAGGGAAGACCATGTCAAATGAATCACTTTTTGATGTGGTTTGGCTGTGTCCCCACCCAGATCTCATTTTGAATTTTAGTTCTCATAATCCCCATGTGTCATGGGAGGCACCTGGTGGGAGGTAATTGAATCATGAGGGCGGTTACCCTCCGTGCTGTTCTTGTGATAGTGAGTGAGTCTCACAAGATCTGATGGTTTTATAAGGGGATTCCACATTTGCTCGGCTCTCATTCTTCTCCTTCCTGCTGCCATGTGAAGAAGGACTTGATTGCTTCCCCTTCCACCATGATTGTAAGTTTCCTGAATGTTCCCCAGCCGTACGGAACTGTTAGTCCATTAAAGTTCTTTTCCTTATAAATTACCCAGTCTCGGGTATTTCTTCATAGCAGCATGAGAACAGACTAATACACACTTCAATATTGATTTACATTTCTATGATCATCAGTGATCTTGAGTATTTTTTAATGTTTGTTGGCAACCTGCATGTCTTCTTTTGATAAATGTTTGTTTATGTCATTTGCCTACTTTGTAATGACATAATGTGTTTATTACTTATTGGGTTCCATGTAGATTCTGGATATTAGTACTTCGTTAGATGCATAATTTGTGAATATTTTCTCCTGTTCTGTAGGTTGCCTGTTTACTCTGTTGATTATTTCCTTTGCTGTGCAGAAGATTTTTAGTTTACTTAGGTCCCATTTGCCTATTATTATTTTTGTTTCATTTGCTTCTGATGACTTAGTCATAAATTCTTTGTCAAGGCTGATATTCAGTAAAGTTTTCCTAGGTTTTCTTCTAGGAATTGTATAGGTTTTTACATTTGAGTATTTAATCAATCTTGAGTTAATTTTTATATATGGTGAGATATAGGAATCCAGTTTTATTCTTGTGTATACGGATATCCATTTTTTCTAGTACAATTTATTGAAAAAGGTATCCTTTCCACATTGTTTATTTGTGCATGCTTTGTTGAAGATTAGTTGGTTGTAGGTATGTGGCTTTATTTCTTGGTTCTCTATTTAATTTTATTAAACTATGTATCTGTTTTTGTATTGGTACCATGCTGTTCTTGTTACTATAGGTTTGTAGTATAATTTGAAATGGGGTGAAGTGCTGACTCCAGCTTTGTTCTTTTTGCTTAGAATTGCTTTGGCTATCTGGGTCATTTTTTCAATTCAGAATTTCATATACACTTTGGGATTGTTGTTTTCTAATTCTGTGAAAAATGACATTGGTAGTTTGATAGAAATTGCACTGAATCTTTAGATTGCTTTGGACACCATGGTCATTTTTAATTTTTTTTAATCCATGAACATGGGATATTTTTCCATTAGTTTGTTTTATTTCAGGTTTCTTCCACCCATCTTTTGTAGTTCTTATTGTAGAAATATTTTACCTCCTTGGTTAAACGTATTTCTCAGTTATATGTGTGTGTGTGTGTGTGTGTGTGTGTGTGTGTGTGTGTGTGTGTGTGTCTATTGTAAATGAGATTGAGTTCTTGATTTTGTTCTCAGCTTGAATATTATTGCTATATAGAAATACTACTGACTATTGGACATTGACTTTGTATTCTGAAACTTTATTGCAGTCATTTGCCAAGTCTAGGAGTCTTTCAGAGTCTTTAGGGTTTTCTTTGTATAAGACCATGCCATCTCTTAATGTAACTTCTATCCCAACTTTTGTGGTAATTTTTTTCTTGCATTTTTCATAATTTTATTTTCTAATTTGTTTATCCAGAAATACCATTTAGTTCTGTTTGGTATTAGACTTGAAAACAGTGCAAATTTTCTTTCTTAATAAATAATGAAAATAAATTTCGTTTTTGAAATTCATCCATGTTTTTGCTTAGTTCATTCATTTTTACTGATGTATTGAGTAGTCTTAAGTTACCAATTTCATTTTTAATAGTTATGCTTTTTCCAAAAATTTTATAATAATTAGTAGTTTTATCATGACTATTCCTATATACATATTCATATAAATGCATAACCAAGAGTGCAATTGCTCATTTGGAGGGCATGCCATCTTTAGCACTATGACTATTAAATAAATTGTTTGCATTGATTAAGAGAGTGATATTCCACATCATCACCAGGACTGTGGATTGTCAGACATTTTAAGTAACTGTGGCTCCCCATACAGGATAACTTGGTTAAACTTGCTATTCACTTGGCATCCCTAGCATTATATTATTGTCATCATAAGAATGGAACCCAAAGTTCTGGAGTTTTTAATCAATTATTAAACAACAATTAATCGAATAGCGTGTAAGTTCCTAACCTTGTGCTAGCCGTTGTCCTACGTTTGTGATAAGAATAGATAAAGTGCCCTTCTACCTAGCAGTTTAGACAATAAACAAGGAGAAAAGAAATTAAATGTGTATTGTATGATAGCAGGTTAGTGATAATCACTAATAATCCAATGAGTTTATATGATACCAAAATATTGATTAGATCAGGAAATCACTGCTAAAGAGGAAACATTATTTATCAGTATGTTTATAACAGATGGAGCAATGAGTATAAAAGTCATGTGTTAGGGTATGCAAGATGATGATATAGAGCAGAGTAATCAAGGCAAAGGATAATGGTAGGTGGAGAAGCCAGCTTATAGTTCTGAGCAAGATTATATCTTTAGCTTTTATTAGGCATGTAAATGAAATACTTTTGAGATTTTCAGCTGGAAAAATGAAACTAATGTGAAATGCATTATATTGCCAGAGATGACTTCCATTGCCTGGTGGGGAAGAGACTGGAGGAAGGATGGATAATGGCAGCACACAGATGCTGCTGAGAAGCTATTTTAGTAGTTCATGTAAGAGACAATTGTCAAATTTGCAATAAACTTCCAGGTGAAATGGAATTGACTTTCTAATGGCTTGGAATGGTGTATATAAAACAGCTGGTAATGACTCCATGTTTTGAAGCTTTAGAAAATAGATTAATAATGGCTCAAATTACTGAGTGAAAAATTACTGGGAAAGAAGCAGGATTGGCAGGATGCAGATAAAGAATTCTCTTTTACTTACTAAGGTTGAGATGCCTATTTGATATTCAAGGCAGTCGCAAATGAGATGAGTGTTCAGGAATGAGATATCAGCTAAAGATATAAATTTTAGTCTTGTGCCCATATCTTAGCTGCAAGGAAGGATTTTATGAACTGCTGGTGAGACTGTAAATCAGTGCAATCAACGTAGACAAAGAAATAAATGCATACACCATGTCATCTTGTAATAACTCCCAACCCCCAACACCTAAAGAAGAGACTGTGTGTTTAAGTTGGGAGTGTATTGTGGAGTAAGAATAAGAAACAGGATGGGTGCTATAGGGAGAGAGAGTAAAATCTAGAACACATTATTAAGTTAGGTGATGGAATACTATATGACCATTCACTGAAGTGAAACAACGGGGGAAATATGTATCCATCAGCTCTAGGAGTTCCATTTTTCAAGCATAGCCTCATGGATGCTAACTTCTCGATGTGTCTAGACAGTGCATTTATGAGTAACAAGCAAAATGCCTACAACAATCCACACAACATTGTCTGAGAAATCCCACAGCAGAAAGTGAATTCTTGCTCTGGTCTGAAGCCACATACTATCACTTCCATCTTTATGAAACTGACCAAAGTCTACATAAAAATAGTAACCAAGGCTCTGACTGGAACAAGAGGTAATGCTGAGAGGGTCTGCAGTGATGTAAGATCCAATACACCCTATGATTTTTAAATTTTGTTCCTGGGTTTATATCCTAGAGAAACTCTGACATATATATGTGTATATATATATACATTCATATATATACACATTTAATATATATATACACACATACACATTCATAGCAGCTTTTTGTTGAAATAGCAAAAAATGAGAAAAAAACTAAATGGCAATATAATGAACAAAAGGGAGCTGTGTTTTGATATTTTTATATAGTACAATGCTAAACAGCATTTAAAATAATTGATAAGAATTATATGGGCCAACATAGATGGACATCATCAATGTCATATAAAACAAAATAAAGCAGAAGGTAGATAGACACTTTTTTTTTGAGTCGGAGTTTTTGCTCTGTTGTCCAGGCTGGAGTGCAGTGGCGTGGTCTTGGCTCACCGCAACCTCCGCCTCCCGGGTTCAAGCAATTCTCCTGCCTCAGCCTCCTGAGTAGCTCGGATTACAGGCACCCTCCACCACGCCTGGCTAACTTTTGTATTTTTAGTAGAGACAGGGTTTCACCATGTCGGCCAGGCTGGTCTTGAACGCCTGACCTCAGGTGATCCACCCACTTAGGCCTCCCAAAGTGCTGGGATTACAGGCATGAACCACCACGCCCTGATGATAGACACGTTTTTAACTTCTAAAAATATATGATCATGATTGTGTCTGTGGAGACTTGCACATATACTAAATTTTAAACAATTAGAGATATTTGTTCATTACCACATTTTGGGAGTCATTATTTCCTCTATGAAGAGAGAAAGGAATTTGATACAAGTTCACAGGGGCTTCCAGTAGATTGAGACTTTTATTTCTAGCTGAGCTGCTGATGTATGAATTTTTTTTGTTATTATGACTTTCATATGTATTAAAAATAAAATGAAAAAACAAGGATTAGGTGAGGAACCTATACGTCTCTAATATGCAAAATACCACAGAAATAATGACTGTTGGGAAATTAGGCCTTAGCTCTGATGTTTGAACCATCCCCTCAATGTTTCCCAGTGCTTCTTAGAGTATTTTGATCACCTCTGTGTTGGTGCTTTAGAACTAGAGAAGAACGTTTTGTTAACTTTTTTTTTTTTTTTTTTTTTTTTTTTTGAGACAGAGTTTCACTCTTATTGCCCAGGCTGGAGTGCAGTGGCACAATCTCGGCTCACTGCAACCTCTGCCTTCTGGATTCAAGCGATTCTCCTGCCTTGGCCTCCAGAGGAGCTGGGATTACCTGCCACCACATCTAGCTAACTTTTTGTATTTAGTTGGTCGGGCTGGTCTTGAACTCCTGACCTCAGGTGATCCACCCATGTCAGCCTCCCAAAGTGCTGGGATTACGTGTGTGAAACACTGCACCTGGCCTTTTGTTAACTTTTAGTTTAAGTTCAGCAGTACACGTGCAGGTTTGTTATACAGGTAAACTCGTGTCATGGGGATTTGTTGTACAGGTTATGTTGTCACCCGGGTATTAAGCTTAGTACCCATTAGTTACTTTTCCTCAACCTCTCCGTTTTCCCACCCGCTACTCTCAGGTAGGTCCGAGTGTGTGGTGTTCTCCTCTATGAGTCCATGTGTTCTTATCACTTGGCTCACATTTATAAATAAGAACATGCTGCATTTGTTTTTCTGTTCCTGCGTTAGTGGGAGCTGAGGATGGGTGGAGCTGAGGATAATGGTCTCCAGCTCCACCCATGTTCCTGCAAAGGACATGATCTTGTTCTTTTGTATGGATGAATACTATAAAGTCTTCCAAACTGTTTTGGTTTTCGTTTGTTTTCTTTCTTGAGAAAGGAAAGACAAAACAGAAATAAAAGAGTAGGCCGAGCGGGGTGGCTCACGCCTGTAATCCCAGCACTTTAGGAGGCTGAGGCAGATGGATCACTAGGGGTCAGGAGTTTGAGACCAGCCTGAACAACATGGTGAAATCCCGTCTCCACTAAAAATACAAAAAATCAGTCAGGCATGGTGGCACATGCCTGTAATTCCAGCTACTAGGGAGGCTGAGGCAGGAGAATCGCTTGAATCTGGGAGGCAATGGGTTGCAGGGTGTGCTGGGATGGCACCACAGCCTGGGTGAAAGAGTGAGACTCTGTCTCAAAAAAAAATAATAAAATAAAAAAGGGAGAGAGAAAGAGTACCAATGTATGGCAGAAATCAAGAGAAGAGTTTGCTTTTTTGAATAACTACACCCTGGACATTAGTTTCAAGAAACCGTCTGCTGGAAATATAACTATATGTTTAAGTTGACGGATCATTATTACACGTAGCAGAAAGAAAGTCACTCCTTGCTAGAAAGCCCTGTGTAGGTCATTAGGCATCACAGTGTGGAGTTATCTAAGCAAGCACCAAGGTAGGATATCTGAATAACTGATTTATTTCCATGTTTACTGACAATATTCATTGCAACAAGTCAGTAGAGAAACAGTAAAGAGGGCAGGCATGGCTATGCTTCTATAGAATCTAGTGAAGAGGAGATAATTTCAAATAACCCAAGAAGGTAAATGAGTAGTCAAATTTTCAAAAGGACTATTAACTCACAAACAGGAAACTATAATAGAAAATAGTTGGTTGAAGGCAGAATGCCCAGTTCAGAAAAGATTCCTCTGAAAAGCAATATATAAGCATAGACTTCGAGGATGAAGAGTCACTCATTTTGAAAGAGCAGATGAAGAAAGTTTCAGGACAAAGAAACAGCCATCTGCAAAGACCTCAACAAAGATATCACACAGAAAATGCTGTATTTAATCTGTTGCTAGACAAAAGTGAGCTACGGATCACATGGTCTTGGATGAGGGAGACAGATGATATAGTTTGGATGTCCCGCCCAAATCTCATGTTGAAACCAGATCCCCAGTGCTGAAGGTGGAGCTTGGTGGGAAGTGTTTGGATCATGAGGTCGAATCCTTCGTGACTTGGTGCTGTCTCCATGGTAGTGCACCTACCCCAACACACTCTCTCTCTCTTGTTCCTGCTTTCACCATGTGAAGTGCCTGCTCCTGCTTTGCCTTCTGTCATGAGTAAAAGCTCCCTGAGGCCTCTCCAGAAGAAGATGCCACTGTGCTTCCTGTACAGCCTGCAGGACTGTGAGTCAATTAAACATTTTTATAATATCCAGTCTCAGATATTTCTTCATAGCAATACAAGAACAGCCTAATATAACAGATAAGCAGGGACTAAAGTCATCAAAATTAGAATTGTGCATTTAATTTTGATTGCATTTAATTTTCATTGCATTTAATTTTGATTGCATTGAAAAGGCAGATGCTTTGAGGCTAGAATGAGGTAATAACTGTTTTGTTTTGTTTTGTTTTGTTTGCTCTTAACAAATTAGTGTGACTTCAGTCCATAGTAAATTGGAGAGGAACTGGTAGAACATAAAAGAACTGGTAAAAAGCCATTGTAAACACTCAAGTTTCAAAAACAATTTTGTGGTAAGGGCAAATCCTCAGGTCAAGAAAAGTGTGTTACTAAATTCCGTTAGTTTCCAGAAGAAAGATAAAGTCATATGACACAGATTTTACTCCTTACGTTAGAGAGTGTGCTAAGGATACCACCCACATTTTCCAACATTTATTTCCATCATGTTTTATGATCTTCATCTATATTCCATCCTCGTTATTTCTAGCAAGTCTATGAAATTTCTTACATTAATAGAAATAATGTATTAATATTCAGCAATGTGCTAAACATTGTTGAAACATTGTCTCAATATTACTCTTGGAAGAGCTCTAAGGTAGACAATATTTCCAATATATGAGTCATGAGGAAACTGAGGAATGGAAAGATTAAACAACTTGTTGAGGGTAGCATAATTGTAAATGGTGAAGACATAATACAAATCCTAATATCTATGACTCTAATGCTTTAAAAAATCATTATATACACTACGCTGTCTCTGATGTGTGAATCTACCCACTTCTAATTCATTATAACAAGTATTTGTTGCCAGGTAGCATTCTAGGCTTTGGGGATACATCTTTGGAAAAGCTTACAGAAATCTCTGTCCTCAGGGAACTAATATTCTAGGGACTATACAATAAACAATAAGCAAAAATGTAACATGTATAGTGTGTTAGACTGTAGTAAGTACAATGGCAAAAAATTAAGAATGGAGAATGTCTAAGGGGACAGATTGTTTGGAATTTGAATAAAGTGGCTATGGAAAACCTCACTGGGATAATGGCATCTGACCAAAAGCATGAGGAAGATATAGAACAAACCGTATCTGTTGCATGTTTAGTAATAACCAAGAAAATACTGTACGTGAAGCTGAGTGAGAAAATTACATAGTGGAAGGAGGGAAGTCCATAGAAGAATTGGGGGCTTCATGTGGTGGAGCATCTATAAAGCATTGTGCAAGATTCTGACTTTTACAATGAATGAAACGAGAGATCAGAGTTTTACACAGAAAAAGGTAATAACCTGATACATGTTTTAAAGTGATTATACAAATTGCTCTTTTGAGGATGTACTGAAGGGTGCCTTACGCAGAATCAGAAACACCTGTTTGCTGGCCATTTCAATAACCTGGGCAATAAATGATGGTGGTTAGCACCAGGATGCTAGTGGTGAAAGTAGCAAAAATGATCAGAATTGAGCTGCATTTTGAACATACAGTTAATAAGTTCTGTGGCATGACAGAAAAATGATTCCATAATATTTCTATTGAGCAACCTTGTTGATGTGATATTCAAACTAAGTCCTAATATTAAACAATGTAGGAATTTCAATGAAAATATGACCAAAGGGAGAAAATGGCTCCCAACCTACTGTAATTAAAGTTCCCTTCTGTTGTTTTAAAATGCTACTATGGATAGAGAAAACAAGATATGGATTTGGAAGAAAATTACCCACAGTCTAATTGTCAGATTTATTGACTTAAAGATGTTACATGGCAATAAAGTTGAAAGAAAAATAAGAAGAAATTCTAAAAGCCAGCATGTTAGATTTATTCCCTCCACAAAAAGAATTGCTAATATTTATAAAGTGAGATAATAGGCCAAATACTTGTACTTGGCATAATTGCATTTTCTCAACAAATCCTATATAATCAACATTGTTTTATTTGTATATGTGTGAAAAATCATGACACCTGCAGTTTAAGTTACATTTGTATGAAACAGTCAATATGTGGCAGAGCCAGAATAAAGCCCACGTTTAGATTAAAGGAATTCTCTTTCCATTGCACCCACCCGTATTGCCTGTGGAAACCCTAAACAAGCCATTTAAATTTGTTGGAATTCCGTTTTTCAACTTTTTAAAACCTCTTAAGAGTCCAGTCCTAAATCAAGTTAATGTTTAAATTCTTCACTTATGCTTAGTATGTACATTATTCCAAAATGTGAATTGGTCCCAAATATCATATTCATTCTAACAGAGGACATTAAAAGTTTAAAAGATATCTGTTATATGGCTGAACTGATTATATTTTATCGGAAAGTGAAAGGAACTGAAAGGAACTACTCAGCATATTTCTAATGAGTATACAGAGGAAAAGTACTTTGCCTCATTTAATTTTGTAAAATCTCTCTCTGGCACATAATTCACAGTCTTTTTTTGCCCACAGGAATAGTGAGGCAGATATGTATTAATTCATGTCATAATACAAGAATAGGTAGCGATAAAACACTGGCATTTTCCAAATTGCCAGTATAAAGAATTGCCAGAAGAACATGGGTATTAGCTTCAGATTCTCCAAGGGGTTAACATTTATGTTATCTGTTAAATATGAATTATGTATTAACTTCTCATATTTCATATATAAAACTTTATGCTTTGGTCCTGTTCCTCGGGATGACCTTGATGTAATCAGAAATAATAGTGTTCTTTACCAAAGACATTAATCAATAACTTTATAATACGAAGCACTATGAATATTTAATGGCTTCAGCTTGAATAATTCAAATCCCGTATTACTAAAAAATAAAGTCAGTTGAGTGACTGAGAGTTCCATATTCCACAATTCCTACTCTGCTTACTACCTATTCTATTTACTATTCTCTTTACTATTTGAGAAGGGTATGGAGTTGTGTATGTTGCAAACATCACGTAACTTTTGTTCGACTTTCTTGAACACGTCATATTATTTTTTTTAGTTCATTTTCTGAATATAAGTAATTTTTGGTGAATTAATACTTTAAACAAGAGTTCACCTGGAAAGCAGTAGGCAAAATTTCATTAAAAATATTATTTTATTAACATACCTTAAAAATGTAATAGGACAATGCCTCAAAGAACAATTTCAAAATAAAAACACAGAAAACAAATGACCAGCAAAATTGCTCTGAAGTCTTAAAAACAGAAATAAATACTTCAATAATCATAGGTAATATGGAAATCCAATGTATGACTTACCTATAGAAAACCCTTCTGGAATTTCATTTAAATCTAACGTCAATATGAGCTATGTAGGAAGTCCATTAATAAATAAGAATATTATATAGGTACACATGTATATATTAATTTTAAGCCATATGCAGCCCTATTTGAAAATGTTAAAAAAAATCATCAGGATTAGTCCATACTGATTATTAAAAAATAAAATTGTCACTGCTCATTGTAGAAGATAAATGTCAGCTGTGCAGCAGATGTGTTTATAGCCACCCAGTAATCCTATCGCCTCAATAATGCATTTCCCTTTTTTTAGTTAAAAACTTAATTACATTAAGAAACTGTATGTGTTTAGGAATATGAATATAGAAGGAGTAATCATCGTTTAGTAAAATAAGTTTTACTTGCATATTAAAATTTACTGTGTTTGTGAAGATGCTGATAGTACATTACATATGGAGATCCAAGTGCACATAGTCACTAATTCTTTAAACTATGTTTGATATTAGTAATAATTTACTTTACATATATATCGGAATTTAATTGAAAAATAGTAAATGACTGCTAATATACATTATTCTTCTGAGTTGCATTTTTGCTTAATGAAATAGAATTTTTAAAAAAATTGTTTATCTTTATTCCTACTAGATTATACATTTCATGAGAAAAGCATTATCTCTTTATTAGTATATTTGTTTACCTGTATTAGAACTTGACTTTGAAATAAACCAGATATAATACCATTGTTGTAGATGTATTTATTGTAGTAAAAATAATATTCTGCATCTGAGTTTTGAGCAAGGAGATTTTACAGTCTCCTTTCAGTTAGAAAACTACAAGACCCTCTTAACTGATGTTGGAAATGTAAGTAAAGAAGATAAAAATTAAAATGATAAAGAAAAGCATTTGGGGTATAGTAGCACTGTGCTTCCCAGGAGAATGAGTTGTTAAGTGCTCACTCCGCATTTTTCAGTAACATATACTTAAAGTAAGCACACAGGGGCTACAGACGCTATTTTTTGGTTCAACATGACCTGAGCAGTTAATTATTTGTAAAGGGAAGAAGCAAGAATAGGCTCAGGGAGGGAGACAGAGAAAGACTGGGTAGGGCGGGGAGGGAGGGAGAGTTTCACCTGTATCTAAAACAGATCAGAAGCAATTTCTTCCTCCAACTCCTCACTTGTCTATTTCTACTAATAAAGAGCAAAACCAGACAAAATAGATTATTGTGTCATTTTTGTTTTCTTATTTTGTAATACACAGAAAAACTCAAGCTGGAGACGGAAATGAACAGATGCACATGGCTGGAAAGACTCAGTGCTAATCTCTACAATGTTGTTTTAATAGAATGGAGACAGGACCACATACTTTCTTACAATAATGAGGATCAATAAAGACAAAACTGACACTTTGTAATGAATAATGATCTGAACACTCACCTGAGAAAGTATCTCTTTGTTGCAGGTTTTTGGAAATGGGCTATATTTTTTGAATCATAACCGATATGTACTGCCATAAACAAGAGGATTTCAAGCCAGCTCCATCTGGTCGAAAATTATTTTATTTATTACTAAGAGAAAAGTGTAAGACAAGTCCTGTGGTAAAAACAGATTTATTGCCTCTGCTATTCACCTGTGTTATTTCTTCATATATTACCATTGACATATATTATCCATTCTTCACAGCAATGGCTTTGCCGTGGCAAATTAAATATCTCATTGTCCTTCTCTGTCCATTTTACATTATAATGTTTCTGAGCAGACTTTTATAGCTCTCTCACAGAATTATAGCAAGTCTTTAAATAAAAACAAAATTGAAACAAAAATTTTAGACTCAACTTAAAATCCCTCTTTATTTTATAATTTGGATTTTTAAGTAAAATATGCTATATCCTATTTAACGAGAACTTTCATATGTAATGTATCAATGGAATTATCTAAAGCTCATTTGGTTTTGCATAAAAACACAATTAGAGTAAAAACATTCTAAAATAGACACTGGAATAAAAACAATGAAAGCAAAACTATTAATTTTACATTTTTCATTCAAGTATTTTGATTTTTACTATATTATATTATTATATTAGGTATCAGAGTAATCATTGATCGCTTTCAAAACCCTGCTCCTTTCTAGGTGCAATGAAGAATTTTTATTTTATTGAAAAGTTATCTTAAGATGTAAGACTTGTGAATGATAGTAAAGATTTAGTAGACCCAATGTATTCTCAGATAAATGTAAAATAAGCAAGATATGAATTAAAGGATAAATATAGAGTTTAACAGCATAGATCTTAAAATCCATTATCATAAGGTAGAAGGATGTATAATTTATCATGATTAAAATATACTAAATATTCATATCACAGCATTCTGATTTCTGATATCTACAATTTAGGTGACATATATACATATGTGTGTATGTATATATAACTGTATTATTTGATATTTTAAAAGATAAAAGAGTTATATATTCAAATACCAGTATAGATGTTGCTCTGAAAGTATTGTTAGATGAGATTAACATGAAAATCAGTAATTTCTGAGAAAAGCAGATTATTTTCCAAAATATTGTAGGGCTCATCCAGTCAATTGATTATATTAAAAGACTGAGATCCCTCAAGGAAATAATTCTGCCTGCAGATTGCCTTTCGACTTGAGACTGTAACATCAACTTTTCTCTAGGTCTCTTGCTTGCTAGCCTACCCTGCCAATTTTTTATACATTAAAAAATATTTTTCTCAAATATTGTAGTTCTGCTATTTCCAGAAACGCTTGAGGATTGTACTTCCAAGTTCTTTTAAAGTTGATCATCGTCATGAAACTCATCATCAAATGGCATTTGAGCAAAATCTTTATTAATTAAACATGAGTGGAAGTTTAAAGGCCAAAGCACAACTCACTCAGGCATTGTGAACTATGTGTGCAGACAGATCACAACTCATCCTTGGTCTCTGGGTGTGTCTGCGTCTATTACTGACTTACCCTGGATATGTAAAATGAGTAAGAAAAACTTTTTGTGTTAGCCACTGGGATTTTTGGTTTGTGTATTACTTTAGCATATTATCTCATTTTGAATGCTATAGTTTAGGACACTAGTTTAAACTACTGAAGTTAAAATGTTCTCCTTATTTCAGAGGAGAGAAGGATCTTACAGTGACAGACATCCATTAGTAAGAATTAATTTCTAGAGATAAAGTGAATTCAGTAACCACAGTGTCAGTAGAGTCAGCATGGTCAAAATAGTCTACATGGGAAATGTTTGGTGGCTCTTAGTTGATCATGGAGTCTCTAGAACCAAAAGTTATGAATGCCAATTAAGTTTCGATTTGGCTTATATGATCTCAAATCTTCAGGTTTACAAAACATATCTTGAGCCACCACCCAGCTCTGTCACCCAGGCTGGAGTGCAGTGGCACCATCTCAGCTCATTGCAGCCTCCGCCTCCGAGGTTTAAGCGATTCTCATGCCTCAGCCTCCTGAGTAACTGGGACTACAGGTGCTCACCACCATACAGGGATGTTTTTTCTATTTTTTTGGAGAGACACGGTTTCACCATGTTGGCCAGGCTGCTCTCGAACTCCTTACCTCATGATCCGCCCACCTCGGCCTCCCAAAGTGCTGGGATTACAGGCGTGAGCCACGGCGCCCAGCCCATTTTTTCTTTTCACCCACCTCGGCCTCCCAAAGTGCTGGGATTACAGGCGTGAGCCACTGCACTGAGCCTACAGCTCATTTCTTAACACATAAAGCTTTGCACCTCTCCACAAAACTGCCATCAGGGATGTCCCCAGAAACCATTCATCCCAGGTGCCACGCAGAGAAGAGTTGCTTGTTCTCCTTTTCCCTTTACCTCTTCCCTCTCACCTCATCATGTTCATTCATTCATCCCTTTTCCATTCTCACTTTTAAGCTTTAACCTTTCAAAAGCCTATCTTCCCCTATAAGTAATGTATTGTAACTCCCGCCATCACCATATCCTTCTCCAACCAACCAAACTGCCATCCTGAGTTTATGGAAAGTCCATAAACTAAGAAGAAATGGGAAACATTCATTGCTAACTTGGCAGCCCCTCATCCACCCTACGTGAGAGCACAGATCTTATTGTCTTTGAAGACCCTTTCTTTTTTTTTTTTTTTTTTTTTTTTTTTGAGAAGCAGTCTCACTGTCGCCCAGGCTGGAGTGCAGTGGCACAATCTCGGCTCACTGCAAGCTCCAACTCCTGGGTTCATGCCATTCTCCTGCCTCAGCCTCCCGAGCAGCTGGGACTACAGGCACCCGCCACCACGCCCGGCTGATTTTTTTTGTATTTTCAGTAGAGACAGGGTTTCACTGTTAGCCAGGATGGTCTCGATCTCCTGACCTCGTGATCTGCCTGCCTCGGCCTCCCAAAGTGCTGGGATTACAGGCATGAGCCACCGTGCCCAGCTCCTTTTTTTTTTTTAAAGACAGGTCTCACTCTGCTGCCCAGGCTCAAGTGCAGTGGTGTAATCATGGCTTACTGCAGCCTCCAACTCCTGTGCTCAGGCTATCCGCCTGCCTCAGCCTCCCAAGCAGCTAGGACTACAGGCACACACCACCACACCTAGCTAATCTGTTTAGTTTTTGTAGAGATGGGGGTCCTGCTATGCTGAACAGGCTGGTCTCGAACTCCTGGCCTCAAGCAATCCTCCCACCTTGGCCTCCCAAAGTGCTGGGATGACAGGCATGAGCCACCATGCCTGGTCTGAAGACTTTTAAATGCTGCCATATTCAAGACGCGTTGAAACTCACCTGTATTCGATGAGCCTGCTTTTCGCAAATGAGTAACATAAAACAGACTGAAATACCTTAAGCTTCTCAGCCTTTTACCCTCCTCTGGAATAATGAGTGTATCCCAAAAGTAAATCCATAATGAGGTCCAGTTTTTCCTTCATCCTTGGCTATGAAATAGACAAGAAAAAGGCAAGCTAGCCATTTCCATCTCACTATAGCAGACTCTCATGTTTGCTTTTTGACCGTACGTGGGAAGCGGGGGCCTGACTGCTTTCCTACTTCCTAAGCACAACTTACTTTTCCTAGGAAATTCTCAACACAACCTACATGGATTAAACCAGGTTCCCCCCTTTGTTTCCAATATTCTTACAGCCAAAATGTCCAGAATGGGCAAGGCAACCTGAAAAAATGAGGACGGGTACATTATCCCATGCGCTAAACTGCCACTTACACTGGTTAGTCATGAAATCGGCAAAATTCCAGATGAGCTCTCCAACCACGTATTTTCTGCGTTTTTGATCCAGACCCAGATGGTACTGCTCTAGCAGACTTTTCCGGTCCTCTTCACTGAACATCAGAGGTGGATCCTGGGATTCAAGGCAAAGAGAATTAAGAGTAAGAACTGGCAGAATTGTAAATGTTAGATAAAAATAAAGATCCACTTGATGGTGACCAAAATATCTGTCCTCACTGGGGGCTGTAGGGACTGCAGGACTCACTGATGCTAGGGTAAAGACAGCCAGGGAGAAATTGGAAATCATCATTCTCAGTAAACTATCGCAAGAACAAAAAAACAAACACCGCATATTCTCACTCATAGGTGGGAATTGAACGATGAGATCACATAGACACAGGAAGGGGAACATCACACTCTGGGGACTGTTGTGGGGTGGGGGGAGGGGGGAGGGATAGCATTGGGAGATATACCTAATGCTAGATGACGAGTTAGTGGGTGCAGCACACCAGCATGGCACATGTATACGTATGTAACTAACCTGCACAATGTGCACATGTACGCTAAAACTTAAAGTATAATAATAATAAAAAAAAATACAAAAAAAGAAACGACAGCCAGGGAATGATGTAACCCAGAATTAAAAAGGAGGTTTAAAAAAAAACCATCAATTAGCAACTGCTTTATTTATAAATATAACCTGATACTCAATTTTTCTTACTTTTCCGTCTCTGTCTGCTGATACAGTCTTAAGGCTGAACTACACTAGAAGGAAAAATATGTCTTTAGGTCAGGCGCGCTGGCTCATGTCTGTCATCCAAGCACTTTGGGAGACCGAGGTGGGAGGACTGCTTGAGCCTAGGAGTTCAAGACTAGCCTACAAAAAGTACAAAAGTTAGCCAAGCATGGAGGCACACACCTGTGGTCCCAGCTACTTGGGAGGCTGAGGTGGGAGGACTGCTTCAGTCCCGGAGGTCAAAGCTGTGGTTTGCACCACTACACTCCAGCCTGGGTGACAGAACAAGACCCTATCTCATGAATGAATGAATGAATGTAAAATGAAATTAAACTAAACCAGGCTGGGCATGGTAGCTCAGGTCTGTAATCCCAGCACTTTGGGAGGTCGAGGCAGGAGGATCACTTGAGCTCAGGAGTTCAAGATCAGCCTAGGCAACACAGTAAAACCCAGTCTCTATAAAAAGGCTAAATATTCGCTAGGTATAGTGGCGCATGACTGTGGCTCCAGCTACTTGGGGGGCCGAGGAGGAAGGATCACTTGAGCCCAGGAGGTTGAGCAGTGAGCTGTGATTACGCCACTGCACTCCAGCCTGGGCAACAGAGTAAGGCTGTCTCAAAAAAAAATTTTTTTTAATTAAACCAGATAAATTCAGTTATCCTAGTCATATATCAAGACCTCAATAGCCACATGTAGCTAGTGGCTACCATTTCAGACAGTGCAGACATGGGGCATTTCCATCATTGCAAAGGTTCTTTTTTGAAACAAGGTCTCACTCTGTCACCCAGGTGGGAGTACAGTGGTGCAATTATGGCGGACTGCAGCCTTGACCTACTGGGCTCAAACAGTCCTCCTACCTCAGCCTCCCAAGTAGCTGGGACTAGAGGCAAGCACGACCATACCCAACTATTTTTTTTTTTTTTTTTTTTTGAGACGGACTCTTGCTCTGTCGCCCAGGCTGGAGTGCAGTGGCACAATCTCGGCTCACTGCAACCTCCACCTCCCCAGTTCAAGCGATTCTCCTGCTTTAGCCTCCTGAGTAGCTGGGATTACAGGTGCATGCCACCACACCCAGCTAATTTCTGTGTTTTCTTAGTAGAGACGGGGTTTCACCATCTTGGTCAGGCTGGACTTGAACTCTTGGCCTCGTGATCCACCCACCTCAGCCTCCCAAAGTGCTGGGATTACAGGCGTCAGCCACTGCACCCAGCCACAACTCATCTTAAATATTTTGTAGAGATGGGGTCCATGTTGTGCAGACTGGTCTCAAACTCCTGGGCTCAAGAGATCCTCTGACCTCGGTCTCCCAAAGGGCTAGCATTCCAGGTGTGAGCCAGCACACCCAGCACTGCAGAGGTTCTATCAATGCTCACCTAGACCCTCTCGAGTTTCTTAAGAATTCAGAACTGGGGCTGGGTATGGTGGCTCATGCCTGTAATTCCAGCACTTTGGGAGGCCAAGGCAGGTGGATCGCTTGAGGTCAAAAGTTCAAGACCAGCCTGACCAACGTGGTGAAACCTCATCTCTACTAAAAAAAAAAAAAAAAAAAAAAAAATTAGGTGAGCATGGTGGTGCATGCCTGTAATCCAAGCTACTTGGGAGGCTGGTGCAGGAGAATTGCTTGAACCTGGGAGGCGGAGGTAGCAGTGAGTCAAGATTGCACCACTACACTCCAGCCTGGGCGACAAGTGAAACTCCTCCTAAAAGGAGAAAGAATTCAGAGCTGGTTACCTTTTCAAAGAGAATGAACAAGGGTGCATATCCACAAATCACTTCCCCCTACTTGACTAGTTTGCAGAAGTGTCATTCTGTAAGCACGATAAATTTAAGGGTGCAAACAGAACAGTGCAGTCCATTGTGGGTGGCTGTTCCCTGTGTGTCAACGGGAGTCCCAGGAGCTGTGCAAAAGAGTGTGAGCTGGCTGGGGAGGGGACAAGGGGCTGGATGGGGTTCAGGAATCCACATGAAAAAAACCCCACAAGACAAAGCAACATATCTTTGGTGAGAAGGACAAAAAATGAGATGGATAAACAAATGAGGACAGGCCAGGCATGGTGGCTCAGGCCTGTAATCCCAGGATTTTGGGACGCGGAAGCAGGCAAATCACTTGACGTCAGGAGCTCAAGACCAGCCTGGCCAACATGGCAAAACCCCACCTCTACAAAAATACAAAAATTAGCTGGGCATGGTGGCAGGTGCCTGTAATCCCAGCTGCTTGGGAGGTTGAGGCAGGACAATCGCTTGAGCCTAGGAAGTGGAGGTTGCAGTGAGCTGAGATCACACCATTGCACTTCAGCCTGGGTGACAGAGTGAGACTCCATCTCAAAAAAAAAAAAAAGACAAAGTGAGTGATTAAACATGGCTCTAAGATCTCACCCATGCCCTCAATAGGTATTATTTAGCATGTACTGTGTCAGCTATTGCAGAGTACCTGGGAAACAACAATAAATAGGACTCCTGTCTCCTGAGCCCACAGTCCGATCAAAGAGAGAGCCAAAGAAATAACAACGGTGCCTGGCGAGAATGTTGGGGGAGCCAGGTTCCGGCTGCAACAGGGCAGAGCACGGGGAAGGTTCCCTCCGCCTGGGGCAGGCAGGGTAAACCTCCCCACAGAGGGGACAGCTATGAGGAGACTCAGATGCCAAATAGGAATCTTTCCAGCCACGTGTCGTGACTCATGCCTGTATTCCCAGTACTTTGGGAGTCCAAGACAGGAGGTGAAGACCAGCCTGATAGCGAGACTCATCTCTACAAAATATTTTAAAACTAGGCTGCACATGGTGGTGCACGCCTGTAGTCCCAGCTACTCAGGAGGCTGAGGCAGGAGAATTGCTTCAGCCCAGGAGTTCGAGGCTGCAGTGAGCTATGATGACACCACCACACTCCAGCCTGGGCAACAGAACAAGACCCTGTCAGGAAAAAAATAAAAAATAAAAAAAGGCTAGCACAGTGGATCACACCTGTTAATCCCAGAACTTTGGGAGGCCAAGGCAAAAAGATCAATTGAGTCCAGGAGTTTGAGACCAGCCTGGGCAACATAGCAAGACCCTATCTCTAAAAAAATAAAAAGAAAAGGATCTTTTAGTTGGTGATTATGGTGCCAACTTGGGCATTCCAGGCAGAAAGAATAGCTCAAGCAAGAGCAGGAGAGCAAATGAGGGCAGTGGAAACAGATCAGTGGCCAGGAGTGAGAAGAGAAGAGGATGAAAACCCAGGAGAGAGCAGAGGACACTGAGTGTCCTGACTAGGGGTTAGGACTTTGTCCTATGGGCCTGGGGGAGCCAATGACAGGACTCAAAAATTTTGATTTGTGGCCGGGCACAGTGGCTCACACCTGTAAATCCCAGCGCTTTGTGAGCCTGAGGCAGGAGGGTCACTTGATCCCAGGAATTCAAGACCAGCCCGGGGAACACAACAACGCCCCATCTCTACAAAAGTAAAAACATTAGCCAGGCATGGTGGCCTGTGCCTATGGTCCCAGATACTCAGGAGGCTGAGGTGGGAAGATCGCTTGGGCCCAGGAGGTTAAGGCTGCAGGGAGCAGTGATCGCACCACCGCACTCCAGCTTGGGTGACAGAGAGAGAGGCGGTCTCAAAAACACATAAAAATTTGGATTTCTTAGAAAGACCACTTGGGCACGGGTGATAGGAGGCTGTCTGGAAACAAGGCCAGTAAGGAGTCCACCTTTGAGGACCAAGCGAGTGGGGCAGAGGCCTGGCTGCTGGTGAGAAGGGAACGTGGACAGGGTAGCGGGAGGTGAGCCCAAAGCTGAAGCAAGGGGAGCACTGCAGTGGGCGCAGGGCAGGGTGGGGGAGGCAAGTGGCATCTCTGCCCAGAGAGAATACACAAGCAGAAAGTTCAACACCGCTTACCTGGTGAAGCCTTACAAGCGTTTCCACTCCATACGCGCTCTGAATAATGGGATTGTGATGTCTTACACCAATTCTCAAACTGGGCGGCCAGCTGCAGCTGAATCAACTCCAGGTGCCCGTAGTTGCGATACCAAGAGTAGTAGCTGTTCACACGGATCACATCCACATACAGAGCCTAGGACCAGAGCAGCAGAGCCCGTTCAGCAACCACAAGACCGCATGACTCAGTACTCACATGCTGTGGGGGCTCCTCTGACAGAGAAGGTAAGAAGGGGATGTAATCCCAGCACTCTGGGAGGCTGAGGCAGGAGGGTGGCTTGTGGCCAGGAGTTCGAGACCAGCCTGGGCAACACAGCAAGACCCCAGCTCTACAAAAAATAGTATCAAGAAAATCAGCACGGCACAGTGGCTCATGCCTGTAATCCCAGCACATTGGGAGGCCAAGGTGGGAGGATCACTTGAGCCCAGGAGTTTGAGACCAGCCTGGGCAACATCGTAGGACTCCATTTCTACAAAACAAAACAAAAAGCCTACAACGGGAAGAGCTGCCTCTCGGGGCTGAGAACATCCAACTGCACCAATTTAGATCCTGAAATTACCCTGCCCCACAAGCAAAAAACATGGTCACAAAGTGGCCCAAAGGAGGCAGGCCTGTGATTGCACACTGACGCTCACGACGTGTGCAGCTGGGAAGGGCTGTGAGAGGCAGAGCAGCTGCCAACACGCAGTCCTCAGCCAAAACCCAGGGCCCCCGCCACTGGAACTGACTCCTCTCCAGGCAGCACTCCCAGCACTGGGCATCCCCTCACCTTGCCCTGGAGAAGCCCTCCCACCCAAGGGGCCAATGCAGTCATTCTCGCAGATAATCTTTTTCCGCTTTGTTTGGAAGACAGAGTCTCGCTCTGTTGCCCAGGCTAGAATGGAGTGGCACAATAATGCAACCTCTGCCTCCCACGATCAAGCGCAGGCGTGGTGGCATGTGCCTGTTATCCCAGCTACTTGGGAGGCTGAGGCAGGAGAATTGCTTGAACCTGGGAGGCGGAGGTTGCACTGAGCTGAGACTGTGCCACTGCACTCCAGCCTGGGCAACAGAGCAAGACTCTATCTTAAAAAAATAATAAAAAATAAAAAAGAATGCTAGTATCAGCCAGGCACGGTGGCTCATGCCTGTAATCCCAGCACTTTAGGAGGCTAAGGCAGGAGGATCACTTGAGCTCAAGAGTTTGAGACTGGCCTGGGCAACATAGTGAGATCCCATCTCTACAAAAACATTTAAAATTAGCCGGGCACAGTGGTGTACACCCGGAGTCCCAGCTACTTGGAAGGCTGAGGCAAGAGGGTTGCTTAGGCCCAGGAATTCAAGGCTGCAGTGAGCTGTGATCACACCACTGCACTCCAGCCAGAGCAACAGAGTAAGACCTTGCCTTCACACACACACACAAAAAAACAAAAAACTCAGGTTCCAACCCTGGAGTTACTAAATCAGGATCTCAGAACGCAGAGATCTGGCATTTCAATAAAACTTCCCCTGGAGATTCTGATCAGCCAGGTTTGGGCCAGATGAACTCTAAGCTCACTTAAACCTTTGACATTTTATGAGTCTATTAAATCGAGTACAAAAAATGCTGAGTCCAAACCGGGCAAACAAATCCCATCTCCCTATGCCCAGCCTCCTTGGATTCAGAAAGCCACACTGCCTGGAGAGTAAGCAGAGAGAGAATTGTCATTAACCCAAAGACCATCTTTGAAAACAGACTGGCTGCGGCTGAGTGCGGTGGCACACGCCTGTAACCCCAGCCCTTTGGAAGGCCGAGGCAGGAGGATCACTTGAGCCCAGGAGTTCGAGACCAGCCTGGGCAACATGGCAAGACCCTGTCTCTATCTTTCTAAGTAAAACAAAATAAAAAGCTCAGACTGGCAGCACATGGTTCTTTCCAGCTGTTCCCATGAGCAGGCTTCAGGACAAGCCCAGGCAAAGGCAGGGAGAAATGGGGTGGGGACCCCCAGGCTCACCCCCTTGTCTGCTGCGTAGGTGGAGTTGGTCACAAAGGTCACAGGCTGGGAGGGGTCCAAGGCTTTGGTGTGAGCAATCACCATCCTGTCCACAAAAGAGAGAAGACACAGGTTCCGTCAGTCCGGGAAAGGCTCAGACACCCTCCCATCCTCTCTGTCCCATCTTCCCCTGCCAGAACACAACTGGGGGCCAGGCACGATGGCTCACGCCTGTAATCCCAGCACTTCAGGAGGCTGAGACAGGCAGATCACTGAGGTCAGGGGTTCAAGAACCGCCTGGCCAACATGGCAAAACCCCATTTCTACTAAATATACAAAAATTAGCCAGGCATAGTGGCACGCATCTGTAACTCCAGCTACTCGGGAGGCTGAGGCACAAGAATTGCTTGAACCCGGGAGGTGGAGGTTGCAGTGAGCCGAAATCACGCTACTGCACTCCAGCCTGGGCCACAGAGCAAGACCCTGCCCCAAAACAAACAAACAAACAAACAAACAAAAAAAAAAAAAGAAAGAAAAAAAAGGAAAAAAAAAAAAAAAAACAAAGCACAGAGCCGCTGCTTTCTTCCCTAACTTGAGATGTATTTTACATAAGGGCACGTTCCTCTAGTCCTAGACCGAGCTCTCTAACAACACTCTTTCTCCCCCACCCCTGAATCCAACTCCCCCAGAGGCGTAGCCACCCTGCCGGGTACACAGAGCTGAGGTCACTGGACTGAACACTGCCAGAAATGAGGTTCACTTCCTGAAATAGCTCTTGAACACAGGAGTGAATGGGCTGTGGATTCAGGTGGAATATTTATTAATGCATCAAGCAAACAGGTAGTGCGAGGTGGGAGGTAGGCATGAGGCTGGGTGCTAGGTGCTCAGTAATGACTCAAATCTAAGTCCACAGGTCCTGGGCAGTGGGAGTGGAGATGCATGCACAGAAAAACGGTGCAAGTGCCAGGCGAGGTGGCTCACGCCTAGAACCCCAGCACTTTGGGAGGCTTACTTGAGACCAGGCGCTTGAGACCAGCCTGGACAACATAGCAAGACCTTGTTTCTACAACAAATTTAAAAATTAGGGCCGGGCATGGTGGCTCAAGCCTGTGAGCACTTTGGGAGGCCAAGGCAGGTGGATCACGAGCTCAAGAGTTCAAGACCAGCCTGGCCAACATGGTGAAACCCCATCTCAAAAAAAAATAAAGAAGAAAACTAGCTGGGCATGGTGGCGTGAGCCTGTAATCCCAGCTACTCGGGAGGGTGAGGCAGGAGAACTGTTTGTACCCAGGAGGTAGAGGATGCAGTGAGCCAAGATCGCAACACTGCTCTCCAGCCTGGGAGACAGAGCAAGACTCTGACTCGTGGGGAAAAAAAAAATATTAAAATTTAGCCTGGCAAGGCAGCGCACGTCTGTGGTCCCAGCTATTTGGGAGGCTGAGTGGGGAGGATCGCTTAAGCCCAGGAGGTCGAGATGGCAACGAGCTATGATTGCACCACTGCACTCCAGCCTGGGCAACAGAGTGAGACCCTGACTCTGAAAAACAAACAATGAAAGAAATGTTGCGAATGGAAATGACAAGTGGTGGCAGGAATTGGGCACTCTATGAGACAACAGACACATCCCCGATTGGAGAGTCAGGGACAGGCTCTTAGAAGAAATGGCCTTTATGCTGAGTCAAGTTAACCAGGAGGGATGAAGGGAAGAGGCTCCCAACAGAGGGACCAGTCCGTGCTCAGAGCTCCCAGCATCTGCCCAAGGCCTCCACAGAACAGACTGTTGTGTTTTTGTTTTGTTTTGTTTTGTTGAGATACAGAGTCTCATTCTGTAGCCCAGGCTGGAATGCAGTGGCATTATCTCAGCTCATTGCAATCTCTGCCTCCTGGTTCACCTGAGGCGATTCTCCTGCCTCAGCCTACCTGGTAGCTGGCATTACAGACGTCCACCACCATGCCCAGCTAATTTTTGTATTTTTAGTAGAGACAGGATTCACTACCTGTTGACCAGGCTGGTCTCGAACTCCTGACCTCGGGTGATCCACCCACCTCAGCCTCCCAAACTGCTGGGATTACAGGCGTGACCCACCGCATCCGGCCTAGACCGTTGTTGAAGCTGGTTTTCTTCTTCTTTCCTCAGTTCTTTTCTTTTACATCTTCCCCCCATCATTGCTCTGCCCATCCGAAGGCTGTGGCTGGCACAGGACAGAATAGAACCTCCTAGCCTCAAGTTCCAAACCCACACTCTCCAATAGCCAGGCTCTCAGATGGGAAGCTTCAAAGCCTTGTGACAGCCTGGCTGAACCTCTCCAGCCTGGGCCCTCCCTCCATTTCCTGCCCCGGAAACAGGCATCTCCTCTGGCCACCTCCCAAAGCCTGTCTGGAAGCCTCAGGCACCCGCTCCTGGAAGCCTGTACGATTCACAACAAACGGCCTGTCCACCCAGTCGTGCTGAGCACACCCCTATTCCCCCGAGCTCTGAATTGTCCTTTGCCCAGGCTAGGACAACATCTCAGAGCCTTCTGCCTGCTGCAGACTCGGCTCAGCCCAAATCACTCCATGAAATTGGGGTGTGGCATCTGCCTCAAGGAGCATTTCTACAACCTCTGCTGCCTCTACCGCAAATGAAACTGGCTCTCACCCACTGGCTCTCGGTGACGGGCACAGTGCGGAGCCCCACAGGGAGTGTGTAGAAGTCAAAGGCCCCAGTGACTTCTGTGCAGTCAGCCGCACCTACGACAGCCAAAGCGCCAGGTGTGAGCGCCCCGACAGCCTGAGCCCCATCTGGCCTGCCCTACAGCAGGAAGACCCCTCGTGCATGCACCCCAGAAGTCGCCACTGGGCCTGCAGAGAAGCAGCAATCAGAGGCTCTGCCCTTCACTGGCTGACCCTGGGACCTGCCCTTCAAAATCAGGCCTTCTCCTTGACCAGACGAGGTGGCTCATGCCTGGAATCCCTACACCTTGGGAGGCTAAGGCAGGAGGATCACCTGAGTCCAGGAGTTCAAGACCAGCCTGGGCAACCTAGTAAGACCCCAACTCTATAAAAAGGAGTTTTTTTTTTTGAGACAGTCTCACTCTGTCACCCAGGATAGAGTGCTGCGGCATGATCTCAATTCACCGCGGCCCCTGCCTCCTGGGTTCAAGCAATTCCCCTGCCTCAGCCTCCCGAGTAGCTGGGATTACAGACGTGCACCATCATGCCCTGCAAATTTTCATATTTTAGTAGAGACGGGGTTTCACCATGTTGGCCAGGCTGGTCTCCAACTCCTGGCCTAAAGTGATCTGCCCGCGTCAGCCTCCCGAAGTGCTGGGATTACAGGTGTGAGCCACCATGCCCGGCCTACAAAAAAAATTTTTTTAATTAGCCAGGCATGGTGGCATGTGCCTGTAGTCCCAGCTACTCAGGAGGCCAAGGTAGGAGGATTGCAGCTCAAAGCTGCAGTGAGCTGTGATCAGGCCATTGCATTCCAGCCTGGGTGACAGAGTGAGACCATCACAAAAACAAACAAACAAACAAACAAACAAACAAATAAATAAATAAATAAATAAATAAAAAATCTGGGCCTCCCACCAAGGGTGGGAAACATCAGAAAGCTCAGAGGACCACACCTGCCCGTTCACCTGTCCTGGGCTCCTGCTGAAGCCAGGGCTACCAGATGGGGGCAAAAGACCTCCCTTACGCAAGTCCCAAACCACCATTACCTCCCACGAGTACAGGGAGGCGGGGTGTTCGTGCATCAGGTACGGCCACCAGAGGTTGGCACCCAGCACCTTCAGCTGGCCCTGGGTCCCAGCCTGGTTGTCCACGACTTTGTTTTCTGCATTCAAAAGACACACTTCCAACTTGAACTGGTTACTGCACTTGACGGAGATCTGGTAATTCACCAGCCCTGCAGGAGGCAAGAGAGACCAGGGCTTAGGGAGGGACATGACCTGGGTCACACAAACGGGAAGGCCCCACAATGACCACTCCCAGGCACTCTCATTTGCTTCTGTTGCTTTTTTTTTTTTTTTTTTGAGATAGAATCTCGCTCTGTCACCCAGGCTGGAGTGCAGTGGCATGATCTGGACTCACTGAAACCTCTGCCTCCCAGGTTCAAGTGATTCTCCTGCCTCAGCCTCTGGAATAGCTGGGATTACAGGCACCTGCCACCACATCCAGCTAATTTTTGTATTGTTAGTAGAGACGGGGTTTCACCACATTAGCCAGGATGGTCTTGATCTCCTGACCTCGTGATCCGCCTGCCTCGGCCTCCCAAAGTGCTGGGATTACAGGCTTGAGCCACCGTGCCCGGCCCTGAACCAATGCGCCCAGCCCGCTTTTAATTTAATTTTTTAATTTTTTTTTTTTTTTTTTTTTTTTTTTTGAGATGGAGTCTCACTGTCACCCAGGCTGGAGTGTAGTGCTGCGATCCTGACTCGCTGCAACCTCCACCTCTGGAGTTCAGGTGATTCTCCTGCCTCAGCCTTCCGAGTACCTGGGAATACAGGAATGCACCACCATGCCCGGCGAATTTTTCTATTTTCAGTAGAGACGGAGTTTTGCCATGTTGGCCAGGCTGGTCTCGAACTCCTGAACTCAGGTGATCCACCCGCCTCAGTCTCCCAATAGATTACATATATTATTAATGAATTGCTTCCTTTAACACCCTATTCATTGAATTTTCCAGTAAACCACAATTACTAATTACTCCTGAAATCAGAAAAGAGGTTAAAAAGATTTTATAACAGTATCCTATGAAATCTACTACTTTCAAGTAATAGTAGTTGAATTACCAAAACCCGTCACTCAAGCCAATGACTACAATTAAGATATGAGTAACATTTCCTAGATAAATAAAGTCAATTAATTATATTTGCATCTGGGAAATAGAGAAAGTACATATAAGCCATGATTTTGAAGTCAAAAGAGAGAGAATATTTGCCAAGGAGGGGTGAGTTATAGTATGTAATTATAACATACAGAAGTTTTTTGTATGCTGGTAACTAATTTTAATTTCCTACATTTTTATGTAGATTTCTGCTATTCTTGTCCTATTTTCCTAATCATCTTTCTATATGAATGACTACATAATTCTGAGAATACCAAAAGAGACAGACACAGAACCAATCGGATTCCTTTCTTCTTGAAGCTTCTGCACAGCAAAAGAAACTATCAACAGAGTGAACAGACAACCTACAGAATGGGAGAAAATTTTTGCAACAATGCATGTGACAAAGATCTAATGTCCAACACTGATAAGGAACTTAAACAAATTTACAAGAAAAAAAAAAATCTCATTAGAAAGTGGGCACAGGACATAAACAGACACTTCAAAAGAAGACACACATGCGGCCAACAAGCATATGAGAAAAAGCTCAATATCACTGATCATTAGAGAAATGCAAATCAAAACCACAATGGCATACCATCTCACACCAGTCAGTATGGTTATTATTAAGAAGTCAACGCCGGGCATGGTGGCTCACGCCTATAATCCCAGCACTTCAGGAGGCCAAGGCAGGCAGATCGCATGAGGTCAGGAGTTCCAGACCAGCCTGGACAACCTGGCGAAACCCCGTCTCTACTAAAAATACAAAAATTAGCCCAGCGTGGTGGCGGGTGCCTGTAATCCCAGCTACTCAGGATGCTGAGGCAGGAGAATCGCCTGAACCCGGGAGGCAGAGGTTGTAGTGAGCCGAGATCATACCACTGCACTCTCCAGCTTAGGTGACAGAGCGAGACTCTGTCTCAAAAAAAAAAAAAAATATTTGAATTTTGTTTAAATCGCTAACACATACTGGGCATTTAATAACAAAAAAAAAAGGACATGAGATTGTGATCCTTATGAAGGTTTGAGAGGCATTTCACTAGGGTTCAACATACAGCAGTCTGAAACATACTGTAATAATTTAATCCAATGGCTCATCTACAGCACCTAAAAAGATTACAGCAGATTCTCATTATTCAGTGTAGTTACGGTCTAGAAAGTTCCATGAACAAATAAAAAGTTAGGTTTCAGCAAGCTACTGGTCACACTTTTGTAAGCTTACCAACACCTACTTTTGTTGTATGTGTGCTTATTTAATATATATTGTTGGCCAGGCACAGTGGCTAACGCCTGTAATCCCAGCACTTTGCGAAGCCAAGGCGGGCAGATCATTTGAGGTCTGGAGTTCGAGACCAGCCTGGCCAACGTGGTGAAACCCCGTCTCTACTAAAACTACAAAAAAAAAAAAAAAAAAAAAAATTAGCCAGGCATGGTGGCGCATGCCTGTAGTCTTAGCTACTTGGGAGGCTAAGGCAGGGGAATCGCTTGAACCCAGGAGGCAGAGGTTGCAGTGAGCCAAGACTGCACCACTGCACTCCAGCCTGAGCAACAGAGTGAGACTCTATCTCAAAAAAAATAATAATAATAATTAATTAAATGAAGAATAAATAAATAATATACATTGTTCATTCATTAACATTGAACTCACAGCCAACGGCACTACAGCACTCACGCCTGAATGGAGTTTATTTAATGCATGTATTTTCTCTGTAAGACACATCACAGACTTCTTGGACTTGTGAATGCTAAGCAGCACTTCAGCACTATGCTTGGGGGTTAATTTAAATGGCAAAACAACCAACAAACAGCACAAAAACAGGAAAAGCATGGCATTAAATAGACCACAAAAAGGATACCTGACTATTGTATGAGAGCTGAAAAAGAAGGCAGAATATCATCCTGTTCAAACTCAAATTCTTTGACACTCTGCGCAAACACATGACTATGAAAGTGCTGTGAGTACTGATTTGGGGGTTACAAAAAATAGTAGGTGAGTTCACAAATACAAAAGCTGAAAACAAGGAGGATCGACTGTATTTTCGTAGACAATCTAATCTCAGAAGATTTCAGTTCAGACAAAAATCATGATAATTACTGTATTACAAAAGGGCACTAGATAGGGGGAAAAGAGTAAAAATCACAATTAAAACAAAGGTTCAAAATTCTGCAGCAACCATATCCAGTTACACTTTAATATGTTTGTGGCAGACTACATTATTGTTCCCAACTCATCACCCCTCCCTATATCTAAAACCTTTCCCCAAGACAATGCAGTTCCTCCTGCTAGAGATCAGGTATATTTATCTATACTATCAATGTTAGCCATGGACAAGGTATGTGCTTTGGCTGACTGAATGTTAGTGGACATGAGAGAAGCAATGGCTTAAAATGTACTTCCAGAACTGGAGTTTCCTTGTGATTCTATCACTGTGACAAAAACACATTCTCAGGTAGTCCACTGATCCAAGGGGGAACAAACACACAGAAAACATACCTAGACTCTATCTGCAGCTTGCAGCCTCACCAAGCCAAGAACAGTCAACTCACAGATATGTTAGCAAAAATAAATGTTTTTCATACCTTAAGTTTTATATAATTATTGACCTACAGTTAACTGATATACAATATACATTAATCTTAAAATATCATTATCCCATTAAAAATACTTACATTAAAAACTGAGACCACTTTCTTTCCTTTTTTTTTTTTTTTTTTTTAATTAAGAGACAGGGTGTCTCAATGTTGCCCAAGCTGGAGTTCAGTGGCTAGTGGCTATTCACAAGAACGATCATCGCACACTACCTCAAACTCCTGGGATCAAGCAATCCTCCTGCCTCAGCTTTCCAAGTCGCTGGGACTATAAGTGTGTACCACAGCATGTCAGCTCTCTCTCTCCTTCTTGACCTAAAGCCTAGCATAAAATTAGCTAAGTAGAATGTTTCCAAAGATGCCTGCATCAGTATCTCCCATCCCACATAATTTCTGTTTGATTTTGCCATTCACCCATAAAATGGTGGGATCTACCTCCCCTCCTTGCAAATTTGAGCTGGCCCTCTGATCCTGTCTAAGATCTGAAGCCAGATATTAAGGTACTTCATTAATTTCCATGTTTGTCCTCTATGCAACCTAGCAATCAAGCAAGAAGTCAAAACATACTGACATAGTTTGGATGGGTCCCCACCCAAATCTCACCTTGCATTGTAATAATTCCCACGTGTCAAGGGTGGGGCCGGGTGCAGATAACTGAATCATGGGGATGGTTCCCCCCATACTGTTCTCGCGGTAGTGACTAAGTCTCATGAGATCTGATGGTTTTATAAATGGGAGCTCCCCTGCACATGCTCTCTCCTGCCTGCCACTATGTGAGACATGCTTTTGCACCTCCTTGCCTTCCACCATGATTGTGAGGCCTCCCCAGCCATGCAGAACTGTGAGTCAATTCAACCTCTTTCCTTTATAAATTACCCAGTCTCAGGTATGTCTTTATTTGCGGTGTGAGAACAGACTAATACAATAAGTTGATACCAGTAGAGTGGGGTGCTGCTGTAAAGATACCCGAAAATGTGGAAGCAACTTTGGAAATGGGTAACAGGGAGAGGCTGGAACAGTTTGGAAGGCTCAGAAGAGGATAGGAAAATGTGGGAAAGTTTGGAACTTCCTAGAGACTTGTTGAATGGCTTTGACCAAAATGTTAATAGTGATATGGACAACAAGGTCCAGGCGGAGGTGGTCTCAGAGGCAGATGAGGAATTTGTTGGGAAATGGAGTAAAGTCACTCTTACTATGCAAAGACACTGCAGGCATTGTGCACCTGTATTAGAAACGGGCATAAGATAGGCGGGAAAGAGGGAAAATAAGAATTTCTTTCTAGAGTTCCCTACAGATCTGTGGAACTTTGAACTTGAGAGAGATGATTTAAGGTATCTGACAGAAGAAATTTCTAAGCAGCAAAGCATTCGAGAAGAAGCAGAGCATAAAAGTTCAGAAAATTTGTAGCCTGATGATGCAACAGAAAAGAAAAATCTATTTTCTCAGGAGACTGGGTTGTAGAAATTTGCATAAGTAATGAGGAGCCAAATGTTAATCACCAAGACAATGGGGCAAATGTCTCCAGGGCATGTTAGAGACCCTCACAGCAGACCCTCCCATCACAGGCCAGGAGGCTTAGAAGGAAAAATGGTTTTGTGGGTCCAGAACCCCCTGCTGTGTGCAGCCTAGGAACTTGGGGCCCTGCATCCCAGCTGCTCCTGCCATAGATAAAAGGGGCCAAGGTACACCTCAGGCCATGGCTTCAGAGGGTGCAAGTTCCAAGCCTTTCAGGTTCTAGGTGGTGTTAAGCCTGCAGATGCACCAAAGTCAAGAATTAACGTTCATGAACCTCCGCCTACATTTCAGAAGATGTATGAAAATGCCTGGAAATCCAGGCAAAAGTTTGCTGTGGGGGGGAGGGGAGGGGGGGGCCCTCATGGATAACCTCTGCTAGGGCAGTGTCAAAGGGAAATATGGGGTTGGAGCTCCCACACAGAGTCCCCACTGGGGTACTGCCAAGCAGAGCTGTGAGAAAAGGGCCACCATCCTCCAGACCCCAGAATGGTAGATCCACTGACAGCTTGCACTGTGTGCCTGGAAAAGCTGCAGACACTCAATGCAGCCAGAAGGGGGGCTGTACCCTGCAAAGCCACAGGGGCGGGGCTGCCCAAGACCCTGGGAACCCACTTCTTGCATCACCTAGATGTGACACATGGAGTCAAAGGAGGTCATTTTGGAGCTTTAAGATTTGCCTGCTGGGTTTTGGACTTGCATGGGGCCTGTAGCTCTTTTGCTTTGGCCAATTTCTCCCATTTGAAACGAGTGTATTTACCCAATGCCTGTATCCCTGTGTATCTAGAAAATAACTAACTTGCTTTTGATTTTACAGGCTCATAGGTGGAAGGGACTTGCCTTGTCTCAGATGAGACTTTGGACTATGGAATTTTGAGTTAATGCTGAAATAAGAGTTTGGGGGACTTAGGGGAAGGCATGATTGCTTTTGAAATATGAGGACATGAGATTTGGGAGGGGCCGGGGAAGAATTATATGGTTTGGCTCTGTCCGCACCCAAATCTCATCTTGAATTGTAACAATTCCCATGTGTCAAGGGTGGGGCCAGGTGGAGATAACTGAATCATGGAGGCAGTTTCCCCCATGCTGTTCTCATGGTAGTGAATAAGTCTCATGAGGTCTGATGGTTTTATAAATGGATGTTCCCCTGCACATGCTCTCTCCTGCCCACCATGTCTGACTAAATTTTGTATTTTTACTAGAGACGGGCTTTCACTATGTTGGCCAGGCTGGCCTCCAACTCCTGATCTCGTGATCCGTCCACCCCGACCTCCCAAAGTGCTAGGATCATAGGCATAAGCCACCACACCCGGCCTCTTTTTTTTCTTTTTCTTTTTTTTATCTGGAGACTGAGTTTTGCACTCGTTGCCCAGGCTGGAGTGCAATGGTGCGATCTCAGCTCACTGCAGTCTCCACCTCAGCAGGAGAGCAGGAATCTTCAGTGATCCACGGGCAAATATGCAGCCATTGTGGGCACCTGTTCCTCCCGCGACCTTTGTGCCCACGTCTCTCCCTCCAGTACCTACTGCACGACCCCCCACGTCCGCCTCCTGCCATTGCCAGCAGGTGCCTTGCGCGGGTACCTGGCTGTGCTTATTCATCCATTATGGTCGCTCTGTCACTGGTGCCATTATGTGCTCACATGCCCACTCCCTCAGGTTTAGAAGTCGCGTTGCCCGGCAACAGAACAATCTGCTGGCTTAGCCTTTGGCCAAGTTGGCAGCTGGACGAGGACGCTCAGAGCCCAGCTCTTGAGAGTTCAAGTATCCGACAGTTCCCCACTGCTCCCAGGAGCGGTTACCCGGGCACTCTGTGCCCCTCATTCCTGTTTGGGCCAAGGCCGAGGACCTGCGAGTAGGGCTCAGTTGCCTGGAGCCCCTTCAGCCCATCCCCCAGTTCACTTTGCTTGTGGGATCTCCCCGTTGCTCCTGCCCCTGGACTGAGTGGCAGGCCATCCTACAAACACCCGCACACTCGACATCAGTGGTGTCAAGACAACTCTAAGAAGGTTTTCCGTGATCCTGCAAGACCTGTGTTCCATCCTGGTGATTCTGTCTTCAATTTCACTGCACAGGTACCACAGTAAGCCAGTGCTGTGTGCTCCGAGTTCCAGGGCATCCCCCAGCTCAGCCACTACACTGAGCACAAGGACTCTGTGGGGCCCAGGAGCAGGTAGTCACCCCTTTGGGGTCCACAACACCCGGCTGTCCCCAGACTTGTGTCCAGGGAAGATAGTGTTGAGGGCCCTCAAGGAGAGCGGGGCAGGGATGCCTGAGCAGGACAAGGACCCCAGAGTCCAAGAAAATCCTGATGATCAGAGAACGGTCCCCGAGGTCACCGGGGATGCACGGTCTGCATTTTGGCCCCTGCGGGACAATGGAGGCCCCTCTCCCTTTGTGCCCAGGCCCGGGCCTCTGCAGACAGACCTCCACGCCCAGAGCTCAGAAATCAGATATAACCACACATCCCAGACATCCTGGACGAGCTCGAGCACCAAACGAAATGCCATCTCCAGCTCCTACAGCTCCACGGGAGGCTTGCCGGGGCTAAAGCAGAGGAGGGGGCCAGCCTCATCCCGCTGCCAGCTGACCCTCAGTTACTCAAAGACAGTGAGTGAGGACAGGCCTCAGGCTGTCTCTTCGGGTCACACACGGTGTGAAAAGGGGGCAGATACAGCACCAGGGCAGACAATCGCCCCAACGGGTGGCTCCCCCAGATCCCAGGACTCTAGGCCCCGTAGACGCAAGATTCCCCTGCTGCCACGCAGGCGAGGGGAGCCTTTGATGCTGCCACCTCCCTTAGAGCTGGGGTACCGGGTCACGGCTGAAGACCTGCACCTGGAAAAAGAGACGGCATTCCAGCGCATCAACAGTGCACTGCACGTTGAGGACAAGGCCATCCCGGACTGCAGACCCTCACGGCCTTCCCACACTTTGTCCTCACTTGCAACAGGGGCTTCGGGTGGGCCTCCCGTTTCTAAAGCACCCACTATGGATGCACAGCAGGACAGACCCAAGTCCCAAGACTGCCTGGGCCTAGTGGCCCCCCTAGCATCTGCTGCAGAGGTCCCCGCTACAGCTCCCGTGTCTGGGAAGAAGCACAGACCACCAGGACCCCTGTTCTCCTCCTCAGATCCCCTTCCTGCCAACTCTTCCCACTCCCGGGACTCAGCCCAGGTCACCTCGATGATTCCTGCCCCCTTCACAGCTGCAAGCAGGGATGCCGGCATGAGAAGAACAAGGTCGGCTCCTGCAGCTGCCGCAGCAGCCCCTCCCCCCTCCACATTGAACCCCACGTCGGGGTCACTACTCAATGCAGTGGATGGAGGCCCCTCACATTTCTTGGCCTCAGCCACAGCTGCAGCACGTGCCCAGAGGTCAGAAGTGAGATATAACCAGAGATCCCAGACCTCCCGGACCAGATCCTGCCTCAAACGAAATGCCAGCTCCAGCTCCCACAGCTCTACGGAAGGCCTCCAGGAAGTAAAGCGGAGGAGGGGGCCAGCCTCATCCCACTGCCAGCTGGCCCTCAGTTCCTCAAACACAGTGAGTGAGGACGGACCTCAGGCTGTCTCTTCGGGTCACCACTGTGAAAACAAGGCAGGTACAGCACCAGGGCAGACACTTGCCCCCAGGGGTGGCTCCCCCAGATCCCAGGCCTCTAGGCCCCACATCAACACTGCACTGCACGTTGAGGACAAGGCCATCTCGGACTGCAGACCCTCACGGCCTTCCCACACTTTGTCCTCACTTGCAACAGGGGCTTCGGGTGGGCCTCCCGTTTCTAAAGCACCCACTATGGATGCACAGCAGGACAGACCCAAGTCCCAAGACTCCCTGGGCCTACTGGCCCCCCTAGCATCTGCTGCAGAGGTCCCCTCTACAGCTCCCGTGTCTGGGAAGAAGCACAGACCACCAGGACCCCTGTTCTCCTCCTCAGATCCCCTTCCTGCCACCTCTTACCACTCCCGGGACACAGCACAGGTCACCTCGCTGATTCCTGCCACCTTCACAGCTGCAAGCAGGGATGCCGGCATGAGAAGAACAAGGTCGGCTCCTGCAGCTGCCACAGCAGCCCCTCCCCCCTCCACATTGAACAACACGTCGGGGTCACTACTCAATGCAGTGGATGGAGGCCCCTCACATTTCTTGGCCTCAGCCACAGCTGCAGCACGTGCCCAGAGGTCAGAAGTGAGATATAACCAGAGATCCCAGACCTCCCGGACCAGATCCTGCCTCAAACGAAATGCCAGCTCCAGCTCCAGCTCCCACAGCTCTACGGAAGGCCTCCAGGAACTAAAGCGGAGGAGGGGGCCAGCCTCATCCCACTGCCAGCTGGCCCACAGTTCCTCAAACACAGTGAGTGAGGACGGACCTCAGGCTGTCTCTTCGGGTCACCGCTGTGAAAACAAGGCAGGTACAGCACCAGGGCAGACACTCGCCCCCAGGGGAGGCTCCCCCAGATCCCAGGCCTCTAGGCCCCACATCAACAGTGCACTGTACGTTGAGGACAAGGCCATCTCGGACTGCAGACCCTCACGGCCTTCCCACACTTTGTCCTCACTTGCAACAGGGGCTTCGGGTGGGCCTCCCGTTTCTAAAGCACCCACTATGGACGCACAGCAGGACAGACCCAAGTCCCAAGACTGCCTGGGCCTAGTGGCCCCCCTAGCATCTGCTGCAGAGGTCCCCTCTACAGCTCCCGTGTCTGGGAAGAAGCACAGACCACCAGGACCCCTGTTCTCCTCCTCAGATCCCCTTCCTGCCACCTCTTCCCACTCCCGGGACTCAGCCCAGGTCACCTCGCTGATTCCTGCCACCTTCACAGCTGCAAGCAGGGATGCCGGCATGAGAAGAACAAGGCCTGGCACCTCGGCTCCTGCAGCTGCCGCAGCAGCCCTTCCCCCCTCCACATTGAACCCCACGTCGGGGTCGCTACTCAATGCAGTGGATGGAGGCCCCTCACATTTCTTGGCCTCAGCCACAGCTGCAGCACGTGCCCAGAGGTCAGAAGTGAGATATAACCAGAGATCCCAGACCTCCCGGACCAGATCCTGCCTCAAACGAAATGCCAGCTCCAGCTCCCACAGCTCTACGGAAGGCCTCCAGGAACTAAAGCGGAGGAGGGGGCCAGCCTCATCCCACTGCCAGCTGGCCCACAGTTCCTCAAACACAGTGAGTGAGGACGGACCTCAGGCTGTCTCTTCGGGTCACCGCTGTGAAAACAAGGCAGGTACAGCACCAGGGCAGACACTCGCCCCCAGGGGTGGCTACCCCAGATCCCAGGCCTCTAGGCCCCGCATCAACAGTGCACTGCACGTTGAGGACAAGGCCATCTCGGACTGCAGACCCTCACGGCCTTCCCACACTTTGTCCTCACTTGCAACAGGGGCTTCGGGTGGGCCTCCCGTTTCTAAAGCACCCACTATGGACGCACAGCAGGACAGACCCAAGTCCCAAGACTGCCTGGGCCTACTGGCCCCCCTAGCATCTGCTGCAGAGGTCTCCTCTACAGCTCCCGTGTCTGGGAAGAAGCACAGACCACCAGGACCCCTGTTCTCCTCCTCAGATCCCCTTCCTGCCACCTCTTCCCACTCCCGGGACTCAGCCCAGGTCACCTCGCTGATTCCTGCCACCTTCACAGCTGCAAGCAGGGATGCCGGCATGAGAAGAACAAGGCCTGGCACCTCGGCTCCTGCAGCTGCCGCAGCAGCCCTTCCCCCCTCCACATTGAACCCCACGTCGGGGTCGCTACTCAATGCAGTGGATGGAGGCCCCTCACATTTCTTGGCCTCAGCCACAGCTGCAGCACGTGCCCAGAGGTCAGAAGTGAGATATAACCAGAGATCCCAGACCTCCCGGACCAGATCCTGCCTCAAACGAAATGCCAGCTCCAGCTCCCACAGCTCTACGGAAGGCCTCCAGGAACTAAAGCGGAGGAGGGGGCCAGCCTCATCCCACTGCCAGCTGGCCCACAGTTCCTCAAACACAGTGAGTGAGGACGGACCTCAGGCTGTCTCTTCGGGTCACCGCTGTGAAAACAAGGCAGGTACAGCACCAGGGCAGACACTCGCCCCCAGGGGTGGCTACCCCAGATCCCAGGCCTCTAGGCCCCGCATCAACAGTGCACTGCACGTTGAGGACAAGGCCATCTCGGACTGCAGACCCTCACGGCCTTCCCACACTTTGTCCTCACTTGCAACAGGGGCTTCGGGTGGGCCTCCCGTTTCTAAAGCACCCACTATGGATGCACAGCAGGACAGACCCAAGTCCCAAGACTGCCTGGGCCTACTGGCCCCCCTAGCATCTGCTGCAGAGGTCTCCTCTACAGCTCCCGTGTCTGGGAAGAAGCACAGACCACCAGGACCCCTGTTCTCCTCCTCAGATCCCCTTCCTGCCACCTCTTCCCACTCCGGGGACTCAGCCCAGGACACCTCGCTGATTCCTGCCCCCTTCACACCTGCAAGCAGGGATGCCGGCATCAGAAGAATGTTTCGTGTTCGAAACTGTTTGAGGGGTTTGGGTTTATTTTTGTTGGTTTTTTCTTTTTTTTTTTTGCTTACGTGGGCATCCTTCAGCTTTTAATAATCTGAAAAATTCTATTTACCCATTGTCAATGTGTATAAATTAATCTCAGTCAATTTTATACAATAAAAGGTGAACTTTTATCCATCAAACAATAATTTAACAAAAAATGTACCGGAAGAAGAATGTTCATTACAAATATAGGAAACATAAATATTACCAAATATTGGCAAGCACTAAAATGTTCAGAAATATAAGTCTATTACAGTTATAGCTCTCTCAAGCAAAAAAACAGCAGAGAAAAACTTAGTTTTCCTGAGGGGCTATTTATTTACTTAGGGATTTGTTAAAAGGTCAAATGGGGTCACACAGAATACTAAGAAGAGCTGTTCACCCAGGCCTCACTAAGAACTCTTCTTCATGCAGTAGCTATATAGTAATATGACAACTGCTCCTACGACCCAAAGAGGAACTACAGCAACTACTCTTTAGCATCTGTTGCTCCCAACTCTGCTTTGCAATTATATGACTCAAGCATTCTGGCTCCGTTAACTATTACTGCTGTTACTCCCAAGTAAATTCCCTCTAAAAAATAAAAATTTTTAAAGCTGTAATTTAAGCTCTCTGCTGCCTCATGACTTCAATTCCATCAGAGTTACGCATTGTTTCCTCTGTACATCTTTGCTCTGCTTCCATTGCTAATTCCCTAGTAAAGTGTTGTATATTCAAAGTTCCAAAGAAACAGAATATCCAAGACATCACCAATCATCCAAAACACAGTGTAGGAGGCCACAGTTAAGAGAAGCAACACCATTAGCTCTTTTTATAGGCTCGAGAACAACAGGATGCTTTGGTCCTGTATCAGCAGGACGCTTTTTGGGTAGATCCTACTGCCACCCTACTATCGGGTAGATCCTACTGTCACCCTAGCTATGGGCACATGTCAGAGTCCCATGTAATAAAGGAGACAAAAGGAAACCACCACGAGTATAAACTAAGAAAAGTACTCCAAGGTTTCTAAGAATGGAGCTGTATAACTCACTTTGCCCCATTTGTTACTTCTCCACGGTACTTACCACCACCTATTACATATATTTTGTTTATAGTCAGTCTTCCCCCATTAGAATGAAAGTTCCGTGAGGATAGGACTATACAGTCAGCCCTCAGTATCCATGGGGGACTGGTTTCAGGATCTCCTGAGGGTAACAAAGGATACTCAAGTCCCTGATATAAAATGACATAGTATTTGCACATCACCTTTGCACATCCTCCCATATACTTCATATCAACTCTAGATCACTCATAATATCCGATGTAAATGTCATGCAAATAGTTATTGTACTATATTGTGTAAGGAATAAGGACAAGAAAAAAGTCTGTACATGTTCAGTACAGACGCAATTTTTTTTTCCAATATTTCCAATCCTTGGTTGCCTTAACGGATGTAGAACCCAGGAATAAGTTCTGGTGTCCTATTGCATAGTAGGATGAGTATAGTTAACAATAACATATTATATATTTGAAAATAGCCAGAAGAGTAGATTTTGAATTTTCTCCCTACAGAAAAATCATTATGCAAATTACCCTGATTTGATCATTACACATTGAGTACATGTATTAAAACATCACATTCTACCCCATATATATGTACAGTTATTATGTGTCCATAAAAATTTAATGTCAATGTGTGAAATAAAATGAAAAAATAAAAATTTTTAAAGCTGTAATTATCTCCATCTGGTAGGAATATATACAATCTGAAATAAAAAATATATTTGTAATTGTTAGGACAAAATAGATTATACGTTAAGTCTGCAAATTATAAATTATAAAATTCTCACAGAACCTGAAAAATTATTGATACTGTTAAATATTTAAAAAGCTGTCCTTGGAGAGAAAGAAACCTATCAGATTTACATCAACAAGTGTAATATGTCAGCCTATTACCATCTGCTACAGACTGCATGTTTGTGTTCCCTCAAAATTCATATGATAGGCCGGGCGCGGTGGCTCATGCCTGTAATCCCAGCACTTTGGGAGGCCGAGGCGGGTGGATCATGAGGTCAGGAGATCGAGATCATCCTGGCTAACATGGTAAAACCCCGTCTCTACTGAAAATACAAAAAATTAGCCGGGCGCAGTGGCGGGCGCCTTAGTCCCAGCTACTGAGGAGGCTGACGCAGGAGAACGGCGTGAACCCAGGAGGCGGAGCTTGTAGAGAGCCGAGATTGTGCCACTGCACTCCAGCCTGGGTGACAGACAGAGCGAGACTCTGTCTCAAAAAAAAAAAAAAAAAAAAAAAATTCATATCATAAAGCCCTAACCCCCAAGGTGAGGATACTGGGAGGCGTGGCCTTTAGGAGAGAATTAGGTTTAGATGAGGTCATGAGAATAGAGCCCCTATGGTGGCATTACTTCCTTTATAAGAAGAGACACTAGAGCTGCTTTTCTCCCTACCATGTGAGGATACCGAGAGAAGATGGCCATTTCCAATCTAGGAAGCAGGCCCTCTTTAAGAAACACAATTTGCCAACACTTTGATCTTGCACTTCCAGTCTCCAGAACTGTGAGAAATATCTGTTTTTTTGTTTGTTTGTTTTTGTTTTTTTTGAGACAGAGTCGCATTCTGTCATCCAGGCTGGAGTACAGTGGTGCGATCATGGCTCACTGCAACCTCCGCCTCCCAGGTTCAAGCAATTCTCCCACCTCAGCCTCCCAAGTAGCTCAGACTACAGGCGTGCACCACCATGCCCAGCTGATTTTCGTAGAGACAAGGTTTTGCCATGCTGCCCAGGCTAGTCTCAAACTCCTGAGCTCAAGTTATCCACCTGCCTCGGCCTCCCAAAGTGTTAGGAATACAGGCATAAGCCACCACGCCTGGTCAAAATATCTACTGTTTAAGCTACCTAATTTATGGTATTCTGTTTTAGCAGCTGAAGCAGACTAAGATACCATCCTATAAGCTACAGACCAGCACTATCCAATAGAACTTTATATGACGAGGAAATGTTTTATATCTGTGCTATCCCTTATGTTAGCCACTAGCCACATGTATCCATCAAGTATTTGAAATATGGCTAGTGCAACTAAAGAACTTAATTTTTAATTTTCTTTTTTTTTTTTGAGATGGAGTCTCGCTCTGTCCCCCAGGCTGGAGTGCAGTGGCGCCATCTCGGCTCACTGCAAACTCTGCCTCCCAGGTTCACGCCATTCTCCTGCCTCAGCCTCCTGAGTAGCTGGGACTGCAGGCGCCCGCCACCACGCCCGGCTAATTTTTTGTATTTTTAATAGAGATGGGGGTTCACCGTCTTAGTAAGGATGGTCTCGATCTCCTGACCTAATGATCTGCCCGCCTCGGCCTCCCAAAGTGCTGGGATTACCGGCGTGAGCCACCACGCCCGGCCAATTTTTATTTCATCTTATTTAAATAACCACATGTGGCTAGTGGCTAATGTATTGAACACTACAGCTGTAGACAATACGAAATAAATATAAAGCAGTCTCCACTTTGGAAAAACAGAAGACTCTTACTGCCTCATAGTATAGATTAAAAAATGAAATACTAAGACAAGTAAAACGTTCTTTAAAGAACAAAAACAAAAGAAAACCTAATGAAAGCTAAAAAAGTCCATTGGATAATAATGCTACCAGTACTAAGGAAGTACAGCCCCTAAAAGTGACTTGCAGTCACAAATATAAAAATGACTATTCAAGTGAACTCCTAAGGTGAAAATTTCTTATTCACCATGCTCCAAAATGGTCTGTAATATTCTTCAGAGATGGCATGGTAAAGTACGATAAAAGGGTAATATTAACAGTATGCTGTCACAGGTGCCATTCTCTTAAAAAAGAAATCCAAAAATAAATATAAATGGAAAGCAAATAATTAATGGAGTTTTGACGGTCAATCAATGGTAAATATTATTGGCATTAGATTTTTCTATTAATTATAGTTTACCTATGATCATGTATTTTTCCATTTAAAAATTACCCTAAAACTTAATGGCTTAAAATAACAAATATGTATGACACAATTTATAGAAGTCAGGGAAATGATGGATTTGGGTAGGTGGTTCTGACTCGAAGTCTCTCATGAGTAAAGGTTGCTGTCATGTTGTTGACCCAGGCAGCATCCCCTGAAGCCTTTAACTTGTGTTGGAAGGTCCGTGTCTTAGTTTGTTTGCACTGTCGCTACAGAATACCATAGACAGGGTAGCTTATAAACAACAGAAACGTTTCTAATGGTACCGGAGGCTGGATGGTGCAAAATCAAGGTGCTTGCAGATTTGGTGTCTGGTCAGAGCCCATTTTTTAGTTCATAGATTACTGTCCTCTAGCTCACATGGCAGAAGGGGCAAGGACGCTTTTTGGGGTCTCTTTTACAAGGGCACTAATCCCCGGCTGGGCACGGTGGCTCACATCTGTAATCCCAGTACTTTGGGAGGCTGAGGCAGGCAGATCACGAGGTCAGGAGTTCCAGACCAGCCTGGCCAGTATGGTGAAACCCCGTCTCTACTAAAAATACAAAAATTAGCCAGGTGTGGTGGTGCGTACCTGTAGTCTCAGCTACTCAGCTACTCAGGAGGCTGAGGCAGAAGAAACACTTGAACCCAGGAGGCAGACGCTGCAGTGAGCTGACATGGCACCACTGCACTCCAGCCTGGGTAACAGAGCAAAACTCTGTCTCAAAAAATAAATAAATAAATAAATAAAAATAAAAATAAAAAATAATAATCAAGGCACTAATCCCCAACATGAAGACAGACTATCATCTACCAAAAGCTCCACCTCCTACTATCATTACACTGGGGGTTAGGATTTCACAAATTCAGTGCATCATAGTCTGCTTCTAGAATGTTTAATCATTTGGCTGGATATCAGATAGGATGCCTCGGTTCTTCATGTGAGCTTTCTAGAAAAGATAGTTTGGAATTATTTGCATGGTGGCTGGGCTCGTAAAGAGTTGAAGGAGAGAAAGAGAGAGAAACACCAGTAAGGAGCAAATTAGTTCACTCAAAATTAAAACCCTAGCCTTTGTGACCTTGTCTCAGAAGGTAACATTCCAATCCTGTGGTGTTTTATTTCTTAGATGGGAGTCACTCAGCTTAGCCTGCCTTCAAGGGGAGGAGTATGAAGCTCCACTTCTTAAACTGAGAAGAATCAACAAATATGTAGATATATATATTTTTAATAGTATTACAGCTCATGAACCCATTTAAACCCATTTTAGAACTTTAAAGAAATATTTTAAAACGGAATTTTCAATTAAGCAGAAGAAATTGCCAGCTGTGGAACAGTGAACTTTATCGCTGAAATCACACACACATATATACACACACACAGTGCAAACTCATACATGATCAAATCTATAATCTTATTACACAAAGTTTTGTGAGAGGAAAAATGCTTGACTTTTCAAAAGGGCTCATTTATTAAAAATAAAATGACCATTGTGTTCATTTTAGCTGCAACCTTTAAGCAATCAATGACTATATACTTGCTGTAATCATCCTTTAAAATTAGAATTATTGAAAAGCTTTATCACTGATGAATGAAAGAAAGTAATATTGATTTGTGGCCAAGAGAGATAATCTCAGGCAATAAACAGGTGCAGTCTTTGAAGGAATCATTTTATTTTATTACTTTCTGACATTATTGAAGCCAATTTTAAATAAATTCATCATGTTTTTAAATTTAATCACGTATTATTTTATCATACATTAGGTAAAGTTTCAATCTAAGTAACTCCTGGATAAAAAATGAAGTATATCAATTTACAATTACAAATACCCAAATTGTACAGGCATGCATTTTTCAATGACATTTATAAATTGTGTTTTGTTGTTTGTGCCTTGTGTTTGTTTTATTAATCAAATTAATTTATACAGATATATGTATGGAAATGAGACAGATATAACCAGTTCTCTATAAGTAAGCATTATCTAATGGAGTCTTTCCTTTCACTAATGATCATCAGGACAGCTAGGGAAGTGAGTTGAAATTTTCAGGCCATTAGGTTAATAGTTCTAGTAATTCTAGTAATGTTTCGACAGTCATAATATAAATGATACTATGTGGCTTGAATTAATGCATTTTCTTATGTAACAAATAATAAGACAATTTTTAAAAGTGGTAATTACTATTTTTAAATATGACAATTAAAAATAATGAAAGAAAAGAGGTTGTACATTGAGTAGCCATAACATTATCTTTAAACATATTTATTCTTCATTTCCTAACTTTTCCCACCTTTTGGCTAAATCGTATGTTCTTTCTCTAACCTCACTTCTGTTTTATTACTCTCTGGGAAAGATTTTTATATAAAACGTCTAAGCAATCAAACCTAACACAGGATGAATTTCTACACATTACTATACCCTCTGGTCACTATTTTTTTCTTCTCTTTATTGCCCATTTCCCTGATCTTGAAACATTCCAATTATTTGCCTTCCATGACATTCTACTCTTACTTTTACTTTTCTGTCTCTGATTACTCATTTCCAGTTCCTTTTGTCATCTCCTTGTCTTCCTACACCTGCCAATTAAATTTGAATTTCCTCTGCATTTCATCTTATGTCTCCTTTTCTTCTGCCAAATTCTCTCCTTAGACAAATACAGTCATTCCCATGGTTTTATATCCCACTTATATTCAAGGGCTCTAGAATGTATAGCGCCAGGCCAAATCTATCTTAAGAACTTACTTTACTTAACCAATTACAACTGCATCTGCTCAGGATCATGTAACCCACATCAGCATTTGGCTCTTCTGTAGACCCATTTTTTCTTTTCCTGGAAGTCTATTTTGACACCTACTTTCTGTCACTACCCACGTTTTAGCATTTAGCCTTGTCAATTTACTCTCATCCATATGTAACTCTATCCATTTTCTTCTCTCTATTATGAACAGCAGTTTGAGCCATCATGACCAATTTTGCAGTATCCCTTCTTAAATTAGCCTCCTGTTTCGCATTGGACATTTTCACCCCCCAGCAATTCCACCGATTTCATTCTCGGAAAAATATAAATGAAGAGTTACATTTTTCAATAGCCATAATCATTAAATTTCCATGTGTAAGAAAATGTTCAGAACAGTATCAGTGCATTTATAATAAAATTTTAAAACTTGACCCACAAATCTCTACTTGTCCTTCTAGTTTTATTTCATTTGTCTCTCGTCAATCTCTACATTCTGATCACCACAATCTTTTAATTCATCTGAAAGCTAAGCTCTCTCTTAATTTACATTCTCTATACTTGCAATTTTGTCTACCTAGAAGTGTCTTCTTCCATCTTTGGATTGTTATTGCAAATCCATTGAATAGTTCTCATCTGAATTGTTTCTTCCTTGGGATGACTTATAAACACTTCATCCTACAGCCAAATCAGAAGACCAATATCAAAATCTTTCATCACATCCTAAATTTGCTTATATGTAATTATATGGCAAGAATCTCTTTGTCTTTATAATCATGATTCACTTATCTATGTTTTTTAAAAACTCTTCTAGGTGGTGATGCTAAGCTCCGTAATGTTGGGCTTGTTACCTGTCTCAACTATCTTCCACACCTACCACAGTACCTGCTACATAGATGTATTCAATATATATTTTTAGAATTAGTAAATGATGAGCAAGCGTGTACTTTTGTTCTCTTTCATTACAGTGTTAGAAATGCTATTACAGCATTAGAAAAGATAATCAGAAAGAAAATTTAATAGATCATCAGAAAAAAATCCCAAGACTTTTAGGCAAATGAGCCTACAAACACAGGTGGAATGGACTTGCAATTTACCAAGAAATAGGTTTGTCATACTTAGAAACCAACTGTATAAACATGTTTTTATCTATTAATAACTCCATTTTCCAAAACGCTCTACTTTATATGAGACAATTCTTGATGGAAATACCATTTGCTTCTAGGCTCGTTGCTTAAACATAAAGTTAAAAATCTTTGTATGACACATAAAATTGTGGTGACTGCTTAACTTTGCAACTATAGCGCTCCTGAAATGCTCATTTAACCAGTCTGTGTTCCAGACCTACAGAACTTAGATGGTGCTAACATTGCGCAAAAATTGTGTATTTCTTCTACAACTAACTTCTGATAAAAAGGGGGCAGAGAAGGTTAACTCTCTCCCCCTTTAGCTTTATTTGCTTAGTGAATTTCTACAAAACATAATTTAAGTGCTATATTTTTCCAAGGTTTTAATAAGGAAATAAAAACCGCAATAGGTATCTTAAGCAGAAAGTGCATTTCATACATATACAATAGGAAGGGCTAAAATAACTAAAGTAGCTGTGGCATGGAGGAAGGTTTTGAGTTCTTGAATTCAAAGGCACGCAATCATTTCTGCAATCCTGGGTCAAAAAGATGCTCCTGCTATTAAAACTTTAAGCCTCTTATGCCCATGAAACTGGGGATTAGGCACAAGGATATTGAATCCTACCACTTCCACTACTTCTGAACTATTGTCCCCATGATTTCACTTGCCAGAATCAACAATAGCAAGACAGGCTTTGATCTCTTCCATTTTTCTAAGTCTGATTCATATGCAAACAATCGGTAAGTGGTCTAAGCTGCATGCATAAAGCTAGCTCAAGGGAAGCTGCATTGCTTGTTTTGTTTTAATTTTCTAACCTCTTCAAAGAGTGGAACGAAAGTTGAGGAAACCTGTCCAACAGTCTACCACACACCTTCCATGAAAGGTTCCCCAACACCTCCAACAAAATAATGTAAACACATGCTGGAACCTATATTACTCTCGCACCATAACACTTCCCACACTTCCCACAATACTTTTTCTCTTCATGGGAATATCCTTCCAAAACATGCTGATATCTCCTAAGCATTATTCATCTGTCGAATTTTCCCACCTATTGTAAGGTCTTCCAATTGTTAGGTTCTTAATAAATATATTTTAAATTATTAAAATTCTGAACTAATGGGTAATCAACTGTACAACCCGAATTGCTGATTTGCATACAGCTGAAGTCCCTCCTCAAAACTTCTGTAATACATGAAACTTAGGCAAATGGTTGGGTCATTACCATATATTACTTTATATTTTTATTTATCAGTATATGTGATTACAGTTATGCTTATGTTAATTGATATGTATATGTTAACTTTTATACATATGTACATTGTATTATTTTGTTACATAGCACAGCATTTTGTACTCAAAAAGTGACCAATAATAATAAGCTACATACTTTGGGAAGCATTGCAGGCTAGTCGTACAGTTTTGTTTTGTTTTTTTCCCTGCAGCCTGACAACCTTTTCAGTCATTCACTAAACCTCTCTCAGCTTCAGTTTCTTCATCTGCAACATATAGCAAATAATAAAACTTAACTCAGATGGTTCTAGTGTGAAATAATACAGAGTAAATGTGCCACCAAATACAAACCAATGGCTTGATTGACATAACTCACTGCTAATTTTCTTGAAATGATTCAAAGTATTTTCCAGACAAGCACACACTGAGGGAATTCGTCACCACCAAACGAGTCCTATGAGAAATACTCAAAGGTGTCCCAAACACAAAAATGAAAGGTCAACATTCATCATCATCATCAAAACACATGAAAGTAGCAAACTCATAGGTCTTGTAAAACAGTCACACAAAGTAGGACGAGCAATCAAATAGCAACACAACAGATTTCCACCAAACCACAAAGACAAAGAGACACACAGAAAGAAAAACAAAAAACAACAACAAAATAACCCCAAGGAACTTATAAAACAAGTAGAAAACAAACAGCAATATGGCAGAAAGAAAACCTCATGTATTAACATTAACCTTGAATGTAAATGAATTAAACATTCCACTTAAAATATATAGATTGATAGATATTGGGCCAGGTGCAGTTGCTCACACCTGTAATCCCAGCACTTTGGGAGGCCGAGGTGGGTGGATCACGAGGTCAGGAGTTCGAGGCCAGGCTGGCCAACATAGTGAAACCCTATCTCCATTAAAAATACAAAAATTAGCCAGGCGTGGTGGCCGGCACCTGTAATCCCATCTACTTGGGAGGCTGAAGCAGGAGAATCGCTTGAACCTGCAAGACGGAGTTTGCAGTGAGCCAAGATTGCGCCACTGCACTCCACTCTGGATGACAGAGTGAAACTCCATCTAAAAGTAAAAAAAAAAAAAAAAAGAAAGGTAGATTGATGGAACGAACTAAAAAATGATCCAAAAATATTATGCTTACAAGAAACATATAGACACATACAGACTGAAAAGTAAAGACACATACAGATTTAAAGTAAATGGGTGAAAAAAGATACTCCATGTAACGGAGACTAAAAGCAAGCAGGAATAGCTATACTTATATCAAGTAAAACAGAACTTAAATCTAAAACAGTATAACAATGACAAAGGAAGTCATTACATAATGATAAAGGGATCAATTCAGCAAGAGGATATAACAATTCTAAACACATATGCATCCAACACTAGACCACCAAGATTCATCAAATAAATATTACTAGACATAAAAAAGGAATAGACAGCAATACGATAATACTGGGGGACTTTACCATCTCACTCACAGCATTAAATGTTATCATCAAGACAGAAAACAAATAAACCTAAGACTTAAATTCAACCTTAGATGAAATAGACCTAACTGACATTTACAGAAAATACTACCCAGCAACTACAGAATATACATTCTTAATAAAACCGCAATTTCACCCAACAATCCCACTACTGGAGATCTACCCAAAGGAGAACAGATAATTGTATGAAAAAGGTATCTGCACCCATATGTTTATCACAGCACTATTCACAATAGCAATGTGTCCCTCAGTGGATGATTACATTAATAAATCTGGCATATATGCGCTATAGAATACTATTCAGCTATACAAAAGAATAAAATCATGTCTTTTGTAACAACATGGATGTAACTGGTCATTATTTTAAGTGAAACAAATCAGACACAGAAAGACAAATACTGCATGTTCTCACTTATAACTGGAAGCTAAATAATGTATACACATGGACATAGAATGTGGAATGATAGACAACAGAGACTTGGAAATTTCAGGAGGGTGGGAGGAGGGGATGATGAGAAATTATGTAATGAGTACAATGTACATTTTTCAGGTGATGTATATTCTAAAACCCTTACTTCAACACTACGTACTTTATGGAGGTAATAAGATTATATTTGTATCCCACAAATTTACGTAAATAAAAAATTGCCTTCTGTACTTACTTTAGCCCAGTTATTGTTAGGTTCAACATTCAGCACTTTACTTAAATTTTCTATAGCTTTCTGGACCTTTTTTTGATATTTATATATAGTAGTGTGGCACAGAAGTGCTAATATTTACCAAAATAAAAGTTATATTTTTAATTAAAAATTAATTAAAAGGTTGTAGAATCTCAGGATGGAATGCAGACTGTTACAAATTTATCTAGCTCTATTATGAACCATACAAAATAACTTCAGTGAGGGACTTAAGGGAAAGGGTGCTAGTCAAAGTGATATTGAAAATGAGTGCAGTCTCTTAAGATGAAAGGCAAAAGAAACTTGTACGAAGGCATTTAATTTAGTTGATAAAGATGTTCTTCTACTAAGGGCAGGTTATCAATTCTGGTACAGCTATATACATATACTGGAAGTGAACAATTAACTAAATAGATGTCACAAAATAAGAGTCAGGATTTTTATTGTTGGAGTGGGGGTTTAGAGATACAGGAAGGCATTGATGCTTGCGGGACTAGGTTAGAGGTAGTGACATCAGTAAGAACCCATGTTTAGCTTAATATAGACATAGATGGTGATATGGTTTACATTTTGTCCCCTCTCAAACCTCTCGTCCAATTGTAATCGCCAGTGTTGAAGGAGGGGTCTAGTGGGAGGGGATTGGATTATGGGGGCAGATTTCCTCCTTGCTGTTCTTGTGATAATGACTTAGTTCTCACACAATCTGGTTGTTTAAAAGTGTGTAGCATCTCCCCCTTAGTTCTCTTCCTCCTTCTCCAGCCATGTAAGATGTGCCTGCTTCCTCTTTGCCTTCTGCTATGACTGTACGTTTTCTGAGGCTTCCCCATCCTTGCTTCCTGTACAGCCTGTGCAACTGTGAGGCAATTAAAGCTCTTTTCTTTATAAATTACCTAGGATCAGGTAGTTCTTTATAACAATGGGATAATGGACTAATATAGATGTTTACATATAGAAATATTTAAAGATATGTGTCTACATATGTGTAAGAATATACACATTGTTTCTTTGCTCTCTCATCTTAGAGAGCTATGAAAAAATTGATATTCCCTTAGCTACAGGCACAGCTAGCACTTAAATATTGATTTCATATATAGAAAGCAGGGCGTCTTTGAAAGTGGCTGATTCTAAGAATGGGGAAGAAAATACACAAGATGAGCCTGGGACATCCTCTAGTGCCAGAAATTATGAAAATACTAACAAAAATCTATTTGTGAGATATGTCAAACAAGCACAGGGGCCAAGTGAAAGGTCTTTCAATTTCTAGAATAATTTTAGCAACACAATACATTAATTGGTATTATATTTGGATTATACCCAAAAATGTAATTTTCCTTAGTCCATATTGATATCAATAAATGACTGAATAAACAAATGAATGAGATAAAAGAGGTAAATCTCCTCTGCAAATAATTTACATATGTATTCCAACTAAAGGAAGTCAGCTCTTAAAGACATCTTAAGCAATACTGCAACTGAATTAGCTTTCCAAAGATACTGTCACAATTCATCTATTCCAAGACCTATACATTTCATATTTTAATATCTCCTGAAAATATAATGCATTTTACAATTCAGTGGTATGTCTTAGTTTAATTAGCCACAATGCGAATTACTTGCTTAACGGGACATAAAATAGTGCATTATACAATCTATGGGCTCTTGGACTCAAGAAAATACGATAGAAAGGAGTTTATGTTAGAGTCTGCGCACTGACTAAAGATCAGAGCAGAAAGCAGATTCTAGGAACAGTCACATTTGTGGCAGTCACTGGTCTCGGCATGCAACAAAATTCAAAGTAAATAGTGGTAAGGTGGGAAATGGACAAAGCTATGTAGCTAGAATCAGAAGTCCTTGAAATCAAAACATCAAGATTCAAACTATTTAGGGGCAGTGGGGCTGACGTGGTGACCGTGGGCCTGATCAGATAAAACCTTTACAAAGAAACAGTAGCTCTCAGACTCACCTCCTGAGACAGAGTTGTTCTGAGGGGAAAATGGGTAAGTTTCCACAGTAACATACAGTACTTAAACATACAGTAAGATACAGTACTTAAAGCCCTGACCTGTCCAGTTCCCAACACATCTTTCTTGATGGGCACCTAAATGTCACCTTTTGGTTTTATTTTTGTGTTTTTCTCATCTAAGCTCAGAGAGCAAAGCCTGACAGGGTGAGCCCCCAAAGTGTGTTCATGTCTTAAGAGTGTCCAGAAGCCACCTAGGGAGTGTGCAAGTTTTTCATTTTCATGCCAGGGACAATGTCTCTCTTTATTGAGCTAATGGCAAGGTATGGGCCTCAGAATATGTACAGTTTGAACATATTTGCATCTTCCCTTTAATTAACTGTGAAATCTGTGAGGCTAATGAGAAGAAAATTGATGGGTAGTCGGTGGAAGAATTTTTTTTTCATTGTCATATCTTCAACTTTCCTGGGGTATAATAAGAGATGCACAGTCAATTCAGTATACTTGAAATGTGTGATGTGGTCAAATTTGAGATAGATATATATATATATGTATATACTTTTGGAAATATCACTACATTCACAACCATCATTATGAAAAGTTTTCTTGTGCACCTCAGTAATCAGTCTCTCCCTCCATGCTGTCTCCAGGCAGCCATTTGATTTTCCATCAGGTAACATGAGTGAGAAGAAAATGTCTGTTGCAAGCTATTGAAATTTTGTGGTTGTTCACTTTTTAGAAACTCTTTGGAATTTTCTTTCTCATATCTTTATTAACATATAAAGTGTCTGTCTGGCATACTTTCAGATAATGTAAATAATATACTCAGCAATTGTTTTGTGCTGGGCTTCCATTTAATCTTTCAAGATCATATGGATTTTTATAGCTTTATATGTTGTGTTTGGCATCTTAAGCTCACTATCTACCTACTGACTCTTAAATCCCAAACTCTAAAGAGGTTCTGAAGATTCCAAAGATGCTATTCACATCCGGTAAGTTTAGGGCAGGAAAACTGGTAAACCTCCTATAACATGAGGCTAGAGCCCACAACAAAATTATCAGGTCCAAAAATGTCAATAGTATTGAAGGTGAGACAATTTCTAGGGAGATATTACACCTTGATATTCTCATTTAATATGCTGGTAATGTAATCCAGCATTTTTCCAAAAATGAGAATAGCCTGGTGGCCTTAAATGTCATTGTTTTACTCTTACTTACATTGGACTAAAGAATGAGTTCAAATGCAGCTGAATAATTTGGATATTTAAAGCAATAACATTTTTCACTAACGCGCATAGGCTTAATGCCTGGGTGACAAAATAATCTGTATACCTATTTACCTATAGGTTTACCTATATAACAAACCTGCACATATACCCCTGAACTGAAAATAAAAGTTAATAAATAAAGTAATTACATTTGTTTAGAAATAAAATAAATTTAGAAATGGAAAATATTGTTGAAAATATTCTAAGAATTTTAAATTTATACATTAAAATAAAAATAATCTGAATATTATTACCAACAGAAAATCTTTGTCTTGATCTCAAATTCCAAGTAGAATACCTTTAGACTATCTCTAGCAATAGCTAACAGAATAAGATTTACAAATCTTGATAGATCATTTTTCATGCCTGTGTCATTTTAAAATGAATTGATGGCTGTTAAAACTTAATTTAATTTGAGTCTCTTCCGGATCATATACATAGTTTTACAGACAGCCATGTTCAATGAAATTATAATATGTAACACAAGAAATATGCCAGATGTAAAGTAAGAATCTCTTTTAAACGCTCTGATATTCAAAAATCTTTATCAGATTTCCTAAACTAACGATTTTAAACAAAACCTTTTAGTTAAGAAAGCATTGGTCTCAATAGTAAATCTGCCAATATGAATTGCTGCATTTTATTTTTGAACTTTCTAAAGGCCATCTGCCAGAGTAATTAGATATAAAATCCTGCATGCAATCTAATATTAGATGAAAAGTTTAAACTACCAATGATACAATATTGATGCACAGAGGAATGAATTGATTTTTTATGTTATTCTCAAATTGAAAGTCAATCTTTTTATAAAATAAATTTATAAATAAATCCAAATATGATATTTTAGCTCACTTTTGACAGTAGGTTTTCAGTTTCTGATGTTAACAATGGCATAATTATGATTTGCTGAATGACTTTAAAGTGATCGGATAAGGAAACAATTAGGGTTTGCAGTAGCTGGAGAAAGAAAAAAAAGAAATATTTAGATATTGCATACTCAATATGGCACATACTACGTCACAGGCTTTAATATCAGTTGACTACTCTCTTTAGAAGGAGTACGGTTTGACCTAGACCAGTTTATTTATTCATTTTTGTAATAATTTTTCCTCATTCTCTTTGACACATTGGTTAACCTAAAATTACTGTGTCGCTTAGGACATTGACTAAAAATCGTAGTCTTTCAGTTTGTGGCTGCTCACAGGATTTTTTTTTTTTTTTTGCTTTGGCTTACTAAATAATCTTTTATTGGAGTTAAAACAACAAAGCTAGTAAAGATATATAAATCAATGCCAAAAAAAAGGAGACAGGCCTACTTATATGCCATTATCTTCTGTTATTGCCGTTGGATAGAAGACAGACATTATCATTTTTAATCAATTGTATACTTCATAAATATGATACAACAGATATTTTTACTTCCAAGATTATACATAGAGTTTTTATGATTCCTTTGTGAGTGTGAACTATATAGCTGTCCCTAAAACATAATTGAGAACAGAAAGGTTTTATTTTTAATTATATAATTTTCTTGCCCAAGTTATATGGATTCATAGGTTACAGAATGTATAACAATATACATTTTTTGCATTTTTAAATTTACTGTATAATTTATTTCTGAAACCAAATTTGATATACAACTATGTAAACCATTAAATATGATCTGGATTAAAATAATCTTAACAGACAAATCCAAAAACACTGCATTTTATTATTTCTATTTCTAATGTTACCTCCAGGTTTAGACTCCCCTAAGTAATTGACTCTACCTATTATGTTTGTGTTTTGAAACATCACTCTATATTGTAACAAAAAGAAAAATGACACAATTAGTTTCCTATATGTACACAAAAATTTTCAGTTTTAAATAAGGAAATATAGTTTTGAAATTTAAAAAAGTAAATGTTATAATATTTTCTCAAATAATTTACTACTCATATTCCCATTGCTTAGTTTCATTAATTTTTACACTCACATTTTACATATCCAAGATATATTTCCAGCTTTATTTTCAGAATGAACTGCTAGGATCTTAGATGAGTTTATTATTTTGCACGAGGTGCCACTGCTTGACACCTGATTGTGTGTATACCCCCCCCTTTTTTTTTTATATACTTTTAAGTTTTAGGGTACATGTGCACAATGTGCAGGTTAGTTACATATGTATACATGTGCCATGCTGGTGTGCTGCACCCACTAACTCGTCATCTAGCATTAGGTATATCTCCGAGTGCTATCCCTCCCCCCTCCCCCCACCCCATAACAGTCCCCAGAGTGTGATGTTCCCCTTCCTGTGTCCATGTGTTCTCATTGTTCAATTCCCACCTATGAGTGAGAACATCCGGTGTTTGGTTTTTTGTCCTTGCGATAGTTTACTGAGAATGATGATTTCCAATTTCATCCATGTCCCTATAAAGGACATGAACTCATCATTTTTTATGGCTGCATAGTATTGCATGGTGTATATGTGCCACATTTTCTTAATCCAGTCTATCACTGTTGGACATTTGGATTGGTTCCAAGTCTTTGCTGCCCAAGGTAATTTATAGATCCAATGCCATCCCCATCAAGCTACCAATGACTTTCTTCACAGAATTGGAAATAACTACTTTAAAGTTCGTATGGAACCAAAAAAGAGCCCGCATTGCCAAGTCAATCCTAAGCCAAAAGAACAAAGCTGGAGGCATCACGCTACCTGACTTCAAACTATACTACAAGGCTACAGTAACCAAAACAGCACGGTACTGGTACCAAAACAGAGATATAGATCAATGGAACAGAACAGAGCCCTCAGAAATAACGCCGCATATCTACAACTATCTCATCTTTGACAAACCTGAGAAAAATAAGCAATGGGGAAAGGATTCCCTATTTAATAAATGGTGCTGGGAAAACTGGCTAGCCATATGGAGAAAGCTGAAACTGGATCCCTTCCTTACACCTTATACAAAAATTAATTCAAGATGGATTAAAGACTTAAACGTTAGACCTAAAACCATAAAAACCCTAGAAGAAAACCTACGCATTACCATTCAGGACACAGGCGTGGGCAAGGACTTCATGTCTAAAACACCAAAAGCAATGGCAACAAAAGCCAAAATTGACAAATGGGATCTAATTAAACTAAAGAGCTTCTGCACAGCAAAAGAAACTACCATCACAGTGAACAGGCAACCTACAGAATGGGAGAAAATTTTCGCAACCTACTCATCTGACAAAGGGCTAATATCCAGAATCTACAATGAACTCAAACAAATTTACAAGAAAAAAACAAACAACCCCATCAAAAAGTGGGCGAAGGACATGAACAGACACTTCGCAAAAGAAGACATTTATGCAGCCAAAAAACACATGAAAAAATGCTCACCATCACTGGCCATCAGAGAAATGCAAATCAAAACCACGATGAGATACCATCTCACACCAGTTAGAATGGCAATCATTAAAAAGCCAGGAAACAACAGGTGCTGGAGAGGATGTGGAGAAATAGGAACACTTTTATACTGTTGGTGGGACGGTAAACTAGTTCAACCATTGTCGAAGTCAGTGTGGCGATTCCTCAGGGATCTAGAACTAGAAATACCATTTGACCCAGCCATCCCATTACTGGGTATATACCCAAAGGATTATAAATCATGCTGCTATAAAGACACATGCACACGTATGTTTATTGCGGCACTATTCACAATACCCCATTCTTTAGACTTTTAAAATCAATACCCACTCTTCCCCACGAACAAGAGAAAGTAAAAACAACTAACAGTGGATTTCTGTATCACGATGACTCATTTTCAATAGAACACTACCATAGGTCAAATGGATGAATGCATAAATAATGAATGGATTAATATCTTTTACATAATCATGTGCCACATAACAACGTTTACATCAATAAGAGACAGCATGTAAAACAATGGCTCATTAAGATTATAATAGGGTTGAAAAATTGCTATCACCATTATAGATTGATCACTCTATGAAGTTTGCACAGTAAGATAATCACCTAGCCACACACTTCTCAGAACATATCCTCATTGCTAAGTGACACAAGGCTGTATTTCATTTAATGATTGCGTAAATAGTTGTTGAGAAAAATCTGCACTCTAAGTACCAGGATAAAAGAGATTAATAATAAATTAATGATTAAATGCACCATGATCAATCTTATCATTGAGGTCTATATGCTACATTTGGATTACATCGTAAAGGCAGAGGTTAATCATCGCAACTTACACAACAGGATACAGAGTGGATCAGCAGATAATTACATAATAGAATACAGTTTGAAACCTGCAAGATGCATTAGAATTAATTAGAATCAAACCATATGTGTGACTTTGGTTTAAATGTGCAAAACCTATTAATATAGATATAGCCAGGACATTTCTATTGTGTGTGTGTGTGTGTATATATATATATATATATATATATATATATATATAGTGTGTATCTATATATATACACACACATATACATTTATATATACATACATACATATATATAATATATTATATATATATATATATATATATATATATATATATATATTTTTTTTTTTTTTTTTTTTTTTTTTTTTTTTTGTGATGGAGTTTCGCTCTTGCTGCCCAGGCTGGAGTGCAATGGCATGGTTTCAGCTCACTGCAACCTCCGCTTCCAAGGTTCAAGCAATTCTCCTGCCTCAGCCTCCCAAGTGGCTGGAATTACAGGGGCCAACCACACCAGGCATATCTTTGTATTTTTAGTAGAAACTGCTTTCACCATGTTGGCCAGGCTGGTCTCGAACTCCTGACCTCAAGTGATCTACCCCCTCGGCCTCCCAAAGTGCTGGGATTACAGGTGTGAGTCACTGTACCCAGTTTGTCTTTATAAATCTTATAGAAATATTTAACTTTTAAAATCAACCACACACAATTAAGACTTTGATAAAAGTAATTAAGAAGTAAAGCAATGGAAAAAGCAATTTTTAAAAACATATATGAATGATTGAAAGCCAGGAGTAAAATTAAGAATTGTATTAAAATATCACTATTAAAATTAGCTACATAAATATTTAATTAATGCAGCTAAATTGTTAACAAAATTTACAGAAGAAAAGTATGTTAACATTACTGAATCATCTTAAAATCTTATTAAAATTTAAAGTTCTTCTCAACTGAAATTATATCACAGAAAAAAATAATGTCACCTTAAAAAGTTTAGGATTAGAAATACATAATTATTTTTAAATATAGTCTTTATATATTAATTATATTTCATTAATGTCTTATTTCTTGAATAAACTTTTTTCATGATACTATTTAAGTGCCACATTCTACAATAATATGGAAAACAATTCTACAAAATGTGGCATACAGTAATTGATAGGTAGTATAGCACACCTTTTATCTCTTTATAGCAAAAACATAATGTGTAAATTAATATAACACTAAGTCCCATATTGTCATTTTTTGTCAAAGAGCTATCTCCTTGAAAACCATCATCCTCAGATGCATCTCTAACTTCAAAAAGACCTTAGAAACTGTAACAATTGTAAATGCGTTATAACTTAAAGAGATATTATCTTCACATTAGAGGCTAACAGGCTTATACCTACTGATAGCTGACAAGTATTATAGGAATCCTGGCAGGCAAATTGTTGCATAAAAATTATGTAATTTACTAACTGTAAAATAACCTTTAGAGTTTAGAATCAGTCAGATAAGTAGAACAGACAATTGTTATCAAAGCCATATAAATGGCTATTAAAATTATTTTTTGCTACCCTCATTTTATCTCTGAAGAGACATCTTGTTAAAAAATGAATAACAGACACATATAAATACCTAATTACAAGCAGAGTTAAGATTAAAATTCAGCCTCATTAGGGGTGGGATAGAAATCAGTACACTAAAGAATATTTTGGTGCAGGTAGTTTGTTTCAAATGATTCAACCTTCAACATTACTTCACTTAAATTTTAGCAAACTTTCTGCTATAATTTAAGCATACAGACCTATGACACTAGACATATGTCCTGTGTAAGCCTGGGCTAGGGGAGCTCTATTTAATACTTACATAAACCCCAAAGATGTCCTAAGAAATAAAATTTGGAAAAACTTTGATGTGCTACAGCACGGATTTTCTCCTACAGCAACAGAGCAGACACTTGAATGTAGTTATACTCCTGCTTTCCACCTCCCTGTCAAAACAATAAAAAAGGCCACAGGCCTGTGGTTCTGGCCTCCAGGGAACTGGTGGCTTCTTTAACCCACACTGCTGCTGCTGAATCCCATTTAGGTTTAGGGTTTATTTTGTATATGCCTTTGTACAGGCTAAATGCTGGTCTAGTTGAAAATCAACCTAAAACAACCTTAATAGCATCTCATTTTATTGTGACTTTACTTTTTGTGTTGTTTGGTGTTTTACTTTTGGAGACAGAGTCTTAATCTGTCACCAAGGCTGGAGTGCAGTGGCATGATTATGGCTCAACCTCCAGGCTCAAGTGACCCTCCCACTTCAGCCACCTGAGTAGCTGATACCACAGGAACATGCCACCACATAAGGCTAACTTAAAGAACATTTTTTTAGATGGGATCTCACTATGTTGCCCAGGCTGATCTTGAGCTCTTTGCCCCAAGCAATCCTCCCACCTTGGCCTCCCAAAGTGCAGGGATTATAGGTGTGAGCCACTATGCCAGGCCTCTCTCATGACTTTAAACTTGAACATGCTTTTGTGCTGTGGCCGAGTTTAGGATCCCAACCAGCCTGTGATTACTGTGGTCACCACACAGATTCCCTCTTGTTCCATCTTTTATATTCCATCTTCTCACTCTCATAACTGTGTGGATAGGAAAACAATTATCCATACAGGTATGATATTGGCAGAGAAAATCACAAAATGTTTTAATGAGCAAACACTTTGGGGATGGTAATAATCTTTCTACCACCTTCATTGTCTTGTTTAAGTATCTCTACATTCTTCTTTAAAAATTAGGAATATATCTTTCTTGCTCTTTCGTTGTTGTTGAACACCAGAAGGGGATATTCCTTAATTCTCTCTCCATAGCTAAGGACAGTACAGCACAATATTCCATTCAGCAGGTGAAGTCAGTATGAATGAATGCATTTCAATCAGCAAATTGCTGGTTGTGTTGCAACTCCTAGTTATGATGTTTTGTGTACTTTGAAGGGCTCCCATTAATTAAGGTATTTCTTATAAGCATTCAGAAAGTTTCTTTTCTTGGCATGCGACTTGAAAATTTGTCCTGATATTTTCCCTGTGACAATGTTTTGTGAATTGTAACTCAGCCACTTAAGTGGCTCCTCATAATAAAGCCACATGGTATCCATGTACACATATTTAACAAATCAAAGAAGTGGTTCTCAACCTAATCTCTAGAGGAGGTCCTTCTTGTTCACTTTCAATAACTATGTTGAAGAATAGATTCTAAAAAGCTATCACCAAATTTTCGAATATGTTTTGAAATTTGTGTCCACAAAATCTATAAATCAATAAATGTATAGAATAGAGCATAATAATCCAATTAACAAATTTAAGATGTCATCTAAGCAGGAATGAATGCAATAAATAGGCCTTCTTACTTCAAAATCAACTGCAGAGGTAATGCATTGCCACTAGACTTGTGTGCTGTGTTGGTAATAAATTAACAAAAACTTTGGGGATAAGAAAAATCTGCAAATAAAATGGTGTGTCATTTGTGAAATATAATCACAAAAATGTTCAGATTGTTATAATTAACAGAAAAACTATTGTTTTTATTATATCCAGTGTTTAACAGACACTATTCATGTATACATACAACATTCTTATAATAACTCTTGTGTCCATGTAAATAGCAGTCTTGCCAAAAAGAATTGATTATCATGTAGTAGTTTGTAAGTATTTTCATGCATAGGCTGCAACCCTTTAGAGTGCTATTCTAATAAATTATTAATATTAACTTGATGAACACAATTCTAAGACATTTCATTTGAGGATATGTTTATTAACTATTAGGTTGGTACAAAAGGCATTGCGTTTTTTGCCATTACTTTCAATAAAAAATAGAACCAGCATTTAGAAATCTACTTTCAGAAACTTAATAAAATGAGAATTTGTCCTCTTTTACATATAGGAAGCCTGCATAATAAGCATTCTGTTGCTAGTACATAAGCTTCCCATTTTCATCAGGAAACTATACACTTACATTTCACTTTTACTAACTTCAATGCATGACTTCTACCTTCAAGGTGATTTCATGCTTCTAGCCACCATGTCTGTACTCCAGGACAGCAGCACAAAGTGTAGAAAAATAAAAAAGACATACCTCCCTAATGAGTCAACTGCACTTAAGGAGCCATCCCAGAAGTTTCACACGGCTTATTTGAATACAGCTATATCCAGATGCAAGGAATGCTGGGAAATGTGGTATTGTGCGCAGCTAAAGTTGGGATTATGTTAGTGAAAATGAGACCACGAACATTGGAAGGTTAAAAGCGATCTCTCATGACATATACAATTACAGAAATTAAATTAAATCTTTAAGCAATGTGATAAACCTATGGAATGTTAACAGGCAAAAATAGCAACATTAAAAATTACAGTGAGGGAATAAGGTATGATTCGTTTGTAGATGGTTTGTGTGTCATTAATCTAGGCAAAAAGTCATAAACTCCTCTAACAGTGACCACATGTATAAAAGAAATAATAATACACACTATGGCTAACAACATTCCATTTTGGCCTATTTACTGTTGTTAAGTCTCTATGGTTAGCATCAGAAATGTACAGTTTTGATAGCCTATGACCTCAACATGTTCAGTTTGATAGTAGAAAGGACAACATAAAGACAAACCAATCAACAAATAAGAATAAAAACTGTTAAAAAAAGGACAATATTATCATAAGAACATAAGGATGTGATAATGTATTTGACATATCGTTTATTTATTGTTTTATAGTTGGATAATACATATAAATTTACTGCTCCTTCAATGTTAGAATCAATAGAATCATAGCAGAAGTAATTAAGCAGATAAAGATCAAAACGTCACCTTTATTACTTACTGTTTGAAAAATAGTCTAAGGCTGGTTTTACAGGGTTGCTCCTATCCATCACCTGATGTGAAGTTTCTTAGGAAGCTTCAGGACTACACCAAAGAAGCAGAACCTGCTCTTTCACTCTGTTGCATTGTGTGGAGTGCAGGCCATCATGACTGCTCTCTACAAGAAAAAGAAAGGAAATAATTAAGAAACGCACAAAAGTTTGTGAATTGAGAATCCCAAAATAGGTATGAAATTGGTTAGCTTTCTAAATTCACCAATCTCATAACTAACACCTGTCCCCATGCAGTGAATGAGTAAAGGATGGACAGACTCCATAATGATTATTCTAGGGAAAGCCTTCTGAGTAGAAAGAGGAGAGTTTTGCAAACAGTTTTGTAGAGTTTACTCTTGTTTATGCACTGATAATAAATAAGAGTTCCTAAAATTCTCTCTAGAACTCTAGGTAAATGAGATATTTCACCGCTCATGCTGTGTGACCTTCATGTCCCATCTGCCTAGACTGTAAATATGCTTTCTGAAGTTTAAAAGAATTAGTATACTATGCTTACATTAAGCAAAAAAGTACCCTTATTATGCAGGATCAAGTAACACTCTAAAGATTCATGTTTATGAAAAAACACTGATGATTCTATTTTATTATGTGTCTTCTAAAGAGAAAAATACTTGTGCTCTGCAGCATAATTTTACAATGTGCTATTCTAAATACTTTCATTTAAACAAGACCATTATGAAAATGTTTTGCACACAGAAATATATTTTGAATACTTTTTTAAAAAGATCACAAAGTATATGGTCTCTGTACGTGTTCAATTATTTTAATGCTTTCACTATAACAGGAATTCTTAAAGAGGATATGTACTTGCATAATGCTGATAATTCTTTCTCATTTCTGTTTGTGCTTTGGCTGTTGTTACAACCACTGAAAGTAGTAATTACATGAGTGTATTATCCATGATTATCTTTAGATATATGTGCATTTTCTTTAATTAAACTATAAACTCTAAATGAAAAATAAAAAAGAAGTCACCTCTTGTCTCTTTGTACAATATTAAAATTTTTTTCTTGTATCCAGAGTTTCCCAAATGCCTGTTGCAAAATTTTACTTAGGGAGTAGAAAGTGGAGAATCAATATGGTAAAAAAAAACTGTGTTACAGGGAAGGAGACACAGGGTAAGCATTTTCCTTATCTTCTCTCCTGTATCTACGTGCTGCACAAGCATAAATGATAGCAGTCACATGAACGAGTACTTTTCAAGAACGTAGAATATGGTGATGGAAAAAAAAAACCGCTTTGAAACATCGAATAATATAAAAGCCAGAACTACTACAACTATTTTTTACATCCATAGAAGGTAAACTATTTTTAGATATAAAATTCCTTCTGACGGTAGTCCTGATCATTTAACCAATATTTTGATAAATCAAAGAAGGGAAAAATGGACATTCAGTCCAAAGATGGGCATGTATTCCCATGCCCAGTCAGGCAAAATTGTGGATGTTCTTTAAAATAACAATTCATTCAACAAATAATTTTTAAATGGCTACTGAATACCTGGAAAGGTTCTAGACACAGGGGCTATAGTAAGAAACAAGAAGGAACTAATTGACAAGAATGTGCTCACCGACAATGAAACATCTCCTCATGGAGCTTGAGTTCTGTTTGAAAAGACAGAGAACAAAAAAATATTATTGCACAGAGTGTTAGTTATGTGTGAATTAAAAGACTGGTCAGTACTTGAAGGAGAAGGAGTGACAACAAATCTCACTTCCAGTTCTATTTACCTGAACAGATTAATTCTATTTTGTTTCAATGCAACAGTAGTCCTACGGTTAACAAGATGCACTACACAAAGCAAACAACTTATAAAACGCATTTTTTCCTTATATTGCAAATCAATTTTAAGTGGATCTACAAATATACAATAAATAATATAAATTACGGATCGTTTGTTTCTAAGGTAATAAGTACATTTGTTAATTTCACATAAATAATTTCAGAAGGAGAGCAAATGTAAAAATGTGTTTTAGACAGTGGAGATGCCATTTTATTGTAAGACTATTTATACTCAAAGGACAAAGTAATCAGCTTTCTATGTCAATGATCGTCCTTCTCTATTTCACCCAGTTCCAGACAAACCCAAGTCTTCCAAGTCTCTTCATATATCTGATCCAATAAAATCTATAATGAGTTCAGTTAGCATACACACACACACACACACACACACCACACACACACAAGCACACAAACACACACACATGACTGCATTGAAATACTTGCTCTAGGGAAGGAACATAGTGTATATGCAACTTGTGTACTTTCTAAGTATGGGAAGACTAATCCTTTAACAACTGCATTTACTTTCTTTCACTTCTATCGTTGCTATCTACTCCTCAGAAATCTACTTAAACAACCAATAAATATATATGATGTTGTTATGAGAGTTTTGGAAATAATTCCTAAAAATTTGCATGGTTGCCTCTTTATATTTGGCAGCTTCTATCACCCATGGGAACAACCCCTACAGAATGATCAGAATATAAAGCATGTGAGCCCTGGGTTTCTCAGGCACTGGAAGGACCTGTCAGAATCCTCTCAGGTGGGTCAAAATGGCCAGGCTTTATAACCTCATCTCCATTCGTGTTTGCATGTCCAGTGCTCCAGGATGCCCTAACATTGAGCCAGACAATGGTTACAGCTGAGGCAAACTTTGAAGGAGCTGAGAGCTGAAGGCTGCTTTGTAATATTGCTCCTAGCAGCCAAGGGGGAAAGAAATCTTTTCTTGAAGAGCGATCTGTGTCCATAGCAAAATGTTTTTTTCTTAGCTCTTGTAAAATCGAAATTGTTTGCTTTTGAATTTTTTTAAATGATTCCTTTAAGATTCTTAATACCAAGATATCACAAGGTCAAGGAATTTTATAAAGAAGTATTTCTATTTATGTAATTTCCTAAATTTATCTATACACAAATCAGCACTAAAACATGCCTTTGATACTAACAACTTGATCGGTTTGTGAACCAAATCTGTCATGCAAATACATACGGCTGTTTTTAGATAAATTCTAAAGGTATTACCAAATCATTTAATTTTATTGTGTATCTCAATATTCTGGTTGATGTATAAGTTTAAATAGAACAAACTATTTGACATTGAAATGTTCTTTATCAAAGGAGAAGGAATACAATTTTAAAGCCACAACGAGTGACACATAGTTCTGAATGATTTATTGGCTGTCTGCCATTCTGAAATGGCTGCCAGTCAATGTTACATGTGACATCTTTCAGATAGTGTGAACTCTTTTATGCAAGCACCTTTCACTATAAAATTACAGCTGGAGATCATGAAGAGAAAAGTGTGGTGTTTATCTTAATGGGCTGAAAGACCTATTTCAACAGTTACAGTAATTCAGAAAAATAGTCTGAAGTCTAGTATTTCAATAATGTTATTTTCATAGATTTTAATCTCTAAAGACAATGCTTCACTTTTGTAGAAAATGACTTTTCTAATCATCCTGGATTTCAAAATTCTTTCCACTACTTAATATTTAAATCACTGGCAGAACTTGGCATGAGGACTAGAGAGCTGTCACCAAGCAGCCAGTCATTTTTCTTGGCTTCCCATATGCCATGCCCAGCAATAGAGCATTTCTTAGTAGCTGAGGAATAGCAGCAGTGCTAAACACAGAGATGACATTAACAGGAATGAGAGGGTCCAAGCTGTTTTCCTAGACTAATTCTCATTCAGCCTGAATTCAAAGCATTTTCCTATCATTATCATAGATATTTCGCTTGTGGTATTATCTATCTTTTGGCAATGTTGATTTTTTTCTGATTATCCAAATAAGTAATGTTAATGGAAAAAATCAGATATTAGGGGAAAAAAAACTCTAGAAATAAATGTTAACCCAAGACAATAACAATTCAATTAATTTATATGATACCTTAGGGATTGTGTCAATTATTTTTTAAATGAAATTCAAAAAATTCAACACCTGTGTTTTCTCCTACGATTACAAATTCAACTAGGGCACAATTGTAAATGGTTGTATTTGGTTGAATTTTTAGATTGTTTATAAGTTTTACTCTTGCAGACAATAATAATGGAGTTTCTTTGAAAATAAATTTAGTTGTTCTATAACCAAGGCATAAATATTCAATTCAATAAAATTAGCAAAAATATTAAATGAAAAGTATATTATATATAAAATGCATAAATAAAATATCCTGCACTGATCATTTTATGTCTATGGTTACCCTACTGATTCTGTGCACATTTGCATATGGGTATATATGCAATTTTATACAATGAAGTATTAATAGTGTACATAAATTTAGTAATTATTTTACCCCTTAAAAGTATATGCAATGAGTGTCACTTATATATAAATTCTGTTAACGTGGAAGAAGAATGTTAGTCAAAAAAACTACGAATTTAACAATTTTCTGGTTAATTCAAAGGGCTTTCCAAAAATGTCTTTTAAAATTCAATTTCATTTATTTTCTCATAGCAGAATATGAGAATGAATCTTTTTTGCTGCAAATTGGCTAGCAATAAATTTTTATTTTTATTATTTTAATTCTGTGAATTTCGGGAATGGAGTCTCATTCAGTATAAATATTATAATACTAATGAGATTGACTCCCTCCTTCTTATTAACAGTGTGCATTTTTACCCTCCGTGATTCAGTGCATGGTGTAGTGCTATAATTAAAAATGAACATTTTTTTTTAAATTTTATTATTATTATATTTCAAGTTTTAGGGTACATGTGCACAATGTGCAGGTTAGTTACATATGTATACATGTGCCATGCTGGTGTGCTGCACCCATTAACTCGTCATTTAGCATTAGATATATCTCCTAATGCTTTCCCTCCCCCCTTCCCCCACCCCACAACAGTCCCCAGCGTGTGGTGTTCCCCTTCCTGTGTCCATGTGTTCTCATTGTTCAATTCCCACCTATGAGTGAGAACATCCGGTGTTTGGTTTTTTGTCCTTGCGATAGTTTACTGAGAATGATGATTTCCAATTTCATCCATGTCCCTACAAAGGACATGAACTCATCATTTTTTATGGCCGCATAGTATTGCATGGTGTATATGTGCCACATTTTCTTAATCCAGTCTATCACTGTTGGACATTTGGATTGGTTCCAAGTCTTTGCTGCCCAAGGTAATTTATAGATCCAATGCCATCCCCATCAAGCTACCAATGACTTTCTTTACAGAATTGGAAATAACTACTTTAAAGTTCGTATGGAACCAAAAAAGAGCCCGCGTTGCCAAGTCAATCCTAAGCCAAACGAACAAAGCTGGAGGCATCACGCTACCTGACTTCAAACTATACTACAAGGCTACAGTAACCAAAACAGCACGGTACTGGTACCAAAACAGAGATATAGATCAATGGAACAGAACAGAGCCCTCAGAAATAACGCCGCATATCTACAACTATCTCATCTTTGACAAACCTGAGAAAAATAAGCAATGGGGAAAGGATTCCCTATTTAATAAATGGTGCTGGGAAAACTGGCTAGCCATATGGAGAAAGCTGAAACTGGATCCCTTCCTTACACCTTATACAAAAATTAATTCAAGATGGATTAAAGACTTAAACGTTAGACCTAAAACCATAAAAACCCTAGAAGAAAACCTACGCATTACCATTCAGGACACAGGCGTGGGCAAGGACTTCATGTCTAAAACACCAAAAGCAATGGCAACAAAAGCCAAAATTGACAAATGGGATCTAATTAAACTAAAGAGCTTCTGCACAGCAAAAGAAACTACCATCACAGTGAACAGGCAGCCTACAGAATGGGAGAAAATTTTCACAATCTACTCATCTGACAAAGGGCTAATATCCAGAATCTACAATGAACTCAAACAAATTTACAAGAAAAAAACAAACAACCCCATCAAAAAGTGGGCGAAGGACATGAACAGACACTTCTCAAAAGAAGATATTTATGCAGCCAAAAAACACATGAAGAAATGCTCACCATCACTGGCCATCAGAGAAAAACGAACATTTCAAAGATGTGCTTCCAAATGCCAAATCATCACTAAAAAGCTCTGTGGCATAGAGGAAATTTCACAACCTTTTAGTGCCTCAATTTTGTGGAAGAATGGTTAGGAGGCTATTGCAATAACAAAAGAAAATTTGAATAGCTGTATCCAACATGAAAAGATTGCTAGTAGAATTAAATGAGTTACTATAGGTAAAACAATCAGGGAAGTAATTAAAGAGAATCTGCACTAACATTGTTTTATTAATTTAAAATATCTGTACACAATCCTTTGACTCATTTGGAATTAGTTTTAGTGTATTTTAGAAAATAAGGTTTATTTTTTATTTTCTCCCAAAACAATTCTTCAAGACAACTTTTCGAACAGTAAATTCCTTCTTTGTTTATAATATGTATTTTAATAAAGTCACTTATCTTCATGATTTCTAGGACATCGGTTCTATCTAATCTATTGTTCAGCATTCGTCTGAGTATTTTCTGAGCAGCAATTAACCCCTCTGTACCTCTGAGTGCCCACATTTCCTTGATCCATTTCACCTTGCTGATCAATCCTTCTTTACTCATAGTCTAAATTTTTTTTTTAGAACTTCTGAGAGTGCCTCAAACCTTGGTCTTGGGTCTTCCTTCAATCTTATTTGTCTTTCCACCTGATCTTAATTATTTACATCACATTATACCCTATCTTTATGGTGACAAATCTCAAAATTATCTCTCTGACCTAAACTTATCATTAAAGATTTGGTTGCAACTTATTAAGAAGTCAGGTTCAATGTAATACATGCATTGTTGATTTAATATGCTCATCAAAATACTTAAAATTTTATTTGAATGCAAAAAAATAAAGCTTTTAATTTTATCTCCTATTTAATAATTTTGACAAAAACATTATACCAATCATTACTAATTATTGCTGGCTTTTAAAATATTATCTGATTAAATATTTTTGACTTGGAAAAATGGTAACAAATGCTTCTCTCTTTCTTGTCCCCTTGAACCATACTTGATATATTGCTTTTTCCAAATCCAGGCCACAAGTTCAGAATATAGCCTGTTAAAATATCTTCTGTGTATAAACTATCTTTAAATTTTCTTGAGAGAATACTGAGTAACCAAAAGCATTGCTCCTTCACCCTACAAAAGAGAGAAAAATTAAAAAATCACATTAATTTGTAATTTTAAATGGTAATTAAAGCTATTGTGAGGGCTCTTTTATCGGCCAAACTTGTGAACAAAAAACAGCTCAAATTTATGTGTAAATAAAATATATTGAGATGAAGCCTTTCATTCAATGTGTGATTTTCAGTTCAAAAAAACACACTGATGTTCAAGAACAAAGACTGGTACAATAACTATCTACAAAATGCTTTTGTTACTAGATTTTAATTCCTTCATCAAACAGACACAGTCAAAGTTGATAGTGTCACTAGATCTAGAGGTCTATCAATATCCTTCCCACCATTTAATATGTTCTTAATCTCAGGGAAATTCTAAATCATATTCTTCTAAATTGTACAGTTGACTCCTGAAAAACACAAGGTTTAGGGCCATCAAACCTCCCTAACCCCTCCCCACCACCCCAGCACAGTCAAAAATTCACATATAACTTTGGACTCCCCAAAACTAAACTAACAGCCTACTGTTGACTGGACAATCCTTAACACATATTTCATACGCTGTATGTATTTTACACCGTAGTTTTACAATGAAGCTAGTTACAGAAAAGAAAGTGTTATTAAGAAAATTATAGGGAAGAAAAAATACGTTTACAGTACTACAGTATATTTATTTCTCTCATAAGTTTACAATCCCGTGTTTACAAGATGGATCCTTCTTCTGAAATGGCAGCACACACAGCTGCAGGCCTCAATCTAGGGTACCTATCAAGCAATTCATTGTTTTCCTGTAATGTCAGGACCCTTCTCTGTTTCCTGGAAGAACTTTCAGCATCACTAGCAGCACTTTTTATAGGTCTGAAGGTGTTATTCAAGGTTTATGGTATTGCACTAGACATCATGAATAATACAGGAGAAACATGAGAGAACACTTTTTACTGTGTTAATTTACTGGAGAGACAAGCTACTCACAAGAAGATGATTAGCATTATGTGGCATTTTAAGTGAATACTCACAACACTTGAGTTCACTGCAAGAACAACAGGTGGAGGCTAGGAAATTATCCCAGTAGTACAGTATGTACTACAGTTAATTTTGTGCAGTTATGATTTACTTTTGTATATTTTTGTTTTACTTTTCTCTAAACTTCAATTGGCTGCATGTATGCTCTGTGTTTGCCTACGTCTTGATAAATTTTAACTTTTTATAATAGACGCATATATATCTCATTGTATTAAATGATCACTAGTATCTACATATGATTTATGCATTCATGACATCGTTTTCTTAGTTTTTTAATATTTCTTGTGTAGATGGGTCACCTGTTATCTTTTTCAATTTTTCATAAATCTCCAAAAATTTTCTAATATATTTATAGGAAAAAATCTACATATGAGCAGACCTGCACAGTTCAAACCTGTGTTGTTGAGGAGTCAACTATATATTATAATTTAAGAGAGGATTCAACTCTTTCATTCTACTGGCAATGGGTTAACATAAACTTTAGTCAGAACTGCTGAGCTTTTCTGGCACAATGAGGACAAATTGACCAATGTATTTAACCAATAGCTGGAGGAAAATTTTGCTAAAATTGGTAAGTATATCTTTATATAACTATATCCTTACAACTTGTCTCAACCTTCGTCAGATTAATCCTAACAAAACTGTAAAATGTCTCAGTAAAAATCTAAATGAATTTTTCATAACAAGTGCTGGCAATAGATTTTAAATATGTTCTGATCATTATTTGTCTCTTGTTGGCATGGAGAAAATCCTTTTTTTTTTTTTCAGCCTGGGGAATCCCAAACTATATCTCTAGTAACAAGGAAACCATTTTACCGGAATTTTTATTAACATGGAAAAGTTCTGTCAATTAATCAGACTTCACTGTCCATATCACTTTCAACCTTTTGGGAAGGTAGAAAGATGGAATTCTGAAACTAAAGTTGGTAAAGTTCACAGACATCGTCAAACTTGCATGGTCTAAGGCATTTCTTCTTTCTGTGGTTCATGAGTTAGTAACAGCTAAACCAAGTGTCTAGGAATATTAGCTCTGATTCTAGAAATCTACACTTATTTAACTAAATGCTGTAAGGACTCAGGAAATCCATTCTTTCAACAAAAGTTACTGAAGACTTTCCCCATTAGTATCCTAAACAATGTCTGCAAAATTGGTTTTCATACCTGGATACCTTGTCTTCTAAGAGACACGGCAGGGAAAGATCATAGGAAAAAAGTCACTATCAGGCACAGCTAACAACTAGCAAACCCATAGTCTTTAAAAGACTGATCCTTTGATTCCTATCTCTCAAGTAAAGAGGTTTAGGTCATCTTCATATTACAGGAAAGTATCCCTACCAAAAACTTCTAACTAATGACTCTTAGGATTCTTCCAAAAGCAAATAGTCTTTGGGAGAAGACAGCTTCCATCAAATGCCTTTGGATCAAGTGAATCACTATATGAGATATCGGTATCTGCAAACCAAGATCCACAAAAAAAGATCCATTGTTTGTCATATTTAATCTGTATATCTTGAGTTTTCATTTTCCTAGTTAACTTTATCTTTTTATGCTTAAGGTTACATTTAATTACTTTACCTATAAAGCTACTATTCCTAATTCCTCTATGCCGTCCTTAGTCACTCTCTAGAAGAGTCCGGAAGCTGGCCGTAATTTGTTCACAATTTGGCTAAACATGCAGTTGAATCAGTGCTAAGCTGCACACATTTTCCTTAGGATGCCAATTAGTGTTTTTTTTTTTTAACATCGATTCCTAAATATGAAACATCTGGGTTTATCAATAATTGGACTCACTATTTATTGTTATTTTATCTGACAAACAGCAGAGTATTAGATAAATAGAAATCTTAAATCCTAACATGCTGCACCCAGGAAAGAAAGCTTATGCCTACAGCAGAACAGCACTTAGGGATCTTTAATAGAATGCAACTTCTGTCACTAAACCTTTAGAAAGAAATGTCTTAAAAAGAAGAGAACAAATGGCACATACTTAATTCATTTCTCACATTTACATATCATAAAAAATTCTTATTACATATTCAAGCTCCTATCACATCTACCTCTTCCTCTATGTGATAAGGTCTTCATTTTATATCCCCAAAAGTGATTAATAGCAGAATGGAGCTGAAAGCAATCAATAAACTCAATCAACCTTAATGACTGCTACTGGATTTGTGGTACCAGAACCTATTGATTATTACAGCAATCTTGACATAAACTAACATACTGATGTGGTAGTCAGAATAATGGCTCTTCAGAGATGATGCGGTCCTAATCCAGATAATTTATAAATTTGTTAGCTTACCTGGCAGGACAGACTTTGCAAATGCAATTAGAGTTAAGGATTTTGAAATGGAGAGACTATCATAGATTTTTAGATGGCCAAATGCAGTCATAAGATTCTTTACACGTAGAAGAGGGAGATATAAAAGGAGAATGTGAAGACTTGCTCCTTCATTTGTAGCTTTGAAGGTCAAGGAAAGGAACTGTTATGAACTGAATATTTGTGTCTCCCTAAAATTAATCTATTGAAGATGATTGGCATTGTTCAAATATTAATAGATTATTTTCAATGATCTATTAATTGGCAGTGTGATAGTATCTGGAGATGGAGCTTTTGGGAGGAACCTAGGTTGAGATAATGTCCTAAGTGTGGTGTTCTCATGATAATGTTAGTGTTCTTATAAGAAAAGGTGGAGATACTAGACCACCTCCCACCCAACCACCCTTCTCTTTCTCTCTCCGTAAACATGTATCCAGGAAAGGCCATGTGAACACAGAGAGAAGGAGGCCATCTACTAACCAGAGAGGGAGTGGGCCCTCACCATGAACCAAATATACCAGCACCTTAATCTTGGACTTCCCAACTTTCAGAACTCTGAGAAATAAATGTCAGTTGTTTAAGTCACCCGGTCTATGGTATTTTCTTACAGTATTCCAAGCTGCCCAAGACAGGGAACATGCATCAAAGAATGCAGCTGGATTCTAAAGCCTGGGAAAGGCCAGGTCATGGATTATTCCACAGAGCCTATAGAAGGAATGCAGTCTTCCAATGCTTTGATTTTAAATCAGTAAGACCTGTGTTGAACTTCTAACCTGGAATACTGCTAGACAATAAATTTATGTTGTTTTAAACTACTAAGTGTATTGTGATTTTTATAACAGCCACAGGAAAATAATACATTTGGCAAATCAGTGCATGTTTCATGATGGTCAATGATATGCCCCAGGGTCCATCTTAGCCATGATTTCTATCCCTTCAAAAACCAAAACAAAATAAAAAAGTAAAACAAAAAGACCAATTTTACTATACTACTTGATTTTTAACAATATTTTATATGTATTTAATCCAGTATATCCAAAATATTGTCATCTCAGCATAAAACAATATTAAAATTATTCAGTTTTACATTTTTTAAACTAAATCTAGTTTGTATTTTACATATAGCATAAATCAATTCAAATCCACCATATTTCAAGTGTTCAATATCTACATGTCACTAGTAATGACTATAGTGGACAGAATTGATCCAGATTTCCAGGTGTATTGCTATAAAACTAACCATATTTTTATCTTATTAAAACAAAACAAAACTCCTCCATAACTATGTCTATGTTCCTTTTGCTTTTATTAACATTGAACATATTCTTGTTTTTAATCTAATTTTGTCTGTATTTAGGTCTATTTTTTGGTGGTGTTATTTCTTGTATGCTTGGCATCAACTTTTTTTTCAATTTCTTAGACTATCTAAACTATTATGCTCTGAGTTTAGCTCAATTTCAATCAGCTACTCACTTTGAAAGACTCATTTAACTCTCTTAAGCCATTCTCCACAAACATGAAAAATCTTCCTCTCACTCTTCCCTGCTGAAACACTGCAAAAGTATGTCAAAATGGTGTACTTTCTTGGCACAGGGTTTCAATAAACTTAGTTTTGCTTTAATAACAAATTATCTGAATATATTTCAGGGAGTTCCACTGGTAAAAGCATAAAATCATGTTAGTTCAGGTCATCTTTTGTAAAGTTATGACAGTGCCATAGTATCAATTCTTGTCAAAATTTATGACTTCAAAATCAACTTAATATGCATCAACATAGATATTTTTTAGTTAATTCTAGACTCCAGGTGCTCATTTAAATAATATGGGTACATAAGACTGAACAAAACCAGTTGCTATTGAATGTACATTTTAGAGAAATACTTCATACACAGCTGTGTTTTGTTAAATAAGGAACTTGATGACATAATCAATATCACGGCAGCATACAACTGTTTGGTTAGTATGTCTCTTTAAACAAGCACATATGCTCATTCATGGAGTGTGTATTTGTATCTGTGTATGGTCTGTGTGGTGAAGCAGCAAGCAACAGTTGGATGTCTTAATTATCTAACAGGAAAAAACACCTAAATAATCAGAAGAAATTTTGATTTATTTATTAGTTCGACTGAGCTTTTCTCTTGAATGTAACACAGATGGTCCCAGATTTACAATGGTACAACTTTACAGCTTCATCATGGTACAAAAGTGATAAACATTCAGTAGAAACAATGCTTTTATTACCCATATACCCATTCCGTTTTTCACATTCAGTATTTAATAATTTACATGTGATATTCAACACTTTATTTAAAAATAGGCTTTAGGTTAGATTTTTTTTTTGGACTGGCTAATGTAAGTGTTCTGAGCACATTTCTTAAGTGTATTTTTTTTTAATACTTTAAGTTCTAGGGCACATGTGCACAACTTGCAGGTTTGTTACATATGTATACATGTGCCATGTTGGTTTGCTGCACCCATTAACTCATTATCTACATTAGGTATTTCTCCTAATGCTATCCCTACCCATCCCCCCACCCCACAATAGGCCCCAGCATGTGATGTTACCCACTCTGTGTCCAAGTGTTCTCGTTGTTCAATTCCCACCTATGAGTGAGAACACACGGTGTTTGGTTCTCCGTCCTTGCGAAGGTTTGCTCAGAATGATGGTTTCCAGCTTCATCCACGTCACTACAAAGGACATGAACTCATCATTTTTTATGCCAGCATAGTATTCCATGGTGTATGTATGCCACATTTTCTTAATCCAGTCTATCATTGATGGACATTTCGGTTGGTTCCAAGTCTTTGCTATTGTGAAGAGTGCAGCAATAAACATACATGTGCATGTGTCTTTATAGCAGCATGATTTATAATGCTTTGGGTATATACCCAGTAATGGGATCACTGGGTCACATGGTATTTCTAGTTCTAGATACTTGAGGAATTGCCACACTGACTTCCACAATGGTTGAACTAGTTTACACTCCCACAAACAGTGTAAAAGCATTCCTATTTCTCCACATCCTCTCCAGCACCTGTTGTTTCCCGACTTTTTAATGATCGCCATTCTAACTGGTGTGAGATGCTATCTCATTGTGGTTTTGATTTGCATTTCTCTGATGACCAGTAATGATGAGCATTTTTTCATGTGTCTGTTGGCTGCATAAATGTCTTCTTTTGAAAAGTGTCTGTTCATATCCTTTGTCCACTTTTTGATGGCTTTGTTTTTTTCTTGTAAATTGGTTTAAGTTCTTTGTAGATTCTGGATATTAGCTATTTGTCAAATGGGTAGATTGGAAAAATTTTCTCCCATTCTGTAGGTTGCCTGTTCGCTCTGATGGTAGTTTCTTTTGCTGTGCAGAAGCTCTTTAGTTTAATTAGACCCCATTTGTCTATTTTGGCTTTTGTTGCCATTGCTTTTGGTGTTTTACACATGAAGTCCTTGCCCATGCCTATGTCCTGAATGGTATTGCCTAGGTTTTCTTCTAGGGTTTTTATGGTTTTAGGTCTAACATTTAAGTCTTTAATCCATCTTGAATTAATTTTTCTATAAGGTGAAGGAAGGGATCCAGTTTCAGCTTTCTACATATGGCTAGCCAGTACCATTTATTAAATAGGGAATCCTTTTCCCATTTCTTGTTTTTGTCAGGTTTGTCAAACATCAGATGGTTGTAAATGTTTAGCGTTATTTCTGAGGCCTCTGTTCCATTCCATTGGTCTATATCTCTGTTTTGGTACCAGTAAAATGCTGTTTTTGTTACTGTAGCCTTGTAGTATAGTTTGAAGTCAGGTAGCGTGATGCCTCCAGCTTTGTTCTTTTTGCTTAGGATTGTCTTGGCAATATGGGCTCTTTTTTTGATTCCATATGAACTTTAGTTTTTTCCAATTCTGTGAAGAAAGTCATTGGTAGCTTGATGGGGATGGCATTGAATCTATAAATTACCTTGGGCAGTATGGCCATTTTCACGATATTGATTCTTCCTACCCATGAGCATGGAATGTTCTTCCATTTGTTTGTGTCCTCTTGTATTTCGTTGAGCAGTGGTTTGTAGTTTTCCTTAAAGAGGTCCTTCACATCCCTTGTAAGTTGGATTCCTAGGTATTTTATTCTCTTTGTAGCAACTGTGAATGGGAGTTCACTCATGATTTGGCTCTCTGATTGTCTGTTATTGGTGTATACAAATGCATGTGATTTTTGCACACTGATTTTGTAACCTGAGACTTTGCTGAAGTTGCTCATCAGCTTAAGGAGATTTTGGGCTGAGATGATGGGGTTTTCTAAATATACAATCATATCACCTGCAAACAGGGACAATTTGACTTCCTCTTTTCCTAATAGAATGCCCTTTATTTCTTTCTCTTGCCTGACTGCCCTGGCCAGAACTTCCAACACTATGTTGAATAGGAGTGGTGAGAGAGGGCATCACTGTCTTCTGCTAGTTTTCAAAGGGAAAGCTTCCAGTTTTTGCCCATTCAGTATGATACTGGCTGCGGGTTTGTCATATATAGCTCTTATTATTTTGAGATATGTTCCATCAATACCTAGTTCATTGAGAGTTTTCAGCATGAAGGGCTATTGAATTTTGTCAAAGACCTTTTCCGCATCTATTGAGATAATCTTGTGGTTTTTGTCTTTGGTTCTCTTTATGTGATGGATTACATCTATTGACTTGCGTATGTTGAACCAGTCTTGCATCCCATGGATGAAGCCAACTTGATCTTGGTGGATAAGCTTTTTGATGTGCTGCTGGACTCGGTTTGCCAGTATTTTTGTTAAATGTACTAAATGCATTTTTTACCTAAAATATTTTCAACTTATGAGTATATCCAGATCCATCATAACACATCTTGGCCTGTGGTTATCAGGATGTAACTCATTATAAGTCGAGGTAGATTTGTATTATATCCCATGTACACACACACACACACGCGCGCGCGCACACACACACACACACACACAGACTTAATCTGTTTACAGAAATAAAAGGAATAAAATACCGTTTCTTTTATACACCAAAACTAGCCATCTTGACAGATACTTCACTCTGAAAAATAACGTTTTATAGCTACTTTACAGATTAGTGTAATAATTTGGTGTTTCTGTTTCAGAGATTCGATTTCACATTTCAATAAGTAGGCCGCTCCCTCTGCTAAGCCTGGGAATGTAATTCTTTTGAAAAACTATCTGTGCTGTAAAATTACATGTCATATTGGGAAAAGGACAATCGCAAACAGTAGTCACACATAAAATCAAGCAACACAGACATCCTTTTCACATACAGTGAAGACCCTTGTCAATTTTGAGATTACACAGGAAAACAGAATGGGGGACAAGTGTCTCTGACACATAGAAAATCCCGTGAAGAAGAACTCAGCTGACACAATCAAAACATACACAAAACTGAAAGAAACAAGGTGAGTGCTTTTTATATTAGTTCAGCTGTCAAGAAAGTGTAAAATAAACCTAACATTTTTTTACTAAGTGAGGATTTTCTTTTTTGAAACATCATCATTTATATTTATCCAGTTTGCAACTTCATCAGCTGAATCTCAGGATGTGTTCCATGACACTGAAGGACAATTAAATCATATCCATGACAATATATGAGAAGCTGACAGGAGAACATGGTGGCATTTGAATTAATGTCTATCATTAGATAGAATTTCTGATCACATAATTTAAGTTGTAGTTTTCCATACAATTTAATCAAGATAAGCACTTATTAGGTGAGTGATATACTTTGGCTCTGTGTCCCCACACAAATCTCATGTTGAATCGTAATCCCCACGTGTCAGGGGAGGGGTCTGGTAGGAGGTGATTTGATCATGGGGGTGGATTTCCCATACTGTTCTCGTGACAGTCAGTGAGTTCTCACAAGATCTGATGGTTTAAAAGTGTGTGGAACTTCCCCCCGGCTCTTCTCTCTACTGACACCATGTGAAGAAGGCACCTGCTCCCCCTTTACCTTCTGCCATGATTGTTAGTTTCCTGAGGCCTCCCAGTCGTGCTTCCTGTTAAGCTTGCAGAACTGTGAGTCAATTAAACCTCTTTTCCTCATAAATTACCCAGTAGTTCTTTATAGCAGTTTGAGAAGAGATAGATACAGAAAATTGGTACCAGAGCAGTGGGGCATTGCTATAAAAATACCTGAAAATATGGAAGTAACTTTGGAACTGGGTAACAGGCAGAGGTAGGAAACAGTTTGGAGGACTCAGAAGAAGACAGGGAGATATGGGAAAGTTTAAATCTTCCTAGAGACCTGTTGAATGGTTGTGAACAAAATGCTGATAATGATTTGGATAACGAAGTCCAGGCTGAGGGGGTCTCAGATGGAGATGAGGAACTCATTGAGAACTGAAGAAAAAGTTACTCTTGCTATGCTTTAGCAAAGAGACTGACAGCCTTTTGACCCGGCCCTAGAGATCTGTGTAATGTTGAACTTCAAAGAGATGATTTAGGGTATCTGGTGAAACAAATTTCTAAGCAACAGACCTTCCAACATGTGGCCTGGCTGCTTCTAAAAGTTTATGCTCATGTCCATGAAGAAAGAGATGGCTTGAAACTGAAACGTATATTTAAAAGGAAAGCAGACCATAAAAGTTTGGAAAATTTGCAGCCTAACCATATAGTAAAAAAGAAAAACCCACGCTCTTGGGAGAAATTCAAGCAAAAATTTGCATAAGTAAAGAGGAGCCAAATGTTAATGGCAAAGACAATGTGGAATACGTCTCCAGTACATTTCAGAGACCTTTGAGGCAGCCCCTCCCATTATAAGCCTGGAGGCCTAGGAGGGAGAAATTGTTTAGTGGGATGGGCCCAGGGCCCTGCTGCTCTGGGCAGCCTCGGGACATGGTGCCCAGTGTTCCAGCTGCTCAGCTCCAACTGTGGCTAAAAGGGTCCAAGGCACTACTCAGGCCATTGCTTCAGAGAATACAAGCCTCAAGCTTTGGTGGCTTCCACATGAGGCTGGGCCTGTGGTTGTGCAGAAGGGAAGAGGTGAGGTTTGGGAACCTCCATCTAGATTTCAGAGGATGTATGGAAATGCCTGGATGTCTAGGCAAAAGTCTGCTGCAGAAGTGGAGCCCTTATGGAGAACCTCTACTAGGGCAGTGCAGAGGGAAAATGTGGGGTTGGAGCCCCCACACAGATTCCCCACTGGGGCACTCCCTACTGGAGCTTTGAGAAGAGGGTCATAGTGCTTCAGACCCCAGAATGGTAGATCCACTGACAGCTTGCACAGTGTGCCTGGAAAAGTCACAGGCACTCAATCCTAGCCTGTGAAAGCAGCTGTGGGGGCTGTGCCTTGCAGAGCCACAGAGGCAGAGCTGTCAAAGCTCATGGGAGCCCAGATATTGCATCAGTATGCTCTGGACGTGAGAGATGAGGTCAAAGAAGATTGTTTCAGAGCCTTAAGATTTAATGACTGCCTTGTCGGGTTTTGGACTTGCATGGGGCCTGCAGACCCTTTGTTTTGGCTAATTTCTCCCTTACGGAATTGGAGTGTTTACCTGATCCCTGTACCCCCACTGTTGTCTTGAAATTAACTAACTTGTTTTTGATTTTACAGGCTTATAGGCAGAAGCGATTTGCCTTGTCTCAGATGAAACTTTGGACATGGACTTTTGAGTTAATGCTGGAATAAGTTAAGACTTCCAGTCTGTTGGGAAGGCATGATTGGTTTTGAAATGTGAGAAGGACATGATACTTGGGAGGGGCCAGAGGAGAAATAATATAGCTTGGCCCTCTGTCCCCACCCAAATCTCATCTCAAATTGTAATCCTCTCATGTCAAGAGAGGGGCCTGGGTGGAGGTGACTGGATCATGGGAGCAGATTTCCACATGCTATTCTCATGATAGTGAGTGAGTTCCAAGAGATCTGATGGTTTAAAAGTGTGTGGCACTTCCCTCCTTGTGCTCTCTCTCTCCTGGTGCCATGTCAAGAAGAACCTTGTTTCCCCTTTGCCTTCCACCATGATTTTCTGAGTTTCCTGAGTCCTCCCATTCATGCTTCCTGTAAAGCCTGAAGAACTATGAATCAATTAAATCTCTTTTCTTCATAAATTACTCAGTCTCAAGTCATTCTTTATATCATTGTGAAAACTGACTACTACGGTTAGCAATCTTAAAGAATACTTGTGATTTTGAGAATCAGGCACATATTTTTTTAATAATCGGACTGCTTACAATTGTTTAACTCCTTGCAACTTATAGTTAGTGCCTAAAACTTTGATGACTTTCATTACATTTCAATGGCTCTGTTCCCTTATAGCAAACTACCTTTTTTACTGTACTTACTGTAACTACAGTGCATTTATTTTCAGCCCAAATAGTATTCAGTAATAAGCATTTCTTCCCACATAAGAATAAGTTATATTCCTATTCACTATATTCTAGAATTTCTATTTTCCTTCCACAGTGCCAGCTAAAATTAAAGTGGAATAATCTATTGGGGCCCTGTGTATTTAATGTTTGTTTTCTTAGTATATTATAAACACTGTGAAGGAAGGAAATCCTTGCCTCTTGTTTATACTTTTATCTCCATTATAGAAACACTCTGCATTATTTTCTTACTGCTGCTGTAGCCAATTACTACAAAGTTAGTGGTTTAAAATAGCACAAATATAGTGTCAAACAATTGTGTTTGTCAGATGTCTGCAATGCATCTTATGAGGCTAAAATCAAAGAGTGAGAACTGTTGTGTTCCTTTCTGAAGGTTTTAGGGGAAAATCAGTTTCCTTGACTTTTCCAGCCTCCAGAGGCTGTCCTGATTTGTTAGCTTATGGTCTTTCATTTGTTCAAACCAGAAATGCTGTGTCTCTCTGACCATTCTTTTGAAATCATACCACCTTATGTTTCTAGCCAAGAATGTTTCCCTAGTTTAAACCCATTTGATTACACTGAACTCAAAAGGACACTTTTTCATCTTACCATCCTTAACATTATAATACTTGCAAAGCCCCTTTTACCAGATAGTTAACATATTCACAGCTTCCAGAAATCAGGACATGCGGTTTTTTTTTTGTTGGTTTGTTTGTTTTGTAAACCATTATTTTGCTTACTATACTGTCTTAATTGGAGGAAGCAACTTCTTCGAATAGGTGAATTAATTTCAAATTGATAATGTGATTCTGAATGAACATTAAAGAAATCAACTATTACACCGAACATTACTTTATTGAGCTAAACAAATATTAACTGACTATATAAAATTCATTACACATTTGGAGATAGAATTTTGTACTCTTTAATAAGACTTTTTACATTTTTTGCAATCCTTTTTCTTATTTAAAAAATCAGTACTGTATTAGTACCCACAATATAAGTTTGTTCTAAGAATCAAATGAGATAAACATTTCAGACACCTATCATAGTATCAAGTTCATATCGTAAGCCTAAAATACCAGATGACTTTTATTATTTTCAGAATGTAGTCAAAATCAACATAAAGTTACATTAACACTTGGTTTACTGTATCATAATGCTAGCTTTGTGTCATATCTATCTAGAGAGTACACTGAATAGCTTAAACCAAGTAGAAGGTGATTTCTTGCTTACATAACAGTTTACCATAAGTAATTTTGGCTAAAGACGCATCTTTCCTGCAAAAAATAATTCAAGTTAACGAAGGATCTACTATTACCAAATTGTATCTTCCCAGATTACTTTGTATATATCACCATTCCAGAAGACAAAAGACTACTCATGAAATACAATTTGCACACTTCTTTATATATGAAAAATTCACTTCTCTTCCCTCTGTAAACAACTTAAAGTTTTGCCCAGTTACTGCCTACAACTTAGAGTTCAGGATGTTTCATGACGTGCAGTTCTCTCCCTCAGGCCACTATATGACTTAACGAGGACTAGTGTCCTATAAAGTCAAAAGACAAATTATCTGTAAAATCTAAGTTACCATGGTGAAGCTCCTATCAGAAGACAAAGAAGTCTGCAGAGCACTGACAAAAATATTTCTGAGCAGTACAAATATTTATTTGATGAAACCATAAACATGTCCTGTGGAAATAACTTTAAGGTCCATTGTCCCTGTGGCTCATAGATTTACTTTCTGAGGTAATTTACATTTTCTCTTATTCTCCATGCCTCCATCTTAAATTAGAACAATGAGTGTTTTCTCAGCATGACTAATCAATTGCACTGATTAGTGCAATTTGGGATGCTTGAGGATATTTTAAGCCTTAATTTTTTTTTCTCACAATAGGCTTATTGTACCTTTGCCAAGTAGTTACGTGGAAACCATTTATTTATTTATTGGATCTAGTTTATAACCAAACATACAGTTCTTTCCTAGGTATAATTCTAAAGTCTGCCTCATTTCCTTCTTTTTTCTCCTCCCCAACACACATATGCTTCTCTGACTGTAAAGATGACCACTTTAAGGTCATTTGAAATCATAGACTTGAAAGAGAAAACAACTTCCCTGATGAGTTCTTTGCTTCAGGGCTGGGTTCCTTGTTTTTTATGAACACAGTAGGATTTAATTTCTGAGCAGCTTTTTCAACCTAATCAGAAAAACCTGAGCTTTTCTGTCACTGTATAATTCCACCATTACTAGACTTTTTGTTTACAAGTGGTTTCCAACAAGGAATGACTTTGTTTCCATAGAACACTTGTCAGTGTCTGGAGACATTTTGAATTATAATGATTAGGTGGTGATGCTACTGGTATGTGGTGGTATAGCCTAAAGATACTATTAATATCCTACAATGCAAAGAATAACCTCCCACAGAATGCAGGAATATCAGGCATAAAATGTCAATAATGCTAAGGTTTAGCAACTCAACTCTATCCACTTTCTTTCCACTCTAAAGACAGGATATTTCTTTTTTCTTTTTTTTTTTTTTTTTTTTTTTTGCCTGTGTTTATCTATTTCTTGGATTATGGAACAGAACAAACATGAACACATTACCTTTTGCCTTTCCTCATTTCCCACACTCTTTCCTAGAGGTAATATTAAGCTTCCAATTAATTTTAGATGGTAGTTTCAATAATTTTTTTTCACTGGGTATTACAAGTCTTCATTTCAACCCTCTGAGTTTGGTTTACTTGTCCATTTAATACTAATTTAGTGGATACGTTTTAGGTGCTGTTATGGCAGACCCAACTCAAGCTGGTGATTTCTATATTACTTGGAATCGTGCTAGTTGCTTTGACAACTACACTCAACAACATATAATATCTTAAACAGAACAGAAGTTTCATTCATATAAACTGTTTTTTTAAGATAGGAAAAGCATTGCTCCTTTATGTCCGCATTCAAGAACATAGGCTACTAAGGTATTTAATCTGCAGTATGTTGCTTCCAAGACTACTGTAGAATTGGCCGTTCCAGTCAAGCATACTGAAAAACGTATACAGAAGAGTGCATGTTGGGATTTTGGAGACTTAATTGGATATAAAATATGTTATTTCTACTAATTTTCCACTATTTTGACTTTAATCCCATGCCCTAATATAAAGTATATAAGAATGAGAAACATAGTTTATGTATCTATCAAAATAGAACATAAATGTTTGTGAACATTTGAATCTGTCAGCTTCTCTTGCTCACGTGCCTGTAGTGCCTGTACTCAGGATGCTGAGGCAGGAGAATCGCTTGAACCCAGGAGGTGGAGGTTGCAGTGAGCTGAGGTCACACCACTGCACTCCAGCCTGGGCAACAGAGCGAGACTCCATCTCAAAAAAAAAAAGAAGTGACTCAACTGATTGATGTGTAAAACCTCATTGTAAAATAATGTTCTATAAATGAGACATTAATACAGTTAAATTTTTGGATTAAAAAAGTCTGCCACTTTGTGAATATGTTTTATTTAGGCTTGATTTAGTTAATTTTCTTTTTTCTTTTTCTTTTTCTTTTTTTTTTTTTTTTTTTCTGAGGAGTTTCACTGTTGCTGCCCAGGCTGCAGCGCAGTGCTGGGATCTCGGTTCACTGCATCCTCCACCCCGCCAGTTCAAGTGATTCTCCTGCCTTAGCCTCCTGAGTAGCTGGGATTACAGGCACCCACCCACCACCATACCCGGCCAATTTTTTGTGTTCTTAGTACACATGGGGTTTCACCATGTTGGCCAGGATGGTCTCGAACTTCAGACCTCAGGTGATCCGCCCACCTTGGCCTCCCAAAGTGCTGGGATTACAGGCATGAGCCACCGCACCCAGCCAGTTAATTTTTCTATTAACTAAGACCTAATTAAGATTGAGGCAGAAGAAATGGGTCCTTGGGATTTGAAAATTACTATTCAATTTGGAAGTTTAATTTGCAACATAGATTGTCTGTTATTAAATTACTAGATATAATATCACAAAGGTGGAAAGAAAGGTTGCTTAGTTAAAGATCTAAGTTACTAGTCATGGTGTCAGATATAGAGAATGATTGAAGGTTATCAGAGTCACACACCAGATGAGTAAATTGTTGTTTTCAAGGAAGAGGTTACATAAAGGTAAGCGGAGTAATATTTCAGCATTTTTGTTAATTAAAAATTTGTAAAGTTATTTCCATTTCAAGGAAATTACTCTCAGTAATTTTACGGGTAAAATGACAAATTCCAAGTTTAATTTTCACATGTAACACCCTCCTTGAGCACTTATTTTTATAAAGCTATTAATCTATTTTGGTCTCAATTTACCTTTCTTTAAAGAGATTTTAAAATTTTCTGAAAGAAGTTGACATCTGGAAGTGTAGCTGTTATATTTTTCAATTTTTAATTACATATTTAATTATCCTTTAATTACTTAAGGTTATTCTCAAAAGTGAAGAGATAGCTGGGATCACACTGCGTAAGATTTTACTCCTGAATGTAATATTCAAAAATGTTACAAAGTCTATCAAAGAGGTTTTCATTCTGTGACAATACATGGTCAATTTGACATGGTCAGGAAGCACCACCCCCACTGAGAGATACCAAATTATGGAGTAAACCACCGTAATTTAGGCAGATCTTGAGAGAGAAAATGCTGAGTGGATGCAGAGGCAGCAATGAAGCTGAGCTGAAGAGGGAGGAAGCCTGTGCAGGGAACCCAAACACTACAGCTAGTTCCCCAGAATGGCTCCTAGGAAAGGGCCTCTGCCTGAGAGAGACCTGTGGCCTAGAACACCTAACACAAGAAACACAGTGATTGCAGGAGACTCCCCCAGGGCCCAGGAGCACATCTGGTGATGGAGGCATCTCTCCCACCCCCACTATAGAGCACACCTGCAAACAAAAGGAAGTATAAAACAGCCATGCCACTGGGTATTAGGCTAGCCACTGGCCATCACTCTTAAGCACTATGCATTGGATCACATCCCAAACTACAACATCAAAATTTATCCTGCTACATATACACCTGTGAAACCAAACACCAGAATTACTCATACATAAAAATCCTGGACAGAGAAAGCCCTGACCCTTTGAAAGCATCCAGAAACAAAACCAATTGCCTATACTCAACATACACTACAGTTAAAGGAACACTAACCCTACCAGAAGAGAAAAAATCAGTGCAAGAACTCTGGCAATTCAAAAAGCTAGAGTGTCCTCTTACCTCAAAATTAGCCCACTAGCTACCAAGCAATGGTTCTTAATCAGTCTAAAATAATTGCAACAGACATAGAATACAGAACCTCGATGGCAGGGAAGCTCATGAACATTAAGGAGAAAGTTGAAACCCTAGCCAAGTAATCCAGTAAAGCAATCTAAGTAAGTGCTGAAAGATGAAATTGCCATTTTAAACAACAGCCACACTGAATTTCTAGAGCAGAAAAAATTCAGTATAAGAATTTTATAATACAATAAGAAATATTAACAGAAGGTAGGCCAAGCTAAGGAAAGAATCTCAGAGCTCAAAGACTGGTTCGTTGAATCAACTGAGTCAAAAGAAAATTTTAAAAAAGAATTAAAAAAAGAAAATGAACCAAAGCTTTAAGAAATATGGAATTATATAAAGAGACCAAATCTACGACTCATTGTCATTCCTAGAAGAGAAACAAAGAGAAAAGGCAACTTGGAAAATAGATTTGAGAATAGAGTCTATGAAAATCTTCCTAACCTCGCTAGAGAGAGTGACATGTAAATCCAAAAAATACAGCAAACCCAGCTAGGCACTACAAAAGGTGACTATCCCTAAGGCACACAGTCATCATATTCACCAAAGTAAATACAAAAGAAAAAAAAAATCTTAAAGGCAGCTAGAGAGAAAGGTCATGTTTTCATAAAGCAAGAACTCCACTAGGCTAGTAGTAAATATCTCAGCAAAAACCTTACAAGCCAGAAGAGATTAAGGGCCTATGTCCAACATCATTAATGAAAATAAATTCCAGGCAATAATTTTATATTTCACTAAACTAAACTTCCTAAGTGAAGAAGAAACAAATTTCTCCTCAGATAAGCAAATACTGAGGGAATCAATTTCAACTTGACCAGCCTTATGAAAGGTCCTTAAGGGAGTGCTATACATTGAGTAAAAAGAATGACACCTGCTACCACAAAAACCCACTGAAGTACATAGCTCACAGGCACTATAAAGTATCTACACAATCAAGTCTACCTAAAAACCAGCTACAAACGTGATGATAGGATCAAAATCTCATGTATCAACATTAACCATAAATGTAAATAGGCTAAACACCCCCACTTAAATGACATACAATGGCAAACTGGATAAAAATGCAAGGCTCACCATCTGTAGTCTTCAAGAGACTCATCTCATATGTAATGACAGCCACTGGCCCAAAATAAGGGGATGGAGAAAATCTGCCATGCAAATGATAACAAAAAAGCAGGAGTAACTATTCTTATATCAGATAAAACAGACTTTAATCAAAATTAAAAAGAACAATTGAAGAATGAAGAGCATTACGTCATGAGAAAGTATATGATCAAACAAGAATACTTAAGTACCCTAAATATAAATGCACCCAACATGGAGCACCCAGATTCATAAAACAAGTTCTTTTTGGACTACAAAAAGACAGACGACCACCCAATAACTGTAGGAGACTTCAACACCCCCGCTGGCAGCACTGGATCATCAAAGCAGATAACCAAGAAAGAAACTGTGTACTTAAACTTCACACTTGACCATTTGGACCTAATAAGACATCTACAGAACACTCCACTCAATAACCACAGAATATACATTCTTCTCATCTGCACAGGGAACATATTCTAACATTGACCACATGCTTGGTCATAAAGCAAGTCTGGATAAATTTTAAAAAATGAAATCATATCAAGCACACTCTTAGATCTCAATGTAATCAAAATATAAATAAATATCAACATCTCTCAACACTACACAAATAGATGAAAATTAAACAACTTTCTCCTGAATAACTTCTGTGTGAAAATCAAAATTAAGGGAGAAATTTTAAGAAAGTGAAATTAATGAAAATGGGAACACAAATTACCAAAATCTCTGGGATGCAGCTAAATCAGTGTTAAGAGGAACGTTTAAATGCCTTTATCATAAAGTTAGAAATACTTCAAATTAACAATCTAACACTACACCTAAAGGAACTAGGGAAGAAAAAAAAAAGAACAACCCTACATCAACGCTAGGAATGAAAAGAAACAACTAAAATAGAGAAGATCTGAATGAAATTGAGATGCAAAAATCCATACAAAAGATTAATGAAACCAAGAGTTGATTTAAAAAAAGAGATTGATAGACCTTTAGCTAGATAAACAAAGAAAAAAAAGAGAAGATCTAAATATATAAATCAGAATGACAAAAACGACATTAAAAATGGTCCCACAGACATACAAAATAATCCTCAGAGAATACTAGGAATAACTCTAGACACAAAAATTAGAAAATCTAGAGGAAATGGATAAATTTCTGAAAACAGGCAATCTTCCAAGATTGAATCAGGAAGATACTGAAATACTGAAGAGACCAATATGAAGCTCTGAAATTGAATAAGTAATAAAAAATCTACCAAGCCAAAAAGCCCTGGACTATATGGATTCACAGCAAAATTCTACCGGAAGTATAACGAAGAACTAGTACAATTCTACTGAAACTATTCCAGAAAAGTTGAAGAGAACGTACTCCTTCCTAACTCACGCTGTGAAGCCAGAAGCAGCTTAATACCAAAACCTGGCAGAGACGCAAAAAAAAAGAACATTCAGGTGACCACTGTTGACGAACATAGACTCAAAAATTCTCAACAAAGTACTAGCAAACTGAATCCATCAGCAGCATATCAAAAAATTAATCTACTATGACAATACAGGCTTTATTCCTGGGATGCATGGCTGGTTCAACATATGCAAATCAATAAATGTGATTCACCAGATAAACAGAATTAAATCAAAAACCATATGATCATCTCAATGGATGCCGGAAAAGCTTTCAATTAAATCCAGTGTCCCTTCATGAAAAAACAAAACAAAAAAAAACCCTCAACAGTTGAGGCTTCAAATAAGCATACTTCAAAATAAAAAAGAGCTATCTACAACAAACCCACAGCCAATATAATACTCAATGGGCAAAAGCTGAAAGCATTCTCCTTTAGAAATGAAACAAGCCAAGGACATCCACTCTTACCACTCCTATTCAACATAGTACCAGAAATCCTAGTCAGAGCAATCTTGCAACAGAAAAAGAGAAAAGCACCCAAATAGGAAGTGAAGATTAAGGCAAACTATCTGTCTTCACCCAACAATATCATTCTATACCTAAAAAACCTTAAAGACTTCAACAAAAGTCTACTAGAAATGATAAAGGATTTTAGCAAGGTTTCAGGATACAAAATCAATGTACAACAATTAGTAGCATTTCTATACAACAACAACATCCAGGTTGAGAGTTAAATTAAGAACACAATCATATTTACAACACCTAGGATGAAAATAAAATCCCTGCAAATACAACTAACCTAAGATGTGAACGATCTCCACAAGGAGAATTACAAAACACAGCTGAAATCTGAAGCTGGATGCAGTGGTTCATGCCTTTGGGAGGCCGAGGCAGGTATATCGCTTGGACCCAGGAGTTTGAGACCAACCTAGGCAACATAGTGGAACCTCATCTATACAAATTTTTTTTTTTTTTTTAAATAGCGAGGCATGGTGGCACATGCCTGTAGTCCTAACTACCCTGACGGCTTGAGGCCAGGAGTTCAAGCCTGCAGTGAGCTATAATGACTCCACTGCATTCCAGCCTGGGTGAAAGGGTGAGACTCTGTCTCAAAAAAGGAAGGAAATAAGAAAAGGAAGGAAGGATGGAAGGGAGGGAGGAAGGGAGGGAGGGAGGGAGGGAGGGAGGGAGGGAGGGAAGGAAGGAAGGAAGGAAGGAAGGAAGGAAGGAAGGAAGGAAGGAGATTTTGATAACACAAATAAATGGAATAACATTCCATGTTTACAGATTAAAAGAATCAATATTGTTAAAATGGCCACACTGCCCAAAGCAACTTGTAGATTCAAGGCTATCTCCATGAAACTACCAACATCATTCTTCACAGAATTAGAAAAAACTATTCTAAATTTATATGGAACACCCCCAAAAGCCAGAATGGCCAAAGCAATTCTGAGCAAAAATAATAAAGCCAGAGAGGCGTCATACTACCCAATTTCCAGCTATACTATAAGTGTACACTAACCATGATACTGTTACAAAAGCAGACACTTAAGCCAATGGAACAGAATAGAACACTCAAAAATAAAGCTGCACACTTACCACCATCTGGATCGTGGACAAGGCCAACAAAAACAAACAATGGGGAAAAGGCACCCTATTCAATAAATGGTGCTGGGATAATTCGCTAGCCATAAGCAGAAGAGTGAAACTGGATGCTTACCTTCCACCATACACACAAATTAATTCAAGATGGATTAAAGGTTAAAATGTAAGACTTCAGATTATGAAAACTCTAAAACAAAACCTAGGAAATATTTTTCTCGACATTGGCCTTGGCAAATAATTTTTGGCTAAGTTTCTAAAAACAATTGCAACAAAAACGAAATTGACAAGTGAAAGTCAATCAAACTAAAAAGCTTCTGCACAGCAATAGAAACTATCCACAGAGTAAACAGACAACTTACAGAATGGGAGAAAATATTTGCAAACTATGTATCTGATAAAGATCTAATATAACAAATCCATAAGGAAGAAAAAATGACAAGCATAAAACAACCCCAGTTAAAAAGGGCAAAGCTAATACAGGAGCAGAAAATCAAACTCCGCATCTTCTCACTTATAAGTGGGAGCTGAACAATGGGAACACATGGACACAGGGAGGGGAACAACACACAATGGGGAACAACACACAACACACACTATAATTTTCTGTAGGGGGTTGAGGAGAGGGAGAGCATCAGGAAAAATAGCTAATGCATGCTGGGCTTAATACCTAGGTGATGGGTTGATAGGTGCAGCAAACCACCACCACACACGTTTATCTATGTAACAAAACTGCGCTTCCTGCACATGTACCCCAGAACTTAAAATTTAAATCAAGAAAAGGCAAAGGACATGAACAGATATTTTCTCAAAAGAAGACACTCAAGTATATGAAAAAACACTCATCCTTACTAATCATCAAATAAATAAATGCAAGCAAAAACCACAGTAAGATGCCATCTCACATCAGTCACAACAGCTATAATTAAAAAGTAAAAAAATTAGATGTTGGCCAGGCTGCAGAGTAAAGGGAATGCTTATACACTACTGTTGATGGAAATGTAAACTGGTTCAGGTACTGTGGAAAGTATTTTGGAGATTTCTCTAAGAACTTAAAACAGAGATACCCTTCGACCCAGCATTCCCATTACTGGGTATATATTCAAAGGAAAATAAATTATTCTACCAGAAAAATATATATGCACTCGTACGTTCATCAGCATGTTATTCACAATAGCACAGACATGGAATGAACCTAGGTGCCCATCAAAGGTGGATTGGATAAAGAAAATGTGGTACATATACACTATGGAATACTATGCCTCCATAAAAAAGAATGAAATTATGTCCTTTGCAGCAACATGGATGGAGCTAAGGACATAATCCTAAGCAAATTAGTGCTGGAAAAGAAAACCAGATACCACACATTCTCACTTATAAGTGGAACCTAAACACTGAGCACACAGGAACATTAACATGGGAACAAGACATGCTGCAGGCTATGGGGGTGGGGGAGAGAGGGGAGCATGGGCTGAATAACTACCTACTGGGTACTATGCTCACTACCAGGGTGCACTGTACAAAAGTAACAAATCTGCATATGCACTGTGTCTGGAAAAAACTGAAATTATAAAAACCAAGAGAATATGTTTCTAATGAATGTAGACTTTATTTGATGGACTGGACTAGAATATAATATTTTTTTAAGGGGAAAGGCATTGGGGGATGCACAATGTCTACAGGTTTCTAAACCTCTCTGGTTTCTCACCTAATTCATAGTCTCTTATGTCATTTTCATAGTTTTCATATTCTGCCTTTCCACCTCTTCTTTTTAACAAGTAAAATTCCTCATAGCATACAAAAAAACAATTTTATAAAAAACCCATATTATAGATCAGGGACCTGTGGATTATATGCTATTAGAACTATACAAAATGTCTCTATATAGTTTTCTGTATCTTTGGAATATCTTTGGGTGAAGCTGCAGACCTTCTTGGTGAGTGTTACAGCTCTGCGCAGAGCCAAACAGTGAGCAGCAGCAAGACTGCAAAGAGCAAAAGAACAAAGCCTCCACACTGTGGAAAGGGACCCTAGCACGTTGCTGTTGCTGGCTCTGGCAGCTGCTTTTATTCCCTTATCTCACCCCACCCACATCCTGATGATCGGTCCATTTCATAGAGAGCTGATGGGTTCATTTTACAGAGAGCTGCTTGGTCTGTTTACAATCCTTTAGCTAGACACAAAAGTTCTCCAAGTCCCCACCAGATTAGCTAGACACAGAGCACTGATTAGTGCGTTCACATACCTTGAGCTAGACACAGCATGCTGATTGGTGCATTTACAATCCTCCAGCTAGACGTAGTAAGTTCTCCAAGTACCCACCGGACTCAGGAGCCCAGCTGGCTTTGCCTAGTGCATCCCGGCCGCGGGCGGAGCTGCCCGCCAGTCTCTGGCGCGCTGCCGCACTCCTCAGCCGTTGGGCGGTTGACGGGACCGGGTGCCGCGTAGCAGGAGGTGGCGCCCGTCCCCTCGGGGTGGCGCGCGGGAGCCTGCGGTTGGGGGGCGGGGGGCGGGGGGCAGGGGACGGGGGCGGGGAGGAGGGTGAGGGCTCCAGCATGGCAGGCTGCAGGTCCCGAGCCCTGCCCCCTTGCCCCGCGGGGAGGTGGCTGAGGCCCAGCGAAAATTCGAGCGCGGCGCCGGCGGGCCATCACTGTTGGAGGACCCAGTGCACCCTCCGCAGCTGCTGGCCCGGGTGCTAAGCCTCTCACTGCCCAGGGCCGGCGGCGCCAGCCGACCGCTCAAGAGTGCGGGGCGCGCCGAGCCCGCGCCCACCCGGAAGTCGCGCCGAGCCCGCGCCCACCCGGAAGTCGCGCTGGACCGGCGAGCCCCGCAGGCAGCCCAGGTTCCGGCCCGCGCCTCTCCCTCCACACCTCCCCGCCAGCAGAGGGAGCCCGCTCAGGCCTCAGCCAGCACAGAGAGGGGCTCCCACGGTGCAGCTGCGGGCTGAAGGGCTCCTCAAGCGCGGCCAGAGTGGGCTGAGGCCGAGGAGGTGCCGAGAGCCAGCGAGGGATGCCAGCAAGCTGTCACCTCTCAGAAATACAGGAAGAACATCAATAATGTTCGAAGTTATAAAGTAGTAGGTTTCTATCAAGAGTAAAACATAAACGAAGTTATAAAGTAGTAGGTTTCTATCAAGAATAAAACATAAACGATCAAAGAATTCCTTATAAAAACATTTTTTATTTCTAGGAATCAAAACATAAATATAAAATTTGAGAGTCCACCAAAAAAAATTAGATGCCAGATTTCACTATAATTATCAGGGAAGCGCCCAAATGGGTTGTTTACGGCGCCTCGGGGAAACTTTCTGTTTCGTGTTAAGGGTCTTGAACCATGATGTTTAGAAAACCATGGGCTGATGCTTTCAGAACCTCTGTGATTTTTGCCTCCGACACTGCATCCAATAGACTAGCATGTTGATTAGGGAAAGCTAAATTCAATAAAAGACGACTGTAAGTGGGGTCACCACCTTGAGGGGTCATGTTAGAAAAGTAGATGATAAGGTGGTATTGATAGAGTATTGAAGTCTGGGCTCAAATGGTTGCCCGGGGCCTTTCAAGACCAATGACTGATAAGAATAGGTAATGTTCAGGACATAGAGTTTAGGATTGGGGGACACTGTGAGTTAAGGGCCATGACAGAAGTCTTCATAAGTAAACTGTTAATTGACACAAGCTGCTACCTGCCCAGGTGAGCAATCTGTTGGCCCAGAGGAGAGTTGCTTACTGACATAAATTGATTTGCAGAAATTTCCTGAAGCAAACAATAAGTTATTTATTGGTTTGCAGCCTTACTTTCCTGAAAAATAATTTTCTGGAATGAATTGTGAAATCATGTTGACACAGATGGCCTCAGGTTTCAGTTCGGATAATTAAGCTGTGTAAATATAGAAAGTCGAAGGTTTCTGGGTGCTGTTGATTCACAGTATGCAACAATGATCATATTACTTTTATTTACTATGAGCTTCAGCTGAAAATCCAAAAGAAACTTTAATTTCAGATATTTAATGAAATCATTATAGCTGTGGTAATTTCCTTTAGCTGGGTGTGAGTGTGTGATGTGAGCGTGTGATTGTGTGTGTGTGTGTGTGTGTGTGTGTGTGTGTACTCTGGCAGCATATTCCAAATAATTTCTGTAAAATTTCAGTTTGAAATTAATAGAAGACATATTAAATTGTTTAAACTCTTTGTTATTTAAATTCTATATTACTTTAGTCGATTACTCTGTATTATTACGGCAAAGCTTTGATATGTTGCCCTGAATTTAAAGAAAAGGCTGTTCGGCCTAAAAACAGGAATATTTTATTACCAAAAAGAATTAACTACCATATGTCATTTACAGAAAAGAGTAAATTCTTCAGGGCATAGAAAATACACATTTCCTTCTGTTTGTGTGGAAATAAGCAAAATACCTGTTATAATAGATTCCTCACAGAATTTTGTGAAGCTTCAGGTAAACTTGAAAGAGAAAAATTAAAATGCTAGAGTTTCATAATTACAAATTGGGATATAAAAATAGAATAATTATTTGAATTTTGTATTTCTCTCCAGGGGATCAAAAGTAATATATAAACTTTTAATAAATATTGATATAGCTTCACGTTGACTCCATATGTGAGCAATTTGCTTTCTGTTAAATTCACAATTGCATAATTTTTTTCAGGCTGGAATGCACTTGGATGCCAGAGATTTTGATTTCTTCATGTGAAATAAGGTGATAATACATTCCAAAGTATATATTTTTTCAACTTTGAATATATCTGGTGTATTTGGAGTAATATCTGAGTAAATACACTTATATGTAAGAGAATCAAAGGAACAAGATATTATTTTATATCCAAGGAAATTAACACTTAGAACATAAATACGTATTGCATTACTTCATATTAAAGAAATGTTTTACAAAAGAAAATAAAGGAGCTTATTTTATAGCCCCATTTCCACAAATAATAGCAAAGGTACATACACATATCTAATGTTTTACACACTCATTATTGTTTCTCTTAAAATTTGTTGCTTATACTATTTTAAAAGGCAAGCCTATAGATTGTTGTGTGTATATACATATACACACAACATACATATATGTGTGTGTGTGTGTGTGTGTGTGTATATATATATATATATATATATATATATATATATCAGCAAGCAAGAGAATGGGCCTCTTCCTGCTGAGGTTTAACATTTGCATGTATATGTATATTTTGATTCACATAGACTTATTGTTCTTTAATTACATGAACAGTGATTCCTGGTTACATTATTGGAAAATGGAAGCAATGCTCAAAGAGCATCACCTAAATTTCCATCATATTTTGCTCTCAATATATTTTGTACATCCAAATATATTGTGATTAATCTGCATACATTTTTGCTGTTCTAGGTGACGCTGGTATGAGGCTAGGTAATACACGACCTTAGTCTGCATGTTGTACTTGTGTAACACACATAATTTTACAGTGCTAACAGGTGCTATAATAACTAACTATAGTTAATGATGAATGAAAGAAGGAAGATGTTAAGATGTTAGGGAAGGACTCAAAAGATGCAGTGCTTGAGTTAGAATTTTAAGGGAGATTATGCAAAAGCAGTCACTTAAGGTGGGTCGGGATGATCTAGAATGTGGGAATGATGTATGCAAAGTCACACAGGAGAGATACAGCATGCATGTTTAGAAAATTGTTGATTACATATGGAAAGTTTGCAGGACTTGCATCCTAGAATGTCAGGATTTTAAGCTAAGTAGGGTTCAAATTAAATTTTTCACATACTTCGCTGCATTATAATAACTAGTTTATGTTTAACTCATCCACTAAACTAAGTTATTTGAAAAGAGATGCCAGTGTTCACTCAATCTAGTTGTCTGTCATTAATAATTTAAAAATAATTGAGATTTTAATTTTGGTCTGCTAAGCCTGTTTAATTAAAATTTGACGTTAAATAAGATTTTACAGGCCTCATTTTTTTTTCAGTCATCACAGTTTGAATATTAAACATTACTACTTTTATCTCCCTCAGTCAGCATAAAACATACTACTTATGGTTTTAATAACCAAATTCAATGAGCACCAACAAAATTTGATGTAACTATTAACTTTGAAATTTTGTTGAAATAGAACTATGCCTTGGGTATCATTCAAAGCATTTAATTGTTGCAATAAAAAACTTTGAGATAAATTGAAATGATGGACAATATGGGTCGAAAGCAACACTGGCTTGAGGGAATAGGCTAATGTTTGAGAACAGAATTGTTAAGGACAAGATTGGATGTTTATATTATTTTAGGAAAGATACACTCTAATGGAGTTTAATTCTAAAATGTTTAATATTATGAAAATATTATATGTTATATGATCATTATAGAAAATTAAAAATATAAGAACATCAGAAGCAAAATAGTCAAAGTCTACCTAAACCCAATTAGAAGTGAATACTATTAATCTTGATTTGCATGTTTCTAATCTTATTATTATCAAATTAATAAACAGCTTTCAGATATTCTGCTTCTCCCTGTTACTAGATCAGGATAATGTCATTTATGTACAGGCATCTCCTGCTTACTCAGTTCAGCATTGATCAATAAATATTTTAGACTTCCATTCAAAACACTTCCATTTTTCTTTTGCCCATATTCTTTTTATTCAGTGCTGCCTGTTTTCAAATACATAACACTTTGTCAAACAAATTCCAACATTAGATTGGATATAGTTGGTATCAAAGTAGTAATACACATTGCCATTCCTAATCCTCAGTGCATTGATCCTGAAAATTATTTGTAAGAATAGAAAAATACTGGATATTTCAAATTAAGTCTCATTTTGTTGCTTACCCATGAAAGACTGGAATTAACCAACATAACCATTACAAGGTGATTGAGCAAATGAATAGATGGAAAATATTATAGAAACTTTACTGCAGTTCATCAACCATTGTGGTCATTAGGCCGTAGGAAAATACAGTGTGACAGTACCCCTGTCTTCTTTTCCATTTGTTAAGTCTCATATCCAAGTAACAGTGGGTAGACCTTATGAGAACCCAAAGTGAGATAAAAATAATTTTTGGCTTTTCAATGTATCTTATTTGATCTAAGAGGTATTTCCCCGACTTTGATGCAATAATTCTTGTCACAAAATTTGACTTTACTGAAGACCGTTTTAAGGATCTTTGCAGCTGACAGCAGTGACTTTTTTACCTCCTACAAAGTTTCAACTGACAGTCTTATTGTCTCTGACTTTCCCAAATTAATGACATAATTAGTCACCAGGGCTTTGGCTGCTCAATAGGGATTTAGTAAGCAATGAGTCATATGTTGGGGAACACTTCAACAAACAAAATGTTGGCAGAGAAAGATGTATGAATCAGCTAGGAAGAAACACTATTCTATCACTGAGGATCTTTCTAATATTAGATATCACAGAAAAATTTTCATATAGATTACCATATGAGTGAGCCAAAACCTCTAGGAACAAAAAAGCTTAGTATAATTATAACTCCTTGCCATGATTTAACTTAAAATTTCTTTACTTATTTAGCAATTCTATAAACAAGAATCATTTCTGTTAAGGATACTAAGGAGAGTGTTCCTATTGAATCAGAACATTTAAAAGAAATAATTGAGGGAACTCACACATGTAAAACGTCATTAACCAAACTAAAATAAAATGTGAGGGCATAAACTTAACCAGAAATGTTTAAAACCTATATATAAAAAAAACTAGAAAACACTTCTGAATGGCACAAATTTGGACTTGAGCACGGGGAAAGAAATTCCATGCTCTTGAAAAAGCCTTAAAATCATAAATGTGCCAGTTCTTTAAATAAACTTATATCTTCTGTGTCATAACAAAACGACATTTTCTAGAATTTCTTTTTCCAGATTTAGAAAAATAGACAAATTTACTTGGAGGAATAAAGAAGCAAGAATAGCTAGAAATATCCTATAAAATCAATGGAATTTGGAGTCAATACAAAATATTAAGCAATTCTTAAAGCTTCTATGATTAAAATGAGTTATAACTACAGATAGATGAAGATCATATAGAAAATCAAGACATTGACAGATATGGAAAGGTGGTATATAATGAAAACATTTCAGATCAGTGAGGGGGAAATGTTAACCGGAAAAGAATATTAAAAAGGCAATGAACTCAATAAGACAACAAGAAGCAAACCACAGAAAAATAACTGGACTGGATTAGAAAGAAAATACTTTAGACACTTCAAAAATAAAATATTCAAATAACCAATGAACTTATTAAAAGGTTTTTATTTATATTGGTTACCTGAAAAAATAATTCAAACCACAATGAGATGTAAGTACTTGTCATTCAGAATCCTGAATTTGAAAGGAATATTTTAGAATTCTAAGTTGAAGAGAAAGTGCAAAGTATTGATGAGAATGTTGACTAATTAGAACACTCAAATTGATGTTATTGGCATAACTTAGTTCAAATAATTTGGATAAAGATATGTATTAGGCCCCAAAATTCTACTTGTAAAGATGGTTTCTCCAGAAATGCATGCATATATATAGCTAAAAAAAAATGTGTACTCATGAAAACACTTTTCAGAATAACACCAAAATAACCCCAAACTGTGGCCCAAAAGTGGACTAAAATACTTATAAAGAGTACAGTAAACAAATAAGTTGTAATATGATCACCTAATAAAATATTAGAGAAATAAATATAAATAGTTTCATTTGCAGGTCATATAGTCAATTCGTCTCACAAATATAATATTAAGCAAAAAAATGTGGTTCAAAACACTACACACACTATTTGATTCCTTACTGGTAAAAGTTAGAATAGTGTTATGTTAGGAGGGATGGGTGGAAATCAGGTGTGTGACTATTACATTTTCTTATTCTGGATGATCATAGTATTTTAAAACTCACTAAGCTTTAAACTTATGTGCATTTACCCATGTGTATACAATACTTTAATAGAAGCTTCAAATCAATGAGAAAACATGAAACTGTCTGATGGAAAAATAGCTTGAGGAAATGAACAGGTATGGCAGAAAAGAAGGGCTGCATATAGTTTAAAAACTTGAAGAGATGTTTAATCTCTTTGCAAATAGAAAAACATACGCATTTAAATTGAAATACCATTTTCATGTTCCAAAATTAAAATTATTAGAAATATGATGGTAAACAGTGATGGTAATATGGGAGAAAGGAAACATCCTAGGCAATTTGGCTAAGCTTTTCTGAGAAAGATTTAGGCAATATGCCATTAAAAGATTTAATGTGAACAAATGGGAAATTTGCCCACATAAATAAATGGAAAGATACTCTATTTTTCCTAATTTAATCTGAAAATACCTAAGCCCCTGATATTTTAGAGACATAATTTTCACTGCGATGGTCATAATTTTAAAAGGTTGCATCATCCATTTTTAGTTAACATATATTGTACTAACATCACATATCTATGTAACAGAAAAATAGAGTCAACTCATGTAGGGACAGACATGAAAATGACAAATACATATAGAGATAGAAAGGTATCTTGTGCATTATACTGAGAAAGACAATAGAAATAAACAATTTACATGGGTTGATTTATTTTGATTAAGATATATAAGTGGTTAGATAAATGTTAAATAGGTCAGTATGTAATTACAGAAAATGACAAATTGTTATGTATGGTACATTTGTAGGCATAACACAGACATTACATTTTGGAAAATTGTGTTCTATGCAACAGTGCCAAGTCTAATGAAAGTAAGAGGAAGAGGAATTCAGCCAAAGTACCAACCCCTGTTATCCATTCCTTAAGAAAGGAACTTCTTTATACACTCAAAAGAGGGGATTCTTTTTAAATTTGTTTCCAGAGGGGCATCTGCATACACATACACATACACATACACACACACACACACACACACACACACATTTACATTATATTTAAATGTGTGTGCATGATATATATATATACATGTATTTATTTATTTAATATATATGTGTTATCTGGGTCCTATATAGGAACACACACACACACACATTTTGAATCAAACACTCTTTCGTATAATTTTGGTGACAAACGTATGCAATAAATGAGAATACTTTAACTTTCCAAAAAGCTATTCAAAAGTATAATTTTCAAATAAAATATATGTTTGTATGACAACAAATGATTTTTTATAAATAATATATTCTGCATTATCAATCTGCCACTGGTTTTTATTAAATAAAAAAACCTGTAAGTTTGTATGCTCTTAAAATACATATAACATTTGTAAGAATAGTTTTTGTGTAAAAATAATTATAGTTCACTATAACTATGTTAAAAATAGACATAGCCAGGCAAGTCGCTCATGCCTGTAACCCAGCACTTTGGTAGGCTGAGGCGGGCAGATCACTTGAGGCCAGGAGTTCAAGACCAGTCTGGCCAACATAGCGAAACCCCATCTCTAATAAAAATACAAAAATTAGCCGGGCATGGTGGCCCATACCTTGTAATGCCAGCTACTCAGGAAGCTGTGGCAGGAAGATTGCTGGAACCCGAGAGGCGGAGTCTGCAGTGAGACAAGATCATGCCACTGCACTCCAACCTGGGTAACAGAGTGAGACTCTGTCTCAAAAAAAAAAAAAAAGAAAAGAAAAGAAAAGAAAAGAGAAAAATAGACACAGATGAAGGGTGTCTTTGATTATGCAAATAGATTACCCATCTTGTACTCACTGTGTTTATTTCAATAAATGATCCACAGAATATGCTACTTTTGATTTATAGTTTTCTTCTCCTTCACCGCTGTGGACTGGGAAAATATTTCTTATTATTTCTGCTGCAGAGTAGCAAAAAATTATGAGCCAGAAGGAAGACCACTACAACAAGCAAAATCTCTGAGTAATCATAAAATGAAGAACTATTTCCTGTTGGGATTCACTGTGACGAATTTGATTTTAAATTCTTGATGTTGGCATTTTATTTTTAAAACTTAGCTTTCTTGCCTATTCTGAAATTGTCAAAAATTCAGAAAAATAATCATGATCATTTGCTTGCTGACCAGTGGAGACCTACTGATTTTTAGGCTGTGAGACTACAGTAATAAATAAATAAAAAAGTTCATACTTCCTTCTATCGAGGGAAATTGAGCATTTTTCTCATAGTCCTAAATCACCAGATCAAGGGATATATGTAATACTTGAGTGTTGACATTTTATTAATTTTTATATTTAACTAGAGCTGTAAAGTTGAAACAAATGGGTCAATGCAGTAGCCCATAAAATATTTTAAAAACACATAAAAGAAATATCACTAAAATTTAAACATAAAAAAAATACAAAAAAACCCTGAGCTATAGGAAGGGAAGTATCCTCTAAATGCCCAAGTTGAAGGTAGTCCTCTTAGAAAGGGACAGTAAGAAGCAGTGTTTGATGGGAACGTGATTTTTCAAGTATTTGAATTTTCAAACTCACCACATTAACTGAGTAAAATGAAAAAAATATATAAACTTCCTCTGAGGCAGAAAAAACATTTGGCATTTTCAAGATAGAATTATAATAAAAATATCTCGCCCCAATAGAATACAAAGAAGCATCCTTAAGCAAATAGAAGGCATCTACGGAAATATCACACTGAAGTGTGAACTAATAAATTATTCATTTAAGATCCAGAAGAAGACAAAGTGTCCTCTTTCACTATTGTTCTCTCTACTGTATGGGAGGAATTAACCAGTGAGACAAATCAAATAAATAAGTAAAACATACACAGTTAAGAAATGAAAAATACACTTCTAAATTTTTAAACAACTCCATTACCTACACATAAACTTCTAGTGACTGTAAAAATCAGCTGCTGGAATAAACTAGTAATTTTAGCCACATCATAGAAAAAATAAGTCAACCCATTAACTTATTTCTATATATTTCCAATGAGCAATTAATGATAAAAATCAAATCCATGTAAAATACTAATAAAAATAAAATATGTATATATGATTTTAACAAATTACATGCAAGATCTCTCTAAATAGGAAACTAGCAAAAGTGTTGGGAGATGTAGGAAAGTTCTAAATAAATGGAGTCGCATACAATAATTGATGGTTTTGATGTGTGTCCCTGCCCAAATCTGGTATGATGTAATCTCCAATGTTAGAGGTGAGGCCTGATGGGAAGTGATTGGATCATGGGGTGGATTTCTCATGAGTGGTTCAGCATCATCCCTCTTGATACTGTTCTCATAATAGTGAGTGAGTGAGTTCTCATGAGATCTGGTCATTTAAAAGTGTGTAGCAGCTTCCCCTTTCACTCTCTTGCTGTTCTGGCCATGTGACGTGCCTGTCCCCCTTTGCTTTCTGCCATGATTGTGCGTTTCCTGAGTCTTCCCAGAAGCTAAGTAGATGCCAGCATCATCCTTCCTGTATAGCCTGCAGAACAGTGGGGCAATTAAACCTCTTTTCTTCATAAATTGTCGAATCTTCTGTATTTCTCTATAGCAATGCCGGAACAAACTAATACAATAATCATGGCTTGAAAGTTCAGTGAATTTTAGTGTGTAAAAGGTTTTGGTTTTTCCAAATTAATCATTCTAGAAATCCTCACCATAATCACAAAAGATATTTTTATATAAATTGACACACTGATTTAAAAATGTACATCAAGAGAGCAAAAACAAATGATAGAAAGCTGAAAAAAAAGTTGGAATACTCACACTTCCTAACACCATGCAATAACTTAAAGCTATAGTCATCGAGAGAATGTGTTATTAGTAGATGGATAAACAATTAGAGTAATGGAATGGAATAGAGTTCACAAATAGATCCATGCTTATATGAATAATATAATATCAAAGATACTGCAGTTATTCAAAGGGGAAAGATAATTTTATTTAACAAAGTGTGCAGAACTACGAGATAAATGTGAAGAAAACAAACCTCAAGTCCTTCCTCACAACAAAAGCGTGAATGAGTTCAAAATTAAAGGAGTCCAAAATATATTATGGAACAATGTGTAAAAGTGAAAGCATAGGCTTCAAATATAAAGCACAGAAAATGTCTTAGTAAACTACATGAAAGCACTTCTTTTTATCCAAACTGTGGATACATTTCTTTTTATTCAGAAAGCAATAATTATATAATGATAAACTACAGAAATGTGTAAATATATTTATACTTTAATGTTTATTTTTAATTACACAATTATATATACTATTTATTATGAATAAGAGCAAGAATATATAAATATAATGTACAACATAGAAACAAGAGAGCTATAAAAACTAACAGATGCTACACAAAAATGATATAATAGCAAATAAGCAAAGGAAAAATTTCTTAATATCGTTAGTAATAAAAAATAAAATGAGATAATTATACACATCTACTAGAAAAGCTACTATTTTAAAAATTGTGTTACCAATATTTGGCATAGATGTCAAGAAACCAGACTCTAGAGTTTGCATACATCGACGGTGGGAGTGTAACACAGTACAGCTACTTTGGATAACTAAATCTACCTTACATGTACCAATTCTACCCCTAGGCATTTATCCTAGGGGGGAGAAAAGCATAAGTCTGTAAAAAGGCTTGCACAAGTACCTTTATTCATTATTGTCAAAAACAGACACCATGCAACTGTCCACCAAGAGCGGCGTTCTCAAGTTCAGCACTATTAGCTGTTGAAGTGGCTTAATTCTTTGTTGTGGGGAGCTATCCTTTGTGGAACCCTGGCCTGTGGACACTCTATCCCCTCCTCCACAAACCTCTGATAACCAAAAGTGTCCCCAAACATTGGAAATGTCCCCGGCAGGTAAAATGTCCCTCATTTGAGAACCTCTGGTCAAGAGTTTAGTAAATAAATTATAGTGGTATGTCTATGAAATGAAATAATACGTAACAATAAAAAAAGGTGCTACTTCAACATGCAAGAAATTGTTGAATCTCAAAAATATTATGCTTAAGGAAAAAAGACAAAAAGAATTCATACTCTATAATTCTACTGATATATAATTGTAGAAAATAAAAGCTAATATATGGTAATAAAACCAGATTAGTACTGGATTGACAATGTGTTGAAAGTCAAAAGAAGAGGCTTGAGATCTCTTTCTAGTGTGATGGTTTTACAAGTATATACGTATGTTAATGTTTAAAAATTTCACACCTCAAAAATGTGCAGTATACCAGATGTTAATTATATCTCATAAAGCTATTAAAATTTTATCTCAAAATTATAGCTTTATTGCATTTAGGGCATTATCCAATTTTGAATCTAGTCCAGTTATCATAGCTTAATGCAGTATTATGAAAATAATGCCTATAAAGGTCCAGTTCCTCAAACACCCTTGGAACCAATTTTGTCATCTATATTAGTTACCTTGGGCTGCTATAATGAAGTACCACAAGCTGTGTGTCTTTAAGCAACAGAAATTTCTTCCCTCACAGTTGCGGAGGTCAGAGGTCAGAAAACAAGGTGTCTGCAGGACCAACCTCTCCTCTGGATGCTCTAGGTGAGAATCTTTTCCATGCCTTTCTCTTAGCTTCTGATGTTGCCATCAGAACTTCAGATGGTGTTCCTTGGCTTCTGTCAATATTAATACATAAATCCTTTTCAGTCTCAGCTTCTCTCTTCACATGGTCCTCTCCACATCCTATCTGTTTCTGTTCCCTCTTCTTATAAAGACAACCCATGTTATTTTAAGTCCCACCTACAGACATAATTTTAGCTTGATTACATCTGCAAAAACTTTGTGTCCAAATGAGGTTTCATTTACCTTATGTGTATAACTAGGGGTTAGGGCTTGAACATACGGGTTTGGGGAGGGGAACACAGTTCAGACCATGACACTCATTGTTTCACTCATTAATGAGTTAAGGGTGCTTTGATATTATTACATTTGAATGAGAGTGGTCTTTAAAATTACATTTTGTCGTGTAGTTTGTTCCACCCTGATGCTTAAAGGGAGTCACCTGCCTCAGCCAATTAAACTGTGTTGTCTCTGCAGTGCGTTTTATCACAAGAACATGACCTTTAAGCACAAGAACACCTTGTACTCCACCACTAAAAACAGAAATGACATCTACCTTCACTGCTTCCCTATTTCTCTCCATCTTTACTGACTTGGTATTTTGTTGTTGCTGTCATTTCTGGTTGTTGGTCAATTTTCATTTCTGTTCTTATTTTGCTGATAATTCTTATAAATCAGTGCTGAATTTTGTCAAATTATTTTTCTGCATCTCTACAGATGATCATTTTATGTTTTCGTCCCTGTGATAATTTAGTGAATGTCATTGATCAATTTTTAAATAATGAATATCTTTGCATTTAAGATAATATTTTTCACTATTAATGTTATCTCTGAAATGAAAGCTAAACCTAGTCAATAGATATTAGAGGTGCATGATTTTTAAAATTGTATAAAATTAGATAAAAAATACAAAGAAATATATATAATTTTAAAACTATGTAAAAATGTAAATGCCAAATGATAGAGCACTAAATGAAGCTTGTAATATTAAATACAATCTTTAGAAACTCTTTTGCAGTGCAGGAAAAAAATAGAACTGAAAACAAAGCAGAAGAAATCACAGATATAAAATTAAAGAGGATAGAATTAAGCACCTGAGTTCCCACATCTAAAGTGAAAATCTAAGAATTTAAATATCATTCAAATGCAGACTAAAATACAATATAAAATAAAATTTCCTGAGCTAATTTTTAAAATACTGCTTAATTTGTAGGTAAAAATGCAGACTAATTTTCTGACTATATTACTATAAAAACCTTCTACAAATATTTTTTAACTAAAATTATAAGAAAAACATCCGCCATAAACACGTAAGATTAGTATTTTCGTTTCTGAAGTATAAAATGTCTGGATAGACTTGAGCTTGTTGCTTTAGTTTTATATGTGAAGACTGGAAAAATTCTGTTTTGTTTTGAAAAATATTTTGAGCTAAAAATGTTGTATTCCACATTTGTTAGGAATGGAAGTCTTTAAAATATGAAATATTTCCAATTGAAGAAAAATAGTGAAAATGAACTTTATCTGAATAAGATTAATGAAAATTACATGTTGAAAAAGTAAAATAGTTATGTGTACTAACAGTGACTACTAACCCAACAATATAAAATTAAGTAAAAATGTTATTACCATGTTAAATACAAATTAAAATTAATTATAAAAAAGTTAAGATCTATGATTAAAGTATTAAAATAAAATGAGACTGTATTCACAAATCTAAAAGCAAATTGGTGAATGACATATTTTTTGAAATAATAAATTCTTTGGCATATTTTATATTTTTTATTATAAATGAAAATTATTTATTTGAAATATTTAAAGGAACAAAATATTTGCAGCTCTATTTTATTGAGAAAGGAATTACAAAACAAAAACAAGGAGCTTTTGTAATTACAAAAGAATATATTAATAATATTATTTAGAAGCACAAAACCAGAAAAGCTTTATATTATTTCTAACAATAAATGTAAACCATCTAATTTTCTGAAAAGGGGTGGAAATAAATATTTAACAAAGAAGATGTTATTCTTAAATTGTAATATGTACATTGCCTAAAAATAAAAAGGTAGTTGAAGATATATTGTGAACAACAAAAAATGAAGAGCTGATAATATTAATGTGCGAAGGAAACTCATAACATATTGTACTAATTATAAATCAGTGTATTGACAAAACCTGAGTCCTCAATTATTATTGACTGTCATTGACATGTTAATGATAGAATATTAAATATAGAATATAATAAAGCAATTTAGAATAAAAAAGAGAAAGCGATAGACATGAATAGAAACAAAATGCAACTGTTCAATATTAAAAGCCTTTCTAAATTGCTTGTGTTTTTCTAGTGACCTGTTTCGCTATGCAGTGTAGGCTCAGGTGTCTAGATTTTAGTTGCAGATAAACACAGGTAGTGTTTTCCAGATCTCAGAATGACCAGTTACATAAAAATAGGCCATAAACCATATATTTCATTCTTGCGGTTGACAAACCTCTAATTCACCTGAAAATATTAAAAAGAAAGAAGACAGACGTGACAGTGGTTGGAAGTTGAGGATAAGAAGAAGTTGGCAGAAATAAGCTTTCTTCTTTTGGACAGCAATGCATGATAAAAAAAATTAAACTAAATTCAGTTCATTTCCACTAACTGGGACTTATTTAGAATTAGAAACTTTAAGAAAGTCTGAAGAATTTCAATTGAGGAGTAAATAAGGGCCAATTTATTTCATAGTGTGGACTCTCAAGACAATATACAACAGTGCTTCTCAAAGTTAAACAGTGTATGAGTGACCTGGAAATGAAGATGCAGATTTAATAGGGCTGGAGAGAAGTCTGAGATTCTCAATTTCTAATGAATTAAATTACAAAGAGGAGAAAATAAGGTTATTGCTTACTTTATATACATTCACAAACACAGGCTAATCAAATAATTGTTTAAAGTATTGCTCTGATAAGAATTAAATTACATAGTTCATAGGAAACATTTTCTTTACATTCGGATTTTATCTATTATTAGAATAATAATAGAATCTTGACTTTATGTAACTCTATGTTCCAAACAACTAGAAACTTTTCGATAGCAATTGTTCACCATTTAATAACATTTTTCCAAGATACCTAATGCACTCAAGGACAAAATAGCTGCCTTCCAGTGATTTCCAATTTATTCAATTTTCAGGCCATCTGTCTGCCCACACAATGACAGATTATAGTTACATTCTTGCCATGCTCTGAACAGCTAAGCCAATTGTTTTCAATCTTTTTTCTTCAGCAACTCCATCTCTTAAAGTACTTCAGAGTAGTTCCTGAAAGGATTCCTCTTTAGTTAAATGGCTATACAGCTCTCCCATCATCCAAAATAATCAGTGGAGAGATAGCAATATTTTTCATTACATTAGGCCAAGTTCCATTGCTTCCTTCATCTTGTAATCTGATCAGAAACACCACTATAGATTCAATAATTGAGTTTAGAGTTTCAGAGAATTTGGGGTCACAGAACATCTATGTCTATTTTGTAAAGATTATTGCATATTACTGAAATAGCTTGTCAAACACTGCAGTCTGCTTAAAGTATCAAAATAGAAATGTTGAATGCTGTGTCTGCACAGAGTTCATTTAAGCAAAGAATCTACTAGGCTCTTAAGTCTGTTAATGCAAATTCCTGAATACAGCTGACCCTCCATACCCCCATTGTGGGTGGATTTAACTAACCATGAATCAAACATATTTGTTAAAAGAAATACCAAGAATAATTTTTAAAAAGAAATACAACAATAAAACAATGCAAATAAAAAACAATCCTTATAACAATTATGTGCATAGCATTTATATTGTATTCAGTATTATTAATGTAAGTAATAATCTGGAAATGATAGAAAGTATACAAGAGGGTGTGTGTAAGTTATATGCAAATACTAGGCCATTTTATATAAGAAACTTGAGCATCTCTGGCTTTTGCTATGAAGGGATGATGGTGGTAGGATTGGTGGTGGTCCTGGAACAAATCCCCAGCAGGTACCAAGGGGGACTGTAGACCCCAAAGCTGTTTAGGAATGGGTCACAGCAGCAGGACTGAGGCAGGAATGCTCCCCACAGAAAACATCAACCACCTGTTGATTTTTGAATCTGCTCCTCTCAGGCATGCCTTCAAATGCTATAACCTGGAGATTCAACTCATTTTCATGCTGCTAAGTAGGAATAGGTGATTCAATTCCCCAAGAAAGTGACAGAGGTCCCTGAAATATAGATTTAAAGTTACATAGTGTCAAATGCTAGTCATTTTCTTTTTGCTCGATGGTATCCTCTCAGAAAAACCTTTTATAATATTTCTAATTCATTTACCAGATTTATAGAATCATCAAATTGTCTATCCATGTGTTTTTCAAATATTTTGTGAAGTGTCTAGGGTAACAACCTAGTGTTCGAACGTATTTTGTGAAGTGGCTAGGGTAACAACGTAATGTTCGAACTTATGTTCGTATTTAAATACAAATGTATTTTGGTTGAGTGATTACTCAAGGTCACTGAGGAATCCACAAGGTTAACCTCCTGACTCTAGAACCATTGTTATATAGAGATATATAAATAGCTGATTTAATATTATAGGCTTAGCAAAATATTTAATAAATAAGGTCTTAGTAAAACAACACACATGTATTTATCCACTTATTTAATTTTGTTTTTCCATTTCTTCTGAACATAAGTTCCTGAGGACACGGGCCTTTTTTCACAGTTCATTTTTGGATTCCAACATCTAGCCAGTACTCTGCAAAGAGCACTGAATTTGAAAGAAATTTCTCAGTTAATGATTTGAATCATATAAAATATTTAGTAAATTTGAAAACTAGTAACCGTGTAAAGCGATTAAAACAAACATACTAGAGGGTAATAATCCCCCGCCCCTTGCCTTCTTCCTTTACATCCACTTCATTCTTATTCTTGTCTACTTCCCCTGCCCCACCCAGGGAACGTGGTTAGCCCATCAGCTGCAAAGATTGTTCTCATATAATATTGTTCCGATGGATAATGAGACTCTGAAAGTGGAACATAAACAGATAAAACAAAAACAAACAGAAAAGAACCCAAAAACCTAAACTCAACTTCAGTTAAAGCAGAAAATATCTGTCCAGCCTAAACCAGGCATACTCCACAGACTTCTGTTAGACGCCTGATCCTACTTCAGTCTGGAACCACCTAGTCTTCAGGTTTGCCTGGTGCTCACCAGCTGAAGAAATCCTTTAACGACCTTTATTCAGTCAAGTAAATCGTTTTCTTTTGGCAACTTGCATGTTATTTTTTAGGTTTTCATTTATTTATTTTTTTATATTTAAAGTCATATTTTCTTCCTTTTATTCACTTTGCTGGTCTTTCTCACTTTGATTTTTTTTTTTTTGCCTTGTTTTGCATTTGTTTACTTTAACATTTTTTGTAACTTATCTCTTTTATTTTGGAAATTATTCACATTATCAGTTTTCTTTTGCTAGGCAATTTTGATATTCTAATAAACATTATTAACATAAAATATAAAGTTTACTAACACCAAGCCCAAACAATACAAAGTCTTAGGGCTCTTTAATTGCAATTATTTAAAAATATTTGCTACAAATTGTTCATTATTTTATATTCATGTTGTTTTTCTTATTCCCACAAATCACATATTGTTGGTGTGTTTGTTAAATAAAATTGTGACTGCTTATATATGTTTTTTCACATCCTTTCTTCTTCTAATATTTTGGAATTTACATCCAGTTAATTATCCTTTATTCTATGGTACATACTGTAAAAGTTACTATTCTTGGTAGTAAACTCTCAGTTTTTGGATTGTCTGAAGATGTCTCTATTTTGATCTGCTCTTGAATTCTAAATCTAATTGACATAAAATTCTAGATTTGCCGTTATCATTTATTAGCACTTCAAAGATATTCCACAATTTTCTGACTTTCAATATTTTTGTTGGTAAAAATGGTGATTGTTAATTGGCTTGCATATTCTGTTTTGGATATTCCACTGTTTCCTTATAATTTGTTTATTTATAAGGAAACTTATAAACAAATTATAAGGAAACAATAGAATATCCAAAATAAAGAGAATAGTTATGGGTTCGTTTAGATAATTCTTCAGAATCTACTAATTTGTGTCTTTCTTCTTTACTTCTGTAAACTTTTCAGCTACTATATATTAGAATATTTCTTAACTTTTTTATATTCATTCTGAAATTTCTTGCTGAAATTTGTTCAGAAGGTGAGTTAACGGAGCTATACATCTTTAGTGTCATGTGCTCTAAATTGCAAAATACATGTATTTTTATTTCAGACAACTTGAGTAACATTTGTGCAAATGTTTTATATACACGGACTTAATTTGGTAAATTTAGGCATGTGGTAGACAAATTTAAAAATGTATAAAAATCATGGGCAAGCATATGAACATTCTATTTTTGCTACTATAAAAAAATAGCAGACTATCCAACTATTTTATGATACTCAACGATACATCTTACTAAATGGTCACGACTCTTGCCTCTCAGGGTCAGAGTTTGCAATAGTGAAAGCAAGAGAAAGCCACGGAAAAAAAAACAGGGAGAGGGAAAATATTAAGCTCTAGAATATGTACATTGTTTTGCTTGTATAAATTTAGAACATTCAACACATGTTTACAATGAATACATATAAAATACCAATGACATGAGGAGAATTAGAATAGAAATAAATACAAGGATTCTTTCATGATAACTAAAAATATCAGTGAAGGTTTGTACATAAAATTTAGGGATTTTATATTATTACCTAATACAATTCTGGCTATAACATCACTAAAGGATTGTAAACGTCTGCTGGGAAACCTATGGGAAAAAAATGCAAGTGGAACTGGTGTCATACAAACACATTTTCTAATGGGAAGCTTAACTGGTGAAATGTAAGTTGGAAACATTACTCAATTTAGGTCTATGAAAATGTTTTCCCAAATACAATCTTTTCTTGTTTGATAGGAGGTTTTACTGTGATGTATTATTTCTGACAGCCTCTTTTTTTTTTTTTTTTTAAAGGAAACGAGTAGAATTAAGTGAATTGATTATCATATCTAACCTGTAAGTACAAATTACTTTCCCTTGGAATTACATAATTGATAATTGTACATCCTCAGATGTGTTTGAATCTGAGATTTACTCTAAACTCAGAGGAAAAAAAGTGAAATTTTGTTTCCATTGTGACACCTTTGTTTCCTTTTTAAGTTTTCAAAATTTCTTAAAAATTATTTTTCCCTTTCATAATTTATTCAACAAGTATCTATTGTTAGGTGTTGGGAACACAAGACCTAAAACTCCTGACAAATATATTCTATTTCTGAGGTCAATTTGTACATTAATAAATGCATATATAATACCAGACAAGATTGTAATGCTAACCAGTTTGACTTTGAGGCACGGTATTCAGAATGTAAATGCCCCTGGAAAAAACATTGAATATAAATGCCCCTGGAGAAAGAATGTAGTTGGAAAAAACATTCTGAGGTAAAATTATGCAATATTGGTATGACTAATTAGAGTGACCAGAGGTTCACACATTTTTGTGACATGCCATTGGTAGAAAAAGAGCCATAGCTGAAAAAATATGGCAGTCATAAGATGTCAGTGGAAATGAAGACAAGGATACCTTTTGGTCAATTTTCTTGAAAATATTGGCTTTTTCAACAGTGTAGTTTATTTAAAATTTAGTCCCAGTTCTTAGCAATTATTTATATACTGATGGACTTATATCCAGGGTCTTCTTGAATTAAAAAAAGTCAAAAAATAATTTTATAAATTTAAAATATTATAAAATTATGATATATACAATTCTTGCTCTCTCTGTCATATTTTTCCAATTTTTTGTCTGTCTTGTTTTTTCTTGCCTTTTCTTCCCTGTCCTTTCCCTTTCGTTTCTTTTCTTTTTGTTTCCTTTGTCTGGCCTTGCTTTGAGTTTCTTTTCCAAACGAATTCACTGGAGGTGGTATTTTTATGCATAATATACACAGCAAATGTCTAGGGCCTCTCATTTTTTACAAATCTTTGTAAGAAAAGGCTATCTATTAACCCAATGACATTGTCATAACCTTTTCTAAATTTCAATGATATTCAGTTTCTCGCAGCTATTACATTACAAAGTATACCTCAGTAAAAATCTAGTAAGTCATAGGGCTGATGTTGCTGATTGCTCACTTGCTCAAGCCAGAAGCTTAGAATACATGCTTGATTCTTCACTTTCCTGTGGGTTTATGCCAAATCAATTTCAAATCTATAGATCTTATCCTCTAAATAACATACAGCATGCCTACTTTTTTCTCTCTCTCGACTACTGTCACATTAATTCAAAAGAAAAAGACTGATGATTCCTAACTTCCTGGCTTCAGTAATTGGCAACGATGACATCACTACTAAGGCTTCACTTCTCACCTCTGCTTCCATATGAGTGTAATGTTATTTTCTCCTATGACAGATAAGTTTATTTTTCACCATTAAAAGGTAAGAAACTCACTCATAACCAAAGTTGGAGGAGACAGTTATTTTTTTTCCCCAGCTTGCCTGTTAAAACCATAAGGAATGATTAATCTGCCATGGTGCTTGATGTGGCCCAGGGATGTGCTCAGACTCAGTCATGTAGGGGCAGGTGGTATTAACATTAGTTCAAACATGGAACCATGGCATGTGTTAGAAATAATGGCTTATATTAGAAACTGGACATAAAATTGTCGTGAGCAAGAAAGTTACCTCAATTTGAGTCTACTAGAAGTTTCAGAGTGCCATTTCACATGGCCACAAAGTTCAAAAGTTCCAAAAGAAGCAAAAGTTTGACCAAGAAATCAGTGATTTTTTAAAAAAGAGAAATTGAGCTCAATCATGTTTTTTATATCTTCTACTGTACTAAAAGTTTTTTTCTCAATAATTGACTAAAAGTTCATTAACTACTGCACAGACTTCAATATTTAGAAATGTAATACGGGCTTGCTAACTAAAAGTGAAGTTATTTTATTGTCGGAACTAGCTATTGTTAGAAAGACTCATTTGCTTTTTATAATACAATTTTACATATGATTTATAGATTGACAGATTATAACAATTTATAGATTATTACCTCATTAATTTATTGAATAACCTGACTAAATTACTTAGTCACTGAATTAAATACAACCCAGCCTTAATACTTTGGGTCAAGGAACATTGACCAAATATGTATTTATGCCACAGATTCCTTGAAATTTCTTACCAAAGTAAATTGTTTCATGAAAAATACAGAAATAAATTGGTAACTAAATAAAACATGTTCTATATTTCAACTTGAAAAATTAAAGAAATTAATAATTCTTAAAATCAAAGCAATGATCATTTGTTTCCTAATTATTATTATTGTGAATGTACTTAAAATTTTTGCTATGCTTTTAAGAAAGATGTACTTCTATTAAAAATTATTAAAATAAACAGCAGAGAGACTGACTTTTCAAAATAGTTTATCTGGGAAGAGCAATGAACTGCAATTTGGGATATGTGTACCGTACTGAACCATAGGCACATTTGAAAAAGCTGGGGGAGCCGAAGCTTTTTTAAGGGTAAAAGGTGAAGTTCCCCATCAAACTACCGTTGGCATTCTTCACAGAATTAGAAAAACCTATTTGAAATTTCATATGGAATCAAAGAAGACCCCATATAGCCAAGACAATCCTAAGCATAAAGAACAAAACTGGAGGCATCACACTACCTGACTTCATTACTGCAGGGCCTCAGTAACCAAAACAGCATGGAACTGGTACCAAAACAGACATATAGACCAATGAAGGTGAACATAGACCTCAGAAATACACCACACGTCTACAACCACCTGATCTTCAACAAACCTGACAAAAACAAGCAATGGGAAAGGATCTCATATTCAGTAATAATGTGGGAAATCTGGCTAGCCATATGCAGGAAACTGAAACTGGACCCCTTCCTTACACCTTATACAAAAATTAACTCAAGATGGATTAAAGACTTAAATGTAAAACCCCAAACCATAAAAACCCTAGAAGAAAACCTAGGCAACAACATTCAGGACATAGGCATGGTGGGCAAAGACTTCATGACAAAAATGCCAAAAGCAATTGCAACAAAAGCCAAAATTGACAATGGGATCTAATTAAACTAAAGAGCTTCTGCACAGCAAAAAAAAAAAAAAAAAAAAAAACTATCATCAAAGTGAACAAGCAACCTACAGACTGGGAAAAAATTTTTGCAATCTACCCATCTGACAATGATCGAATATCCAGAATTTACAAGGGACTTAAACATGCTTACAAGAAAAAGACAAACAACGCTATCAAAAAGTGGGCAAAGGATATGAACAGACACGTCTCAAAAAAAGACATTTACGTGGCCAAAAAGCATACAAAAGAAGCTCAACATCACTGATCACCAGAGAAATGCAAATCAAAACCACAATGAGATGCCATTTCACGCCAATTAGAATGGAGATTATTAAAAAGTCAGGAAACAATAAATACTGGAGAGGATGTGGAGAAATGGGAATGCTCTTACACTGTTGGTGGGAAAGTGAATTAATTCAACCATTGTGGAAGACAGTATGGGCATTCCTCAAAGGATCTAGAACTAGAAATACCTTTTGACCCAGCAATCCCATTACTAGGTATATACCCAAAGGAATATAAATCATTCTACTGTAAGGGAACATACGTATATATATTTATTGCAGCACTATTTACAATAGCAAAGACATGGACCCAACCCAAATGCCCATCACTGATAGACTGGATAAAGAAAATGTGGTACACATACACCATGGAATACTATGCAGCTATAAAAAAGGAATGAGAGCATGTCCTTTGCAGAAACATGGATGAAACTGGAAGCCATCATCCTCAGCAAACTAACACAGGAACAGAAAACCAAATACCGCATGTTCTTATTCGTAAGTGGGATTCGAACATTGAGAACAAATGGACACAGAGAAGGAAACAACACACGCTGGGGCCTGTTGGAGGTTGGGGGGTGAGGGGAGGGAACTTAGATGATAGGTTGAAAAGTGTAGCAAACCACCATGGCATACGTATACCTATGTAACAAACCTGCACGTTCTGCACATATATCACTTTTGTTTGTTTTTTGAAGAAGAAGAAGAAATAAAGAAAAAAAAAGGTGAAGTTCATGTAAATTATTTTAAAATAAACCTCTTTGGCCCCAGAAGCTTATTGCTTGGTATGGACAAATACTCATCGGTGATACTGGCTATTGCTGGGAAGATGTCTTCATAGAAGCGTCGTATCTAAAATTTTTGTAGTTTTCAGGGAGTCCTTGCAATAATTCTTTTAGAGACATCCATGCATGAAGGGCCTTCTTTTATACTCTCCCAGCTCCATTTTGTTGTGGTTTGACTTCAGTGAGTCAACTTCTTTGCTTGTAACTTTAACATTTCCCCCCTTTGACCAAGAATTTTTTCTGAAAGCATTGCTGATTAATCAGCCTATAGTTAGGTTTTGATTGTTTCTTGGTGCTGGAGTGGACCTTTCCTAGTCAGTCTGATCCTGCATCAGAGGTGAATGGCCAGCAACTAAGAGCAGATGTCAAAACCCTTTTAGTCACATTTAAGAAACAAAGAGGTTCAGAAGGAGTGGCTCTCAGGATAAATCTGCCTGGAGTTCATTGCTAAGTTCAATTTTGTCAGTTCCATAGGCATTGACTACCATTTGGAAGTTCTGGACCAGTGTTATTCTGTTAGATGCATCATTTCTGCAGAGGTTGGACAGGAAACAGATAAAAAGTTTAAAAAGAATGATGCGGTACAAAATTAATAGTAACATGAAATATTGTCTATGAACATGGACCCAAAGGCAGCCAACTAATGAATCAAAAGTCTATGTGAGACTGAGTGAGATCTGTTGTAGCCATAAAGCCTGTCTTGCTATTTTATGCAATTAGGTCTTGACTTCCCCAGAGAAATATATTCAGGTACAGCATGTAGTTATTAGCAATGGCACAGACATTCTTGTTCAACCAGTAGATAATTGAGAGTTATCTCATCCTGTCCTGTTGTGTTATCTACGGCTACTCAGCAAGATACTTTAATGAGCACTGCTGGGCGGCAATAGCCTTTGCGGTGAAGCCTGCAATGAAACCCAAGGTGGCAAATAAATTAGGGATGTTGCCATAGTTACCCACTGGGTGGACTAAAGGATCCCTTAGGTCATGTAAAGATGTGGGTTTGACACGACAGATCCAAAACTTCATTCAGTTACGGAAGCTACTGAATGTGAAATTCTAACCACAGCGTTATTCTGCCAAGTGAAAAATGTAGGCATAAGCAAGAAAAAAAAAATAAGAAGGATAAGAGTCCAGTTTTGTTACAATGTCTTGGGAAAAGCTTTCCACACTGTGATGTCATCAACTTCTTACTCTGGTTTGTAGTTTGAATGTTCCTGGGTATAGCATGGGGCATTTTAGTCAATTCTCTTTGTAGCCCACACAATAGCCATGAGATTTCTCTCTTGAAATTTACATGGAGTTTTCTGGCTCCAACTTGTAGGACTTTAGGAACAAAGGCAGTTTATGTTCTTAGTTGGAGAATCGTAGCCAGACGTTGGAGGAAATTAGAATAATTAAGTGCCCTGTCTAATTTAGAGATAGATGACAAAAACTTGAAAACAACAAAGAAAACTACAATCTAATAACAGGTGTACTGCAGTTTTTCTTCAGAAACATAATTTTTCTCTGTACAATCATCCCTATTTCTACTAAAGATAATCAGAGTAAGACTAAATTGTGTGCTGAATAAGTTTAGTCTCATTAAACTTGGCATGATTATTGACAACAGTATAGCAAGAAAAGGGATGAAACATGGGCTGTTTTTAAGTTTATTTTGATGGAACTTTTGATAAGAAATCTCAGATTAGACTTTTAAAAGCCTTTCAAGGGTCAGAAGTCAAAGGAGGGCGAACATCAGACTTTGGCTGCAGTATCTAAAAATCTGCATGAATTTCTCTCTTCTTGAGGTCTCCAATATATCTGGAGGTTCCTGGCCTGTCAAGAGGTAAAAATGTTTATTCACTCACTGTGAGCTTGGGAATCCTTGAAGCTAGGCATCCTGTGCATAGTCTCAAATATCACATTCAAGTCAAACCATTTATAATATAACCAATGTTTGTAATTCTATCCTGTTACAAAGAGAATAGATTTTTATTGAATTAATGCAAATAACTATGTTGCCATAAAATAAAAATATCAATAAGAGCTCTCTGAAGACTGCAGCCACAGGTAGGAAGAAAAAATAAATATTTCCATTTTTATTTATAAAAGTATACTTTACCAAATTGCTGTATGCTATAGATAGCTTTTTAAAAGTTTTCTCAAATCTGGAAAACAAAAAATTTAAAAAAAACAGCAAAATGTTAAGCAAAAAGTCACTCGAAAATATTGCCATCAGTTTGTTTAGTCCCATTCATTAAACTTATTCTACTTGATCTGGGTTAGATGTTTTAAGAAGCCATCGTTTCTTCATTAGAGTCCTGGAAATTCTTTCCCAGTCCAGTGGTATAATCTTAAACTCATAAGAAATCTAAATTCCAGCATACTTGCTAGAGTCCTTTTCATGAACCTCCTTGAAGAGGAAGTATTTTTCTTTATTCATTTTAATTTATTCTCTACAATACTTCATTAGGGAGTTCAATGATTTGCACTCAGAAGTTAAATAGCCAAGAGGCAAGCAAGTATAATAAACTTCAGAATTGGACTGAGGTTGTTGCACTGAAGGCCATGTAGTCTTTTGCTTCAGGGAAATAACAACAAAAATAACCAAAATGAACACATAGCTCCCTAGGCTTCTGAATCTCAATAGAGAATAACATCAACATTTAATGAAATTGTAGATATTAACACATCATGGGAAAAAAGATACTGTGCAAAATATTATAATTAACACTTGGCACTTCTTATGTCTAGATTTTTATTATAAACAATAAAATATATGTAATATCTTAACTACAGACCTTTCATGTTGAAAGGGCATCTAACATAACTTGTTTTAACATTATGAAGGGGAAAAGTTTAGAAATTTCAAAGTGGAAACAATCCAACACTAACAAACTATAGTGATCAAAAGTATTAACTTTTAAAGAAAAACAAGGACAATTCATAAAAGTAGAACTACCATTTGATCCAGCAATCTTACTGGTTATCTACCCAGAGGAAAAGAAGTCATTACACAAAAAAGATACTTGCACATGCACGTTTATAACAGCACAATTAGCAATTGCAAAAATGTGGAACCAGCCTAAATGCCCGTGAATCAATGAGTGAATAAACTGTGGTATATATTTATGTGTGTGTGTGTGTGTGTGTGTGTGTATGTATATGTATATATATATGCATATGTATATATATATATATGCATAAATACATATATGTGATGGAATACTATTCAGCCATAAAAAGGAATGAATTAATGGCATTCATAATAACCTGGATGGGATTGGAGACTATTATTCTAAGTGAAGTATCTCAGGAATGGAAAACCAAACATTGCATGTTCTCACTCTTAAGTGGGAGCTAAGCTATGCAGATGCAAAGGCATAAGAATGATACAGTGGACTTTGGGGACTCAAGGGAAAGAGTGGGAAAGGCATGAGGGGTAAAAGACTACAAATTGAGTTCAGTGTATACTGCTCGGGTGATGTGTGCACCAAAATCTCACAAATCACCACTAAAGAACTTACTCATGTAACCAAATACCTCATGTTCTCCAAAAACCTATGGAAATAAAAAATTTAAAAAATTACAGAAAGGGAATGTATTATGAGACAAGCCACGTTTATAGACCAAAGCATGCTCATAGCTAGGGATGAAACAAACCACAAACCAAGCCAGCAAAGTTGGGTTGATTCCTTGAAAAGAATGGTTACCTATTGTCCAGATTGAGTAGCCCAAAGACAGAGGAAACACTGAGCGTAAAACATTCCCTTTTTTTTAAACCTACCACTCACACCACATGCACTGATCACTCTCATCACTGCTTTGGTAAAGCATGTAGGATGCAGTTCAGTTTCAATTTGGAGCTGTTACCTCCCCAGGCAAAGCTGCCACACAGATGATCCAGGCTTGGTGTTTTTCCTGAGAGCCACCTGCCACACATTTTCATAAGGTGACCATGACTATGCACATCCAGGCTACTTCCTGACTAGGCCCTGTTCAGGAAGCATCCTGAGGTGTCCATTCCTCGTGGAGCCAAATAGTTCCCTTGGTTGACTCCTGAGTCCCCTTGGCAAGCCAAGCAGAATTCAAGCATTTCTACTGCTAGCCTTGTGTGGGAGCATGAGCGAATGTAAAGGGAGCAAGGCTCTTCAGTCCATAAACCACAGCCTACTTCGGGGTGGTGCTGGACCAGCCCTATTCTTGGGTACTGAATTTCTTTTTCTCATTTGTTGGGATTTTAAATTTTCTATTTATTTTCTTAAATGGCAGGTATCCTACTGCATCTTCAATAAAATAAAATATATACATATATATGTTGTACACTGGAGAAAACAAATAGGGGAACAGTTTGATAGTTTAGCCCCATTTTTTGCTTTTATTTAACCTTTAGAAGTAAAACACAATTATTAAAACAGAATGCTTGAGCAGTAATAAGCGTAGCCCTATGTATCAATATTATTGTACAAATTGGATGTGGGTGCTTAACCCAGAGCTGACCACCCTGATAATAATCCAGAAAAAAACCATTGTTACATCTGTTTGTAACAAGACATTTATTATTCTCAGCACCAGGACATCATAAAATGACTCCTTGATCTTCATTTACTTCACCAAGGGAAACGTGGCAGGCTACAGAAACTCAGCACAGCAGTTAGTGGGGCTGTGCCCTGGGTGCCCTGATGTCACCCACATTTCCCTTGCATGTCTCAGGTCCTAATAAGCAGTGCAGGACAATGTTGAGCCAACCTACTCACCCGTGCCCATTCCTTCCCAGAAACTTAAAGGTGATCCCTATAATAGCACATATGTCCTTTCCCAAATTGTGTCTTTGCTCCCCTAACCCCATTCTTGGCAGAAGAAAAAACAAAACATCTCTTGACTTGAATATTTGCTTATTTTAGAAACCGACACAATCACCATAAACTTAAAAAAAAAATAAATCAAAATGTTGTTTTCACTGGGTTGACACCTATCTGCTTCAAGAATTCTCTAAGCATGTTGTTGAAAACCAGTGTAACATCTTTAGGATCTTTCTCCCAACTGACCAGTCTTCCTGTGAATCATTTCAGCAGTTCCTTTGTGGCAATGTTTACAAAGCATCTTCTAAGTCCTCTAATTCTATGAGCTTTGCTATCAAAATAGTGAAGAATAGGAAAGGGGGAGGAAAAAACTAGCTGACAGCTGTTTGGAAATCAGCAACAATGTGAAAGAGAAATGTATCTCATGAAAGTTTGAAAGACATGGAATAAATGAGCTCCTTGGAAATTTGCCCTGGCGGAGTGAAGATTCCCACTTTATCTTCTTAGGTAAGATAAAGATCCACCTTATGTAATTACACAGCTTTGTTTAAGCATCCTGTAAAAGACTGAAAAATCAACTGTCTTCCTAACTCTACAGGCAAACTAGAAAAAGGATCTCCCTGCTTACTGGTCCCTCAGGATGTTTTCCTGAAAAGAAAACCAGCTTAGAGATACTGGATTTTCTTCTATGACAAAGTGTCCTCTTAAAGTCCAACCGAAACTTGTTTGCACACTTACACTTCTGAAAGCCTAGGTCCGACTATAGGGCTGATACCGGGAGAGAAGTGAAGTAGCTGGGTGGTGAGGAAGTGGTCTCTCCTTTCACATCTCTGTGCAGTCATGATATCAAGACCCCTTGTGGACATCTCTATTCCATTCCTCAGTCAGTGACACCACAGAGCTCTGTTTGATACCGGGAGACTTAATGCAGTAAAAGTGACAGAAAGTGCAACTGATAGTAGGATGAAAATTATAATCTTCAAGGATTATTGAGCCATGAGATCTGCAATGCTATCGTAGGGTTTCTGATCCTGATGTGGGTCTCTGTCCAGGATCCTTGAAGAAATTATGGCACCCACATCCAACCCTAACATAGCTTCCACTTATGAAACAAGGAGGTTGTAATCAACTCTTGGTATGTAATAAACTGGAAGTTCAAAAATGTAATTTAAAACAATCTAAAAGAATGTAGTGTTGGTCTCCATTGCACAGACTGCTAGGGGAATATATCAACTTGATTTGGGGAGGCTGTAGAGGTATATAGAGGAGTATATGGGTTAAACCTTAATGGGTCATCAGTTTCAGAGAAGAAGCAATTTTTTATTGTAGCTGATGGCAAATGCTTTTGGAAAAGAATGAAAGCAGTCGGTCCCTGTGGATGACAGACCTAGAGTGGCCATGGTTAAAAATCTCATGGAGTTTATTATAATAATAATGTAATTGACAAAGAAATTTGTTTATTTCTGTGGCATACAAAACTTGAAGATAATAACCAAGATTATGACCGATAACATATCAGATTTTGAAGAATTCAATATAATTTTGTAACACATATCAATAACATTCTGAAATACAACTTAAAGAAGGTTTAGCACCACTTAGTATTTGACAATACTCCCTATATAATTTAATATATCAAGTAAGTCTCATTAGTTTAATATATCTCTTTACAATGTGAGATACACATTCTTTGATCTTTCCAGGGGTCCAAATGAGAAATATCAAAATTAACTTGAGGGCAAAAAGAGTTAATTTAAAATATTATTTTGGGAAGTTTGTCAAAAACATCAAACAGTTTAAAACACTTTATCAGAGTACGATAACAGGTAACCAAAATGAAAATTAAAAGATTTCAAAAAATAAATGTAGAAATTTACATAATTGTCAACAAAAACATAGCTTTTTAATACTGAGAACATTTACTTTTCTCTTTTTTTAACTTTTATTTTAGGTTCAGGGGTACACATGTGGGTTACTTACGCATTTATATGGGTAAATTGTGTGTCACGGGGTTTGGTGTATAGATTATTTCATAACCCAGATAATAAGCATAGTACCCAGTAGGTAATTTTTAAATTTTCATCCTCCTTCCTCCCTCCACTCTAAAGTAGGCCCAGTGTCTGTTGTTCCATTTGTGTCCATATGTACTCAATGTTTAGCTCCCCTTATAAGTGAGAACATATGGTATTGGGTTTTCTAGGATAATGGCCTCCAGCTCCACTCATGTTGCTGGAAAAGAGATGATCTCATTCTTTTTATGGCTGCATAGTATTCCATGTTGTATATCTACCACATTTCTTCATCCACTGATGGGCATTTAGGTTGATTCCATGTCTTTGCTATTGTGAAAAGTGCTGCAATGAACATACACGTGCATGTGTCTTTATGGTAGAATGATTTGTATTTCTTTTGGTATATACTCAATAGTAGGATTGATGAGTTGAATGGCACTTCTGCTTTGAGTTCTTTGAGAAATGGCCACACTGCTTTCCACAATGGCTGAACTACCTTACATTCCCACCATCACTGTATAATCATTCCCTTTTCTCCACAACCTCACTAGCATCTCTTATTTTTTGAGTTTTTAATAATAGCCATTCTCATTGGTGTGAGATGGTATCTCATTGTGGTTTTGATTTGCATTTCTCTAATGATTAGTGATGTTGAGCATTTTGTCATATGCTTTCTGGCCACATGTATGCCCTCCTTTGAAAGTGTCCGTTCATGTACTTTGTGTACGTTTAAATGGGATTGTTTGTTTTTCACTTGTTGACTTTTTTAAGTTCACCAGATGCACTGTGCTGGGGTTCTGTGATAGTCCCTAATTGCTGTGCACCCTCCCAAGCCTGAGAGCAGCAGGAGGGAGGGTTGCGAGACAGCAAAAAGGTGGACTGCCTCTCTCTTTGGAAGCTGCATGCCGGAGAAGTGTAGAGCTGCTCCCAGCTGGAGAACTCAGGAGGACTAGGGTGGCCTCACTAGCATCCCAGGCTAGTGGGCCTTATCCTACAAGGTTCAGTGGTGGTGAGGTCTGCAGTCTATCACTGCTCAGCCCCATGGACTTGGCCCCTTTTCTGGGGAGCGTGCAAGAAAACTTGGCCTTCCCAATTGCTGGAGCTGCAGCCCCTGGTTTTGGGGTACCCAGGGAACAAATGCTACTGGAACTCCACACCTACCTAAGAAGCAGCTCTACCCAGACTCCACATGGCTCTCTGTTTTGGTCTGGAGACCCCAGCTGGGGTATCTCCTGAGCCCAGGGATTCAAAGGTTCGTGGCAGAAATATGCATCCCACGGGACTCTCACTCACTCACCATTTTCTTGTAGGGGGATTCCCCTGGGTCTGTGCCACTCCTGGGTGAATGGCTGATCTGTCTCACTCTTCTCCGTGATCCGAAGGTCACACTATGTCACTGATGAATCCTTATGTGTCCACCTGGATGTTCCGGTTGAAGAGCTAGTGTCTCACCACTCTTTCTGCTATTTGTGAGAGTGGCACACACTAGCTGCTTCTAGTCAACCATCTTGGCCCCACCTCACTCACTTTTCTCAAGTAATCAAAGACCTAGTAAAAGAGAGCATAAAGCATAAGAAATTACCTTGATAAACAAAAAATCTTGGTTTATTAGGCCAGTTATCTAAAAGGTAGAGAAAACATTTCACTATTTTCTATTAAGAGCAGGTCAATACTCAAAGAAAAGCTTGTTGTTTCAGCACAGGGGACAAATTTCAAGTTTTCCATTCCTGTACTTTTGATAATAATGCTCAAGTTTTCAGAATATTTATAAATAATTTCCTTTTAACTTTAGCCAACTTGGTCACACATAAAATTCTTTTCACAAGATTAATCTTCCACAAACTTTCTATAAATTTGTCATCCAGTTATCTTATTCAGTTTTTGTCTATATTTTTTCTCTTTTTCTTTTTGGAACAGTAAGACATTCTACTTTTAGACAAAAAATACTCTCTTTTTCCCTTAACAAAAACACAACCTCTTACTTATAACTTTCTTTATGTGTTTTCCTTCCCTCGCGTACAGATTTGTTTCCCTTCATTATTTCTAGTTTAAATTACTCTAATATTAATTTTAATTAACTCTTAGTAACCTTAATTTCTAGTGAAAATTAGTAAGCATTTTGAAGTGCATCATGTTAGTATTTTGCAGATGAACACCATCTCATAAAATAATTTTTATGCCTTTAATTAACAGGCCCAAATATGTTTAGCTTTTCCATAACATGTGAAACCAAGATGCCAAATTACGTATATTTTAAACTTCTGTTAAGCAATTGATATTTCAGTATTTTCCTTAGAAATGACTCAAATATTAAATCAGTAAAGTGTTACTTAATTTAATATAACATGATTTTAAGATTTCAAGTCACACTAAATTATTTTTGAAATTCTGACAACTTTATTATCAACCTTTTGTCAATGTATATTCACCTAATTCACTTGTTCTTAACAATTGTGCTTCAGTTCCTCCTTAAACACAACGATGAGTGGATTTATAGCTTTAAGACATTCATTATACATCTCAGTAATAGCAAGCTTGTTTCACCAGTAACTTTAGGTTTAAAAACTGTATCTGTACATTGTAATTAATGCTGACAATTCTGAAAATATTTGTTTTTATTTTGCCAACAAATTTTAAAACTAGCTTTGTCTGCCAAAGATTATTTCATCACATAAGCCAAAAGGCAATTGAGTTTCTGTTTTTCTGAGAGAATTCTTAGTTTAAACACTTATGTTTTCTCTGTAAGCCAATTAAGTAGAGCCGTTTATGAATTTTGGTAGAAAAAATTGTACATACGCACACACACACACACACACGTAGAAAAATACAGACAGAGGAAGAACTTACAACTTGCATTAAGAATTGTTATTTGCCTGGCTTGCAAGTAGTTTTACTCCCTCTTTCAGACTATCTGTCTTTTAATGATCTGTTCAATTGGCCCATAAACAAGTGTTAGTTAGGCCACCCAAAATTTGTACTTCCAAAGAGATGATTTTTAGGTGAAGGAATGTAGAAAATTTAAATCTCAAAGGTACAGAACTTAAACACCACTATTTGTTGAGATGAAAAAAAGCATATATAGGAAGCCTTCAGAATGAAATGGTCAAGGGTGAGTTTACACAGATAGATAGATTTAGGTCTCTTCCTTTTGCTTTGTGAAAGCATCTAGTGTTTTAGGTGTCAGAGAGGGAGATATCCTTACAAAGCAGAGATTATCATTACAGGTTTACATTTCTTACAAAGAGTTTCAAAATAAACAGGTAAATGCCAAAAACATATATTTTGGAGACGGATTAATTCACTAGTTGGTCTATTCAACTTAACTTGTTTCCTAATGAGATTAAATTCATGCACAAATAACCAAACCAAAAATTAAACCAAAAGAATACTCACCAGAAAGGATGTCCTTTACAAGAGCAGATCCCCCAAAATGTAAGAGTTCACTGAAAAGGTGGGAGCTCAAACCAAGAGAGGACTTATCTCGCAGCATAAAGACAACTTGTACAAGTGAAGATCACAATAGGCTCAGGTGAGTATCATACACAATTTCAAGTATCGCCAGATACTTGAAAGCCTTCCAAAGGCTTTCTTTGTTACTGTTTGGATAACAGTGCTGTAACTGTAAGTAACAAAGAAGGCTTGGAGCCTTTGCATCTTGCTTCTGACATTAGATTATGTCAACTTAAACAACAGAGATACTGACTCTCTAAAATAAAGAGTGGAGTGTATTCAGGAAATAGCAGTAAATTGCAATTTGAAATACACATGCTATGGTGGACCTTAGGCACCAAAGAAGCTGAGGGACTGTATTAGTTTGTTCTAGCACAAAGAACTACCTGAGACTTGGTAATTTATAAAGAAAAGAGGTTTAATTGACTCATGATTTCATAGGCTGTACAGGAAACATGATTGGAGGAGGCCTCAGGAAACTTACAATGATGGCAGAAGGCAAAAAGGAAGGAGGCACGTCTTACATGGCCGAAGCAGGGGGAAGAGGGCAAAGGGGAAATACCACACACTTTTCAACAAGCAGGTCTCATGAGAACTCACTATCACAAGAACAGCAAGGAGGAAATCCACCCCCATGATCCAATCGCCTCTCACCAAGCCCCTCCTCCAACATTGGGGATTACAATTCGACATGAGATTTGGGTGGGGACACAAATCTAAACCATATCAGGAAGGCAAAAATCTTAAAAGAGAAATTTTATGTAAGTTTTGTAATAAACCTCATGGGCCAGAGAAGCTTGTTACAAGAGTTGGCAAATACTCATTGATAATATTGGCTGTTGCTGGAGAGATGTCTTCATAGAATTATCATATCTAACATTTTCGTGGTTTTTGAGAGAACCATTGCAGCAGTTCTTATTATAGACATATGTACATGAAGGCCCCTCTTTCATGGCCTCCCAGCTTCATTTTTTTATGGTTTGATGTAAGTGACTCCATTTTGGTGCTCACAACTTCCACATTTCTCCCTTTTGGTTGAAATATTTTTCTGAAAGCATTTCACACTTAAAAGATATAGATTGGCCGGGCATGCTGGTTCATACCCGTAATCCCAGCACGTTAGGAGGCGGAGGTGGGTGGATCACCTGAGGTTGGGAGTTCGAGACCAGCCTGACAAACATGGAGAAACCCCATTTCTACCAAAAATACAAAATTAGCTGGGCGTGGTGGCACGTGCCTGTAATCCCAGCTACTCAGGAGGCTGAGGCAGGAGAATCACTGGAATCCAAGAGGCAGAGGTTGCAGTGAGCTGAGATCACGCCATTGCACTCCAGCTTGGGCAACAAGAACGAAACTCCATCTCAAAAAACAAAAACAAAAACAAACCAACAAAAAATGAAATAATTGTAAAAACCAACCATAGTTCTCAGTAATGATAGTTTCATTTCCGTCAGCTATTAGTAGAGTTAATTAACTCCTATCAACCTCACATTTTCCATTTAAAAAATACAGGAGAAAAAGTTTGATGTGGGTTTAATGAGAAAACTTATATAAAATAGATCTAACTACTATATTTATCACAAAACAGATGCACAAACTATGTTTTTTTCCTCTCACTTGTTCTTATTTTATATATCATTTTAATTGAGGAAATCATTGAGCATAATGTAACAAATATTTTCATAAGTTATTATAAAGAGGGTTTGAAGGACTTGTTAGAAAGTGTCTGGCAGTGGAAAAAACATCTGAATAGAAAAAGAAAATAGCATGTGAATGCTGAAATAGCGTATTAAATAGCTGCAACTCTAATATAATTTACATTTGGATTTTAGTGTAGACAGAATACTTAAATTTATTTCTGCAGTCTTTTCAGTTGTTAAACATTTTATTGAACTCTTCATGTGCCTTTCAGATGTATTGTGCTTCAAGTGTGCTTGTACCAGCTTTTTCTGTTTAGAAATGCTTGAGTGTCTCCATTGTCAAAACGATCAGAAGGCAGTAATTGTATTTCCAATGTGAGGACAAACAATACTAGATATCCTGCGATCCTACATTGTAAAAAATATTCCCATCAAATGCCCCAATGGATAGCCACGTAAGTGATCATCTGTAATTATTTAGTCAAGAAATGAATATTTTACATGTAAATACTTTGAATGGCTTAATACAAACTAAATTTTTCAGAATGCAACCACTACGGAAATTGAAGAGAAAAAGTCTTTTTATTGTAGAAACTTCCCAGAGTCTTTCAATATTTACAAAAATTATGTTGCCAGTGGCAATACCTTAGTTATTTGAATCACCAGTAGAACACACTATAAAAACATGCATTGTCACATCTGTACCCTGTCACATCCAGGATAACGATAATATTGAGATATATAACTATTTAGCCCTTATTTTAAAACATCAGGTAACAAGCATCAATCAATTTCTATCAAATGTTTCAACTTGGGTATTACAGCATAAGCAGAAATATACTGTTACCAATATCCCAGCCAATTTCTTTTCCTAATGAAACAATAAAACTGAGAATATAGAGACCATTTAGTAAAGCTGATATATATATATGTTTGCATATGTGTGTGTGTGTGTGTGTGTGTGTATATACATATAAATGTAATTAATACAGTAGATGAGGTCAAAGAAGCAAGTGATACACAACTTTTAATTTGGATGGGATGTCCTTGAAGATTCCTGTATTAGTCCTTTCTCACATTCCTATATGAAAATACCTGAGACTGAGTAATTTATAAAAGAAAGAGGTTTAATTGACTCACAGTTCCCTATGACTGGGGAGGCCTCAGGAAACTTACAATCGTAGTGGAAGGTGAAAGGGAGGCAGGCACTTTCTTCACAAAATGGCAGGAAAAAGAAGGATGGGAGGAGGAACTTGCCGAACAGTTGTAAAACCATTAGATCTCGAGAGAACTCACTCACTGTCATGAGAACAGCTTGGGAGAAACCACCTCCATGATTCAATTACCTCCACCTGGTCTCTCCCTTGACATGTGGGGATTATGGGGTTTACAATTCACCATGAGATTTTGAGTGGGGACACAGCCAAACCATATCAACTCCTAAATCTTAATACACTTTATTACTAGCTGATATGATTTGGATCTGTGTCCCTTACCAAATCTCATGCCGAATTGTAATCCCCAGTGTTGGAGGTGGGGTCTTGTGGGAGGTGACTGGATCATGGGGGCAGATTTCCCCCTTTGATGCTGTATCATGATAGCATCCTCATGAGATATGGTTGGTGAAAGTGTGTGGCACCTTTTCTCTTCCTCTCAGTCCTGCTTCTGCCTCGCAAGATTCGTGCTTCCACTTTGCCTTCTGCCATGAGTAAAATCTCCCTTTAGCCTCCCCAGAAGCAGATGCTGCTATGCTTCCTGTTCAGCCTGCAGAACTGCGAGCCAATTAAACTTCTTTGCTTTATAAATTACCCCATCTCAAGTGTTTCTTTATAGCAGCAGTGTGAGAACAAGCTAATACACTAGCCTTCTTGAATACATCTTAGCAAGCTCTCGAGCAGCGTAACCACATAGATTAGAGAAGGCCAAAACTGACAGATTCCCATCTTGACCAAAGTTTAATCATTCTTCTCCAGTCCCTCTTCTCAGGCCCAGTTTAACAAAGACGCCTGCTAAGCCAGTTCACTGAGAATCACTTCGCCCTGGATATCTTATCACTTTGGCATGCCTTTAGCAATAATGCAGTTTAGCAAGAACCCCGCTCCCCGCCACCCCACCCCCCGCCACCCTTAATATCTAATTAGTTTCTATCCACTGACTCACTCCCTCAGCTCTTTGCTTATAAATTTCCAGCTCCATGCTGGGAGAAATTTTAGTTCAATCTCTCTCTACTATAGCTATATTATTCCCCCATTGCTATAGTCCTGAATAGTCTTCCTTGCTATTTTTAACAAGCAACCAGTGTACACGTTTCCTTTTGACAAAACATAGTGTCCATATGTAGAGGGAAGAGGAAAGCTAACAAAATATAAAGTCATCCAAACCACACACACCTTGGACAAGCTTATCATGTGTGGGAATAAAATGCTGGAGGTGGGTTTGGCTTCCCAAAAAAAAAAAAGTGTGTAGTTTGAAATTTCATATCAAGAACAGTTAAATTCCCAGATTCTTTATCATTACTGAATACCTTAGTAATTATTCTTCATTTAACACAACAGGAAATAGGAGATTTATTTTCTGGAGAGACTTGTCCAATTAAAGTGGGGATATGGTTGCTCCGTTGAGCAGAAATTTGGCTTATATAGACCCAAAGCTCAGAAAAAGAGTTATAGATCTAAAATGACAATCATTGAGACAATAAAGTCCATGGAAACCACGATGGGAAGCATCTACGTGGAAATAAAAAGTTGGATTTTCAGTAGAGAAATTGGTAACAATGTAAATTTCCTCTTAATGTCAGGTGAGAACTAATTCTGAAGTCAGAGGAGGAAAGTAGCCTACAACAAAGAGTAAGATCATCTTGACAGGATCAGGGAGAAAGATAATAGTTGCAAATGGAGACAGGTATATTGATTTAGTGCCAGGTAGTTGAAAGACTATGAGTATAAAGACTTATATTTTCTCTGTGTTGCAGTAGCAAAGTCATCTGCAGAGAGAGAGAAGTGAGAAGGGAGAAGAGAGTGTCAGAAATTAGAGGATTGTAGAGATTGAAAAAGTTATGTCAGGCACAATTGAAAACCCGGTTTCCAATGGTGATCATTGTCTTAAAATATTATCAGTTTGTTTTCTTGCATGGCATTCTTCAGCAGCAGTCATGGACTGAGAAATATGCAGAAATCAGATAGTTGAGTTCATCTAGAGAAGAGGTTGCAATGTGCTTCTAAAAAGGACAAAACCAAAAGCAACCGAGGGAGAGAGAGAGAGAGGGAGAAAGAGAGAGAGAAAAATGAAGATGTGAAAGGGGATAGGTCAAAACTCATTAATTTTTTTTAAGCAAAGGGCCAGATAGTAAATATTTTTATTTTGTGAGCCATATTGTCTCTGTAGGAAGTACTCAGTTCTCCCATGTTCTGCAAAAGCAACCATGGACAATAAGAAAATGTGGCTGCGTTCCAATAAGAATTTATTTAAAAAATAGGTGATGGATTGTATTTAGCCCAAGGGAAGCAGTATGTCAATTCTGGTTTTATGTTACTGGCAATTACATTTTAAAATATTCAGTAATTGAATCTACAATATCGATTCCCAACTATTGCTGCATATTAGTATCATAATAGAATGCCAGGTCCCAGAGACACTGGGTCAGCCAATCTCAATTGGGGCCAAGGCACTCATATGTATCTTTGGAACCTCCTCAGGCAATTCTAACATAAAGCCAGTGTTGAGAAGAGCCATTGTTAGTTTGCTTGTGGGAGTAACTGACCGCAGGAGGATCATAATGCTATAGGCAAAGGCTGAGGCACCAGTGGATTGAAAGTCCTAGTGAGGCAGGAGAACAGCTGCAGTGGGAATTGTTGCCACACTGAACAGACAGGAGATTGATCAAAGAGTGGTGTGCTTATTTAGTCATTTAAGAGGAATATCATGTTTTGTCATTATACATTTCATGGGTTTGGTAAGCAGCCTCTAAAATTGCTCCATGTCACTTGTACCCCTGGTAGAGGTAACTCCTTGAGGAATCTTCTACTCTGTTGTCCTAGTTGAATTTATCTCACTTCACTATCAAATAGACTGTGGCAGAAGTGATGGATATCACTTCCAACATTAGATTGCACAAAGACTGTGGCTTCTGTCTTGGGAATCCTCTCTCTCTCTTTCATTGTAAGGGAAGCTGACTTCTATGTTGGGCGCTGCCTATTAAGAAGTCCACATAGCACGGAGCCAGTGTCACCAGTCACAGCCAGCAAGGAAGGACCTGGGGACTGCCCCCAGCCACATGATTAATCTTAGAAGTGAATCTTCCCTAAGTAAGGCTTTTAAATGATGGCAGCCTTATGAGAGTCCTTGAGCTAGAGGGCCTTACTAATTCTGATATAGTTCCTGACCCAGAGAAGTTGGCATAATGAATGTTTGTTGTTTTAATCCACTAAGTTTTGGAGGTAATATGTTAAGCATCAACAGATAACTAATAAAAGGAGTGATTCTGAGCAAGAAAGGCTTAAGTGGAGGGAAGCTAAGGTCGAATAGTTTATGAATATCATCCTGTAAGAATACAGGGCTTGGAGCTTTGAAGGTGGGAGCAGAAAAAAATTTATGTAAGCTTGTCATTAACAATATGACTAAAAAAGTTCATTATACTGAAGGATAAATGCTTACATGTGCCTCAGAGAATAGATGTTTTTATTCCCGGGAAGAAAGATAAACTTTTTCAAAAAACATAAAGATTAAGTAGGATGCAGTTTCCAGCTTTGGATTCTGACATTCAGGACATGGGGAGGGTGATGAGCTTCTCCTGGAGGACTGAATTTAGGACACAATCAAGTTCATGATGGAAGCCCTTATGAGGTAGAGAGGGAGTGCATCTCAGCTCTTTCGATTAATTAAATGATTGTTTGAATTGGAGAAGGTGTGGGTATTTTGTGTTGTTTGGGTGAGTACATTGGAATGGTTTTCTAGCATTCCTTTGAGATTTTCCACAGTATAAGTTAAGGTAAAAGAACATTTTTACTTGTTTCAGAAAGCATACTGAGGAAGCTTTAATGTTACTATTAAGTAGGTAGGGAAATGACCAATATTATAAACGCAGATTTCCAGCCTCTCCTTTTAATGCTTTCAGAATGATTCCACAAGAACCTTGAAAATGTTGAGTATTTATATTTATTTTATGCCCTTTTATTGTGATTTTTTTAATAAATAACATTTTTTTGGTAAATACTGGAAGTTAATATTCTATAGTTCAGAAAAGCAATTTTGAACACTCAACTAGTGAGCCCATATAAAACTACATAACAGCACAGAATATAGTAAAATAATAATATAATGAACTGGGAGACAAACTAGGCACTGTGTGCCAAGTTTTTCAAGGAAGATACAATTTCAATACCAATGAAATAAACTCCCACAAATTGATTTTTCTTTGTGTGCACTCATCAGTGTAAATACAATTAAGTAATAAAGCCTGTATTTGTTCAGGAAAGATGTTTTCTATTCATAGTCTGATATCTGGGTGCTTTGGTTTCTGATAATTTGTTATGTAAAAACCCTGCAAATTAAAAAAAAAAAAATCAGCAGCTCCAAGTTCATGGGCCCTTATCACAGAGGATTTAAAACCTGTGCATTTTCTTTAAACTGAGAATATTATTACATTTTTTAATCCAGTGATGAGACCATAATAGTTTTCTGAAATAATTCAGAATAATTATATACCTAAAAGTTAATTTGCATGTGCTGTAATTTAAATAAAAGGACAGTTAATTTTTGCATTACAAAACATGAAAAATAAAATCAAACGTTGCATCTTTACTTTTATTACATAAATTCCTTTACATTGTAGTGCCCCCTAGCACCACGCAAGTTTATAAACTGCTTTCAATATTAATTATGTTATTATAATAATAACTAATTTAAGAATGTATTATTAAAGTCAGTAATTTAATAATAATAATTTCAACAATATATGTGTCACAAAAATACCTGAAATTACAATTAGTATGTCCGGTTTACTGATGGGAATACTGTGGCTCAAAAACATCATCTCAGGCAGGGTGTGGTGGCTAACTCATGTAATCCCAGCACTTTGGGGGTCCAAAGCAGGTGGATCGCCTGAGATCAGGAGTTTGAGACCAGCCTGGCCAACATGGTGAAACCTCATCTCTACTAAAGTACAAAACCGGTCCGGCATGGTGGTGCACACCTGTAATCCCAGCTACTCGGGGGGCTGAGGCAGGAGAATCACTTGAACCCATGAGGAGGAGGTTGCAGTGAGCCAAGATCACACCACTGCCCTCTAGTCTGGGTGACAGAGTGAGAGTCCTTCTCAAAAAAAAAAAAAAAAAAATCATCTCACCCAAATCATGTAGCTACAAAGTTATGGTTTAGAATAATTCAACTATTTTACTGAAATCAAAACTTTTACTATTAACCAATCAGTTACACTCAGCTTTGTGTAACTGAATACCAAATAACATCATGTTCCAGTAATTTTCATTTGAGTGAGAAGGGAGCACACTGGTACCCTGGACACACCCAGATACACTAAATCAGAACCTCTAAAACTTGGTGACTGTAAAAATAATTTTATTCTGAGTCTGAAACATATGCTCCGTGTTTCTTAGCAAGTTTCTGCAGCACAGGAGTCAGGTGAGGGAAGGTAGCGCCCCACTCCTGGTTATGGAAGGCAGAGGGTGAGTTCTGCTGCACATATGAAGCTATGGAGAGAGCAAGACTGCATAGGAGCAGGGTACAGTCTCTGGATATAGAAGACAGATAAACCTGGGTTATAGTTGACCCAGTGGAAAATTATAGGCCAAGAATAAGTTTCCAGATACCTTAATAGGACTGGGCATTTGATAAATTTTGAAAGTTCTCTGATAACTCGTATGTGCAGTGTAGGCTAAGAACTCACGGAAACAATATAGACATTTTTTGCCTCTCAGGGATATGCAGACACCCCAGTTCAGATATGATGTCTTCATGATCATCAGAAATCCAGATGGCTATTATCTTGTTGCTTTGCACCTCCAAGTACTGCTGCTTGTCATGTTGCCCCATGGCTGCCCCAGATCTAGCCATCAGAGCTGCCTTTCCAAGAAGGAAGAAAGCACAGAGATAGGACATGCCCCCTGCATATAAGTCAGCTTCTCAGAAGTTACACGCGTTACTTCCCCTTACACAACATAGGTCAGAAATTGGTCACATGTGTCATGCCCTATGTTAAGAAAAGATTGGGAATATAGCATTTATTCCTGGTGATCATGTGTCCGGCTAAGCATTAGAGGACATTTTTACTGATGGCGAAAGGGTCAGTGGAGATTGCGGTGAACCAGCCATCTCTGTCCAATAGGCACTTTATTTGGTGACGATAATTATAGGAAAGGTAGCACTAGACAGTTTTAATTCATTGAAGTTATTTTGGTTTTTTCTTGTTAATTTGTTTGTTTGCTTATTTGTTTTATCCTTCAGAGAAATGCTAGAAATTTAGTAATTAAATTAAATATTTCATTGAACACAAAAGCATAACATTATGGAAAAGAGTAACTGTTGTTTGGTTTTATTTATATATGTTAGTGTTTATACTGACTAATCTCACCAATGGAGACAGACAATTTCTAAGATTTATTATAGGCATTGTGTTTGGATCTTTCTTTCAGAAAAGTAAAAATCAGCTTAACCCAAAAATTATTTTAATAATAATTGGCATATCCAGCTTCATCCATGTCCCTACAGCGGACATGAACTCATACATTTTTATGTCTGCATAGTATTCCCATGGTGTATATGTGCCACATTTTCTTAATCCAGTCTATCATGGATGGACATTTGGGTTGGTTCCAAGTCTTTGCTATTGTGAATAGTGCCGCAATAAACATATGTGTGCATGTGTCTTTATAGCAGCATGATTTATAATCCTTTGGGTATATATCCAGTAATGGGATGGCTGGGTCAAATGGTATTTCCAGTTCTAGAAGCTGGAAACCATCATTCTGAGCAAACTATCGCAAGGACAGAAAACCAAACACCGCATATCCTCACTCATAGGTGCAAATTGAACAATGAGAACACCTGGACACAGGGTGGGGAACACGACACACCGGAGCCTGTCGTGGGGTGGGAGGAGGGGGCAGGGATAGCATTAGGAGATATGCCTAATGTAAATGACGAGTTAATGGCTGCAGCACACCAACATGGCACATGTATACATATGTAACAAACCTGCACATTGTGCACATGTACCCTAGAACTTAAAGTATAATAAAAATAAATAAATAATAATTGGCATATCCAGAACCCTTTGCTGTCTTCTGCTACATTTGCACAAATTCACAGCTATTTGAATACCAGTCATTGTCAATCCTGGTCAGCTTTGAAAATACTGTTCCTTAGTTTTGCTCTCTGCCTAATTTACTTGGATTGAGGGGAAACCCAGGAATCAGTTGATTTGAGTACGTAGCCAATGTTGTAAAGAACTAATTGCTTTAACTTCTAATAGAAAAATATCACTATTTTTTTTAAAAAGTTACATAATTCATGTGTAGGAACATAATCCTTTTAGCCTAGAAGTAAAAAATGATATAGTCTTGCCCTATAGCACTGATCATGGCCATATATAATTTATAATAACCAAAATAATGACAATATTTTGGTACAGCATGCTCTATTAATTTGAATGCTCACGAGTTAACACATAATTCAATGTGATATGTATTAGGTTATAGAAAACCATGAGGTAAAAATCATAGGCTGCATTGAACTTTCTACTTCCCCAACTTTGCCTCATTATAGGGAGGGATGCAGCCCTAGAGTTCAAGAATTCCATAAAGACCAACCTGAAATTCTGGTGCCTGGCATCTTGTCACACCTTCTTCCAATACACAAACATCAAGGAGTGTAGAAGTTGAACATGGTCTGTTGTCACTGCCTCAAAGAATCCACTTCTAGCTTGTTCACACTAGGGTGTGAACATTTAAAGAGGGTAGGGAAGAACCACCTGGGTGGATTTTCACTGGGGATCTTATAATAAACTCTCAAAATCCCAGATTGAGACAAGGGAAGGGATGCTCAGTCGTATGTAATTAGGAAAAAGAGAGGGATTTTGAACCCACCCCTGCATCATCTAAGTCAAATAGAGCCAGTGTAACTGTTGGGACCGTTGCAGGTAGGGTGTGCTAGGTACCAAGCCGCAGTTAGGTAACCAATGACTTTTACAAGCTTATTTTCATCTCAGTACACCACATGCTTCATGTGCCACGTGCATGTATGTAAGTTACACATCTAAGATTATATTATTGGGTTACACTACCATGAATTATCTAAGGAAAACAGAATGATCATCATTGTGTGTGCAAAGACGACTTCTGAAATTAATACCAACAAGAGATTTCTTCTTTGCATATTTTCAAGCAGAAAGTGGACTAAATTATATCATTGGAGCATGACGTCTCAAAAAATATTTATTGCCAAATAATTCTTTACTGCTAAAAATTATTTATTGCATGAAATAGAAAAGATCTGAGACTGAAACTTCCATTTAAAAACATGATTTAAAAAAATAGAGTAATTACATAACAATTATGAAACTCAGATGCCAGAGTCAGAAATCAAGAAATTAACTATGTCAAGCAATTACAATATGATTACAAAGGCCCTTATATATTCATACAAGCTTTTTGCATTTTTTGAGCTAATTTTATGAAAAACATCAAAAGCCAGAAAACTAATGCTTAATGTATATTTTAAGGCCAAGAACAATATAGAAAAATTAATTTTCTCCTTAAAGTTTTTTAAGATATTTAAAGTAAACATTTTAAAAATTATTTAATCTGTGACCCAATTTGAATCACTTTGCTCTTCAGATTCCGATGTCTCCACAAAAATTCCGATGTCTCCTTGAAATTAGCTGATACATTATAAGAAATGAATGACTGTCCTGTCCTATTTGGGATACACATAAAAGTTACCCCAAAGGTTTAATTAGATAGTGAAGTACAAAAATACAGATTTGTAAAATATTACATATATAAACAATATAAATCTCTATTTTGACAAGTGACTTGATAAACTAGGTTAAATAATTGTTAATAGAGTTGAGTAAAGGCAGTGATGTTGGTAAACTAGTGATCCAAATGAAAAGAAAGTCGGCTGGGCACGGTGGCTCACGCCTGTAATCCCAGCACTTTGGGAGGCCAAGGCGGGTGGATCACAAGGTCAGGAGTTCGAGACCAGCCCGGCCAATATTGTGAAACCCCGTCTCTAATAAAAAATACACAAATTAGCCCAGCGTGGTGGCATGGTGCCTGTAGTCACAGCTACTCAGGAGGCTGAGGCAGGAGAATCGCTTGAACCAGGGAGGTGGAGGTTGCAGCGAGCTGAGACCACACCACTGCACTCCAGACTGGGCAACAGAGTGAGACGCCATCTCAAAAAAAAAAAAAAAAAACCAGAAAAAAAGAAAGTCTTGATACATGGTGTATGCTGCATGTATGTAAGTTACACTCAAAGAGTAAGTCCTCCCACCATAGCTGTTTTCAAGTTATTACCATTTCAAGATACTAACTCCTGTGAATAGGAGGGTGAAGTCTTTAAATTACAGGAAATTGCAATAAAAGCCTGAGGCAAAGATATTTCAAGGGTTTTGGTTAAACAAAAGACACATTGGCTGGCATGAACAAGAGGAATCCACTATTGAAACCATCTTAGTCAATGGCAGGAAGACAGTGTTATGAGTCTACTGGTTACAGAAAATCTTTGTTTTAAAAACTCAGGTTTATCGAATTAAAATTTATATATGCCAAAAGTCATCTTTTTAAGTATGCAGTGTGTTGAAAACATAGATGGTTATATAACAAATACCATCCTCAAGATATAGAACAGTAACATCACCTAGAAAAATTCCCTTTTGTGCCTTTTGAATCAGTATTTCTGCTGCCCTCAGTCTTTGGAAATCGCTGTTCTTTGTCCCTATGGTTTTATATTTTCTAGAATGTCATACACAAGGGAGCAAACAGCATCCTGAATAGGCCTTTAAATCTGGCTTTTAAAATAGCATAATAAATCTGAGACACATTCATGTTGTTATGTTATCAGATTTGTTTCTTTTTCTTCCTAATGTGATATTAAATAGATACAGTATATAACTTTTTGACTATTCACCAGTTTTTGAAATTATGAATCATATGGTTAAAGTCACCAACAGATATACATATGTATATTACATATATGTATAATAATGTATGTATATATAATATATGTATATATACATATATGTATATAGTATACATATAAATCAGTGGATTCTTCAATTTTTTTATTGTCAAAATGATTTTTCCATTATAATTCCTTTGCTTCTCTGTTGAAAGTTTTAGAATGAGCTTGTTTGTTAGTTGCAAATATCCTGTTAGGAATTTTAACTGGATTGAATTTTTGTATTGAATTTTTTGTTTGGTTTGAACAGAATTAATTTATTGTCAATATTGGCTACCAAGCTCTTTACTTATTTACTTCTTCTTTGATTTCTTTTACCAGTGTTTTTTTAGTTTTTGTTACCCTTTCTCCATGTTTTTTTAGATTAAGAATTTAATGTTTCTTGTGCTACTTTAAATGTAACTTTAAAAAATTCTAATTTCCAATTGTTCATTAATAGTGTTGTAAAGTAGCGGGTCCCCCACCAGGGAATTTAAGGGCATATGTTGACTGCTTGAGTCCTGAAGGCTAGATGGTGAGCAAAGTTCATGGTGCTCAGCCGAGGAGCAGATGTCCCTGAAAACCAAAACATCCGGGAGCATATCTAGGTACATACCAAGAAGAACAGTTTCATCACATGTAGTAAGCAAAGAGCCAGAAAAGTAGCTTTGGCCGGGCGCGGTGGCTCATGCCTGTAATCCCAGCACTTTGAGAGGCCAAGGCGGGCGGATCACGAGGTCAGGAAATCAAGACCATCCTGGCTAACGTGGTGAAACCCCGTCTCTACTAAAAATACAAAAGATTAGCCGGGCGTGGTGGAAGGCGCCTATAGTCCCAGCTACTCGGGAGGCTGAGGCAGGAGAATGGCGTGAACCTGGGAGGCGGAGCTTGCAGTGAGCCGAGATCCCGCCACTGCACTGCAGCCTGGGCGACAGAGCGAGACTCCGTCAAAGAAAAGAAAAGAAAAGAAGAAAAGAAAAAAAAGAAAAGAAAAGAAAAGAAAAGAAAAGAAAAGAAAAGAAAAGAAAAGAAAAGAAAAGTAGCTTAAAAGCAGCTTAGAGGAAGATGGTGGGCAGCAGGCGGATCTCTGGAGTTATCCCGCTGCCCTTTACGTAAGTCCTAATAAACTCATCTTCTCATGAAGCTGGACTTGTCTGAGTCCTTCTTTGTTATTTCAGCACTATCTCTTTGGCAGAGGGATGTTCTTCTACACAGGTCTGGGTTTTTCCTGCAACAATTATATATAAAAAATAATTCTGTATATTAACATTATAGTGTTATAGTGCATAGTGTGAAATTACAAAACTCACAATTTATTTCTAGTAGCTTCACTTTTAATAATTTTAATTATTTTGTACTCACAATTTATTTCTAGCAGCTTCACTGCTAATAATTTTAATTATTTTGTACATAATGGAATACTGTGCATAGACCATCCACGAATCAAATAGAGTTTTATTTCTTCGTATCCAATTTGTATGCCTTTTGTTTATTTTTCTTACTTTAGTACACTGGTTAAAATTTCCAGTATACAGTTAAATAGTTCTTGAGGACAGGTTTCCTGTACTTCTTTTCTTCGTGCCTGTGTATAACGTATATTTAACTATATAATACATACAACACAACTATGTTTGTCTTCATATAATTTTTTACCTTTTTTTTAGTTTGTTTACGTAGCCCCTATATCTCTAGAAATGTTTCTTGGATTTACGATTTGATTGCCTTCACTTCTTTTGGAAAATTCTCATTCATTTTGTTTTTAAGTATTTATCATCCTTGTTCTCTTTCATGAATCCGTTCAAGTTAGGCATCCAGAGCTGTCCTTCAGCTCTTGGATGCCATGTTCTGCTATTTATCACTCTTCTTGTTTCTTACTTGTATTTGTTATTCAATTTCTATGTTTTTTATCTTCAACTTTACTGTTCCATTCTTTATTCATATCAAGTCTTCTGATGAATTACTTCATTGGTGTTTGCATTTTGAGGTAGATACAACAGTATATCTATTGAGACATTAATTAGTGCAATTAAACCGAAGTTTAACACATTTTAAGTAAAAATTTATCCCACTATCGCATAAAACTTGTGAAAGTTAAAGTCATCAGCACTTAATATTGTCTGTCATGCGAGGCAATCGGCACTCAAGTGGCAAATGCACTCATTTAACTCTAAATTGGTACTTTAGTTAATCTCTCATATTGATTTTTTAACCCTTAAACACTGGCAAAGAGAAGCATACACCTAAAGAGAGATTTTTTACATTATTGTTTATTTAGTTAGTTTTTAGAAACAAGGTCTCCTCTCTCTCCCAGGCTGGAGGGCTGTGGTGCAATCACAGCTCACTGCAGCCTCAAAATCCTGGGCCCAAGCATACCTCCCACCTCAGCCTCCCAAGTAGCTTGGATTACAAGTGCCTGCCTCAGTACCCGGCTACTTTTAAAACATTTTTTGATACACATAGAGTCTCAGTTTGCTGCTCAGGCTGGTCTCAAACTATTGGTCTCAAGCAATCCTCTTGCCTCAAGCTTCTGAAGTGCTGGGATTACAGGTTAACCAGGACACCTGGCCGAGAGGTTATTTTTTGTTGTTTTAATTTCTTTATTTAATAGTCTGTGTATTTAAATTTTGTTGACAATAATCTTAACAGCAACAATAGTATCTACTTGAAAGGTATGCATTCTATATATAATTCCTTAGATATAAATTTAAGTATAAATATTTGAAAACTCTTTAATTTTTTAATATTGTGTCCCATTTCTTAAAAAAGAGAGAAGCTATATTAACTTTTGAATTCAGTACACAGTTAACAGTTCTTTCATTTAATATGTGATAATATAAATTTAACAGTGAAACTTTCAAATACTCATATTAACTTACCCTGATAGATTTTATAGCTTTAATATAAAACTTCTCATAAATGTAAAATTTGACAAAGCACAATATTCTCCAGGAAGTTAGAAAAGTAGTATAATTTTCTGTCTCTCAGAATGTGTTTTCTAACCTCTAAATATAAATTGATGGACTAATCTTTTAAAATTCAGAATCAAATATAATTGCTTTGGTTTGATCATTGAGAATTCTTTTTCCATTCCATCATTTTATAGTTTTTGCCTAAATAAAATACTTAAGGAAGTTATTGTTATGTTGTATTTGAAAGATGCCTGATGGAGAAACATTCATAGTTCTTTTCTATCCTTATGAAAGGTTATATGAAAACATATATATATGTATATATATAAACATGTGGATAAAGTACAGAAAATCCTATCATTGCCTCTGACTCAAATGGTAATCTTTAATATAAAGATTTGAAACTTTCATGGAACAGTATATCAGAACTTTATTTCCAATTTGTTTATGTATACTTAACGTATATCCTAAGTATCAAGAAATCACATTCAATTAACATATACATTATAAAACAATTCCTATATGATAATTCTAATAAGTAAACATGATTTTAGTGGTAGTAATTATTCAATCAAATATTCATATTTTAAAGATTAAATCTTCATATTTTAAAGCACATTACATCAGTTTACAATTCGATATTGACTACTGGATAGAATTTATCAATGAAATTTTGAATATGGCATGGTTAATGCAGATCATGTGAATTAAATTGCAAGGCAGAGAGCTTTTAAATTAAAAAAATAAGCTGGTTTATAAATCCAGTGCTAGACAGTTAATAAAAGCAATACATATAAATCTCCCAGACACCTCCCAATCTTGGTATTTTGAAATATTTTCCTCTTTTTAATATTATTTAAATAAAAAAATTATCTGCCTTTAAGCAACAAAACATGAACTCTTGGTAGAAAATTCACTAATTGACATAGGTATCTAGACTTATAAACCTGTAAAAAATGTGAAATAGAAGGCATAAAGTATTTGAGTCAATAAATTACTAACTAAATCTTTTTTTTTTTTTTTTTTTTTTTTTTTTGGGACGGAGTCTCGCTCTGTCGCCCAGGCTGGAGTGCAGTGGCGGGATCTCGGCTCACTGCAAGCTCCGCCTCCCGGGTTCACGCCATTCTCCTGCCTCAGCCTCCCAAGTAGCTGGGACTACAGGCGCCCGCCACTACGCCCGGCTAATTTTTTGTATTTTTAGTAGAGACGGGGTTTCACTGTTTTAGCCAGGATGGTCTCGATCTCCTGACCTCGTGATCCGCCCGCCTCGGCCTCCCAAAGCGCTGGGATTACAGGCGTGAGCCACCGCGCCCGGCCTTAACTAAATCTTTTGATTAAATCAGCTTTATAAAAAAAGTAAACGTAAACACATAAGTCTTTGTATAAGCACCCCTACATTTTTAAAAGTATATTTGCCTTTTCATAAACTCAGTTGAGTAGTGGTAACATTCATCATCACAACTTTTTAGAGGCAATGAAATTGATGTCATTTGAGGTCTTCATCTCATATTTATCTTTTATTTTCTTATTTTGTCATGTTTAGCAAAGGATAGTAAAAGTAGAGGATCATTCAACCCAGAAATACAGGGAAACTGATCCTTGTAAATAGCACCCTTTATAGACTAATGGATATTTTAAGAGCAAGATGTGCTAGAAAGGAAAATAAGGCAATCTCTTAATGCTGTGCCTTTTCTTCCATTACATTTTTAGATTATATATTATCCCTTGTTTATTGCTGTAGCTGGGGAAAATATTTTTATTGAAATAGATTGTTTTTTGAAGTTTGCTATATTAGGTAAAAATAAATACCAAACTTCTCTGTCTTCAGTTTAATAGAAAAAAAAAATCCCTTGTTACTCTGTTTCTGCCTTACTGTTAGTAGAAAGATTTATGATTAAGTAATTTTAGTAGGACAACATTAAGAACAAAAACATGAACCAAAATACTTTTTAAAATAAATATACACATTTTTACTATATATAGACACATATATAAAAGTATATATACATATATGTATATATGTGACTTCAATAACAGGAAAATAGATTTTCCAGATGAAGAATCTAAACATCTCATCCATAACAAAAGGTTAGGCTCTATACCAATGCTTGAATGAAAACTGTAATATCATCCATTTAAAAAAATGCCAACACATGCATAATTTTAGGCTGTAAAAATGAAAATATTTCAGAATTGATTAACAAATGGTGGAAGTTAAAGTTGTCTCTTCCCGACCTGCACTTTGTTTTCTGTCTCTTGCCTTTTCTCACATTTTATTTTTCCTTCCTATCTCAACAATATACCCCACCTGCAGTGTGCCCAATGTGGACACATACCTGCTTTTTTCAGGCACTGTTTTGGACAACATTTCCCTACTGAGCATTAAATCACTTTTTCTTAAATACGTACTAAAGATTTCCATGGCTGAAAAGCTAGTTCCACATACATTAATAATCCTTGAAGAATTAAATCAGATACAACCTCTACATCAGCACAATATTTCAAGGTGGTAAGGGAGTGCTACTGCTGGGTTCGTCTTCACTTAATAACTTTATTAATGATGTGGATGAGTGAACAAATATGAAAAGAAAATTTATAGGTATTACATACGTAGATTCTGCAGAAACAAATAGGCTGGAAGGTAATGACTGTAGAATGACCTAGAGAGGTTAAAAAAAGAAAATAGTAGTCCAATATTATTCCACTTTTAAGTAAATGAGACCATTAAGCTCTTTAAAATAACCAGTAAATAAAAACTCAAAGCAATGATAGCTACATCAAAAAGTGAGGGAAGAGGGGAAATTATATGTTGCAATGTTACAGAGTACATTAAAGCATTCAGTATATTTCCTGAAAATTTCATAAGCACAGTTCTTAATGTTTATTCATAAATAAACAAAACCAAACCAAAAGCCATAGTTCAATTGTTTCTAACTAAGAGTACAAATTACTTATGCGGAAAAGTACATATAAGCTCACATAAATAACACGAATAATGTTTTCATTGTGAAGATATTCATAACGTTCAAATGACAAGGTCTTAGGAACTCTGCACCTTCATTAATTTTAATCAATATTTAACAATCAAGATTGTTTTCAATAAATCATGATCTAATAATGAAAGGGGGAAACTATTTGTTTTAACTTTCATTTCAGTTTTACCCTTTACTCACAAGTTGAAATTCATTCTCACTCTTTGCAAACTATTTTGAAACATTTCCAGGTAAAATTCATATAAATATTTTATTTTTCCTAATTTTTGGAAAAATTTTAGACTATTACAATCTGAGTTAATAGCCTAGTTCCTTTGTTGATCCAGTGTAAATAAATATTTCTCTTTTCTTGCTGTATTAAAAAACCCACAGTCTGTATAGCCAAGTCTATATCTATATCGATATCTATCTGTATCTGTATCTATCTATGTGTATCTCTATCGATGTATGCATACACAAATAATATCTGTGGAAGAATTTTTTTTCATGTAGTGTAATATCCACAGCTCTTCTACTTTAACCATAACTCAAGTCAATAACATTTTATTGTCTTTTGTTAGTTTTACCTGGAAAAGAAAGCACATCATATACAATATTATAAAATAGAAATAAAACTAAATATAGTGTTTTAGAAGGTAACAAAGTTTTATGTTTAAGGATATTAAATAAAATCTATTTCTTCCAGTATATTTTTTCACAATCTGTCTTAAATGGAATCTTCAGATATCTTAACAAGTTGACTACTAGATTTTGTAGTGTATTCCAATCAGATATCTATCTGAGGCCACTCTTTTTTTAATAATCTAGGCTTCTGTAGACAATGTGGAAACATTTTTAAAATGATGACGCCCTCCTTTTCCTTCGTAGCTAAATTAGTACACAAAATTCTAAATATTTCCTTAGTTTTAATAATAATAAAGCAATATAAGATTCACCCTCTGTATTCAATTCTTTGTTACCAATTCTGCTATAATGAGAATTTTTGAAATTCTTAGTTATAACCTTTATTTTTGATAATTGCATTTAAAATGCAATGATAAAGCAAATAATTAAAATGCTAGGAATAAAATTGTCCTTTATTAGTTTATCATAAAGTTCCATAAATTTCAGCTCTCCTTGATTTCTCACTATTCTAGTTCATCAATTTTGTAATTAATCATTAAACATTATTCTTTCTCTATATTAAAAATATTAGCAATTAAAAAATCCCTATTTAATATTATATTCATTGTTTTAGTTTGATGCTTTTTTTTTTTAGTGATATGTACAGAAGACAAAAAAATGATGTGCAGCCTTTGTGTTCCATTTATTGTTGCGTAAAATAAAATTTCATCAATCTTGGATAAAAATTCTTAGGCCTATGATTATATTTGAAGGAAACACTAACTTCTGACATGATTATTTAGAACACACATTTTCTTAACTTGTCTTCCATTTTAATGGAGCTATAAATAGCTTTGGCAAATTTTTCTGCTTTGCTGTTAATTTAACTCAGTAGATTTATTGAAATTTTAAGACACCACGTTACGCAAGATTTAGGGTATGTGACTACTCTTTCCTCCTGTGTGGAGGTCGACATTGCCACAGTCTAATATCATAGTTCCCCTAAGTGGTCCCCTCCCAGAAGTGAGTTGCAAGTTCCTGCTGACTTTCAGAATTATTTCTCCATGTTTATGTCATTTTGATGCAAGAGAGGTCAATACACAGGTATGTCATCAAAATAATATTTAGACTATGTCATTCCCACAAAAAACAACTTATATGCCATGTTTTACTCACTACCAAAGTCTCGTTGAATACTACTTGTTTCATTCCTCTAGCCAGGAGACAACCTGGCAGGTATACTGCCTGAGCACCAAGAAGTTATCATATAATTTGCGTTTCACTGACCTCTCTTACCTTGTCAAATTACCCACAATAATTTTGGTAAAGTTGCATCTAACTTGGTATGGACTAAAAATACTTGCGTCGCCCCCAAAATTTGTATGTTAAAACCCTAATTCCACTGAGATGATATTTGGAAACAGGGCCTTTGGGAAATAATTAGGTCATGAGTCTCTCTCTCTCTTTCTCTCTCTCTCTCTCTCTCTCTCTCTCTCTGTCTGGTCTCTCTCTCTGTCTCTTTATGAGGACATGACAAGGAATGGAGGTTTTACCTGTAACCATTGACTGGCACCTTTATCTTGGACTCTCAGCCTCCAGAACTCCGAGAAGTAAATTTCTATTGTTTAAACCAGTCAGTGTATGTTGTTTTTGTTGTTGTTATAGCAGCTTGAATTAAGACACAATTTTCCTAAAACTTAAAAATGTCAGATTGGTGGATAAAATTGTATTTCATTGTGCTTTTTTCTTCAAGCCTTATACCTCTGACTCCAAACTCATAGTAACCAGTGTAAGACATGGTAGAATCTTTCCACTAGTGCTTGGGACACTATTTATAGTATCTACCCAATCTAATTTTAATGAAAAAGTTGAAGGTTGGTATAAAAAAATGTTTATCATCTAGGAGTTCCAGGCTCAATTCAACATACTTGTGATGGTCTCATGTAGTAGCAGTGACAGTCAACTACAAATGGTGCCTGAACAGGGACATTTCAGAGACTATCAGGGACATACAGAGACCTGAAAGGACCTGGAGGGACCTGAAGAGGCCTGCAGGGATAAACAGAGATAAGTGGAGGTAAGTACAGAAAAGTAAGTAGAGATAAGTAAGTAGAGAAAAGTAGAGATAGGTAGGGAAAGACGGGGACTTGCAGGAACTAACAGGTACCATAGGGACAGACAGAGACAGATAGGAATAGATAAAGACTAGCAATATAAGGTCAGTGCCCTGAAGAGGTACTGGTCTGTGTCCTAAAGAGGTACAAAAGTAGAGACTAGCAAAGACTAGGAGAGATTTGGAGGAACAGACAGGGACAGATAGGGACAGATAGGGTCCTATAGGACTAGAGCGAGGAAGGTCTGCTGGAACAGAAAAAAACTAAAACCAACTAGATGAACGAGAAAGCCCATTACAACTCTGTTGGCAGCGACATAAGGTTAGTGCTCTAAAAATGATGGATGAATTTTCAGAATTTATCTAATTTTCTCCTCCATCAAAGTTAAAAATTAGCTGTTTGATTTCCTATACTCAGCTAAAATTCTCTGGCATTTTATCTTGATATTACTGACATCCTGGAAGGAGTATCTTGTTTGTTTGGCAAGTGGATTTTTTTTAAAAAATAAATTATTGCTTCATAATTTTTATTGTTTATATTTCAGGGTTATGAAAAATGCCCTTAAAAGATAGATGGTATATATATATATATATAAATATAAAATATATATTTTAATCTGCATGTAGTATACCTGTTGTGACAAAAATAAACGAAAGCTTAATTTCTTGCCAAGTTGTAGACTATTACAGTATATTATTTTAAGCATTATGCTATACATACTTCTTTTGAAAATTTATGGAGTACATGAGATGTTTTGATACATGCATAATAATCACATCAGGGTAAATTGAATATCCATCACTTCACACAGTTATCCTTTGTGTTACAAACAATCTGATTATACTCTTCTAGTTATTTTTAAATGTACGATTAAATTATTTTTGACTATAGTCACCCTGTTGTGCTAGCAAATGCTAGGTCTTATTCATTCTTTCTAACTATGTTTTTGTACCTATTAGTCTGCCCCGCTTTCCTCCCAAACCCTCACTACCCTTCTCAGCCTGTTAACCTTTATACTGTTTATCTCCATGAGTTCAATTGTTTTAAGCCTTAGCTCCCACAAATAAGTGAGAGCATCCGAAGTTTGTCTTTCTGCGCCTGGCTTGTTTCACTTAACATAATGACCTCCAGTTCTATCCACATTGTAGCAAATGACAGGAACTCATTGTTTTTTATGGCTGAATGGTATTCCATTTTGTATATGTACTATATTTTCTTTATTCATTCATCTCTTGATGGATACTTAGGTTGATTCCAAATTTTGGCTATTGTGAGTAGTGCTGAAATAAACATGGAGTGCAGATATCTCTCTGATATACTATGTCCTTTCTTTTGGTTATACACCCAGGAGTGGGATTGCTGGATCATATGATAGCTCAATTTTTGCTTTTTGAGAAACCTCCAGACTGTTCTCCTTAAGGGTCATACTAATGTACATTCCCACTGACAGTGTGCAAGGGTTCCTTTTTCTGTATATCCTCGCCAACTTTTGTTATTGCCTGAATTTGGGATAAAAGCCATTTTAACTGGGGCCTCTTAACTTTTTCCCCACACATTTCTTAATTCCTTGATGAAAAATGCTAAAAGATAAGTCACTTTCATACTTCCTAGATACAGTTATTCATTCACTCTTTTATTTTTTTAAGTTTCTTATTTAATAGATATGTATTAAATATTTACCTTGTCTCAGCCAATGTAATGTGTGACAGGCATACAAAGATGAATATAGCAGAAAGTTTATGCCTCTTAAGAAGCATAATGAAGTCATTTAAACAAATAATAGCTACAAATTTTGATGAGCACTGTCATAGAGGTAAGAATATTATGGTGGGGTGGGATGGAAGAAATTAAAATATGTCAATCTACTTTGCGTTGTAAGGAAAATCTTGGCAAAGAAGATACATGTTATGATTTGGCTCTGTGTCCCCACCCAAATCTCAACTCGAATTGTAATCCCCATGTGTCATGGGGAGGGACCTGGTGGGAGGTGATTAGCTCAAAAGGGTGGTTTTCTATGCTGTTCTTGTGATAGTGAGGGGGTTCTCAGGAGATCTGATGGTTTTATAAGTGGCAGTTTCCCCTGCATGCTCTCTCTCTTACCTGCCACAGTGTAAGACTTGCCTTGCTTTCCCTTCACCTTCCACCATGATTATAAGTTTAATTATAAGTTCACTTATAAGTTCAGCCATGTGGAATTGTGAGTCAAGTAAGCCTCTTTTGTTTATAAATTATCCATTCTCAGGTAGTATCTTTATAGCAGTGTGAAATGGACTAATAAGATAAACTTCAATAGAATACTTAAGAAATTGTGGTAATCAACTAGTTTATGAATGGAAAGAATCATTTTATCAAAGGAAATTAAGAGCATAACAATGTGGCATTAAAACAGATTAGGGAGTTCTGAGGGTTGTAAGGATGATGGAACAGGTACATAATAGGACAATATGGGAGAATAATTAAAGAAGTCCTGAGGGTAGGTCACTGAGGCCTTATATGTTATAAAAGGGGGATTTTACTCTAGGAATTGGGAAAGTGTTTGAAGAAAGAGAATAGTGTGATTATATTTGCTTTTTAGTTTGAAAAGAAGTAGCCTGGAAATGAATGAGATTACAGCCAGAGAAGAGAAAGAATATATTTTGATGAAAGAATATATTTGGGTACTGATACAATAGTCCGGGTTAAAGATGATTTGGACCCTGGCACATGGAGGATGCTGTGGGGTCATAAAGGAAGAAATGGTAATAAAAATAACTAAAGTTTTATTGGATGAAGTTTTCAAGCCAACAAAGCATAAAACACAGACACAAAAACGACGTCTAAAATGATTTCTTAGTTTCTTAGTCATGTATTAGGTGTCAACCAAGACAGGGAATACAGACAGAGCAGTAAAGAGTTCAGCCCCAGACTCAATCCTATATGTGATTTTTGGGCCCATCCATAAACAATGACAAAGACTTGACCAAGTGGGTCCCACAGGGAGAGCTGCCCTCCCCACACTAGTGCATAGTCCTCTAATGGCAGTTTCAGTAAGGGCTGCAGGGCCATGCTCACACACAGATCAGCATCACTTGACTGGTGCCTCCCCTGGAGGCCTCTCCACTGTGGGACCTTGGCAGACCTTCCCCAGGCATGTTTGCCCAAGACCTCCTTTTCATGGGGAGAGGAGGAGGAGTCTTGAAGACAATTGTCTTCCTTCTGATTCAATACTCAGTGCTTTTCCGCTCCCAGCCTTTTCCTGACCTTCCATAAAACTGCAGGCAGGAGCCTGTTGTTCAGGGTTCCTTTGATAGTGAGACAACTCCACATCTGTGCTGACCCATGTGATCCTTGATAGAGCTGTTTCATGAAGGAAAAAAAGGATGGGGACTGGACCGTCAGGGCTTTTTCCAGTTTAACCTCAAAGGTTTGTTAATGTCCTTTTGTCTTGATGTCTTAATTGCCTACTCCAACACCTGGCTCTCTCTCCAGAGTAGTTAAGCTCCTGATGGCTGGGGATAAATTTAATGACTACTGTTTTGTATAAGTTGAGGTTAATCTAATTAATTTACCTAGAGGGAAAATTCTGACCTCTATCTCTGAGACCTCATCTAAAACACAGAGGTCATGAAGATAAATCTGGCTTCTGCCTTCAAGGAGCTTACAGTCTGGTGAAGATGATAGCTGGATAGCTAGACATAACAATAACACCACAGCTGTTCCCTTGTGATAATTTCTGTTATGAGTTATGTACAGTGGAATATGAAAAATATATAAATGGTACATAACCAATTCTAGGAGGTCAGGGCAAGCTTCCTGGGAGAAATGCTGTCTATAGGTAGACACAGAGAGACAAGAATCAAAGCCTCTTCTGAAGAAGGGTTAAATAAATCTCAGGCAGATAGGCTATGCATGACCTGCTTCTTTTATCTGTCATTTTTGTTGTTCAGTTACTTGCTAAATTTTAAGAATTTTATATATATACATTATATTTATAATATATTATATATATAATATACATGTATATATATATATATCTTCTACATATCAGTGCTCTGTCAATTCAGCCTAATTCTGGCAAAAGCATTAAGGACTTCAATATTTACCAGGTTTGAAAGGGGAGCAGTCCTTTGAATTAGAATTATTTGAGAAATGTAGGGCTATTTTGAAACAACTACCCAATTGAAAATGCATGGACACTATAACTATTATACTTGCAGATGCATACAAAAATACTTTTATTGTCACATGGGCACAAAGATGTATATTGAAAGCTGTTCACTGAAACAGTATTTATAATAATGAAACCTGGAAGCAACATATCTCTTAATGGGGATATAGACAAGTAAAGTACAACATATACATGTTATAGAAAAAAATGCAGCCTTCTCAAAAATGGGTAAGCTGTATAGATATAGAAAAGAAAAAAGCATTGTATAAATAATATGTACACTTTAATAAAAGTTGTACTAAATTTTAAATGTAATATAAATATCATACCTTCTATATATATAAAATTATCAAAAAGACTGAATTATAATACATGAAGAGTAGGAAAAAATAGTTGCACTGAGTTTTATATTTTCTGAATGTTTAAATCTTTCCACACAATATGTAATAATTATACTTTTAAAATGAAATACACTAAGCAATAATAAGGAGCTGACCACTGATGTACTCAATAAGAACAAATTTCAAAAAACAAGATGCTGAGATAAAGAAGACAGAAACAAAATAATGCACATGTATGATGTCACTTATACAAAATTTAGAAAAGATATATCCTGTACATAATGACAGAACCTCCATCAGTGGTTGCCTGTGATCAGGGATTGAGATGGTGAGGGCATGTGAGAAGTTTTCATATATGATGGAAATGTGCAGGGGATATACAATTGTCAATATGCATCAAACTAATTTAATATATGTTTTATTGTATATGATAAATTGATTTTCTAAAAATCATATACACTAACTCAAACTTCTTATAGCTGAACACATTTTATATTAGGTGTTTATCTTATATTTACAGATGATGTCTAGTAAGCCTCAGAGATGTCCAGTGGGATCTGGGATTTGAACCCATGTCTATTTCAATTTGTCCTCTCATTCCCTTTTTACACTCAGCTTTTCTTTTAACATGCCCACATTTTCCCTACGACTACAAAATGAAAATAAACAGAACCTTTATTTTTAAGCTCTTATCCTACTTTGCTTTCTGTGCAAATGTTTTAAAATAATAGTTGACATTTATTCCTTCTACTTCCATACCTCATCCATCTCTTGCATTCTAATGTCCATCGCCCGCTTACTGAAATAGAGAAAAAAGTCACGATCATCCAGCACTGCCAGTGATTCTCAACTTTTTAAGTAATTGACTTTGTGTGTTTCTTCAGAACACTTTCTCCTCTTAAGATTTCTGGTTCCCTTTTATGTCTCCCACTGCCTTTCCATCATCTTTTTGTTTGACTCTTTAAACTCCTCCCTTTTTCCTTTTTTTCCCATGGTCTCTTCAAATATATCTAAACTAATGCGTTCTGCATACTTATTTTGAGTCTTTTTGTGAGGTCTAGTCCAACTGGCAAAATATGGTATCTCAATTTCCTACCATAAACTCATCATATCTCAAATTTAAATTTCTCATCTTTCTTCATGCAAAACACCTTGAACCTCAATTTAAACTTCATCATATTCTTCAATTTCTTCTCCCTTTGTTTTATTACACAGCTTATTTTGGCAAAATCCTAGGGTATTTTAATGTGTTTTTCATGTGCATCACCTCTCCATATATTTACAATTGTTCTGGCAAAAGTTTATATTGATAATTAGTCTTAGTGATTATAATTATGCCCTACTTTTGCTTTCTGTAATTCATCCTACACACTGTTGCTAAGTAATAATACCACTAAATACAGCTCAGAATATATATTTTATTGCCTGCTGGTTTTCTATATCTATGAGAACATTTATTTCGAATGAAACAAAAACGATTAAACACGTAAAGCTGGAGCACTGAAAAGCACCAGGCATGCTAAGGGCCAGGGATAGACAGATGAAAGAGCATGCCCGCTATCTTTCTCTTAACATTCAAAGACCCGTTAATTTCCATTTCAACATGCACTTTTTGTCAATTTTGTTTTCCACAGATCACTTTCAAGCATCCTTTGAAATAAACCCACTAAGATCATTTTGCCCAGAGCTTGCGCGTTTTGTACCTCTGCTGAGATTTTTCTCATTTCCTGGAATTATGACAATATTAAGCATAACTGTAAAAATTCTAAGTATCATTTGTATAGCGTAATAGTAGATCCAGTCCAACACTGCCTAGAAACTTGCACACACCATTGCATTTCACCCTCGCAACAATTCCATGTGGTTGGTTCAGCTATGTCTACTTCACAGATGAAGATATGGAAACTCAGAGGTGTTACATAACTTGCTACCATCACACAAGTCACAAAATCAAGCCAGTCTGTCACCTAAGAAACCCTAACCCTTCTCACTTTAATACACTACCTTTATTATCCTACATTTAATTTATTTTTTATACAACTTTGCTCATGACAATCTTTGTTCCTTTAGTTGGAAGTTTTTATTCCTCAATTTCCCAAGGGGAAGATTTTACAGGTTAAACATTTTTGTCACTTGTCACTTAGCAACTTAACATTCTAGTCATTTATGCACAAGTTACTATCTCTACAAAACGTGAAAAATTTGAAGATGAAAAATTATGTATTATATATCTTAAATCCATCCCACTGTAGTTCTTTACAGAGAGACAGTACTCAGTAAATATTTATAAGAATCATGACATGCAAATGTGCATATTCTCTCTTATTAGAATATAATTTAGAAAATGTACTTGACAAATGAAAAGTAGCATCAGATTATTCTTGTTCAAAATATTCCTCCTTGGTAAACACTAATACCTGGACTAATTTTTGAAGACTGTACTTCTCAGTGGGGGAGAAGAATTGGGAAAAATTCTTTAGTGTGAGAATATCTTAGGGGAACAGCTATAGTTTTAAAAAATACTGCTTTGTTTTATTCCAGTTATTTCTCTTTTATCAAAATTTTAAATTTGTATTTATAGTTGATATAAAACGATATGTATCTTGAGAGATCACGTGTCAAAATAATTGAAGGACATTTTTTGTCATTTGTGTGAAATAGAAGAAGTGTTTTAAGTGTAGAAAATGATACCTGTGTGTGATAGAAATAAGTTTATATCCTATGAGCAGGTAACAAAAAAGAAAAAAAAACTAGCGGGACTTTTTCTCTTAGGATTATATTTCCTTTGGATGACAATGATAAAAGTTCTCTTTACTATGTAAATTTGCCAGTCTAAGAATAGAGTGTATTATCTTACTGAGTTTCATCTTGCACCCTCAGCATCTATTATTCCTATTAACTCCAAGTTCAACCTCCACCTTGCCCTTTTCTTCTTCTAATTGGCAATGGGCAAATCATTTCTGGTCAAGATCAGGAGCTCATCTGTGGCTCTAACCTTGAACATCAATCCAACTCAAGAGTGAATCCCATTAACATCAGACTAATAAATGCAAAGATCCAGTGAAGAACAATAATGAACTTTGGCTCACACATCAATCTTTGGCACCTCAGAAACTAAGTGTAATGAACAGTAGGTCACAACCTATAGCTTTCATAAAATGTCCCAGTTGAGATAGCATATTACACATTTAAAACAGTAATGGTGCCAGGTCATTCTGTCAGACATTTGTCAAGTAAGGATGTGCTCCTACACATCTAGCTCTTCTAGTAAACCAATATTCAGACACATAATGGCTGCTTGTATCTTCAATTATCTCCATCCTATCACATTCAGAGCTGCTTCCAGAGAGTCCAATACTACAGCCTTAGGCTATGGGATGATGATAGCATACCCTACAAACACATGAGAGCAACCTCAAACCTTCTAAATTGTGCCAGTTCTGGGCTTCTTTTGCATAATCATTTATCTGAAAGGACAAGAAATAATTTGCAATTTCAGAGTGTGATGCAAAAGAGACAGATATTGCTCAACTTCAAACTACTGAGGGGAAGAAAAATAAGATTTTGGTTAATGTTCTATGGTTCAAATATAGTAAAGTCATCCTGGATTCCTGTCCTGACCTATTCTTTCCTTACCATTTAATTACTTCTTTTCACCTACTTTTCTCTTTTTTTTTTTTTTTTTTTCGAGACGGAGTTCCACTCTTGTTGTCCAGGCTGGAGTGCAACGATGCGGTCTTGGCACACTGCAACCTCCGCCTCCCAGGTTCAAGGGATTCTCCTGCCTCAGCCTCCCGAGTAGCTGGGATTACAGGCATGAGCCAACATGCCCAGCTAATTTTTGTATTTTTGTAGAGACCAGGTTTCACCATGTTGGCCAGGCTGGTCTTGAACTCCTGACCTCTCGGCCCCCAAAAGTGCTGGGATTACAGGCTTGAGCCACCGTGCCCAGCCATTTTTCTCTTTCACTTATTTATTTTAGCATCCTTCTCTCTTCTTATAGCTCATCTTTTATATGTGCTTATTTGAAAATGCACAATATAGTTGTTTTTGATAGACTTAAAATGATTTCTGCGGCATGCTATGAATATGTAATACCCCCGCAATCCACCCCACACATATTTTGAGAATTTTAATCCTTCTTTGTAAAATTAGCCAGAAGTCCCTCTGTTAACACATGTTCGCTTCCTCATTCTTTGGTGAATTTTGTTTTTCCCATAAGACGTATTTTAACACGGGAATGAATAAATGTATAGGGAACATGAGACAACCTGTTTAACATCCTTTTTATACGCCATTGGGGATGATAAAGAGCAATGGTCATTTACTTAACATCTTGGTAGTTAGCCGCTTGGAGGTTGCAAGGCCTGTAACCAGTCTTTTTGATGCATCCGCCATTTCTGCAAGTGGCTGGAGTGGAGGTACAAATGAAGCTGAATAGAGGAGAGACTCTGCAACTGTATTCACTGATAGAGTAATTGCCTGCTTTGTGAATAGGATGCATTCTGGAAGTATATCAAATATATAGAGCAAATACTCAAATAGAATAGAACAAGAAATGGTTACAGTAAAACAAACTTTTCGTGATATTTACCACGTTTTATATTTTACTCAAAGTGTATATACGTTTTTTTTATATGCAAGATAAACTGATAATTTCAACACAATCTGCACTACTTTGAAAAATGTACACCAGGGCCTTTCATGACTTGTATACAGTTCTGGCCATTCTCTTTATCTCAAACCGAAGAAAGATATGATGCAGGCAGTAGTTTTTTCTTAGTGCCTCATAGTATCTAATAGCAGAAAGTGAGCCGCATAGCGGAGCACATTAGTTTTTATGTATCTACAGGACAGAAGGGCCACTTAGCTGATGGCTCCAGGTTTCCTTTGATATAATCTAATGTTCCTATGACCTCAAAGACTGAACACATTTCCCTAAGTGCTTCACTTAGCACCCAGGAGCAACTTGGAGTCTTTGCAGAATAAAATCCATTATTTTAGTGTAGATTAATACATGTGTACTTATATCTATGCAGGTCTATAATAGTTTATTCCTATGTAAGCTTTATTAAAAGCATTGGTATGTTTTACATAAAAAGTTAATGTGAATATTAGAAAAAAAGGACAATATTAAAGCAGTTTGTAGAATTTGTTCCCCCCCCAAAATGAATGAAATACACAATAGATTTAAAAAAAAAAAACAATGAAAGTGAAATGAGGAAAAGGTCTAATTTTCCCCTTAAATTTCACAATGTGTCAGCCAGACAGAGCATAATTTTGGAATAAACAAAAAGCCAGGGAGTCAATACAGGGTTTCTCCTTCTATCAGATATCTTGCTTTGGCAGAAAGTAAGAAGAACATCTCAAAAACCTCATTGGTGTTCTTAAACTGAGGGTGGAGACAGGGCGTGCAGGCTACTTGAGGAAAGACTGGGATGTGTACATGGAACTCACTTGCTCAATATGAATCCATGGCAACCTCAGGTCTAGGCCAGAAGTCCTATGGAGTATTTCCTTGCAGAGGTTGGTGGTAGAAATGCAGTCTAAGATGAGCCATTGACTCAGCTGGAACTAACTAAAACCAGCAGAGATGGCTAAGCCACTAAAGAAACAAAACTCAACAAAAAATATGGTTGTCCAAATGCCCATCAATTGATAGACTGGATAAAGAAAATGTGACACATATATACCATGGAATACTATGCAGCCATAAAAAAGAAAGAATTCATGTCTTTTGCAGGGACATGAATGAAGCTGGAAACCATCATTCTCAACAAACTAACACAGGAACAGAAAACCAAACAGCACATGTTCTCACTCATAAGTGGGAGCTGAACAATGAGAACAAATGGTCACAGGGAGGGGAACATCACACACCAAGGCCTGTCGGGGGGTGGGGGGCAAGGGGAGGGAGAGCATTAGGACAAATACCTAATGCATGTGGGGCTTAAAACCTAGATGACAGGTTGATAGGTACAGCAAACCACCATGGTACATGTATACCTATGTGACACAATTGCACGTTTAGCACATGTATCCCAGAATTTAAAGTTAAAAAAAAAATGGTTGTATCAAACCCCAAATCTTGAAAATATAAAAACTTAAAAAAAAGTAACCCACTCCCCTTGAAGCAAGGACAGGCGCAACTTACACGGGAACAGACATCCTCTGAAATGCAATTATTTTGCCTTTTGTTTGTTTGTTTGCTTTGTTTTTTCTACTATTTCTTTTTAATTGAAAGAGTAATAATGCAGTAATAGAATTATAACTGGTGGCATCACAGGGCTGCATATTAGTAACCTTAGCTGAAGAGCTGTATAAATATCTCATGCACATGTTCTGAAAGAAGTGGAGCTTTATGGCCCAGAGTGATAAGGAGGAAAAAATAAAAAATGCCTCCATACATTCAAATTTTATTAAAAGTTGAATTAAAACATAAACATGTGACAGATTTTAAAATTTAATTATTTGCAAAAGCGTTTTTTGAAATTTACCTCCTAATGTTTTGCCTATAAATTCATGTTTTTATAAATGAACCTTTTTTATTGCTAGAAGGTGGCAGGTTCCACATCATTCTTATTCCTATATCATTATTTTTATAAGATCTAAGAACTGAGAAATCTTGTTCTCAGAAATAAGTGGATAGGATTGGAAGGGCTTTGTTATAACAATGACATTTGATTCTTTGAACTCCTTTGAAGAATGACAACAAAAATTGCAGGTGTCCATTGACAATTCAACTAGGTATTTCTTCAAATTTTTAAAAGTAATTAAAAATCTAAAACAAAACAAAACAAAACAAAAAACACAAATGATTAGCAAGATTTTGTTACCCAGTCATCAAGGTGACTTACTTTTGAGAAGTGGAGATGAATGTTTTGAATTGCCCCTTCGTTTTGCATCCTGGAAATTTCAACACCTGGAGACAAAGCACCAAGGTAAAGTTAAAAAAAGTGGAGATATATTTTTCTCTTTTAAAAAAAGAAACATTGTGGGAGAAGAATTCTTTTGAAAAAGAAGAAATGAAAGAGGGACAGCAAGAATGATGAAAGAAGTATTCGAATGTGACACCTGGAAACCTGTTCTTTAAAAGTCTTTGCCTGGCCGCAGTACGCCTCACAAAGTCTTTGTGTAATCTCCAGGGTTAGCAGGCCTCAGATCAAAATTAGAAGCCTAAATGGCAAACTAACCAAACTGGTTTTTTTTTTATAAAGTAAAATCTCTCAATTCACTTTTAAAATAAACTTAATCTTGTTTGAAGTGTCCCTATGACAACCATCTCAATACTGAATTTTAATTATATGATAGGTATGTAGCTAATTACATCAAATAATAGTTAACAGTTAAATCGATCTCTGGCTGTATTTTTATTTTTATTTTTTTGAGAGCTTCTCTCTCTGTCATCCAGGCTGGAGTGCAGTGACATGATCTCGGCTCACTGCAACCTCTGACTTCTGGGTTCAGGCAATTCTCATGCCCCAGCCACCCAAGTAGCTGGGACTACAGGCAGGCACTACCATGCCTGGCTAATTTTTTGTAATTTTTTTGTATTTTTAGTAGAGACAGGATTTTACCATGTTGTCTAGGTTGGTCTTGAACTCCTGGCCTCAAGTGATCCATCTGCCTCAGCCTCCCAAAATGCTGTGATTATAGGCGTGAGCCACTGCGCCTGGCCTCTGGCTGGTATTTTATAAACTTAATAATGAAGAACTGATTCTCTACCGAAAAAAAAAATGTATATATACAAAAAAAGAAAATGGTGAGGTATGGTGGTGCATGCCTGTAGTTCCAGCTACTCAGAAGGCTGAGGTTGGAGGATTGCTTGAGCCCAGGAGTTCAAGGCTGCAATGAGCCGTGATCATGCCACTGTACATCAGCCTGGGCAACAGAGCAGGACCCTGTCTCATAAAGAAAAATAACAACAACTACCACAAAATGAAGAATTGGTGAATGTAGTAACTAGATCCAAGTTCATGGTTCTTACAGTTACCACTTCACAAGAAAAAGCCTGTAAGATTTAAAGCTGAGGATCACATGGCTAGTAACACTGAAAGAAGCACTATAGAACAAGGGAGATGAAGTCATTCTGAACATTCAGATTACTTATTTTTAACAAACAACTTAATATCTCTATCTTTTATATACTTTTCAGATTATAAGTGTAATTATGCTTTAGAGATAAAGACAACCATGCAAAATCGTCAAAAACACTTCCTTGTAAAATGAGCCCTTCCTTCAGCTGACAGGGTTGACAGGAGATCCCAGGTGGGGAAAACACACCAAAAAGATTTTTATACTTAGGCTTTGCTCCACTAGGGACATTCACAAACAATCTCCAGGACATATTGGTTTCCTTGGGACTAAGGTATTTGTACAATGTCCATTTATAGGGGGTTAAAGTTCCTGTGATAGTGGTTGAAAGTTTTGACCCACTTTTACAGATTAATCAGCATTGTGGTGGTTACAGAATTTCCAGATAAGGCATGCTTGCTCTTCTCTAGACAAACTCATCCACGATATCTTAGTAACACTGATTCTGAGTTACCTTTAGTATTTTAGGTAGATCCACACAGTGTGATTGCTAATGTTATTTGTACGGATTTAGGAGCCACCGAGTGGCTATCATTGAACTGTCAAATAAATCTCAATACCTAGTTAAAATTCTTTTACAAGTAACTTTTCATAAAGAGGAATAAATGTTTACAGTAAGGGAGTATTTTGTTTACTTGGGCAGCTTTCTATGAAGAGGAGCATTTCTTGCAAAGCAATATGCCTGAGAATTAACTTTAGATTTCATTTCTATTTCACTGGAGTAGATATGTTTAAATTAACTTATAATTTCTTAAGGAGTCAGATAAAACATTAATTTTCTTTTTAATTTCTATACTTGCAGCTAAGAGTCGAAAATGAACCTAAGAGCCCTTCATTCCAAAATCATGCACAATTTCTAGTGCTTGTCTACTATCTACATAAATGTTCTCTCTCTCATATACTCTTCACTTTTTGCCTCAGGCTGGATTGTGAGTTCCAGTTACAAAAATTGATTCAGCAACCCAGGCAGATGGAGTCTTCAGAGATAAGAGAATATCCAAAACAAGGTTAATTTTCTCTATTCTAGGTGAAAACTGTCAACAGATAATGTAAGATCAGAGTTAATTAAAGTTATGCCATTTAAGTCAGTTTTGGACAAGATGAGAGTTTGAATCACTGTCAGCTAAATATGTGGTTGTCCTTCATCCTGGAGGGGAAAAAGAAGGCAGTTTAAGATTTGTGCATTTTTGCTAATGTTATGAGATGTGAATAGCAAAGTAATCTCATCAATAGTAATAGTGTGGGTTGAAATATACTGTGTTACCTTATAGAAATGTTTTCTATCATACACGGGACCAGTTGGATACTGTAAAACTGACAGGGAAAAGAAAGTAAGAGGATTCTACTAATTAAACAGTATCTACAAGATTTCACAACAAAGGGGACACTGTTTGGTAACATTGTCTGGAAGAGTATTTGTTTAAGTAGTAAGTAAAGGTTTGGCATAATTAAGTTCATTTAGTGTAAGGGTTGCTACAACGTTTCCTCAATAGTTATAAAAATAAGCTAAGACTGCTCAAATGAAAAGAAATACAGGTTATTCAGTCAGAGCTTGCTGTAGCCAGGGAGTTGGCCACCATCACTTGCAATATGGCAACGAATCAAAGGCAGGCAGGCAGTGAGAAAGCTTTATCGTGGGAAAACCAGAAGGCTGCAGGAATGCCCTGGTTGGAAATTATTGTCATGGGGAATCTAAAGGTTGGATAACTAGAAGCAAAACATCCTATTTGATGGGTGAAGCTGCATAATTAGCATTCTCTGGTTGGTTCTAAATTGGAAGCTGGAGGGAAACACTTAGGGAAGCTGGAAGTTACCCACCAATTCCTAAGCATTTGGACCAATTGCTGCAGACTGGTTGCTGCAGAGGTCAGAGTTGATTTTCTGTGTGTGGAACCACCATTGTCTGTTAGTGTATTCAGTCTCTCATAGTATAAAGGCCGAAACTGCTTCAGGATCCAGATAAGAAGCTCTAGAAATTAGAATTTATTAGGGTCATGTAGTCCTTAGTCTGCCTCATGGACATAGTGATTGGTCTAAAGAAGCATTCTTCATTTCTGCTGCCCTAATCATATTATTCCAGCTTCCACAGACTGATTCAATAGGTCCCGAAGCTAAATTAAGAACCAGGATTCTTCAATAATACATTTGAACTGGAAACAAAGAAAGAGTAAGACTCCGTTGGAAAATGGGAGACTGTGAAACTAGGAATTGACAGTGACTATCTCTACAGCTGTGACAGACGTTAACCTGAGAGATAAAGCTGAGACCCAGAAGGCAAAGAATGTTACATACACAGAAAGAACATGTAAAATTGGAGCATCTATGTTTCTGCAACACATGAAGTATAACAATACCCCACCTTTCTTGAGATATTGCCTATGAGCCAGTTAATTGCCCTCGTTTGTGAAACTGTTTGTCTCCTGCAGCCATTGAATCCTGATTAATACTCATTAAATCTCTATGATGTCATAGTATATATCAGGCACTATGGCTCATATTATTGTTTTCCCCTGATATTTGGTTATTTTCTTTTCAAGGCACATGGAGACGGACCTCTACCTGCAATGCCCCCCTTGCACTTGGACAGAACCATGTGACTATTTATAAGCTATGACACATGAGCAGACATGACATGACGGGATTGATGGAGCAATGACCTCATCTTTTCTCCTGCCAAATATTATGAAAGAGGACTCAAGTCACTCACCTGAGGGACACTGGGTGAAAGTCAGTAATGAAGCTGAAAGGTCGCTAAATGCTGGCAAGTGAGATGGATTATAGTGTCTAGACTTTTTCCTGAGGTCATTCTATATCCAGCAGATATCTTTCAGTATATAGTCTATTCAGAACAATGTGCTAGTGACTATTGAGTGTGGTTACATTCTTTTTTTTTTTTTTTTTTTTTTTTTTTTTTTTTTTTTTTTGAGACAGAGTCTCGCTCTGTCCCCTAGGCTGGAGTGCAGTGGCACAATCTTGGCTCACTGCAACCTCTGCCTCCTGGGTTCAAGCAATTCTCCTGAGTCAGCCTCCTGAGTAGCTGAGACTACAGGCACCCACCATCACGGCCGACTAATTTTTGTATTTTTAGTAGAGATGGGGTTTCACCATATTGGCCAGGCTGGTCTTAAACTCCTGACCTTGTAATCTGCCCACCTTGGCTTCCCAAAGTGCTGGGATTACAGGAGTGAGCCACCAAGCCCAGCCAGTTACATTCTTTAAACAAGGAGTGGACGTACCCTGAAACAAGAGATTAGTCAAAGAGATTTTGCTATTCATGGGACCTAAAAGGTGGCTGTACTTCCCTTTACTGCTTTTCCATACACAGCAATGCACGCTGTATGGGTTCTTATAGGTCAGAGAGTGAAAGAGAACCAGGACCTATAAAAGAATACAAGTCTCTAAAATCAGAAAGTTTATTATTTAAAAAAATAGTTACGTGCCAGTCTGCTTACAATTTATTTTTATGACTGAGAGTGCCTTTCATAAGCACATTCTGGCAAACTATAAAACAAATAAATTGAAATTGAATAAAACCTTAGACATTAGAAGTGTAGCACCAGATTTAGTACATAACTGCAAAACTTAAACATGCAATTTTACATCTGCAAGCACATTAAATTGAAAGAAACTTTAACTTAATTTAGATACATTAATTGATACAAACTTTTCTGGTATATAGCACTTCTTGGCGCATTGAGTATTCTTAATCTTTAAGGCACATGAATATAATACCTTAGGAAAGATCTGTTCTCCACACATTTCCTCTATAAAGTGCCAAAAAAAAAATAACGAAGAGCCAGTTTGTCTTCCGCATCAGTGTGATTTAGCATACATAAATAAGTATCTTTTCACACAAAATAAAAGGTTCAGAACCCAAAGTGTCTGATTTTTATAGTGCTTTTTCTTTCCTTTTAAAAAGATAGCAAGATGAGGGTAAGAGGTAATTTAAGAGAAGTAATCATCTTCTAACAGCCAGCTTGCAGAAACTAAAACAAATATCAATGATGTAAAAATGTTGTTTTGACACTTTGGTAAATGAAAGTGTGAGATGAGTAAGAATATATTATAGGTGCTTGTATATCAAAGGCCTGTGAAAATGGCTGATTATAAAGGAGAAAGTTAATGATCTCTAATTGTGTTGTAATGTAAATGCAGTATCACCGTAATGAAGAGAACAGATTTGCATGTTAACAAAAGAAATATTAGAGGAGTGAGTGTAGGATGTTTGGGATAATTAATTCCATCCTCCACTCCTACATACATATGCATATACAAACTCAATTCAATTTTAAAGAGAACCCGAAGAACCAAAAATAGACTGAACACACTTGATGTTGTATGGGAGCTTAAATTACTATTTTTGTTGTTCTCTGTGACTATCTCATTTAGTTTCTATTGTGTTTGCAGTTTCTTCCAAGGTGATTTTTAATGGATTGAGTAATGCATAAAAATTTGCAGAAGTATGCAGAAAGTTTGTATGCAGGGCCATGTAGAGCTTTTATCCTACAGTAAATCCTAGTAGTTTGCTGGTGCTGTGTGATTTTTTTTGTTTGTTTAGGGTTTTTGTGTGTGTGTGTGTGTGTGTGTGTGTGTGTGTGTGTGTGTGTGTGAAGCTTATTTATTCCATTTCAAGAAAAAGAAAAATAGACAAATTAGAATACCAAAAATAATTTGCAGCCAGTATCAACCAATTTATATTCAAGCTGAAAAATTAAAATAGCTTTCAGAGAATGGTAGAAGCATATTATTTAAAAAACAAACTATGAAGAAATGGACAGAAGCATGTAGACATAGATAACAGAAATTTAAAGTAAAAAGTAGAAAATGAAATTATTCCCTTTTATACCTGAAAGCAAATGATTTCCATGATTCTAAGCCTCTGTAAAAAGCAGCAACAATTTCATCATTTTCCTATTCACTCTTCATATTATCTAAATCAGGATTCTGCAAAATTATTTTCCTTGAATTACTTTTAAAACATACCAGAAATGAATTCACTACTCTAATTATCACAGCAATTCAGGGAATTATTAAAAATCAAATCAAATCAAATGAAACTTCGTAAGTTGTTTACAAAAAAACTTCAGGTTCATTTGCTTTTAATGCAAGACATGGCAATGTATCTCGGCCTGTGGATGTCCTCTCCATGTTAATAGTAAGTGCAAGTTTATGAAAAGACTAGACACCGACACCACCTGGGGAAATCAAAGCTTACTTACCTAAAATGCACAGGAGCCAAGAAGCATGTTTAAGTTCATGGGAGGGTAATGAATGCTGTTCTCTAGAACATGTTTCAAGGAGCTGGACACGTTTCCTTACCAGGGGAGACTCACACTGCAGATCATAATTTCTGAGCAAGTGAGAAGTGAGAGTTCCATTGCACCTGTGGGAAGCTCTATCCTCCAAAGTGTAGCTTTACACACCCAGCTTGAGTCATTCTTCTTTCAGGTGTATCTGGACATACTCCAGGGACTAGCTTATCTGTGCCTGGTGCACTTCATTTATCACGATTAAACAATATACAATTTGACTGAAGGGCACAGTATAGGTCAGTGCATTTATGCATAACAGCAGGACTTATTAATCATCCTCAGCTCCTGCAGGCTAAGAAATCCTGCTTAAAATTTATTTGCATGCTTAGAACTAGAACAGAGCTTCGAAACTAGAATAAGGGTCACTTACTCTGATGTCTCTGGAAGCTCATGAGGTCAGCCCTGAACGCTAAGTTGCACTTCTTGAAACAGTTTTAATGCCCACGGCTATCTCCCAATTCATTCTGAGTTTGAGAAGGGAAAAAAATGAAATGATATTTAGTAGACTCCTATAACAGTTTGGGTAACACCAGCTGTTTTAACAAACAATCCTCAAAGTTAAAGTGGCTGAAAGTTTAAAATGTGTTTCTCATTAATAACATTCAAATAAAGGCATTTCTTGTCTGGGTGGCTTTTACCAGGGAGTAATTCAGGAAACTGGCCTCCAGTATTGTAGCTCCAACTTCCTAGAGGGCTTCAGAGTTCTCCTTTTTCAAATGACACATGTTGAAAGAACTGGAAGAAACATTTATATGTACCACCCTCTAAAAGTGGTACACATTAACCGGGACACAGTTGCATGGAAATATAGCCAAGCTATGTATCCAGAAAGAAGAAAAAACAAGTGTGGTAAAGAGCTATCAGTCTATGCCTCAGCTTTTCAAAATCCAGTCTTACGGCGCACAGATCTAGAGAGAATATGTAGACCTTATATTATGTAAAGGCATTCACAGAACTATTTTTGTTGTTGTTAACATACTTGAGCTTCCCTACGGCAATGTTCTTGTAGGTTTCCCAGACTAATAGCCTTCAAAATGGAGGTGAATATATACATACAAGAAAAAAATAAGTAACTTAAGTCTTCTAATAAGATATGTTTTATAAAAATATGAAGAAGATATAGTAACAGCTCCTTACAGCAGTGTAAGACCTTTCTTTCATCCATCTCCTCACCTATGGTTACTATCCTCACAATCCCATTTCCCTCTATGTACATTTTACTTTATAACATTATGTTCTCATACACAAAAAATACAATAAAAAATTTTCCATTATCCAACAGAATTTATAAAGCCTACAAAATTTCTAAATATATCATTTTATATGTAATGAATATGCTTGTTATTTCCCATTAAAAAAAAATGCAGCGGCCGGGTGTGGTGGCTTATGCCTGTAATCTCAACACTTTGGGAGGCCGAAGTGGGTGGATTGCTTGAGCTCAGGAGTTTGGGACCCACCCGGCCAATGTGGCAAAAATCTGTCTCTACTAAAAACCCAAAAATTAGCCAGGAGTGGTGGTGGGCACCTGTGGTCCCAGCTACTCATGAGGCTGAGGTGGGAGGATTGCCTGAGCTCAGAAAGCGGAGTTTGCAGTGAGCCATGGTTTTATCACTGCAGTCCAGCTTGGCGACCACTTGTTCTTTTTTGCTTGTTTCTTTGTCTTTTGCTTTACTTTGCATCATAGAGATACGGGTGAAAATTTCTTTAACCCTTTAAGTGTTTCTACTTTGTCTCATATGCTATACCTCATTTGTTACTTGGAGTATACTCTTGGCCATGCTATTAGAAATGGATGATGTAAAAATGGCGCCCCCTGAAGTCAAGCAATGTGAAACATTTGTAAATCTCTACAACAAATGCCCTAAATTGTAGTCGCTTAATTAAAATAATTATTTTCTATTTACTGTAATAGTCAACAGGTAAGAAATGCAGTCTTGCATGGATGTCCCACTAAAAAATATATGCCATCTTTTAGTCCGTTGATACTTAGCATATTGCCCTCATCTTCATGGACAAAAATTGGCAATTTTTCTGTAAAATCTCTCTTTCATATTACTGATGACAAAATTCTGCACTTTATCTGAGGAAGAAAATGACAAGACTGACATGTGGGACTCACTTCTCACTGTATAATACCATCCTTGGCTCCTGCCCCAGGATAATTTTGATATTTTTAATTATCAAACCAAAACCAATAAGTTATATAAAATATAGGCAAAGTTACATTCACTGGGAGAATTTTAGCACTCTCAAAATAACATATCAGTTCCTATTATCCAGTAAATTCCTACCACGTCCCACGCTCCCGGAAGTGTGTCCGGATTCATGTTTTTCTGATAGGTGAATGCAAAGTCACTAGCCATTGCCATTTGCCAGGGATTCAGAGAGACAGAAGTGTGGAAATTAACATTTAGATGTATGAGAAATATATGCAAGAAACTGAGACTGAGCAGGCAATTTGTAGATTGCATACAGTGTAGCCTAAACATGTTTGCTTCAGTGAATTTGTCATTTCTTGCATGGGGTAAGTCTAAAATTATTTATTGTTTAATTTTTTTCATTAGAAATAAACCCTCTTGGAAGTAATTAAAATGCATATTTCACAAAAAATTAGTGCGATGATGATGACAATCATGTAACTTGCAAAACTTGAGTGTTGTTTTATCACAAACCTTATGAAAACAGATGCATCCTTGCCTTAAAAAGGAGAAGGAAAAAGGAAATGCTCTGGGCACAGCATGAAGCCCAGAAAAAGAATATTTCCAACAGCCCCATGGACATATGGAGAGGATAGAACTTAACAGGGCTCATCATCTCTGGTCATCAGAGAAATGCAAATCAAAACTACAATGAGATAGCATCTCACACCAGTTAGAATGGCGATCATTAAAAAGTCAGGAAACAACAGGTGCTGGAGAGGATGTGGAGAAATAGGAACACTTTTACACTGTTGGTGGGAGTGTAAACTAGTTCAAACATTGTGGAAGACAGTGTGACGATTCCTCAAGGATCTAGAACTAGAAATACCATTTGACCCAGCCATCCCATTACTGGGTATATACCCAAAGGATTATAAATCATGCTACTATAAAGACACATGCACATATATGTTTATTGAGGCACTATTCACAATAGCAAAGACTTGGAACCAACCCAAATGTCCGTCAAGGATAGCCTGGATTAAGAAAATCTGGCACATGTATACCACGGAATACTATGCAGCCATAAAAAAGGATGAGCTCATGTCCTTTGTAGTGACTTGGATGAAGCTGGAAACCAGCATTCTCAGCAAAATATCACAAGGACAGAAAACCAAACACCGCATGTTCTCACTCACAGGTGGGAATTGAACAATGAGAACACTTGGACACAGGGCGGGGAACATCACACACAGGGGCCTGTCGTAGGGTGGAGGGATGGGGGAGGGATAGCATTAGAGGAAATACCTAATGTAAATGATGAGTTAATGGGTGCAGCAAACCAACACGGCACATATATACATATGTAACAAACCTGCACGTTATGCACATGTACTCTAGAACTTAAAGTGTAAAAACAATAATAATAAAAAACTTCCAGCCCAAACAAAAATAGTATTAGCTACATTCAGAAGACCCCACAGAAAGGGTATAGTTTCCCACAGACACCCTACTAGAAAGCAGCTTCGTGGACAACATTCACCTCACCGTTTCCCAAAGATCATCATCATCACATCCTCTGCCTTAGAACCTATAACAGTGTCATTCATGGGGATGCCTCTCGCTCCTTAAAAAGTACTGAGAAAATTATGAGACAGAGAAGAAAGGGGGAGGGGATACAATTAAACTTTGTTTACAGAAGCCTGGGCTCTCCTGACTTTGATTTTGCTACTAAAGTAGCCGTGGGGAAATATTTCTTGAAACAATAAAAATGATTGACTTAGGTTTCAAAGTTTTTAACTCACAATAAAGAATTTTTTCTCCTTTCTCTTGCACTGTTTTTCATAATGATGGTATAAAACATATTAAGGTGTTATCACAAACAATTACTTCATGAGATTATATTTGAGTTTGGGGATTTCAAAGTCATTTTATTAAAATTAGCTGTATTGTTACACATTTTGTCTGGAAAGTCTAAGTAATGTCATCAAAAGCCCAGTTTAATTGCTTTGAAAAAGCTTATGCTTGACATGATATTCAGTCTCTTAGATTTCACAATTCATTCTCCATGTATTACTACTATGACTGACTTGTTTGTCTCTTTTTGAGTTCCTTCTAGAATTCAAAAGCATTAAGATTTAAGTGTGGCTGACTGCCACGGTTACTACTTGAGACCGTCATTACTAGACTGAATGAAGAGACGAACATAGAAATGGTAACAAAAAACAAAAGAAACTGTTTTAAGGAAAGGCTAGCATGGGGAAGAAGAGAGCTCCCTGCTTCTAGTGGTCCTCATTCCATCTTTGCATTCAGATTCAACTGGTTCATGGTTCATACTGGGGGAACAAGGTCCATGGTTGGGATCCATGGGTCCCTCCAGTCTCCTGTTCAACGGTCGTACACACCTTGGGAGCACCCACTCGGTTTGTTCATCTTCTGCAAAGACGTAAGTATACCCTCGTCCCCACGTTAGTAAATCTACCAAACAGAATCAAAAGTGTTTTCTTTTTTATTTATTTTTTATTTTTTTTTGCTGTAGCCGGGAGGCAAGCCATTACTGAAACATTTGTAACTCAGCTTCTGCCTCTTTGGTTAATTGCCGTGGGGTAAAACTTTCCACTGAGAACAAGAAGCAGGCTCTTTCTGATTAACACACGGCACAGAGAAAGCAAATCGAGGCTTATCCTTCTCGTAAAACAGTATAGCAAAAAGCAATCCTTAAACCTTCAATTTGCACTGTACAGGTGGGTCCACTAGATGCTATGGGTGGTGATAGATAAATCTCTCTCCTAGTTGCACTTCCAAATCCCTGACCACCTCGCTTCTTCTTATGTGGAGAAGGGTACAATTTACAGGGAAGAAGCGAAAATTGAGCAACGTATTGTCCCAGTTCAAAAACTCAAAGATCTTGTGACATTACCACTACCTGAATTTCTCCTTCACAATCAAAATCAACAACTCCTGGGCCTGTAAGTTAAGACAGCTTTTACCAAAATCAATCCCATGTATCTTGTTGGCAAAGATCCCCAAATACCAATGTGAATCTTAGTGAGTTTGTTTCTTTCATTTAATGTAATTGGTTCTCTGGGAGATCTAATCCTGCGTTTCCAGGTGTTCCTGGGGAGAGGGAATCCATGTGCCTCTGGAAACCCATCCCTGAAACGGAGTTGTGGCCTGGACAGGGAACGCCCTCATAGTTTGAGGTGCCCGGGTCCAGGCCCCCTTCTTGCTTCCCAACAGGGGGGTGCCGTTTTGATGAAATTTTGAGTGGTGTTGATTAGCCCAATGATTTCCTTTATTGCATCGAGGGCAAAGTCCGGCATTTTTTTTCTGTTAAGAGGGGGACTATGTTACAAGATCTCTTGTTCACAGAGGTCTGACGGCATTCTCTTTTGAAACGTCCAAGTTTTCTACACTTATGACACTTTCCCACTTTAGGGCTTGACCCTTGGCTTCTTTTAGATCTGTCAGCCACCAAATTTGCTATTGCCTGAGTCAATACTGCAGAGCAATGAAGCTCAGTTCCCACATCTTGACAAGCTCTGAGAAAGCCTCCCAAGTCCTCTGCACATCTCACAGGTGCCAGTGCACGTTTACAATCCATGAAAGCCAAAGCTAAAGTTAGCCTTTCTGTAGCCACCAAAGAAGACGATACAAGGCAATTTTCATTCTCCCTCTTCTGTTCACCATTTTCGATAGGCACTGTAGGTGGGGCAAAAAATTCTAAATAACAAAAAGATGGTACATACCAAAACTCCAAACAAACAAAAAAGAGAAAAGAAATAGCCAAATTCTTCCTCGTTTCCCTGTTTTAAAAACTTCCCATTCTTTGTACCTCTAGGGCACTGACCGGTACCTTTTTAGAGCACTAACCTTATGTCGCTGCCAACAGAGTTGTAATGGGCTTTCTCGTTCATCTAGTTGGTTTTAGTTTTTTTCTGTTCCAGCAGACCTTCCTCGCTCTAGTCCTATAGGACCCTATCTGTCCCTATCTGTCCCTGTCTGTTCCTCCAAATCTCTCCTAGTCTTTGCTAGTCTCTACTTTTGTACCTCTTTAGGACGCAGACCAGTACCTCTTCAGGGCACTGACCTTATATTGCTAGTCTTTATCTATTCCTATCTGTCTCTGTCTGTCCCTATGGTACCTGTTAGTTCCTGCAAGTTCCTGCAAGTCCCCGTCTTTCCCTACCTATCTCTACTTTTCTCTACTTACTTATCTCTACTTACTTTTCTCTACTTACCTCTACTTATCTCTGTTTATCCCTGCAGACCTCTTCAGGTCCCTCCAGGTCCTTTCAGGTCTCTGTATGTCCCTGATAGTCTCTGAAATGTCCCTGTTCAGGCACCATTTGTAGTTGACTGTCACTGCTACTACATGAGACCATCACAAGTATGTTGAATTGAGCCTGGAACTCCTAGATGATAAACATTTTTTTATACCAACCTTCAACTTTTTCATTAAAATTAGATTGGGTAGATACTATAAATAGTGTCCCAAGCACTAGTGGAAAGATTCTACCATGTCTTACACTGGTTACTATGAGTTTGGAGTCAGAGGTATAAGGCTTGAAGAAAAAAGCACAATGAAATACAATTTTATCCACCAATCCGACATTTTTAAGTTTTAGGAAAATTGTGTCTTAATTCAAGCTGCTATAACAACAACAAAAACAACATACACTGACTGGTTTAAACAATAGAAATTTACTTCTCGGAGTTCTGGAGGCTGAGAGTCCAAGATAAAGGTGCCAGTCAATGGTTACAGGTAAAACCTCCATTCCTTGTCATGTCCTCATAAAGAGACAGAGAGAGAGACCAGACAGAGAGAGAGAGAGAGAGAGAGAGAGAGAAAGAGAGAGAGAGACTCATGACCTAATTATTTCCCAAAGGCCCTGTTTCCAAATATCATCTCAGTGGAATTAGGGTTTTAACATACAAATTTTGGGGGCGACGCAAGTATTTTTAGTCCATACCAAGTTAGATGCAACTTTACCAAAATTATTGTGGGTAATTTGACAAGGTAAGAGAGGTCAGTGAAACGCAAATTATATGATAACTTCTTGGTGCTCAGGCAGTATACCTGCCAGGTTGTCTCCTGGCTAGAGGAATGAAACAAGTAGTATTCAACAAGACTTTGGTAGTGAGTAAAACATGGCATATAAGTTGTTTTTTGTGGGAATGACATAGTCTAAATATTATTTTGATGACATACCTGTGTATTGACCTCTCTTGCATCAAAATGACATAAACATGGAGAAATAATTCTGAAAGTCAGCAGGAACTTGCAACTCACTTCTGGGAGGGGACCACTTAGGGGAACTATGATATTAGACTGTGGCAATGTCGACCTCCACACAGGAGGAAAGAGTAGTCACATACCCTAAATCTTGCGTAACGTGGTGTCTTAAAATTTCAATAAATCTACTGAGTTAAATTAACAGCAAAGCAGAAAAATTTCCCAAAGCTATTTATAGCTCCACTAAAATGGAAGACAAGTTAAGAAAATGTGTGTTCTAAATAATCATGTCAGAAGTTAGTGTTTCCTTCAAATATAATCATAGGCCTAAGAATTTTTATCCAAGATTGATGAAATTTTATTTTACGCAACAATAAATGGAACACAAAGGCTGCACATCATTTTTTTGTCTTCTGTACATATCACTAAAAAAAAAAAGCATCAAACTAAAACAATGAATATAATATTAAATAGGGATTTTTTAATTGCTAATATTTTTAATATAGAGAAAGAATAATGTTTAATGATTAATTACAAAATTGATGAACTAGAATAGTGAGAAATCAAGGAGAGCTGAAATTTATGGAACTTTATGATAAACTAATAAAGGACAATTTTATTCCTAGCATTTTAATTATTTGCTTTATCATTGCATTTTAAATGCAATTATCAAAAATAAAGGTTATAACTAAGAATTTCAAAAATTCTCATTGTAGCAGAATTGGTAACAAAGAATTGAATACAGAGGGTGAATCTTATATTGCTTTATTATTATTAAAACTAAGGAAATATTTAGAATTTTGTGTACTAATTTAGCTACGAAGGAAAAGGAGGGCGTCATCATTTTAAAAATGTTTCCACATTGTCTACAGAAGCCTAGATTATTAAAAAAAAGAGTGGCCTCAGATAGATATCTGATTGGAATACACTACAAAATCTAGTAGTCAACTTGTTAAGATATCTGAAGATTCCATTTAAGACAGATTGTGAAAAAATATACTGGAAGAAATAGATTTTATTTAATATCCTTAAACATAAAACTTTGTTACCTTCTAAAACGCTATATTTAGTTTTATTTCTATTTTATAATATTGTATATGATGTGCTTTCTTTTCCAGGTAAAACTAACAAAAGACAATAAAATGTTATTAACTTGAGTTATGGTTAAAGTAGAAGAGCTGTGGATATTACACTACATGAAAAAAAATTCTTCCACAGATATTATTTGTGTATGCATACATCGATAGAGATACACATAGATAGATACAGATACAGATAGATATCGATATAGATATAGACTTGGCTATAGAGACTGTGGGTTTTTTAATACAGCAAGAAAAGAGAAATATTTATTTACACTGGATCAACAAAGGAACTAGGCTATTAACTCAGATTGTAATAGTCTAAAATTTTTCCAAAAATTAGGAAAAATAAAATATTTATATGAATTTTACCTGGAAGTGTTTCAAAATAGTTTGCAAAGAGTGAGAATGAATTTCAACTTGTGAGTAAAGGGTAAAACTGAAATGAAAGTTAAAACAAATAGTTTCCCCCTTTCATTATTAGATCATGATTTATTGAAAACAATCTTGATTGTTAAATATTGATTAAAATTAATGAAGGTGCAGAGTTCCTAAGACCTTGTCATTTGAACGTTATGAATATCTTCACAATGAAAACATTATTCGTGTTATTTATGTGAGCTTATATGTACTTTTCCGCATAAATAATTTGTACTCTTAGTTAGAAACAAATGAACTATGGCTTTTGGTTTGGTTTTGTTTATTTATGAATAAACATTAAGAACTGTGCTTATGAAATTTTCAGGAAATATACTGAATGCTTTAATGTACTCTGTAACATTGCAACATATAATTTCCCCTCTTCCCTCACTTTTTGATGTAGCTATCATTGCTTTGAGTTTTTATTTACTGGTTATTTTAAAGAGCTTAATGGTCTCATTTACTTAAAAGTGGAATAATATTGGACTACTATTTTCTTTTTTTAACCTCTCTAGGTCATTCTACAGTCATTACCTTCCAGCCTATTTGTTTCTGCAGAATCTACGTATGTAATACCTATAAATTTTCTTTTCATATTTGTTCACTCATCCACATCATTAATAAAGTTATTAAGTGAAGACAAACCCAGCAGTAGCACTCCCTTACCACCTTGAAATATTGTGCTGATGTAGAGGTTGTATCTGATTTAATTCTTCAAGGATTATTAATGTATGTGGAACTAGCTTTTCAGCCATGGAAATCTTTAGTACGTATTTAAGAAAAAGTGATTTAATGCTCAGTAGGGAAATGTTGTCCAAAACAGTGCCTGAAAAAAGCAGGTATGTGTCCACATTGGGCACACTGCAGGTGGGGTATATTGTTGAGATAGGAAGGAAAAATAAAATGTGAGAAAAGGCAAGAGACAGAAAACAAAGTGCAGGTCGGGAAGAGACAACTTTAACTTCCACCATTTGTTAATCAATTCTGAAATATTTTCATTTTTACAGCCTAAAATTATGCATGTGTTGGCATTTTTTTAAATGGATGATATTACAGTTTTCATTCAAGCATTGGTATAGAGCCTAACCTTTTGTTATGGATGAGATGTTTAGATTGTTAATCTGGAAAATCTATTTTCCTGTTATTGAAGTCACATATATACATATATGTATATATACTTTTATATATGTGTCTATATATAGTAAAAATGTGTATATTTATTTTAAAAAGTATTTTGGTTCATGTTTTTGTTCTTAATGTTGTCCTACTAAAATTACTTAATCATAAATCTTTCTACTAACAGTAAGGCAGAAACAGAGTAACAAGGGATTTTTTTTTTCTATTAAACTGAAGACAGAGAAGTTTGGTATTTATTTTTACCTAATATAGCAAACTTCAAAAAACAATCTATTTCAATAAAAATATTTTCCCCAGCTACAGCAATAAACAAGGGATAATATATAATCTAAAAATGTAATGGAAGAAAAGGCACAGCATTAAGAGATTGCCTTATTTTCCTTTCTAGCACATCTTGCTCTTAAAATATCCATTAGTCTATAAAGGGTGCTATTTACAAGGATCAGTTTCCCTGTATTTCTGGGTTGAATGATCCTCTACTTTTACTATCCTTTGCTAAACATGACAAAATAAGAAAATAAAAGATAAATATGAGATGAAGACCTCAAATGACATCAATTTCATTGCCTCTAAAAAGTTGTGATGATGAATGTTACCACTACTCAACTGAGTTTATGAAAAGGCAAATATACTTTTAAAAATGTAGGGGTGCTTATACAAAGACTTATGTGTTTACGTTTACTTTTTTTATAAAGCTGATTTAATCAAAAGATTTAGTTAAGGCCGGGCGCGGTGGCTCACGCCTGTAATCCCAGCGCTTTGGGAGGCCGAGGCGGGCGGATCACGAGGTCAGGAGATCGAGACCATCCTGGCTAAAACAGTGAAACCCCGTCTCTACTAAAAATACAAAAAATTAGCCGGGCGTAGTGGCGGGCGCCTGTAGTCCCAGCTACTTGGGAGGCTGAGGCAGGAGAATGGCGTGAACCCGGGAGGCGGAGCTTGCAGTGAGCCGAGATCCCGCCACTGCACTCCAGCCTGGGCGACAGAGCGAGACTCCGTCCCAAAAAAAAAAAAAAAAAAAAAAAAAAGATTTAGTTAGTAATTTATTGACTCAAATACTTTATGCCTTCTATTTCACATTTTTTACAGGTTTATAAGTCTAGATACCTATGTCAATTAGTGAATTTTCTACCAAGAGTTCATGTTTTGTTGCTTAAAGGCAGATAATTTTTTTATTTAAATAATATTAAAAAGAGGAAAATATTTCAAAATACCAAGATTGGGAGGTGTCTGGGAGATTTATATGTATTGCTTTTATTAACTGTCTAGCACTGGATTTATAAACCAGCTTATTTTTTTAATTTAAAAGCTCTCTGCCTTGCAATTTAATTCACATGATCTGCATTAACCATGCCATATTCAAAATTTCATTGATAAATTCTATCCAGTAGTCAATATCGAATTGTAAACTGATGTAATGTGCTTTAAAATATGAAGATTTAATCTTTAAAATATGAATATTTGATTGAATAATTACTACCACTAAAATCATGTTTACTTATTAGAATTATCATATAGGAATTGTTTTATAATGTATATGTTAATTGAATGTGATTTCTTGATACTTAGGATATACGTTAAGTATACATAAACAAATTGGAAATAAAGTTCTGATATACTGTTCCATGAAAGTTTCAAATCTTTATATTAAAGATTACCATTTGAGTCAGAGGCAATGATAGGATTTTCTGTACTTTATCCACATGTTTATATATATACATATATATATGTTTTCATATAACCTTTCATAAGGATAGAAAAGAACTATGAATGTTTCTCCATCAGGCATCTTTCAAATACAACATAACAATAACTTCCTTAAGTATTTTATTTAGGCAAAAACTATAAAATGATGGAATGGAAAAAGAATTCTCAATGATCAAACCAAAGCAATTATATTTGATTCTGAATTTTAAAAGATTAGTCCATCAATTTATATTTAGAGGTTAGAAAACACATTCTGAGAGACAGAAAATTATATTACTTTTCTAACTTCCTGGAGAATATTGTGCTTTGTCAAATTTTACATTTATGAGAAGTTTTATATTAAAGCTATAAAATCTATCAGGGTAAGTTAATATGAGTATTTGAAAGTTTCACTGTTAAATTTATATTATCACATATTAAATGAAAGAACTGTTAACTGTGTACTGAATTCAAAAGTTAATATAGCTTCTCTCTTTTTTAAGAAATGGGACACAATATTAAAAAATTAAAGAGTTTTCAAATATTTATACTTAAATTTATATCTAAGGAATTATATATAGAATGCATACCTTTCAAGTAGATACTATTGTTGCTGTTAAGATTATTGTCAACAAAATTTAAATACACAGACTATTAAATAAAGAAATTAAAACAACAAAAAATAACCTCTCGGCCAGGTGTCCTGGTTAACCTGTAATCCCAGCACTTCAGAAGCTTGAGGCAAGAGGATTGCTTGAGACCAATAGTTTGAGACCAGCCTGAGCAGCAAACTGAGACTCTATGTGTATCAAAAAATGTTTTAAAAGTAGCCGGGTACTGAGGCAGGCACTTGTAATCCAAGCTACTTGGGAGGCTGAGGTGGGAGGTATGCTTGGGCCCAGGATTTTGAGGCTGCAGTGAGCTGTGATTGCACCACAGCCCTCCAGCCTGGGAGAGAGAGGAGACCTTGTTTCTAAAAACTAACTAAATAAACAATAATGTAAAAAATCTCTCTTTAGGTGTATGCTTCTCTTTGCCAGTGTTTAAGGGTTAAAAAATCAATATGAGAGATTAACTAAAGTACCAATTTAGAGTTAAATGAGTGCATTTGCCACTTGAGTGCCGATTGCCTCGCATGACAGACAATATTAAGTGCTGATGACTTTAACTTTCACAAGTTTTATGCGATAGTGGGATAAATTTTTACTTAAAATGTGTTAAACTTCGGTTTAATTGCACTAATTAATGTCTCAATAGATATACTGTTGTATCTACCTCAAAATGCAAACACCAATGAAGTAATTCATCAGAAGACTTGATATGAATAAAGAATGGAACAGTAAAGTTGAAGATAAAAAACATAGAAATTGAATAACAAATACAAGTAAGAAACAAGAAGAGTGATAAATAGCAGAACATGGCATCCAAGAGCTGAAGGACAGCTCTGGATGCCTAACTTGAACGGATTCATGAAAGAGAACAAGGATGATAAATACTTAAAAACAAAATGAATGAGAATTTTCCAAAAGAAGTGAAGGCAATCAAATCGTAAATCCAAGAAACATTTCTAGAGATATAGGGGCTACGTAAACAAACTAAAAAAAAGGTAAAAAATTATATGAAGACAAACATAGTTGTGTTGTATGTATTATATAGTTAAATATACGTTATACACAGGCACGAAGAAAAGAAGTACAGGAAACCTGTCCTCAAGAACTATTTAACTGTATACTGGAAATTTTAACCAGTGTACTAAAGTAAGAAAAATAAACAAAAGGCATACAAATTGGATACGAAGAAATAAAACTCTATTTGATTCGTGGATGGTCTATGCACAGTATTCCATTATGTACAAAATAATTAAAATTATTAGCAGTGAAGCTGCTAGAAATAAATTGTGAGTACAAAATAATTAAAATTATTAAAAGTGAAGCTACTAGAAATAAATTGTGAGTTTTGTAATTTCACACTATGCACTATAACACTATAATGTTAATATACAGAATTATTTTTTATATATAATTGTTGCAGGAAAAACCCAGACCTGTGTAGAAGAACATCCCTCTGCCAAAGAGATAGTGCTGAAATAACAAAGAAGGACTCAGACAAGTCCAGCTTCATGAGAAGATGAGTTTATTAGGACTTACGTAAAGGGCAGCGGGATAACTCCAGAGATCCGCCTGCTGCCCACCATCTTCCTCTAAGCTGCTTTTAAGCTACTTTTTTCTTTTCTTTTCTTTTCTGTTTCCTTTCCTTTCCTTTCCTTTCCTTTCCTTTCCTTTCCTTTCCTTTCCTTTCCTTTCCTTTCCTTTCCTTTCCTTTCCTTTCCTTTCCTTTCCTTTCCTTTCCTTTCCTTTCCTTTCCTTTCCTTTCTTCTTTTCTTTTCTTTTCTTTGACGGAGTCTCGCTCTGTCGCCCAGGCTGCAGTGCAGTGGCGGGATCTCGGCTCACTGCAAGCTCCGCCTCCCAGGTTCACGCCATTCTCCTGCCTCAGCCTCCCGAGTAGCTGGGACTATAGGCGCCTTCCACCACGCCCGGCTAATCTTTTGTATTTTTAGTAGAGACGGGGTTTCACCACGTTAGCCAGGATGGTCTTGATTTCCTGACCTCGTGATCCGCCCGCCTTGGCCTCTCAAAGTGCTGGGATTACAGGCATGAGCCACCGCGCCCGGCCAAAGCTACTTTTCTGGCTCTTTGCTTACTACATGTGATGAAACTGTTCTTCTTGGTATGTACCTAGATATGCTCCCGGATGTTTTGGTTTTCAGGGACATCTGCTCCTCGGCTGAGCACCATGAACTTTGCTCACCATCTAGCCTTCAGGACTCAAGCAGTCAACATATGCCCTTAAATTCCCTGGTGGGGGACCCGCTACTTTACAACACTATTAATGAACAATTGGAAATTAGAATTTTTTAAAGTTACATTTAAAGTAGCACAAGAAACATTAAATTCTTAATCTAAAAAAACATGGAGAAAGGGTAACAAAAACTAAAAAAACACTGGTAAAAGAAATCAAAGAAGAAGTAAATAAGTAAAGAGCTTGGTAGCCAATATTGACAATAAATTAATTCTGTTCAAACCAAACAAAAAATTCAATACAAAAATTCAATCCAGTTAAAATTCCTAACAGGATATTTGCAACTAACAAACAAGCTCATTCTAAAACTTTCAACAGAGAAGCAAAGGAATTATAATGGAAAAATCATTTTGACAATAAAAAAATTGAAGAATCCACTGATTTATATGTATACTATATACATATATGTATATATACATATATTATATATACATACATTATTATACATATATGTAATATACATATGTATATCTGTTGGTGACTTTAACCATATGATTCATAATTTCAAAAACTGGTGAATAGTCAAAAAGTTATATACTGTATCTATTTAATATCACATTAGGAAGAAAAAGAAACAAATCTGATAACATAACAACATGAATGTGTCTCAGATTTATTATGCTATTTTAAAAGCCAGATTTAAAGGCCTATTCAGGATGCTGTTTGCTCCCTTGTGTATGACATTCTAGAAAATATAAAACCATAGGGACAAAGAACAGCGATTTCCAAAGACTGAGGGCAGCAGAAATACTGATTCAAAAGGCACAAAAGGGAATTTTTCTAGGTGATGTTACTGTTCTATATCTTGAGGATGGTATTTGTTATATAACCATCTATGTTTTCAACACACTGCATACTTAAAAAGATGACTTTTGGCATATATAAATTTTAATTCGATAAACCTGAGTTTTTAAAACAAAGATTTTCTGTAACCAGTAGACTCATAACACTGTCTTCCTGCCATTGACTAAGATGGTTTCAATAGTGGATTCCTCTTGTTCATGCCAGCCAATGTGTCTTTTGTTTAACCAAAACCCTTGAAATATCTTTGCCTCAGGCTTTTATTGCAATTTCCTGTAATTTAAAGACTTCACCCTCCTATTCACAGGAGTTAGTATCTTGAAATGGTAATAACTTGAAAACAGCTATGGTGGGAGGACTTACTCTTTGAGTGTAACTTACATACATGCAGCATACACCATGTATCAAGACTTTCTTTTTTTCTGTTTTTTTTTTTTTTTTTTTGAGATGGCGTCTCACTCTGTTGCCCAGTCTGGAGTGCAGTGGTGTGGTCTCAGCTCGCTGCAACCTCCACCTCCCTGGTTCAAGCGATTCTCCTGCCTCAGCCTCCTGAGTAGCTGTGACTACAGGCACCATGCCACCACGCTGGGCTAATTTGTGTATTTTTTATTAGAGACGGGGTTTCACAATATTGGCCGGGCTGGTCTCGAACTCCTGACCTTGTGATCCACCCGCCTTGGCCTCCCAAAGTGCTGGGATTACAGGCGTGAGCCACCGTGCCCAGCCGACTTTCTTTTCATTTGGATCACTAGTTTACCAACATCACTGCCTTTACTCAACTCTATTAACAATTATTTAACCTAGTTTATCAAGTCACTTGTCAAAATAGAGATTTATATTGTTTATATATGTAATATTTTACAAATCTGTATTTTTGTACTTCACTATCTAATTAAACCTTTGGGGTAACTTTTATGTGTATCCCAAATAGGACAGGACAGTCATTCATTTCTTATAATGTATCAGCTAATTTCAAGGAGACATCGGAATTTTTGTGGAGACATCGGAATCTGAAGAGCAAAGTGATTCAAATTGGGTCACAGATTAAATAATTTTTAAAATGTTTACTTTAAATATCTTAAAAAACTTTAAGGAGAAAATTAATTTTTCTATATTGTTCTTGGCCTTAAAATATACATTAAGCATTAGTTTTCTGGCTTTTGATGTTTTTCATAAAATTAGCTCAAAAAATGCAAAAAGCTTGTATGAATATATAAGGGCCTTTGTAATCATATTGTAATTGCTTGACATAGTTAATTTCTTGATTTCTGACTCTGGCATCTGAGTTTCATAATTGTTATGTAATTACTCTATTTTTTTAAATCATGTTTTTAAATGGAAGTTTCAGTCTCAGATCTTTTCTATTTCATGCAATAAATAATTTTTAGCAGTAAAGAATTATTTGGCAATAAATATTTTTTGAGACGTCATGCTCCAATGATATAATTTAGTCCACTTTCTGCTTGAAAATATGCAAAGAAGAAATCTCTTGTTGGTATTAATTTCAGAAGTCGTCTTTGCACACACAATGATGATCATTCTGTTTTCCTTAGATAATTCATGGTAGTGTAACCCAATAATATAATCTTAGATGTGTAACTTACATACATGCACGTGGCACATGAAGCATGTGGTGTACTGAGATGAAAATAAGCTTGTAAAAGTCATTGGTTACCTAACTGCGGCTTGGTACCTAGCACACCCTACCTGCAACGGTCCCAACAGTTACACTGGCTCTATTTGACTTAGATGATGCAGGGGTGGGTTCAAAATCCCTCTCTTTTTCCTAATTACATACGACTGAGCATCCCTTCCCTTGTCTCAATCTGGGATTTTGAGAGTTTATTATAAGATCCCCAGTGAAAATCCACCCAGGTGGTTCTTCCCTACCCTCTTTAAATGTTCACACCCTAGTGTGAACAAGCTAGAAGTGGATTCTTTGAGGCAGTGACAACAGACCATGTTCAACTTCTACACTCCTTGATGTTTGTGTATTGGAAGAAGGTGTGACAAGATGCCAGGCACCAGAATTTCAGGTTGGTCTTTATGGAATTCTTGAACTCTAGGGCTGCATCCCTCCCTATAATGAGGCAAAGTTGGGGAAGTAGAAAGTTCAATGCAGCCTATGATTTTTACCTCATGGTTTTCTATAACCTAATACATATCACATTGAATTATGTGTTAACTCGTGAGCATTCAAATTAATAGAGCATGCTGTACCAAAATATTGTCATTATTTTGGTTATTATAAATTATATATGGCCATGATCAGTGCTATAGGGCAAGACTATATCATTTTTTACTTCTAGGCTAAAAGGATTATGTTCCTACACATGAATTATGTAACTTTTTAAAAAAAATAGTGATATTTTTCTATTAGAAGTTAAAGCAATTAGTTCTTTACAACATTGGCTACGTACTCAAATCAACTGATTCCTGGGTTTCCCCTCAATCCAAGTAAATTAGGCAGAGAGCAAAACTAAGGAACAGTATTTTCAAAGCTGACCAGGATTGACAATGACTGGTATTCAAATAGCTGTGAATTTGTGCAAATGTAGCAGAAGACAGCAAAGGGTTCTGGATATGCCAATTATTATTTATTTATTTTTATTATACTTTAAGTTCTAGGGTACATGTGCACAATGTGCAGGTTTGTTACATATGTATACATGTGCCATGTTGGTGTGCTGCAGCCATTAACTCGTCATTTACATTAGGCATATCTCCTAATGCTATCCCTGCCCCCTCCTCCCACCCCACGACAGGCTCCGGTGTGTCGTGTTCCCCACCCTGTGTCCAGGTGTTCTCATTGTTCAATTTGCACCTATGAGTGAGGATATGCGGTGTTTGGTTTTCTGTCCTTGCGATAGTTTGCTCAGAATGATGGTTTCCAGCTTCTAGAACTGGAAATACCATTTGACCCAGCCATCCCATTACTGGATATATACCCAAAGGATTATAAATCATGCTGCTATAAAGACACATGCACACATATGTTTATTGCGGCACTATTCACAATAGCAAAGACTTGGAACCAACCCAAATGTCCATCCATGATAGACTGGATTAAGAAAATGTGGCACATATACACCATGGGAATACTATGCAGACATAAAAATGTATGAGTTCATGTCCGCTGTAGGGACATGGATGAAGCTGGATATGCCAATTATTATTAAAATAATTTTTGGGTTAAGCTGATTTTTACTTTTCTGAAAGAAAGATCCAAACACAATGCCTATAATAAATCTTAGAAATTGTCTGTCTCCATTGGTGAGATTAGTCAGTATAAACACTAACATATATAAATAAAACCAAACAACAGTTACTCTTTTCCATAATGTTATGCTTTTGTGTTCAATGAAATATTTAATTTAATTACTAAATTTCTAGCATTTCTCTGAAGGATAAAACAAATAAGCAAACAAACAAATTAACAAGAAAAAACCAAAATAACTTCAATGAATTAAAACTGTCTAGTGCTACCTTTCCTATAATTATCGTCACCAAATAAAGTGCCTATTGGACAGAGATGGCTGGTTCACCGCAATCTCCACTGACCCTTTCGCCATCAGTAAAAATGTCCTCTAATGCTTAGCCGGACACATGATCACCAGGAATAAATGCTATATTCCCAATCTTTTCTTAACATAGGGCATGACACATGTGACCAATTTCTGACCTATGTTGTGTAAGGGGAAGTAACGCGTGTAACTTCTGAGAAGCTGACTTATATGCAGGGGGCATGTCCTATCTCTGTGCTTTCTTCCTTCTTGGAAAGGCAGCTCTGATGGCTAGATCTGGGGCAGCCATGGGGCAACATGACAAGCAGCAGTACTTGGAGGTGCAAAGCAACAAGATAATAGCCATCTGGATTTCTGATGATCATGAAGACATCATATCTGAACTGGGGTGTCTGCATATCCCTGAGAGGCAAAAAATGTCTATATTGTTTCCGTGAGTTCTTAGCCTACACTGCACATACGAGTTATCAGAGAACTTTCAAAATTTATCAAATGCCCAGTCCTATTAAGGTATCTGGAAACTTATTCTTGGCCTATAATTTTCCACTGGGTCAACTATAACCCAGGTTTATCTGTCTTCTATATCCAGAGACTGTACCCTGCTCCTATGCAGTCTTGCTCTCTCCATAGCTTCATATGTGCAGCAGAACTCACCCTCTGCCTTCCATAACCAGGAGTGGGGCGCTACCTTCCCTCACCTGACTCCTGTGCTGCAGAAACTTGCTAAGAAACACGGAGCATATGTTTCAGACTCAGAATAAAATTATTTTTACAGTCACCAAGTTTTAGAGGTTCTGATTTAGTGTATCTGGGTGTGTCCAGGGTACCAGTGTGCTCCCTTCTCACTCAAATGAAAATTACTGGAACATGATGTTATTTGGTATTCAGTTACACAAAGCTGAGTGTAACTGATTGGTTAATAGTAAAAGTTTTGATTTCAGTAAAATAGTTGAATTATTCTAAACCATAACTTTGTAGCTACATGATTTGGGTGAGATGATTTTTTTTTTTTTTTTTTTGAGAAGGACTCTCACTCTGTCACCCAGACTAGAGGGCAGTGGTGTGATCTTGGCTCACTGCAACCTCCTCCTCATGGGTTCAAGTGATTCTCCTGCCTCAGCCCCCCGAGTAGCTGGGATTACAGGTGTGCACCACCATGCCGGACCGGTTTTGTACTTTAGTAGAGATGAGGTTTCACCATGTTGGCCAGGCTGGTCTCAAACTCCTGATCTCAGGCGATCCACCTGCTTTGGACCCCCAAAGTGCTGGGATTACATGAGTTAGCCACCACACCCTGCCTGAGATGATGTTTTTGAGCCACAGTATTCCCATCAGTAAACCGGACATACTAATTGTAATTTCAGGTATTTTTGTGACACATATATTGTTGAAATTATTATTATTAAATTACTGACTTTAATAATACATTCTTAAATTAGTTATTATTATAATAACATAATTAATATTGAAAGCAGTTTATAAACTTGCGTGGTGCTAGGGGGCACTACAATGTAAAGGAATTTATGTAATAAAAGTAAAGATGCAACGTTTGATTTTATTTTTCATGTTTTGTAATGCAAAAATTAACTGTCCTTTTATTTAAATTACAGCACATGCAAATTAACTTTTAGGTATATAATTATTCTGAATTATTTCAGAAAACTATTATGGTCTCATCACTGGATTAAAAAATGTAATAATATTCTCAGTTTAAAGAAAATGCACAGGTTTTAAATCCTCTGTGATAAGGGCCCATGAACTTGGAGCTGCTGATTTTTTTTTTTTTAATTTGCAGGGTTTTTACATAACAAATTATCAGAAACCAAAGCACCCAGATATCAGACTATGAATAGAAAACATCTTTCCTGAACAAATACAGGCTTTATTACTTAATTGTATTTACACTGATGAGTGCACACAAAGAAAAATCAATTTGTGGGAGTTTATTTCATTGGTATTGAAATTGTATCTTCCTTGAAAAACTTGGCACACAGTGCCTAGTTTGTCTCCCAGTTCATTATATTATTATTTTACTATATTCTGTGCTGTTATGTAGTTTTATATGGGCTCACTAGTTGAGTGTTCAAAATTGCTTTTCTGAACTATAGAATATTAACTTCCAGTATTTACCAAAAAAATGTTATTTATTAAAAAAATCACAATAAAAGGGCATAAAATAAATATAAATACTCAACATTTTCAAGGTTCTTGTGGAATCATTCTGAAAGCATTAAAAGGAGAGGCTGGAAATCTGCGTTTATAATATTGGTCATTTCCCTACCTACTTAATAGTAACATTAAAGCTTCCTCAGTATGCTTTCTGAAACAAGTAAAAATGTTCTTTTACCTTAACTTATACTGTGGAAAATCTCAAAGGAATGCTAGAAAACCATTCCAATGTACTCACCCAAACAACACAAAATACCCACACCTTCTCCAATTCAAACAATCATTTAATTAATCGAAAGAGCTGAGATGCACTCCCTCTCTACCTCATAAGGGCTTCCATCATGAACTTGATTGTGTCCTAAATTCAGTCCTCCAGGAGAAGCTCATCACCCTCCCCATGTCCTGAATGTCAGAATCCAAAGCTGGAAACTGCATCCTACTTAATCTTTATGTTTTTTGAAAAAGTTTATCTTTCTTCCCGGGAATAAAAACATCTATTCTCTGAGGCACATGTAAGCATTTATCCTTCAGTATAATGAACTTTTTTAGTCATATTGTTAATGACAAGCTTACATAAATTTTTTTCTGCTCCCACCTTCAAAGCTCCAAGCCCTGTATTCTTACAGGATGATATTCATAAACTATTCGACCTTAGCTTCCCTCCACTTAAGCCTTTCTTGCTCAGAATCACTCCTTTTATTAGTTATCTGTTGATGCTTAACATATTACCTCCAAAACTTAGTGGATTAAAACAACAAACATTCATTATGCCAACTTCTCTGGGTCAGGAACTATATCAGAATTAGTAAGGCCCTCTAGCTCAAGGACTCTCATAAGGCTGCCATCATTTAAAAGCCTTACTTAGGGAAGATTCACTTCTAAGATTAATCATGTGGCTGGGGGCAGTCCCCAGGTCCTTCCTTGCTGGCTGTGACTGGTGACACTGGCTCCGTGCTATGTGGACTTCTTAATAGGCAGCGCCCAACATAGAAGTCAGCTTCCCTTACAATGAAAGAGAGAGAGAGGATTCCCAAGACAGAAGCCACAGTCTTTGTGCAATCTAATGTTGGAAGTGATATCCATCACTTCTGCCACAGTCTATTTGATAGTGAAGTGAGATAAATTCAACTAGGACAACAGAGTAGAAGATTCCTCAAGGAGTTACCTCTACCAGGGGTACAAGTGACATGGAGCAATTTTAGAGGCTGCTTACCAAACCCATGAAATGTATAATGACAAAACATGATATTCCTCTTAAATGACTAAATAAGCACACCACTCTTTGATCAATCTCCTGTCTGTTCAGTGTGGCAACAATTCCCACTGCAGCTGTTCTCCTGCCTCACTAGGACTTTCAATCCACTGGTGCCTCAGCCTTTGCCTATAGCATTATGATCCTCCTGCGGTCAGTTACTCCCACAAGCAAACTAACAATGGCTCTTCTCAACACTGGCTTTATGTTAGAATTGCCTGAGGAGGTTCCAAAGATACATATGAGTGCCTTGGCCCCAATTGAGATTGGCTGACCCAGTGTCTCTGGGACCTGGCATTCTATTATGATACTAATATGCAGCAATAGTTGGGAATCGATATTGTAGATTCAATTACTGAATATTTTAAAATGTAATTGCCAGTAACATAAAACCAGAATTGACATACTGCTTCCCTTGGGCTAAATACAATCCATCACCTATTTTTTAAATAAATTCTTATTGGAACGCAGCCACATTTTCTTATTGTCCATGGTTGCTTTTGCAGAACATGGGAGAACTGAGTACTTCCTACAGAGACAATATGGCTCACAAAATAAAAATATTTACTATCTGGCCCTTTGCTTAAAAAAAATTAATGAGTTTTGACCTATCCCCTTTCACATCTTCATTTTTCTCTCTCTCTTTCTCCCTCTCTCTCTCTCTCCCTCGGTTGCTTTTGGTTTTGTCCTTTTTAGAAGCACATTGCAACCTCTTCTCTAGATGAACTCAACTATCTGATTTCTGCATATTTCTCAGTCCATGACTGCTGCTGAAGAATGCCATGCAAGAAAACAAACTGATAATATTTTAAGACAATGATCACCATTGGAAACCGGGTTTTCAATTGTGCCTGACATAACTTTTTCAATCTCTACAATCCTCTAATTTCTGACACTCTCTTCTCCCTTCTCACTTCTCTCTCTCTGCAGATGACTTTGCTACTGCAACACAGAGAAAATATAAGTCTTTATACTCATAGTCTTTCAACTACCTGGCACTAAATCAATATACCTGTCTCCATTTGCAACTATTATCTTTCTCCCTGATCCTGTCAAGATGATCTTACTCTTTGTTGTAGGCTACTTTCCTCCTCTGACTTCAGAATTAGTTCTCACCTGACATTAAGAGGAAATTTACATTGTTACCAATTTCTCTACTGAAAATCCAACTTTTTATTTCCACGTAGATGCTTCCCATCGTGGTTTCCATGGACTTTATTGTCTCAATGATTGTCATTTTAGATCTATAACTCTTTTTCTGAGCTTTGGGTCTATATAAGCCAAATTTCTGCTCAACGGAGCAACCATATCCCCACTTTAATTGGACAAGTCTCTCCAGAAAATAAATCTCCTATTTCCTGTTGTGTTAAATGAAGAATAATTACTAAGGTATTCAGTAATGATAAAGAATCTGGGAATTTAACTGTTCTTGATATGAAATTTCAAACTACACACTTTTTTTTTTTTTGGGAAGCCAAACCCACCTCCAGCATTTTATTCCCACACATGATAAGCTTGTCCAAGGTGTGTGTGGTTTGGATGACTTTATATTTTGTTAGCTTTCCTCTTCCCTCTACATATGGACACTATGTTTTGTCAAAAGGAAACGTGTACACTGGTTGCTTGTTAAAAATAGCAAGGAAGACTATTCAGGACTATAGCAATGGGGGAATAATATAGCTATAGTAGAGAGAGATTGAACTAAAATTTCTCCCAGCATGGAGCTGGAAATTTATAAGCAAAGAGCTGAGGGAGTGAGTCAGTGGATAGAAACTAATTAGATATTAAGGGTGGCGGGGGGTGGGGTGGCGGGGAGCGGGGTTCTTGCTAAACTGCATTATTGCTAAAGGCATGCCAAAGTGATAAGATATCCAGGGCGAAGTGATTCTCAGTGAACTGGCTTAGCAGGCGTCTTTGTTAAACTGGGCCTGAGAAGAGGGACTGGAGAAGAATGATTAAACTTTGGTCAAGATGGGAATCTGTCAGTTTTGGCCTTCTCTAATCTATGTGGTTACGCTGCTCGAGAGCTTGCTAAGATGTATTCAAGAAGGCTAGTGTATTAGCTTGTTCTCACACTGCTGCTATAAAGAAACACTTGAGATGGGGTAATTTATAAAGCAAAGAAGTTTAATTGGCTCGCAGTTCTGCAGGCTGAACAGGAAGCATAGCAGCATCTGCTTCTGGGGAGGCTAAAGGGAGATTTTACTCATGGCAGAAGGCAAAGTGGAAGCACGAATCTTGCGAGGCAGAAGCAGGACTGAGAGGAAGAGAAAAGGTGCCACACACTTTCACCAACCATATCTCATGAGGATGCTATCATGATACAGCATCAAAGGGGGAAATCTGCCCCCATGATCCAGTCACCTCCCACAAGACCCCACCTCCAACACTGGGGATTACAATTCGGCATGAGATTTGGTAAGGGACACAGATCCAAATCATATCAGCTAGTAATAAAGTGTATTAAGATTTAGGAGTTGATATGGTTTGGCTGTGTCCCCACTCAAAATCTCATGGTGAATTGTAAACCCCATAATCCCCACATGTCAAGGGAGAGACCAGGTGGAGGTAATTGAATCATGGAGGTGGTTTCTCCCAAGCTGTTCTCATGACAGTGAGTGAGTTCTCTCGAGATCTAATGGTTTTACAACTGTTCGGCAAGTTCCTCCTCCCATCCTTCTTTTTCCTGCCATTTTGTGAAGAAAGTGCCTGCCTCCCTTTCACCTTCCACTACGATTGTAAGTTTCCTGAGGCCTCCCCAGTCATAGGGAACTGTGAGTCAATTAAACCTCTTTCTTTTATAAATTACTCAGTCTCAGGTATTTTCATATAGGAATGTGAGAAAGGACTAATACAGGAATCTTCAAGGACATCCCATCCAAATTAAAAGTTGTGTATCACTTGCTTCTTTGACCTCATCTACTGTATTAATTACATTTATATGTATATACACACACACACACACACACACACATATGCAAACATATATATATATCAGCTTTACTAAATGGTCTCTATATTCTCAGTTTTATTGTTTCATTAGGAAAAGAAATTGGCTGGGATATTGGTAACAGTATATTTCTGCTTATGCTGTAATACCCAAGTTGAAACATTTGATAGAAATTGATTGATGCTTGTTACCTGATGTTTTAAAATAAGGGCTAAATAGTTATATATCTCAATATTATCGTTATCCTGGATGTGACAGGGTACAGATGTGACAATGCATGTTTTTATAGTGTGTTCTACTGGTGATTCAAATAACTAAGGTATTGCCACTGGCAACATAATTTTTGTAAATATTGAAAGACTCTGGGAAGTTTCTACAATAAAAAGACTTTTTCTCTTCAATTTCCGTAGTGGTTGCATTCTGAAAAATTTAGTTTGTATTAAGCCATTCAAAGTATTTACATGTAAAATATTCATTTCTTGACTAAATAATTACAGATGATCACTTACGTGGCTATCCATTGGGGCATTTGATGGGAATATTTTTTACAATGTAGGATCGCAGGATATCTAGTATTGTTTGTCCTCACATTGGAAATACAATTACTGCCTTCTGATCGTTTTGACAATGGAGACACTCAAGCATTTCTAAACAGAAAAAGCTGGTACAAGCACACTTGAAGCACAATACATCTGAAAGGCACATGAAGAGTTCAATAAAATGTTTAACAACTGAAAAGACTGCAGAAATAAATTTAAGTATTCTGTCTACACTAAAATCCAAATGTAAATTATATTAGAGTTGCAGCTATTTAATACGCTATTTCAGCATTCACATGCTATTTTCTTTTTCTATTCAGATGTTTTTTCCACTGCCAGACACTTTCTAACAAGTCCTTCAAACCCTCTTTATAATAACTTATGAAAATATTTGTTACATTATGCTCAATGATTTCCTCAATTAAAATGATATATAAAATAAGAACAAGTGAGAGGAAAAAAACATAGTTTGTGCATCTGTTTTGTGATAAATATAGTAGTTAGATCTATTTTATATAAGTTTTCTCATTAAACCCACATCAAACTTTTTCTCCTGTATTTTTTAAATGGAAAATGTGAGGTTGATAGGAGTTAATTAACTCTACTAATAGCTGACGGAAATGAAACTATCATTACTGAGAACTATGGTTGGTTTTTACAATTATTTCATTTTTTGTTGGTTTGTTTTTGTTTTTGTTTTTTGAGATGGAGTTTCGTTCTTGTTGCCCAAGCTGGAGTGCAATGGCGTGATCTCAGCTCACTGCAACCTCTGCCTCTTGGATTCCAGTGATTCTCCTGCCTCAGCCTCCTGAGTAGCTGGGATTACAGGCACGTGCCACCACGCCCAGCTAATTTTGTATTTTTGGTAGAAATGGGGTTTCTCCATGTTTGTCAGGCTGGTCTCGAACTCCCAACCTCAGGTGATCCACCCACCTCCGCCTCCTAACGTGCTGGGATTACGGGTATGAACCAGCATGCCCGGCCAATCTATATCTTTTAAGTGTGAAATGCTTTCAGAAAAATATTTCAACCAAAAGGGAGAAATGTGGAAGTTGTGAGCACCAAAATGGAGTCACTTACATCAAACCATAAAAAAATGAAGCTGGGAGGCCATGAAAGAGGGGCCTTCATGTACATATGTCTATAATAAGAACTGCTGCAATGGTTCTCTCAAAAACCACGAAAATGTTAGATATGATAATTCTATGAAGACATCTCTCCAGCAACAGCCAATATTATCAATGAGTATTTGCCAACTCTTGTAACAAGCTTCTCTGGCCCATGAGGTTTATTACAAAACTTACATAAAATTTCTCTTTTAAGATTTTTGCCTTCCTGATATGGTTTAGATTTGTGTCCCCACCCAAATCTCATGTCGAATTGTAATCCCCAATGTTGGAGGAGGGGCTTGGTGAGAGGCGATTGGATCATGGGGGTGGATTTCCTCCTTGCTGTTCTTGTGATAGTGAGTTCTCATGAGACCTGCTTGTTGAAAAGTGTGTGGTATTTCCCCTTTGCCCTCTTCCCCCTGCTTCGGCCATGTAAGACGTGCCTCCTTCCTTTTTGCCTTCTGCCATCATTGTAAGTTTCCTGAGGCCTCCTCCAATCATGTTTCCTGTACAGCCTATGAAATCATGAGTCAATTAAACCTCTTTTCTTTATAAATTACCAAGTCTCAGGTAGTTCTTTGTGCTAGAACAAACTAATACAGTCCCTCAGCTTCTTTGGTGCCTAAGGTCCACCATAGCATGTGTATTTCAAATTGCAATTTACTGCTATTTCCTGAATACACTCCACTCTTTATTTTAGAGAGTCAGTATCTCTGTTGTTTAAGTTGACATAATCTAATGTCAGAAGCAAGATGCAAAGGCTCCAAGCCTTCTTTGTTACTTACAGTTACAGCACTGTTATCCAAACAGTAACAAAGAAAGCCTTTGGAAGGCTTTCAAGTATCTGGCGATACTTGAAATTGTGTATGATACTCACCTGAGCCTATTGTGATCTTCACTTGTACAAGTTGTCTTTATGCTGCGAGATAAGTCCTCTCTTGGTTTGAGCTCCCACCTTTTCAGTGAACTCTTACATTTTGGGGGATCTGCTCTTGTAAAGGACATCCTTTCTGGTGAGTATTCTTTTGGTTTAATTTTTGGTTTGGTTATTTGTGCATGAATTTAATCTCATTAGGAAACAAGTTAAGTTGAATAGACCAACTAGTGAATTAATCCGTCTCCAAAATATATGTTTTTGGCATTTACCTGTTTATTTTGAAACTCTTTGTAAGAAATGTAAACCTGTAATGATAATCTCTGCTTTGTAAGGATATCTCCCTCTCTGACACCTAAAACACTAGATGCTTTCACAAAGCAAAAGGAAGAGACCTAAATCTATCTATCTGTGTAAACTCACCCTTGACCATTTCATTCTGAAGGCTTCCTATATATGCTTTTTTTCATCTCAACAAATAGTGGTGTTTAAGTTCTGTACCTTTGAGATTTAAATTTTCTACATTCCTTCACCTAAAAATCATCTCTTTGGAAGTACAAATTTTGGGTGGCCTAACTAACACTTGTTTATGGGCCAATTGAACAGATCATTAAAAGACAGATAGTCTGAAAGAGGGAGTAAAACTACTTGCAAGCCAGGCAAATAACAATTCTTAATGCAAGTTGTAAGTTCTTCCTCTGTCTGTATTTTTCTACGTGTGTGTGTGTGTGTGTGCGTATGTACAATTTTTTCTACCAAAATTCATAAACGGCTCTACTTAATTGGCTTACAGAGAAAACATAAGTGTTTAAACTAAGAATTCTCTCAGAAAAACAGAAACTCAATTGCCTTTTGGCTTATGTGATGAAATAATCTTTGGCAGACAAAGCTAGTTTTAAAATTTGTTGGCAAAATAAAAACAAATATTTTCAGAATTGTCAGCATTAATTACAATGTACAGATACAGTTTTTAAACCTAAAGTTACTGGTGAAACAAGCTTGCTATTACTGAGATGTATAATGAATGTCTTAAAGCTATAAATCCACTCATCGTTGTGTTTAAGGAGGAACTGAAGCACAATTGTTAAGAACAAGTGAATTAGGTGAATATACATTGACAAAAGGTTGATAATAAAGTTGTCAGAATTTCAAAAATAATTTAGTGTGACTTGAAATCTTAAAATCATGTTATATTAAATTAAGTAACACTTTACTGATTTAATATTTGAGTCATTTCTAAGGAAAATACTGAAATATCAATTGCTTAACAGAAGTTTAAAATATACGTAATTTGGCATCTTGGTTTCACATGTTATGGAAAAGCTAAACATATTTGGGCCTGTTAATTAAAGGCATAAAAATTATTTTATGAGATGGTGTTCATCTGCAAAATACTAACATGATGCACTTCAAAATGCTTACTAATTTTCACTAGAAATTAAGGTTACTAAGAGTTAATTAAAATTAATATTAGAGTAATTTAAACTAGAAATAATGAAGGGAAACAAATCTGTACGCGAGGGAAGGAAAACACATAAAGAAAGTTATAAGTAAGAGGTTGTGTTTTTGTTAAGGGAAAAAGAGAGTATTTTTTGTCTAAAAGTAGAATGTCTTACTGTTCCAAAAAGAAAAAGAGAAAAAATATAGACAAAAACTGAATAAGATAACTGGATGACAAATTTATAGAAAGTTTGTGGAAGATTAATCTTGTGAAAAGAATTTTATGTGTGACCAAGTTGGCTAAAGTTAAAAGGAAATTATTTATAAATATTCTGAAAACTTGAGCATTATTATCAAAAGTACAGGAATGGAAAACTTGAAATTTGTCCCCTGTGCTGAAACAACAAGCTTTTCTTTGAGTATTGACCTGCTCTTAATAGAAAATAGTGAAATGTTTTCTCTACCTTTTAGATAACTGGCCTAATAAACCAAGATTTTTTGTTTATCAAGGTAATTTCTTATGCTTTATGCTCTCTTTTACTAGGTCTTTGATTACTTGAGAAAAGTGAGTGAGGTGGGGCCAAGATGGTTGACTAGAAGCAGCTAGTGTGTGCCACTCTCACAAATAGCAGAAAGAGTGGTGAGACACTAGCTCTTCAACCGGAACATCCAGGTGGACACATAAGGATTCATCAGTGACATAGTGTGACCTTCGGATCACGGAGAAGAGTGAGACAGATCAGCCATTCACCCAGGAGTGGCACAGACCCAGGGGAATCCCCCTACAAGAAAATGGTGAGTGAGTGAGAGTCCCGTGGGATGCATATTTCTGCCACGAACCTTTGAATCCCTGGGCTCAGGAGATACCCCAGCTGGGGTCTCCAGACCAAAACAGAGAGCCATGTGGAGTCTGGGTAGAGCTGCTTCTTAGGTAGGTGTGGAGTCCCAGTAGCATTTGTTCCCTGGGTACCCCAAAACCAGGGGCTGCAGCTCCAGCAATTGGGAAGGCCAAGTTTTCTTGCACGCTCCCCAGAAAAGGGGCCAAGTCCATGGGGCTGAGCAGTGATAGACTGCAGACCTCACCACCACTGAACCTTGTAGGATAAGGCCCACTAGCCTGGGATGCTAGTGAGGCCACCCTAGTCCTCCTGAGTTCTCCAGCTGGGAGCAGCTCTACACTTCTCCGGCATGCAGCTTCCAAAGAGAGAGGCAGTCCACCTTTTTGCTGTCTCGCAACCCTCCCTCCTGCTGCTCTCAGGCTTGGGAGGGTGCACAGCAATTAGGGACTATCACAGAACCCCAGCACAGTGCATCTGGTGAACTTAAAAAAATCAACAAGTGAAAAACAAACAATCCCATTTAAACGTACACAAAGTACATGAACGGACACTTTCAAAGGAGGGCATACATGTGGCCAGAAAGCATATGACAAAATGCTCAACATCACTAATCATTAGAGAAATGCAAATCAAAACCACAATGAGATACCATCTCACACCAATGAGAATGGCTATTATTAAAAACTCAAAAAATAAGAGATGCTAGTGAGGTTGTGGAGAAAAGGGAATGATTATACAGTGATGGTGGGAATGTAAGGTAGTTCAGCCATTGTGGAAAGCAGTGTGGCCATTTCTCAAAGAACTCAAAGCAGAAGTGCCATTCAACTCATCAATCCTACTGTTGAGTATATACCAAAAGAAATACAAATCATTCTACCATAAAGACACATGCACGTGTATGTTCATTGCAGCACTTTTCACAATAGCAAAGACATGGAATCAACCTAAATGCCCATCAGTGGTAGACTGGATGAAGAAATGTGGTAGATATACAACATGGAATACTATGCAGCCATAAAAAGAATGAGATCATCTCTTTTCCAGCAACATGAGTGGAGCTGGAGGCCATTATCCTAGAAAACCCAATACCATATGTTCTCACTTATAAGGGGAGCTAAACATTGAGTACATATGGACACAAATGGAACAACAGACACTGGGCCTACTTTAGAGTGGAGGGAGGAAGGAGGATGAAAATTTAAAAATTACCTACTGGGTACTATGCTTATTATCTGGGTTATGAAATAATCTATACACCAAACCCCGTGACACACAATTTACCTATATAAATGCGTAAGTAACCCACATGTGTACCCCTGAACCTAAAATAAAAGTTAAAAAAAGAGAAAAGTAAATGTTCTCAGTATTAAAAAGCTATGTTTTTGTTGACAATTATGTAAATTTCTACATTTATTTTTTGAAATCTTTTAATTTTCATTTTGGTTACCTGTTATCGTACTCTGATAAAGTGTTTTAAACTGTTTGATGTTTTTGACAAACTTCCCAAAATAATATTTTAAATTAACTCTTTTTGCCCTCAAGTTAATTTTGATATTTCTCATTTGGACCCCTGGAAAGATCAAAGAATGTGTATCTCACATTGTAAAGAGATATATTAAACTAATGAGACTTACTTGATATATTAAATTATATAGGGAGTATTGTCAAATACTAAGTGGTGCTAAACCTTCTTTAAGTTGTATTTCAGAATGTTATTGATATGTGTTACAAAATTATATTGAATTCTTCAAAATCTGACATGTTATCGGTCATAATCTTGGTTATTATCTTCAAGTTTTGTATGCCACAGAAATAAACAAATTTCTTTGTCAATTACATTATTAGTATAATAAACTCCATGAGATTTTTAACCATGGCCACTCTAAGTCTGTCATCCACAGGGACCGACTGCTTTCATTCTTTTGTAAAAGCATTTGCCATCAGCTACAATAAAAAATTGCTTCTTCTCTGAAACTGATGATCCATTAAGGTTTAACCCATATACTCCTCTATATACCTCTACAGCCTCCCCAAATCAAGTTGATATATTCCCCTAGCAGTCTGTGCAATGGAGACCAACACTACATTCTTTTAGATTGTTTTAAATTACATTTTTGAACTTCCAGTTTATTACATACCAAGAGTTGATTACAACCTCCTTGTTTCATAAGTGGAAGCTATGTTAGGGTTGGATGTGGGTGCCATAATTTCTTCAAGGATCCCGGACAGAGACCCACATCAGGATCAGAAACCCTACGATAGCATTGCAGATCTCATGGCTCAATAATCCTTGAAGATTATAATTTTCATCCTACTATCAGTTGCACTTTCTGTCACTTTTACTGCATTAAGTCTCCCGGTATCAAACAGAGCTCTGTGGTGTCACTGACTGAGGAATGGAATAGAGATGTCCACAAGGGGTCTTGATATCATGACTGCACAGAGATGTGAAAGGAGAGACCACTTCCTCACCACCCAGCTACTTCACTTCTCTCCCGGTATCAGCCCTATAGTCGGACCTAGGCTTTCAGAAGTGTAAGTGTGCAAACAAGTTTCGGTTGGACTTTAAGAGGACACTTTGTCATAGAAGAAAATCCAGTATCTCTAAGCTGGTTTTCTTTTCAGGAAAACATCCTGAGGGACCAGTAAGCAGGGAGATCCTTTTTCTAGTTTGCCTGTAGAGTTAGGAAGACAGTTGATTTTTCAGTCTTTTACAGGATGCTTAAACAAAGCTGTGTAATTACATAAGGTGGATCTTTATCTTGCCTAAGAAGATAAAGTGGGAATCTTCACTCCGCCAGGGCAAATTTCCAAGGAGCTCATTTATTCCATGTCTTTCAAACTTTCATGAGATACATTTCTCTTTCACATTGTTGCTGATTTCCAAACAGCTGTCAGCTAGTTTTTTCCTCCCCCTTTCCTATTCTTCACTATTTTGATAGCAAAGCTCATAGAATTAGAGGACTTAGAAGATGCTTTGTAAACATTGCCACAAAGGAACTGCTGAAATGATTCACAGGAAGACTGGTCAGTTGGGAGAAAGATCCTAAAGATGTTACACTGGTTTTCAACAACATGCTTAGAGAATTCTTGAAGCAGATAGGTGTCAACCCAGTGAAAACAACATTTTGATTTATTTTTTTTTTAAGTTTATGGTGATTGTGTCGGTTTCTAAAATAAGCAAATATTCAAGTCAAGAGATGTTTTGTTTTTTCTTCTGCCAAGAATGGGGTTAGGGGAGCAAAGACACAATTTGGGAAAGGACATATGTGCTATTATAGGGATCACCTTTAAGTTTCTGGGAAGGAATGGGCACGGGTGAGTAGGTTGGCTCAACATTGTCCTGCACTGCTTATTAGGACCTGAGACATGCAAGGGAAATGTGGGTGACATCAGGGCACCCAGGGCACAGCCCCACTAACTGCTGTGCTGAGTTTCTGTAGCCTGCCACGTTTCCCTTGGTGAAGTAAATGAAGATCAAGGAGTCATTTTATGATGTCCTGGTGCTGAGAATAATAAATGTCTTGTTACAAACAGATGTAACAATGGTTTTTTTCTGGATTATTATCAGGGTGGTCAGCTCTGGGTTAAGCACCCACATCCAATTTGTACAATAATATTGATACATAGGGCTACGCTTATTACTGCTCAAGCATTCTGTTTTAATAATTGTGTTTTACTTCTAAAGGTTAAATAAAAGCAAAAAATGGGGCTAAACTATCAAACTGTTCCCCTATTTGTTTTCTCCAGTGTACAACATATATATGTATATATTTTATTTTATTGAAGATGCAGTAGGATACCTGCCATTTAAGAAAATAAATAGAAAATTTAAAATCCCAACAAATGAGAAAAAGAAATTCAGTACCCAAGAATAGGGCTGGTCCAGCACCACCCCGAAGTAGGCTGTGGTTTATGGACTGAAGAGCCTTGCTCCCTTTACATTCGCTCATGCTCCCACACAAGGCTAGCAGTAGAAATGCTTGAATTCTGCTTGGCTTGCCAAGGGGACTCAGGAGTCAACCAAGGGAACTATTTGGCTCCACGAGGAATGGACACCTCAGGATGCTTCCTGAACAGGGCCTAGTCAGGAAGTAGCCTGGATGTGCATAGTCATGGTCACCTTATGAAAATGTGTGGCAGGTGGCTCTCAGGAAAAACACCAAGCCTGGATCATCTGTGTGGCAGCTTTGCCTGGGGAGGTAACAGCTCCAAATTGAAACTGAACTGCATCCTACATGCTTTACCAAAGCAGTGATGAGAGTGATCAGTGCATGTGGTGTGAGTGGTAGGTTTAAAAAAAAGGGAATGTTTTACGCTCAGTGTTTCCTCTGTCTTTGGGCTACTCAATCTGGACAATAGGTAACCATTCTTTTCAAGGAATCAACCCAACTTTGCTGGCTTGGTTTGTGGTTTGTTTCATCCCTAGCTATGAGCATGCTTTGGTCTATAAACGTGGCTTGTCTCATAATACATTCCCTTTCTGTAATTTTTTAAATTTTTTATTTCCATAGGTTTTTGGAGAACATGAGGTATTTGGTTACATGAGTAAGTTCTTTAGTGGTGATTTGTGAGATTTTGGTGCACACATCACCCGAGCAGTATACACTGAACTCAATTTGTAGTCTTTTACCCCTCATGCCTTTCCCACTCTTTCCCTTGAGTCCCCAAAGTCCACTGTATCATTCTTATGCCTTTGCATCTGCATAGCTTAGCTCCCACTTAAGAGTGAGAACATGCAATGTTTGGTTTTCCATTCCTGAGATACTTCACTTAGAATAATAGTCTCCAATCCCATCCAGGTTATTATGAATGCCATTAATTCATTCCTTTTTATGGCTGAATAGTATTCCATTACATATATGTATTTATGCATATATATATATATACATATGCATATATATATACATATACATACACACACACACACACACACACACACACACACATAAATATATACCACAGTTTATTCACTCATTGATTCACGGGCATTTAGGCTGGTTCCACATTTTTGCAATTGCTAATTGTGCTGTTATAAACGTGCATGTGCAAGTATCTTTTTTGTGTAATGACTTCTTTTCCTCTGGGTAGATAACCAGTAAGATTGCTGGATCAAATGGTAGTTCTACTTTTATGAATTGTCCTTGTTTTTCTTTAAAAGTTAATACTTTTGATCACTATAGTTTGTTAGTGTTGGATTGTTTCCACTTTGAAATTTCTAAACTTTTTCCCTTCATAATGTTAAAACAAGTTATGTTAGATGCCCTTTCAACATGAAAGGTCTGTAGTTAAGATATTACATATATTTTATTGTTTATAATAAAAATCTAGACATAAGAAGTGCCAAGTGTTAATTATAATATTTTGCACAGTATCTTTTTTCCCATGATGTGTTAATATCTACAATTTCATTAAATGTTGATGTTATTCTCTACTGAGATTCAGAAGCCTAGGGAGCTATGTGTTCATTTTGGTTATTTTTGTTGTTATTTCCCTGAAGCAAAAGACTACATGGCCTTCAGTGCAACAACCTCAGTCCAATTCTGAAGTTTATTATACTTGCTTGCCTCTTGGCTATTTAACTTCTGAGTGCAAATCATTGAACTCCCTAATGAAGTATTGTAGAGAATAAATTAAAATGAATAAAGAAAAATACTTCCTCTTCAAGGAGGTTCATGAAAAGGACTCTAACAAGTATGCTGGAATTTAGATTTCTTATGAGTTTAAGATTATACCACTGGACTGGGAAAGAATTTCCAGGACTCTAATGAAGAAACGATGGCTTCTTAAAACATCTAACCCAGATCAAGTAGAATAAGTTTAATGAATGGGACTAAACAAACTGATGGCAATATTTTCGAGTGACTTTTTGTTTAACATTTTGCTGTTTTTTTTAAATTTTTTGTTTTCCAGATTTGAGAAAACTTTTAAAAAGCTATCTATAGCATACAGCAATTTGGTAAAGTATACTTTTATAAATAAAAATGGAAATATTTATTTTTTCTTCCTACCTGCGGCTGCAGTCTTCAGAGAGCTCTTATTGATATTTTTATTTTATGGCAACATAGTTATTTGCATTAATTCAATAAAAATCTATTCTCTTTGTAACAGGATAGAATTACAAACATTGGTTATATTATAAATGGTTTGACTTGAATGTGATATTTGAGACTATGCACAGGATGCCTAGCTTCAAGGATTCCCAAGCTCACAGTGAGTGAATAAACATTTTTACCTCTTGACAGGCCAGGAACCTCCAGATATATTGGAGACCTCAAGAAGAGAGAAATTCATGCAGATTTTTAGATACTGCAGCCAAAGTCTGATGTTCGCCCTCCTTTGACTTCTGACCCTTGAAAGGCTTTTAAAAGTCTAATCTGAGATTTCTTATCAAAAGTTCCATCAAAATAAACTTAAAAACAGCCCATGTTTCATCCCTTTTCTTGCTATACTGTTGTCAATAATCATGCCAAGTTTAATGAGACTAAACTTATTCAGCAGACAAATTAGTCTTACTCTGATTATCTTTAGTAGAAATAGGGATGATTGTACAGAGAAAAATTATGTTTCTGAAGAAAAACTGCAGTACACCTGTTAGTAGATTGTAGTTTTCTTTGTTGTTTTCAAGTTTTTGTCATCTATCTCTAAATTAGACAGGGCACTTAATTATTCTAATTTCCTCCAACGTCTGGCTATGATTCTCCAACTAAGAACATAAACTGCCTTGTTCCTAAAGTCCTACAAGTTGGAGCCAGAAAACTCCATGTAAATTTCAAGAGAGAAATCTCATGGCTATTGTGTGGGCTACAAAGAGAATTGACTAAAATGCCCCATGCTATACCCAGGAACATTCAAACTACAAACCAGAGTAAGAAGTTGATGACATCACAGTGTGGAAAGCTTTTCCCAAGACATTGTAACAAAACTGGACTCTTATCCTTCTTATTTTTTTTTTTTCTTGCTTATGCCTACATTTTTCACTTGGCAGAATAACGCTGTGGTTAGAATTTCACATTCAGTAGCTTCCGTAACTGAATGAAGTTTTGGATCTGTCGTGTCAAACCCACATCTTTACATGACCTAAGGGATCCTTTAGTCCACCCAGTGGGTAACTATGGCAACATCCCTAATTTATTTGCCACCTTGGGTTTCGTTGCAGGCTTCACCGCAAAGGCTATTGCCGCCCAGCAGTGCTCATTAAAGTATCTTGCTGAGTAGCCGTAGATAACACAACAGGACAGGATGAGATAACTCTCAATTATCTACTGGTTGAACAAGAATGTCTGTGCCATTGCTAATAACTACATGCTGTACCTGAATATATTTCTCTGGGGAAGTCAAGACCTAATTGCATAAAATAGCAAGACAGGCTTTATGGCTACAACAGATCTCACTCAGTCTCACATAGACTTTTGATTCATTAGTTGGCTGCCTTTGGGTCCATGTTCATAGACAATATTTCATGTTACTATTAATTTTGTACCGCATCATTCTTTTTAAACTTTTTATCTGTTTCCTGTCCAACCTCTGCAGAAATGATGCATCTAACAGAATAACACTGGTCCAGAACTTCCAAATGGTAGTCAATGCCTATGGAACTGACAAAATTGAACTTAGCAATGAACTCCAGGCAGATTTATCCTGAGAGCCACTCCTTCTGAACCTCTTTGTTTCTTAAATGTGACTAAAAGGGTTTTGACATCTGCTCTTAGTTGCTGGCCATTCACCTCTGATGCAGGATCAGACTGACTAGGAAAGGTCCACTCCAGCACCAAGAAACAATCAAAACCTAACTATAGGCTGATTAATCAGCAATGCTTTCAGAAAAAATTCTTGGTCAAAGGGGGGAAATGTTAAAGTTACAAGCAAAGAAGTTGACTCACTGAAGTCAAACCACAACAAAATGGAGCTGGGAGAGTATAAAAGAAGGCCCTTCATGCATGGATGTCTCTAAAAGAACTATTGCAAGGACTCCCTGAAAACTACAAAAATTTTAGATACGACGCTTCTATGAAGACATCTTCCCAGCAATAGCCAGTATCACCGATGAGTATTTGTCCATACCAAGCAATAAGCTTCTGGGGCCAAAGAGGTTTATTTTAAAATAATTTACATGAACTTCACCTTTTTTTTTCTTTATTTCTTCTTCTTCTTCAAAAAACAAACAAAAGTGATATATGTGCAGAACGTGCAGGTTTGTTACATAGGTATACGTATGCCATGGTGGTTTGCTACACTTTTCAACCTATCATCTAAGTTCCCTCCCCTCACCCCCCAACCTCCAACAGGCCCCAGCGTGTGTTGTTTCCTTCTCTGTGTCCATTTGTTCTCAATGTTCGAATCCCACTTACGAATAAGAACATGCGGTATTTGGTTTTCTGTTCCTGTGTTAGTTTGCTGAGGATGATGGCTTCCAGTTTCATCCATGTTTCTGCAAAGGACATGCTCTCATTCCTTTTTTATAGCTGCATAGTATTCCATGGTGTATGTGTACCACATTTTCTTTATCCAGTCTATCAGTGATGGGCATTTGGGTTGGGTCCATGTCTTTGCTATTGTAAATAGTGCTGCAATAAATATATACACGTATGTTCCCTTACAGTAGAATGATTTATATTCCTTTGGGTATATACCTAGTAATGGGATTGCTGGGTCAAAAGGTATTTCTAGTTCTAGATCCTTGAGGAATGCCCATACTGTCTTCCACAATGGTTGAATTAATTCACTTTCCCACCAACAGTGTAAGAGCATTCCCATTTCTCCACATCCTCTCCAGTATTTATTGTTTCCTGACTTTTTAATAATCTCCATTCTAATTGGCGTGAAATGGCATCTCATTGTGGTTTTGATTTGCATTTCTCTGGTGATCAGTGATGTTGAGCTTCTTTTGTATGTTTTTTGGCCACGTAAATGTCTTTTTTTGAGACGTGTCTGTTCATATCCTTTGCCCACTTTTTGATAGCGTTGTTTGTCTTTTTCTTGTAAGCATGTTTAAGTCCCTTGTAAATTCTGGATATTCGATCATTGTCAGATGGGTAGATTGCAAAAATTTTTTCCCAGTCTGTAGGTTGCTTGTTCACTTTGATGATAGTTTTTTTTTTTTTTTTTTTTTTTTTTTTGCTGTGCAGAAGCTCTTTAGTTTAATTAGATCCCATTGTCAATTTTGGCTTTTGTTGCAATTGCTTTTGGCATTTTTGTCATGAAGTCTTTGCCCACCCTGCCTATGTCCTGAATGTTGTTGCCTAGGTTTTCTTCTAGGGTTTTTACGGTTTGGGGTTTTACATTTAAGTCTTTAATCCATCTTGAGTTAATTTTTGTATAAGGTGTAAGGAAGGGGTCCAGTTTCAGTTTCCTGCATATGGCTAGCCAGATTTCCCACATTATTACTGAATATGAGATCCTTTCCCATTGCTTGTTTTTGTCAGGTTTGTTGAAGATCAGGTGGTTGTAGACGTGTGGTGTATTTCTGAGGTCTATGTTCACCTTCATTGGTCTATATGTCTGTTTTGGTACCAGTTCCATGCTGTTTTGGTTACTGAGGCCCTGCAGTAATGAAGTCAGGTAGTGTGATGCCTCCAGTTTTGTTCTTTATGCTTAGGATTGTCTTGGCTATATGGGGTCTTCTTTGATTCCATATGAAATTTCAAATAGGTTTTTCTAATTCTGTGAAGAATGCCAACGGTAGTTTGATGGGGAACTTCACCTTTTACCCTTAAAAAAGCTTCGGCTCCCCCAGCTTTTTCAAATGTGCCTATGGTTCAGTACGGTACACATATCCCAAATTGCAGTTCATTGCTCTTCCCAGATAAACTATTTTGAAAAGTCAGTCTCTCTGCTGTTTATTTTAATAATTTTTAATAGAAGTACATCTTTCTTAAAAGCATAGCAAAAATTTTAAGTACATTCACAATAATAATAATTAGGAAACAAATGATCATTGCTTTGATTTTAAGAATTATTAATTTCTTTAATTTTTCAAGTTGAAATATAGAACATGTTTTATTTAGTTACCAATTTATTTCTGTATTTTTCATGAAACAATTTACTTTGGTAAGAAATTTCAAGGAATCTGTGGCATAAATACATATTTGGTCAATGTTCCTTGACCCAAAGTATTAAGGCTGGGTTGTATTTAATTCAGTGACTAAGTAATTTAGTCAGGTTATTCAATAAATTAATGAGGTAATAATCTATAAATTGTTATAATCTGTCAATCTATAAATCATATGTAAAATTGTATTATAAAAAGCAAATGAGTCTTTCTAACAATAGCTAGTTCCGACAATAAAATAACTTCACTTTTAGTTAGCAAGCCCGTATTACATTTCTAAATATTGAAGTCTGTGCAGTAGTTAATGAACTTTTAGTCAATTATTGAGAAAAAAACTTTTAGTACAGTAGAAGATATAAAAAACATGATTGAGCTCAATTTCTCTTTTTTAAAAAATCACTGATTTCTTGGTCAAACTTTTGCTTCTTTTGGAACTTTTGAACTTTGTGGCCATGTGAAATGGCACTCTGAAACTTCTAGTAGACTCAAATTGAGGTAACTTTCTTGCTCACGACAATTTTATGTCCGGTTTCTAATATAAGCCATTATTTCTAACACATGCCATGGTTCCATGTTTGAACTAATGTTAATACCACCTGCCCCTACATGACTGAGTCTGAGCACATCCCTGGGCCACATCAAGCACCATGGCAGATTAATCATTCCTTATGGTTTTAACAGGCAAGCTGGGGAAAAAAAATAACTGTCTCCTCCAACTTTGGTTATGCGTGAGTTTCTTACCTTTTAATGGTGAAAAATAAACTTATCTGTCATAGGAGAAAATAACATTACACTCATATGGAAGCAGAGGTGAGAAGTGAAGCCTTAGTAGTGATGTCATCGTTGCCAATTACTGAAGCCAGGAAGTTAGGAATCATCAGTCTTTTTCTTTTGAATTAATGTGACAGTAGTCGAGAGAGAGAAAAAAGTAGGCATGCTGTATGTTATTTAGAGGATAAGATCTATAGATTTGAAATTGATTTGGCATAAACCCACAGGAAAGTGAAGAATCAAGCATGTATTCTAAGCTTCTGGCTTGAGCAAGTGAGCAATCAGCAACATCAGCCCTATGACTTACTAGATTTTTACTGAGGTATACTTTGTAATGTAATAGCTGCGAGAAACTGAATATCATTGAAATTTAGAAAAGGTTATGACAATGTCATTGGGTTAATAGATAGCCTTTTCTTACAAAGATTTGTAAAAAATGAGAGGCCCTAGACATTTGCTGTGTATATTATGCATAAAAATACCACCTCCAGTGAATTCGTTTGGAAAAGAAACTCAAAGCAAGGCCAGACAAAGGAAACAAAAAGAAAAGAAACGAAAGGGAAAGGACAGGGAAGAAAAGGCAAGAAAAAACAAGACAGACAAAAAATTGGAAAAATATGACAGAGAGAGCAAGAATTGTATATATCATAATTTTATAATATTTTAAATTTATAAAATTATTTTTTGACTTTTTTTAATTCAAGAAGACCCTGGATATAAGTCCATCAGTATATAAATAATTGCTAAGAACTGGGACTAAATTTTAAATAAACTACACTGTTGAAAAAGCCAATATTTTCAAGAAAATTGACCAAAAGGTATCCTTGTCTTCATTTCCACTGACATCTTATGACTGCCATATTTTTTCAGCTATGGCTCTTTTTCTACCAATGGCATGTCACAAAAATGTGTGAACCTCTGGTCACTCTAATTAGTCATACCAATATTGCATAATTTTACCTCAGAATGTTTTTTCCAACTACATTCTTTCTCCAGGGGCATTTATATTCAATGTTTTTTCCAGGGGCATTTACATTCTGAATACCGTGCCTCAAAGTCAAACTGGTTAGCATTACAATCTTGTCTGGTATTATATATGCATTTATTAATGTACAAATTGACCTCAGAAATAGAATATATTTGTCAGGAGTTTTAGGTCTTGTGTTCCCAACACCTAACAATAGATACTTGTTGAATAAATTATGAAAGGGAAAAATAATTTCTAAGAAATTTTGAAAACTTAAAAAGGAAACAAAGGTGCCACAATGGAAACAAAATTTCACTTTTTTTCCTCTGAGTTTAGAGTAAATCTCAGATTCAAACACATCTGAGGATGTACAATTATCAATTATGTAATTCCAAGGGAAAGTAATTTGTACTTACAGGTTAGATATGATAATTAATTCACTTAATTCTACTCGTTTGCTTTTAAAAAAAAAAAAGAGGCTGTCAGAAATAATACATCACAGTAAAACCTCCTATCAAACAAGAAAAGATTGTATTTGGGAAAACATTTTCATAGACCTAAATTGAGTAACGTTTCCAACTTACATTTCACCAGTTAAGCTTCCCATTAGAAAATGTGTTTGTATGACACCAGTTCCACTTGCATTTTTTTCCCATAGGTTTCCCAGCAGACGTTTACAATCCTTTAGTGATGTTATAGCCAGAATTGTATTAGGTAATAATATAAAATCCCTAAATTTTATGTACAAACCTTCACTGATATTTTTAGTTATCATGAAAGAATCCTTGTATTTATTTCTATTCTAATTCTCCTCATGTCATTGGTATTTTATATGTATTCATTGTAAACATGTGTTGAATGTTCCAAATTTATACAAGCAAAACAATGTACATATTCTAGAGCTTAATATTTTCCCTCTCCCTGTTTTTTTTTCCGTGGCTTTCTCTTGCTTTCACTATTGCAAACTCTGACCCTGAGAGGCAAGAGTCGTGACCATTTAGTAAGATGTATCGTTGAGTATCATAAAATAGTTGGATAGTCTGCTATTTTTTTATAGTAGCAAAAATAGAATGTTCATATGCTTGCCCATGATTTTTATACATTTTTAAATTTGTCTACCACATGCCTAAATTTACCAAATTAAGTCCGTGTATATAAAACATTTGCACAAATGTTACTCAAGTTGTCTGAAATAAAAATACATGTATTTTGCAATTTAGAGCACATGACACTAAAGATGTATAGCTCCGTTAACTCACCTTCTGAACAAATTTCAGCAAGAAATTTCAGAATGAATATAAAAAAGTTAAGAAATATTCTAATATATAGTAGCTGAAAAGTTTACAGAAGTAAAGAAGAAAGACACAAATTAGTAGATTCTGAAGAATTATCTATACGAACCCATAACTATTCTCTTTATTTTGGATATTCTATTGTTTCCTTATAATTTGTTTATAAGTTTCCTTATAAATAAACAAATTATAAGGAAACAGTGGAATATCCAAAACAGAATATGCAAGCCAATTAACAATCACCATTTTTACCAACAAAAATATTGAAAGTCAGAAAATTGTGGAATATCTTTGAAGTGCTAATAAATGATAACGGCAAATCTAGAATTTTATGTCAATTAGATTTAGAATTCAAGAGCAGATCAAAATAGAGACATCTTCAGACAATCCAAAAACTGAGAGTTTACTACCAAGAATAGTAACTTTTACAGTATGTACCATAGAATAAAGGATAATTAACTGGATGTAAATTCCAAAATATTAGAAGAAGAAAGGATGTGAAAAAACATATATAAGCAGTCACAATTTTATTTAACAAACACACCAACAATATGTGATTTGTGGGAATAAGAAAAACAACATGAATATAAAATAATGAACAATTTGTAGCAAATATTTTTAAATAATTGCAATTAAAGAGCCCTAAGACTTTGTATTGTTTGGGCTTGGTGTTAGTAAACTTTATATTTTATGTTAATAATGTTTATTAGAATATCAAAATTGCCTAGCAAAAGAAAACTGATAATGTGAATAATTTCCAAAATAAAAGAGATAAGTTACAAAAAATGTTAAAGTAAACAAATGCAAAACAAGGCAAAAAAAAAAAAATCAAAGTGAGAAAGACCAGCAAAGTGAATAAAAGGAAGAAAATATGACTTTAAATATAAAAAAATAAATAAATGAAAACCTAAAAAATAACATGCAAGTTGCCAAAAGAAAACGATTTACTTGACTGAATAAAGGTCGTTAAAGGATTTCTTCAGCTGGTGAGCACCAGGCAAACCTGAAGACTAGGTGGTTCCAGACTGAAGTAGGATCAGGCGTCTAACAGAAGTCTGTGGAGTATGCCTGGTTTAGGCTGGACAGATATTTTCTGCTTTAACTGAAGTTGAGTTTAGGTTTTTGGGTTCTTTTCTGTTTGTTTTTGTTTTATCTGTTTATGTTCCACTTTCAGAGTCTCATTATCCATCAGAACAATATTATATGAGAACAATCTTTGCAGCTGATGGGCTAACCACGTTCCCTGGGTGGGGCAGGGGAAGTAGACAAGAATAAGAATGAAGTGGATGTAAAGGAAGAAGGCAAGGGGCGGGGGATTATTACCCTCTAGTATGTTTGTTTTAATCGCTTTACACGGTTACTAGTTTTCAAATTTACTAAATATTTTATATGATTCAAATCATTAACTGAGAAATTTCTTTCAAATTCAGTGCTCTTTGCAGAGTACTGGCTAGATGTTGGAATCCAAAAATGAACTGTGAAAAAAGGCCCGTGTCCTCAGGAACTTATGTTCAGAAGAAATGGAAAAACAAAATTAAATAAGTGGATAAATACATGTGTGTTGTTTTACTAAGACCTTATTTATTAAATATTTTGCTAAGCCTATAATATTAAATCAGCTATTTATATATCTCTATATAACAATGGTTCTAGAGTCAGGAGGTTAACCTTGTGGATTCCTCAGTGACCTTGAGTAATCACTCAACCAAAATACATTTGTATTTAAATACGAACATAAGTTCGAACATTACGTTGTTACCCTAGCCACTTCACAAAATACGTTCGAACACTAGGTTGTTACCCTAGACACTTCACAAAATATTTGAAAAACACATGGATAGACAATTTGATGATTCTATAAATCTGGTAAATGAATTAGAAATATTATAAAAGGTTTTTCTGAGAGGATACCATCGAGCAAAAAGAAAATGACTAGCATTTGACACTATGTAACTTTAAATCTATATTTCAGGGACCTCTGTCACTTTCTTGGGGAATTGAATCACCTATTCCTACTTAGCAGCATGAAAATGAGTTGACTCTCCAGGTTATAGCATTTGAAGGCATGCCTGAGAGGAGCAGATTCAAAAATCAACAGGTGGTTGATGTTTTCTGTGGGGAGCATTCCTGCCTCAGTCCTGCTGCTGTGACCCATTCCTAAACAGCTTTGGGGTCTACAGTCCCCCTTGGTACCTGCTGGGGATTTGTTCCAGGACCACCACCAATCCTACCACCATCATCCCTTCATAGCAAAAGCCAGAGATGCTCAAGTTTCTTATATAAAATGGCCTAGTATTTGCATATAACTTACACAACCCTCTTGTATACTTTCTATCATTTCCAGATTATTACTTACATTAATAATACTGAATACAATATAAATGCTATGCACATAATTGTTATAAGGATTGTTTTTTATTTGCATTGTTTTATTGTTGTATTTCTTTTTAAAAATTATTCTTGGTATTTCTTTTAACAAATATGTTTGATTCATGGTTAGTTAAATCCACCCACAATGGGGGTATGGAGGGTCAGCTGTATTCAGGAATTTGCATTAACAGACTTAAGAGCCTAGTAGATTCTTTGCTTAAATGAACTCTGTGCAGACACAGCATTCAACATTTCTATTTTGATACTTTAAGCAGACTGCAGTGTTTGACAAGCTATTTCAGTAATATGCAATAATCTTTACAAAATAGACATAGATGTTCTGTGACCCCAAATTCTCTGAAACTCTAAACTCAATTATTGAATCTATAGTGGTGTTTCTGATCAGATTACAAGATGAAGGAAGCAACGGAACTTGGCCTAATGTAATGAAAAATATTGCTATCTCTCCACTGATTATTTTGGATGATGGGAGAGCTGTATAGCCATTTAACTAAAGAGGAATCCTTTCAGGAACTACTCTGAAGTACTTTAAGAGATGGAGTTGCTGAAGAAAAAAGATTGAAAACAATTGGCTTAGCTGTTCAGAGCATGGCAAGAATGTAACTATAATCTGTCATTGTGTGGGCAGACAGATGGCCTGAAAATTGAATAAATTGGAAATCACTGGAAGGCAGCTATTTTGTCCTTGAGTGCATTAGGTATCTTGGAAAAATGTTATTAAATGGTGAACAATTGCTATCGAAAAGTTTCTAGTTGTTTGGAACATAGAGTTACATAAAGTCAAGATTCTATTATTATTCTAATAATAGATAAAATCCGAATGTAAAGAAAATGTTTCCTATGAACTATGTAATTTAATTCTTATCAGAGCAATACTTTAAACAATTATTTGATTAGCCTGTGTTTGTGAATGTATATAAAGTAAGCAATAACCTTATTTTCTCCTCTTTGTAATTTAATTCATTAGAAATTGAGAATCTCAGACTTCTCTCCAGCCCTATTAAATCTGCATCTTCATTTCCAGGTCACTCATACACTGTTTAACCTTGAGAAGCACTGTTGTATATTGTCTTGAGAGTCCACACTATGAAATAAATTGGCCCTTATTTACTCCTCAATTGAAATTCTTCAGACTTTCTTAAAGTTTCTAAATAAGTCCCAGTTAGTGGAAATGAACTGAATTTAGTTTAATTTTTTTTATCATGCATTGCTGTCCAAAAGAAGAAAGCTTATTTCTGCCAACTTCTTCTTATCCTCAACTTCCAACCACTGTCACGTCTGTCTTCTTTCTTTTTAATATTTTCAGGTGAATTAGAGGTTTGTCAACCGCAAGAATGAAATATATGGTTTATGGCCTATTTTTATGTAACTGGTCATTCTGAGATCTGGAAAACACTACCTGTGTTTATCTGCAACTAAAATCTAGACACCTGAGCCTACACTGCATAGCGAAACAGGTCACTAGAAAAACACAAGCAATTTAGAAAGGCTTTTAATATTGAACAGTTGCATTTTGTTTCTATTCATGTCTATCGCTTTCTCTTTTTTATTCTAAATTGCTTTATTATATTCTATATTTAATATTCTATCATTAACATGTCAATGACAGTCAATAATAATTGAGGACTCAGGTTTTGTCAATACACTGATTTATAATTAGTACAATATGTTATGAGTTTCCTTCGCACATTAATATTATCAGCTCTTCATTTTTTGTTGTTCACAATATATCTTCAACTACCTTTTTATTTTTAGGCAATGTACATATTACAATTTAAGAATAACATCTTCTTTGTTAAATATTTATTTCCACCCCTTTTCAGAAAATTAGATGGTTTACATTTATTGTTAGAAATAATATAAAGCTTTTCTGGTTTTGTGCTTCTAAATAATATTATTAATATATTCTTTTGTAATTACAAAAGCTCCTTGTTTTTGTTTTGTAATTCCTTTCTCAATAAAATAGAGCTGCAAATATTTTGTTCCTTTAAATATTTCAAATAAATAATTTTCATTTATAATAAAAAATATAAAATATGCCAAAGAATTTATTATTTCAAAAAATATGTCATTCACCAATTTGCTTTTAGATTTGTGAATACAGTCTCATTTTATTTTAATACTTTAATCATAGATCTTAACTTTTTTATAATTAATTTTAATTTGTATTTAACATGGTAATAACATTTTTACTTAATTTTATATTGTTGGGTTAGTAGTCACTGTTAGTACACATAACTATTTTACTTTTTCAACATGTAATTTTCATTAATCTTATTCAGATAAAGTTCATTTTCACTATTTTTCTTCAATTGGAAATATTTCATATTTTAAAGACTTCCATTCCTAACAAATGTGGAATACAACATTTTTAGCTCAAAATATTTTTCAAAACAAAACAGAATTTTTCCAGTCTTCACATATAAAACTAAAGCAACAAGCTCAAGTCTATCCAGACATTTTATACTTCAGAAACGAAAATACTAATCTTACGTGTTTATGGCGGATGTTTTTCTTATAATTTTAGTTAAAAAATATTTGTAGAAGGTTTTTATAGTAATATAGTCAGAAAATTAGTCTGCATTTTTACCTACAAATTAAGCAGTATTTTAAAAATTAGCTCAGGAAATTTTATTTTATATTGTATTTTAGTCTGCATTTGAATGATATTTAAATTCTTAGATTTTCACTTTAGATGTGGGAACTCCGGTGCTTAATTCTATCCTCTTTAATTTTATATCTGTGATTTCTTCTGCTTTGTTTTCAGTTCTATTTTTTTCCTGCACTGCAAAAGAGTTTCTAAAGATTGTATTTAATATTACAAGCTTCATTTAGTGCTCTATCATTTGGCATTTACATTTTTACATAGTTTTAAAATTATATATATTTCTTTGTATTTTTTATCTAATTTTATACAATTTTAAAAATCATGCACCTCTAATATCTATTGACTAGGTTTAGCTTTCATTTCAGAGATAACATTAATAGTGAAAAATATTATCTTAAATGCAAAGATATTCATTATTTAAAAATTGATCAATGACATTCACTAAATTATCACAGGGACGAAAACATAAAATGATCATCTGTAGAGATGCAGAAAAATAATTTGACAAAATTCAGCACTGATTTATAAGAATTATCAGCAAAATAAGAACAGAAATGAAAATTGACCAACAACCAGAAATGACAGCAACAACAAAATACCAAGTCAGTAAAGATGGAGAGAAATAGGGAAGCAGTGAAGGTAGATGTCATTTCTGTTTTTAGTGGTGGAGTACAAGGTGTTCTTGTGCTTAAAGGTCATGTTCTTGTGATAAAACGCACTGCAGAGACAACACAGTTTAATTGGCTGAGGCAGGTGACTCCCTTTAAGCATCAGGGTGGAACAAACTACACGACAAAATGTAATTTTAAAGACCACTCTCATTCAAATGTAATAATATCAAAGCACCCTTAACTCATTAATGAGTGAAACAATGAGTGTCATGGTCTGAACTGTGTTCCCCTCCCCAAACCCGTATGTTCAAGCCCTAACCCCTAGTTATACACATAAGGTAAATGAAACCTCATTTGGACACAAAGTTTTTGCAGATGTAATCAAGCTAAAATTATGTCTGTAGGTGGGACTTAAAATAACATGGGTTGTCTTTATAAGAAGAGGGAACAGAAACAGATAGGATGTGGAGAGGACCATGTGAAGAGAGAAGCTGAGACTGAAAAGGATTTATGTATTAATATTGACAGAAGCCAAGGAACACCATCTGAAGTTCTGATGGCAACATCAGAAGCTAAGAGAAAGGCATGGAAAAGATTCTCACCTAGAGCATCCAGAGGAGAGGTTGGTCCTGCAGACACCTTGTTTTCTGACCTCTGACCTCCGCAACTGTGAGGGAAGAAATTTCTGTTGCTTAAAGACACACAGCTTGTGGTACTTCATTATAGCAGCCCAAGGTAACTAATATAGATGACAAAATTGGTTCCAAGGGTGTTTGAGGAACTGGACCTTTATAGGCATTATTTTCATAATACTGCATTAAGCTATGATAACTGGACTAGATTCAAAATTGGATAATGCCCTAAATGCAATAAAGCTATAATTTTGAGATAAAATTTTAATAGCTTTATGAGATATAATTAACATCTGGTATACTGCACATTTTTGAGGTGTGAAATTTTTAAACATTAACATACGTATATACTTGTAAAACCATCACACTAGAAAGAGATCTCAAGCCTCTTCTTTTGACTTTCAACACATTGTCAATCCAGTACTAATCTGGTTTTATTACCATATATTAGCTTTTATTTTCTACAATTATATATCAGTAGAATTATAGAGTATGAATTCTTTTTGTCTTTTTTCCTTAAGCATAATATTTTTGAGATTCAACAATTTCTTGCATGTTGAAGTAGCACCTTTTTTTATTGTTACGTATTATTTCATTTCATAGACATACCACTATAATTTATTTACTAAACTCTTGACCAGAGGTTCTCAAATGAGGGACATTTTACCTGCCGGGGACATTTCCAATGTTTGGGGACACTTTTGGTTATCAGAGGTTTGTGGAGGAGGGGATAGAGTGTCCACAGGCCAGGGTTCCACAAAGGATAGCTCCCCACAACAAAGAATTAAGCCACTTCAACAGCTAATAGTGCTGAACTTGAGAACGCCGCTCTTGGTGGACAGTTGCATGGTGTCTGTTTTTGACAATAATGAATAAAGGTACTTGTGCAAGCCTTTTTACAGACTTATGCTTTTCTCCCCGCTAGGATAAATGCCTAGGGGTAGAATTGGTACATGTAAGGTAGATTTAGTTATCCAAAGTAGCTGTACTGTGTTACACTCCCACCGTCGATGTATGCAAACTCTAGAGTCTGGTTTCTTGACATCTATGCCAAATATTGGTAACACAATTTTTAAAATAGTAGCTTTTCTAGTAGATGTGTATAATTATCTCATTTTATTTTTTATTACTAACGATATTAAGAAATTTTTCCTTTGCTTATTTGCTATTATATCATTTTTGTGTAGCATCTGTTAGTTTTTATAGCTCTCTTGTTTCTATGTTGTACATTATATTTATATATTCTTGCTCTTATTCATAATAAATAGTATATATAATTGTGTAATTAAAAATAAACATTAAAGTATAAATATATTTACACATTTCTGTAGTTTATCATTATATAATTATTGCTTTCTGAATAAAAAGAAATGTATCCACAGTTTGGATAAAAAGAAGTGCTTTCATGTAGTTTACTAAGACATTTTCTGTGCTTTATATTTGAAGCCTATGCTTTCACTTTTACACATTGTTCCATAATATATTTTGGACTCCTTTAATTTTGAACTCATTCACGCTTTTGTTGTGAGGAAGGACTTGAGGTTTGTTTTCTTCACATTTATCTCGTAGTTCTGCACACTTTGTTAAATAAAATTATCTTTCCCCTTTGAATAACTGCAGTATCTTTGATATTATATTATTCATATAAGCATGGATCTATTTGTGAACTCTATTCCATTCCATTACTCTAATTGTTTATCCATCTACTAATAACACATTCTCTCGATGACTATAGCTTTAAGTTATTGCATGGTGTTAGGAAGTGTGAGTATTCCAACTTTTTTTTCAGCTTTCTATCATTTGTTTTTGCTCTCTTGATGTACATTTTTAAATCAGTGTGTCAATTTATATAAAAATATCTTTTGTGATTATGGTGAGGATTTCTAGAATGATTAATTTGGAAAAACCAAAACCTTTTACACACTAAAATTCACTGAACTTTCAAGCCATGATTATTGTATTAGTTTGTTCCGGCATTGCTATAGAGAAATACAGAAGATTCGACAATTTATGAAGAAAAGAGGTTTAATTGCCCCACTGTTCTGCAGGCTATACAGGAAGGATGATGCTGGCATCTACTTAGCTTCTGGGAAGACTCAGGAAACGCACAATCATGGCAGAAAGCAAAGGGGGACAGGCACGTCACATGGCCAGAACAGCAAGAGAGTGAAAGGGGAAGCTGCTACACACTTTTAAATGACCAGATCTCATGAGAACTCACTCACTCACTATTATGAGAACAGTATCAAGAGGGATGATGCTGAACCACTCATGAGAAATCCACCCCATGATCCAATCACCTCCCATCAGGCCTCACCTCTAACATTGGAGATTACATCATACCAGATTTGGGCAGGGACACACATCAAAACCATCAATTATTGTATGCGACTCCATTTATTTAGAACTTTCCTACATCTCCCAACACTTTTGCTAGTTTCCTATTTAGAGAGATCTTGCATGTAATTTGTTAAAATCATATATACATATTTTATTTTTATTAGTATTTTACATGGATTTGATTTTTATCATTAATTGCTCATTGGAAATATATAGAAATAAGTTAATGGGTTGACTTATTTTTTCTATGATGTGGCTAAAATTACTAGTTTATTCCAGCAGCTGATTTTTACAGTCACTAGAAGTTTATGTGTAGGTAATGGAGTTGTTTAAAAATTTAGAATTGTATTTTTCATTTCTTAACTGTGTATGTTTTACTTATTTATTTGATTTGTCTCACTGGTTAATTCCTCCCATACAGTAGAGAGAACAATAGTGAAAGAGGACACTTTGTCTTCTTCTGGATCTTAAATGAATAATTTATTAGTTCAAACTTCAGTGTGATATTTCCGTAGATGCCTTCTATTTGCTTAAGGATGCTTCTTTGTATTCTATTGGGGCGAGATATTTTTATTATAATTCTATCTTGAAAATGCCAAATGTTTTTTCTGCCTCAGAGGAAGTTTATATATTTTTTTCATTTTACTCAGTTAATGTGGTGAGTTTGAAAATTCAAATACTTGAAAAATCACGTTCCCATCAAACACTGCTTCTTACTGTGCCTTTCTAAGAGGACTACCTTCAACTTGGGCATTTAGAGGATACTTCCCTTCCTATAGCTCAGGGTTTTTTTGTATTTTTTTTATGTTTAAATTTTAGTGATATTTCTTTTATGTGTTTTTAAAATATTTTATGGGCTACTGCATTGACCCATTTGTTTCAACTTTACAGCTCTAGTTAAATATAAAAATTAATAAAATGTCAACACTCAAGTATTACATATATCCCTTGATCTGGTGATTTAGGACTATGAGAAAAATGCTCAATTTCCCTCGATAGAAGGAAGTATGAACTTTTTTATTTATTTATTACTGTAGTCTCACAGCCTAAAAATCAGTAGGTCTCCACTGGTCAGCAAGCAAATGATCATGATTGTTTTTCTGAATTTTTGACAATTTCAGAATAGGCAAGAAAGCTAAGTTTTAAAAATAAAATGCCAACATCAAGAATTTAAAATCAAATTCGTCACAGTGAATCCCAACAGGAAATAGTTCTTCATTTTATGATTACTCAGAGATTTTGCTTGTTGTAGTGGTCTTCCTTCTGGCTCATAATTTTTTGCTACTCTGCAGCAGAAATAATAAGAAATATTTTCCCAGTCCACAGCGGTGAAGGAGAAGAAAACTATAAATCAAAAGTAGCATATTCTGTGGATCATTTATTGAAATAAACACAGTGAGTACAAGATGGGTAATCTATTTGCATAATCAAAGACACCCTTCATCTGTGTCTATTTTTCTCTTTTCTTTTCTTTTCTTTTTTTTTTTTTTTTTTTGAGACAGAGTCTCACTCTGTTACCCAGGTTGGAGTGCAGTGGCATGATCTTGTCTCACTGCAGACTCCGCCTCTCGGGTTCCAGCAATCTTCCTGCCACAGCTTCCTGAGTAGCTGGCATTACAAGGTATGGGCCACCATGCCCGGCTAATTTTTGTATTTTTATTAGAGATGGGGTTTCGCTATGTTGGCCAGACTGGTCTTGAACTCCTGGCCTCAAGTGATCTGCCCGCCTCAGCCTACCAAAGTGCTGGGTTACAGGCATGAGCGACTTGCCTGGCTATGTCTATTTTTAACATAGTTATAGTGAACTATAATTATTTTTACATAAAAACTATTCTTACAAATGTTATATGTATTTTAAGAGCATACAAACTTACAGGTTTTTTTATTTAATAAAAACCAGTGGCAGATTGATAATGCAGAATATATTATTTGTAAAAAATCATTTGTTGTCATACAAACATATATTTTATTTGAAAATTATACTTTTGAATAGCTTTTTGGAAAGTTAAAGTATTCTCATTTATTGCATACATTTGTCACCAAAATTATACGAAAGAGTGTTTGATTCAAAATGTGTGTGTGTGTGTGTGTGTTCCTATATAGGACCCAGATAACACATATATATTAAATAAATAAATACATGTATATATATATATCATGCACACACATTTAAATATAATGTAAATGTGTGTGTGTGTGTGTGTGTGTGTGTGTATGTGTATGTGTATGCAGATGCCCCTCTGGAAACAAATTTAAAAAGAATCCCCTCTTTTGAGTGTATAAAGAAGTTCCTTTCTTAAGGAATGGATAACAGGGGTTGGTACTTTGGCTGAATTCCTCTTCCTCTTACTTTCATTAGACTTGGCACTGTTGCATAGAACACAATTTTCCAAAATGTAATGTCTGTGTTATGCCTACAAATGTACCATACATAACAATTTGTCATTTTCTGTAATTACATACTGACCTATTTAACATTTATCTAACCACTTATATATCTTAATCAAAATAAATCAACCCATGTAAATTGTTTATTTCTATTGTCTTTCTCAGTATAATGCACAAGATACCTTTCTATCTCTATATGTATTTGTCATTTTCATGTCTGTCCCTACATGAGTTGACTCTATTTTTCTGTTACATAGATATGTGATGTTAGTACAATATATGTTAACTAAAAATGGATGATGCAACCTTTTAAAATTATGACCATCGCAGTGAAAATTATGTCTCTAAAATATCAGGGGCTTAGGTATTTTCAGATTAAATTAGGAAAAATAGAGTATCTTTCCATTTATTTATGTGGGCAAATTTCCCATTTGTTCACATTAAATCTTTTAATGGCATATTGCCTAAATCTTTCTCAGAAAAGCTTAGCCAAATTGCCTAGGATGTTTCCTTTCTCCCATATTACCATCACTGTATACCATCATATTTCTAATAATTTTAATTTTGGAACATGAAAATGGTATTTCAATTTAAATGCGTATGTTTTTCTATTTGCAAAGAGATTAAACATCTCTTCAAGTTTTTAAACTATATGCAGCCCTTCTTTTCTGCTATACCTGTTCATTTCCTCAAGCTATTTTTCCATCAGACAGTTTCATGTTTTCTCATTGATTTGAAGCTTCTATTAAAGTATTGTATACACATGGGTAAATGCACATAAGTTTAAAGCTTAGTGAGTTTTAAAATACTATGATCATCCAGAATAAGAAAATGTAATAGTCACACACCTGATTTCCACCCATCCCTCCTAACATAACACTATTCTAACTTTTACCAGTAAGGAATCAAATAGTGTGTGTAGTGTTTTGAACCACATTTTTTTGCTTAATATTATATTTGTGAGACGAATTGACTATATGACCTGCAAATGAAACTATTTATATTTATTTCTCTAATATTTTATTAGGTGATCATATTACAACTTATTTGTTTACTGTACTCTTTATAAGTATTTTAGTCCACTTTTGGGCCACAGTTTGGGGTTATTTTGGTGTTATTCTGAAAAGTGTTTTCATGAGTACACATTTTTTTTAGCTATATATATGCATGCATTTCTGGAGAAACCATCTTTACAAGTAGAATTTTGGGGCCTAATACATATCTTTATCCAAATTATTTGAACTAAGTTATGCCAATAACATCAATTTGAGTGTTCTAATTAGTCAACATTCTCATCAATACTTTGCACTTTCTCTTCAACTTAGAATTCTAAAATATTCCTTTCAAATTCAGGATTCTGAATGACAAGTACTTACATCTCATTGTGGTTTGAATTATTTTTTCAGGTAACCAATATAAATAAAAACCTTTTAATAAGTTCATTGGTTATTTGAATATTTTATTTTTGAAGTGTCTAAAATATTTTCTTTCTAATCCAGTCCAGTTATTTTTCTGTGGTTTGCTTCTTGTTGTCTTATTGAGTTCATTGCCTTTTTAATATTCTTTTCCGGTTAACATTTCCCCCTCATTGATCTGAAATGTTTTCATTATATACCACCTTTCCATATCTGTCAATGTCTTGATTTTCTATATGATCTTCATCTATCTGTAGTTATAACTCATTTTAATCATAGAAGCTTTAAGAATTGCTTAATATTTTGTATTGACTCCAAATTCCATTGATTTTATAGGATATTTCTAGCTATTCTTGCTTCTTTATTCCTCCAAGTAAATTTGTCTATTTTTCTAAATCTGGAAAAAGAAATTCTAGAAAATGTCGTTTTGTTATGACACAGAAGATATAAGTTTATTTAAAGAACTGGCACATTTATGATTTTAAGGCTTTTTCAAGAGCATGGAATTTCTTTCCCCGTGCTCAAGTCCAAATTTGTGCCATTCAGAAGTGTTTTCTAGTTTTTTTTATATATAGGTTTTAAACATTTCTGGTTAAGTTTATGCCCTCACATTTTATTTTAGTTTGGTTAATGACGTTTTACATGTGTGAGTTCCCTCAATTATTTCTTTTAAATGTTCTGATTCAATAGGAACACTCTCCTTAGTATCCTTAACAGAAATGATTCTTGTTTATAGAATTGCTAAATAAGTAAAGAAATTTTAAGTTAAATCATGGCAAGGAGTTATAATTATACTAAGCTTTTTTGTTCCTAGAGGTTTTGGCTCACTCATATGGTAATCTATATGAAAATTTTTCTGTGATATCTAATATTAGAAAGATCCTCAGTGATAGAATAGTGTTTCTTCCTAGCTGATTCATACATCTTTCTCTGCCAACATTTTGTTTGTTGAAGTGTTCCCCAACATATGACTCATTGCTTACTAAATCCCTATTGAGCAGCCAAAGCCCTGGTGACTAATTATGTCATTAATTTGGGAAAGTCAGAGACAATAAGACTGTCAGTTGAAACTTTGTAGGAGGTAAAAAAGTCACTGCTGTCAGCTGCAAAGATCCTTAAAACGGTCTTCAGTAAAGTCAAATTTTGTGACAAGAATTATTGCATCAAAGTCGGGGAAATACCTCTTAGATCAAATAAGATACATTGAAAAGCCAAAAATTATTTTTATCTCACTTTGGGTTCTCATAAGGTCTACCCACTGTTACTTGGATATGAGACTTAACAAATGGAAAAGAAGACAGGGGTACTGTCACACTGTATTTTCCTATGGCCTAATGACCACAATGGTTGATGAACTGCAGTAAAGTTTCTATAATATTTTCCATCTATTCATTTGCTCAATCACCTTGTAATGGTTATGTTGGTTAATTCCAGTCTTTCATGGGTAAGCAACAAAATGAGACTTAATTTGAAATATCCAGTATTTTTCTATTCTTACAAATAATTTTCAGGATCAATGCACTGAGGATTAGGAATGGCAATGTGTATTACTACTCTGATACCAACTATATCCAATCTAATGTTGGAATTTGTTTGACAAAGTGTTGTGTATTTGAAAACAGGCAGCACTGAATAAAAAGAATATGGGCAAAAGAAAAATGGAAGTGTTTTGAATAGAAGTCTAAAATATTTATTGATCAATGCTGAACTGAGTAAGCAGGAGATGCCTGTACATAAATGACATTATCCTGATCTAGTAACAGGGAGAAGCAGAATATCTGAAAGCTGTTTATTAATTTGATAATAATAAGATTAGAAACATGCAAATCAAGATTAATAGTATTCACTTCTAATTGGGTTTAGGTAGACTTTGACTATTTTGCTTCTGATGTTCTTATATTTTTAATTTTCTATAATGATCATATAACATATAATATTTTCATAATATTAAACATTTTAGAATTAAACTCCATTAGAGTGTGTCTTTCCTAAAGTAATATAAACATCCAATCTTGTCCTTAACAATTCTGTTCTCAAACATTAGCCTATTCCCTCAAGCCAGTGTTGCTTTCGACCCATATTGTCCATCATTTCAATTTATCTCAAAGTTTTTTATTGCAACAATTAAATGCTTTGAATGATACCCAAGGCATAGTTCTATTTCAACAAAATTTCAAAGTTAATAGTTACATCAAATTTTGTTGGTGCTCATTGAATTTGGTTATTAAAACCATAAGTAGTATGTTTTATGCTGACTGAGGGAGATAAAAGTAGTAATGTTTAATATTCAAACTGTGATGACTGAAAAAAAAAATGAGGCCTGTAAAATCTTATTTAATGTCAAATTTTAATTAAACAGGCTTAGCAGACCAAAATTAAAATCTCAATTATTTTTAAATTATTAATGACAGACAACTAGATTGAGTGAACACTGGCATCTCTTTTCAAATAACTTAGTTTAGTGGATGAGTTAAACATAAACTAGTTATTATAATGCAGCGAAGTATGTGAAAAATTTAATTTGAACCCTACTTAGCTTAAAATCCTGACATTCTAGGATGCAAGTCCTGCAAACTTTCCATATGTAATCAACAATTTTCTAAACATGCATGCTGTATCTCTCCTGTGTGACTTTGCATACATCATTCCCACATTCTAGATCATCCCGACCCACCTTAAGTGACTGCTTTTGCATAATCTCCCTTAAAATTCTAACTCAAGCACTGCATCTTTTGAGTCCTTCCCTAACATCTTAACATCTTCCTTCTTTCATTCATCATTAACTATAGTTAGTTATTATAGCACCTGTTAGCACTGTAAAATTATGTGTGTTACACAAGTACAACATGCAGACTAAGGTCGTGTATTACCTAGCCTCATACCAGCGTCACCTAGAACAGCAAAAATGTATGCAGATTAATCACAATATATTTGGATGTACAAAACATATTGAGAGCAAAATATGATGGAAATTTAGGTGATGCTCTTTGAGCATTGCTTCCATTTTCCAATAATGTAACCAGGAATCACTGTTCATGTAATTAAAGAACAATAAGTCTATGTGAATCAAAATATACATATACATGCAAATGTTAAACCTCAGTAGGAAGAGGCCCATTCTCTTGCTTGCTGATATATATATATATATATATATATATATATATATATATACACACACACACACACACACATATGTATGTTGTGTGTATATGTATATACACACAACAATCTATAGGCTTGCCTTTTAAAATAGTATAAGCAACAAATTTTAAGAGAAACAATAATGAGTGTGTAAAACATTAGATATGTGTATGTACCTTTGCTATTATTTGTGGAAATGGGGCTATAAAATAAGCTCCTTTATTTTCTTTTGTAAAACATTTCTTTAATATGAAGTAATGCAATACGTATTTATGTTCTAAGTGTTAATTTCCTTGGATATAAAATAATATCTTGTTCCTTTGATTCTCTTACATATAAGTGTATTTACTCAGATATTACTCCAAATACACCAGATATATTCAAAGTTGAAAAAATATATACTTTGGAATGTATTATCATCTTATGTCACATGAAGAAATCAAAATCTCTGGCATCCAAGTGCATTCCAGCCTGAAAAAAATTATGCAATTGTGAATTTAACAGAAAGCAAATTGCTCACATATGGAGTCAACGTGAAGCTATATCAATATTTATTAAAAGTTTATATATTACTTTTGATCCCCTGGAGAGAAATACAAAATTCAAATAATTATTCTATTTTTATATCCCAATTTGTAATTATGAAACTCTAGCATTTTAATTTTTCTCTTTCAAGTTTACCTGAAGCTTCACAAAATTCTGTGAGGAATCTATTATAACAGGTATTTTGCTTATTTCCACACAAACAGAAGGAAATGTGTATTTTCTATGCCCTGAAGAATTTACTCTTTTCTGTAAATGACATATGGTAGTTAATTCTTTTTGGTAATAAAATATTCCTGTTTTTAGGCCGAACAGCCTTTTCATTTAAATTCAGGGCAACATATCAAAGCTTTGCCGTAATAATACAGAGTAATCGACTAAAGTAATATAGAATTTAAATAACAAAGAGTTTAAACAATTTAATATGTCTTCTATTAATTTCAAACTGAAATTTTACAGAAATTATTTGGAATATGCTGCCAGAGTACACACACACACACACACACACACACACATCACACGCTCACATCACACACTCACACCCAGCTAAAGGAAATTACCACAGCTATAATGATTTCATTAAATATCTGAAATTAAAGTTTCTTTTGGATTTTCAGCTGAAGCTCATAGTAAATAAAAGTAATATGATCATTGTTGCATACTGTGAATCAACAGCACCCAGAAACCTTCGACTTTCTATATTTACACAGCTTAATTATCCGAACTGAAACCTGAGGCCATCTGTGTCAACATGATTTCACAATTCATTCCAGAAAATTATTTTTCAGGAAAGTAAGGCTGCAAACCAATAAATAACTTATTGTTTGCTTCAGGAAATTTCTGCAAATCAATTTATGTCAGTAAGCAACTCTCCTCTGGGCCAACAGATTGCTCACCTGGGCAGGTAGCAGCTTGTGTCAATTAACAGTTTACTTATGAAGACTTCTGTCATGGCCCTTAACTCACAGTGTCCCCCAATCCTAAACTCTATGTCCTGAACATTACCTATTCTTATCAGTCATTGGTCTTGAAAGGCCCCGGGCAACCATCTGAGCCCAGACTTCAATACTCTATCAATACCACCTTATCATCTACTTTTCTAACATGACCCCTCAAGGTGGTGACCCCACTTACAGTCGTCTTTTATTGAATTTAGCTTTCCCTAATCAACATGCTAGTCTATTGGATGCAGTGTCAGAGGCAAAAATCACAGAGGTTCTGAAAGCATCAGCCCATGGTTTTCTAAACATCATGGTTCAAGACCCTTAACACGAAACAGAAAGTTTCCCCGAGGCGCCGTAAACAACCCATTTGGGCGCTTCCCTGATAATTATAGTGAAATCTGGCATCTAATTTTTTTTGGTGGACTCTCAAATTTTATATTTATGTTTTGATTCCTAGAAATAAAAAATGTTTTTATAAGGAATTCTTTGATCGTTTATGTTTTATTCTTGATAGAAACCTACTACTTTATAACTTCGTTTATGTTTTACTCTTGATAGAAACCTACTACTTTATAACTTCGAACATTATTGATGTTCTTCCTGTATTTCTGAGAGGTGACAGCTTGCTGGCATCCCTCGCTGGCTCTCGGCGCCTCCTCGGCCTCAGCCCACTCTGGCCGCGCTTGAGGAGCCCTTCAGCCCGCAGCTGCACCGTGGGAGCCCCTCTCTGTGCTGGCTGAGGCCTGAGCGGGCTCCCTCTGCTGGCGGGGAGGTGTGGAGGGAGAGGCGCGGGCCGGAACCTGGGCTGCCTGCGGTGCTCGCAGGTCCAGCGCGACTTCCGGGTGGGCGCGGGCTCAGCGCGACTTCCGGGTGGGCGCGGGCTCGGCGCGCCCCGCACTGTTGAGCGGTCGGCTGGCGCCGCCGGCCCTGGGCAGTGAGAGGCTTAGCACCCGGGCCAGCAGCTGCGGAGGGTGCACTGGGTCCTCCAACAGTGATGGCCCGCCGGCGCCGCGCTCGAATTTTCGCTGGGCCTCAGCCACCTCCCCGCGGGGCAAGGGGGCAGGGCTCGGGACCTGCAGCCTGCCATGCTGGAGCCCTCACCCTCCTCCCCGCCCCCGTCCCCTGCCCCCCGCCCCCCGCCCCCCGCCCCCCAACCGCAGGCTCCCGCGCGCCACCCCGAGGGGACGGGCGCCACCTCCTGCTACGCGGCACCCGGTCCCGTCAACCGCCCAACGGCTGAGGAGTGCGGCAGCGCGCCAGAGACTGGCGGGCAGCTCCGCCCGCGGCCGGGATGCACTAGGCAAAGCCAGCTGGGCTCCTGAGTCCGGTGGGTACTTGGAGAACTTACTACGTCTAGCTGGAGGATTGTAAATGCACCAATCAGCATGCTGTGTCTAGCTCAAGGTATGTGAACGCACTAATCAGTGCTCTGTGTCTAGCTAATCTGGTGGGGACTTGGAGAACTTTTGTGTCTAGCTAAAGGATTGTAAACAGACCAAGCAGCTCTCTGTAAAATGAACCCATCAGCTCTCTATGAAATGGACCGATCATCAGGATGTGGGTGGGGTGAGATAAGGGAATAAAAGCAGCTGCCAGAGCCAGCAACAGCAACGTGCTAGGGTCCCTTTCCACAGTGTGGAGGCTTTGTTCTTTTGCTCTTTGCAGTCTTGCTGCTGCTCACTGTTTGGCTCTGCGCAGAGCTGTAACACTCACCGAGAAGGTCTGCAGCTTCACCCAAAGATATTCCAAAGATACAGAAAACTATATAGAGACATTTTGTATAGTTCTAATAGCATATAATCCACAGGTCCCTGATCTATAATATGGGTTTTTTATAAAATTGTTTTTTTGTATGCTATGAGGAATTTTACTTGTTAAAAAGAAGAGGTGGAAAGGCAGAATATGAAAACTATGAAAATGACATAAGAGACTATGAATTAGGTGAGAAACCAGAGAGGTTTAGAAACCTGTAGACATTGTGCATCCCCCAATGCCTTTCCCCTTAAAAAAAATTATATTCTAATCCAGTCCATCAAATAAAGTCTACGTTCATTAGAAACATATTCTCTTGGTTTTTATAATTTCAGTTTTTTTCAGACACAGATAGTGCATATGCAGATTTGTTACTTTTGTACAGTGCACCCTGGTAGTGAGCATAGTACCCAGTAGGTAGTTATTCAGCCCATGCTCCCCTCTTTCCCCCACCCCCGTAGCCTGCAGCATGTCTTGTTCCCATGTTAATGTTCCTGTGTGCTCAGTGTTTAGGTTCCACTTATAAGTGAGAATGTGTGGTATCTGGTTTTCTTTTCCAGCACTAATTTGCTTAGGATTATGTCCTTAGCTCCATCCATGTTGCTGCAAAGGACATAATTTCATTCTTTTTTATGGAGGCATAGTATTCCATAGTGTATATGTACCACATTTTCTTTATCCAATCCACCTTTGATGGGCACCTAGGTTCATTCCATGTCTGTGCTATTGTGAATAACATGCTGATGAACGTACGAGTGCATGTATATTTTTCTGGTAGAATAATTTATTTTCCTTTGAATATATACCCAGTAATGGGAATGCTGGGTCGAAGGGTATCTCTGTTTTAAGTTCTTAGAGAAATCTCCAAAATACTTTCCACAGTACCTGAACCAGTTTACATTTCCATCAACAGTAGTGTATAAGCATTCCCTTTACTCTGCAGCCTGGCCAACATCTAATTTTTTTACTTTTTAATTATAGCTGTTGTGACTGATGTGAGATGGCATCTTACTGTGGTTTTTGCTTGCATTTATTTATTTGATGATTAGTAAGGATGAGTGTTTTTTCATATACTTGAGTGTCTTCTTTTGAGAAAATATCTGTTCATGTCCTTTGCCTTTTCTTGATTTAAATTTTAAGTTCTGGGGTACATGTGCAGGAAGCGCAGTTTTGTTACATAGATAAACGTGTGTGGTGGTGGTTTGCTGCACCTATCAACCCATCACCTAGGTATTAAGCCCAGCATGCATTAGCTATTTTTCCTGATGCTCTCCCTCTCCTCAACCCCCTACAGAAAATTATAGTGTGTGTTGTGTGTTGTTCCCCATTGTGTGTTGTTCCCCTCCCTGTGTCCATGTGTTCCCATTGTTCAGCTCCCACTTATAAGTGAGAAGATGCGGAGTTTGATTTTCTGCTCCTGTATTAGCTTTGCCCTTTTTAACTGGGGTTGTTTTATGCTTGTCATTTTTTCTTCCTTATGGATTTGTTATATTAGATCTTTATCAGATGCATAGTTTGCAAATATTTTCTCCCATTCTGTAAGTTGTCTGTTTACTCTGTGGATAGTTTCTATTGCTGTGCAGAAGCTTTTTAGTTTGATTGACTTTCACTTGTCAGTTTCGTTTTTGTTGCAATTGTTTTTAGAAACTTAGCCAAAAATTATTTGCCAAGGCCAATGTCGAGAAAAATATTTCCTAGGTTTTGTTTTAGAGTTTTCATAATCTGAAGTCTTACATTTTAACCTTTAATCCATCTTGAATTAATTTGTGTGTATGGTGGAAGGTAAGCATCCAGTTTCACTCTTCTGCTTATGGCTAGCGAATTATCCCAGCACCATTTATTGAATAGGGTGCCTTTTCCCCATTGTTTGTTTTTGTTGGCCTTGTCCACGATCCAGATGGTGGTAAGTGTGCAGCTTTATTTTTGAGTGTTCTATTCTGTTCCATTGGCTTAAGTGTCTGCTTTTGTAACAGTATCATGGTTAGTGTACACTTATAGTATAGCTGGAAATTGGGTAGTATGACGCCTCTCTGGCTTTATTATTTTTGCTCAGAATTGCTTTGGCCATTCTGGCTTTTGGGGGTGTTCCATATAAATTTAGAATAGTTTTTTCTAATTCTGTGAAGAATGATGTTGGTAGTTTCATGGAGATAGCCTTGAATCTACAAGTTGCTTTGGGCAGTGTGGCCATTTTAACATATTGATTCTTTTAATCTGTAAACATGGAATGTTATTCCATTTATTTGTGTTATCAAAATCTCCTTCCTTCCTTCCTTCCTTCCTTCCTTCCTTCCTTCCTTCCTTCCTTCCTTCCCTCCCTCCCTCCCTCCCTCCCTCCCTTCCTCCCTTCCTTCCCTCCCTCCCTCCCTTCCTCCCTTCCTTCCATCCTTCCTTCCTTTTCTTATTTCCTTCCTTTTTTGAGACAGAGTCTCACCCTTTCACCCAGGCTGGAATGCAGTGGAGTTATTATAGCTCACTGCAGGCTTGAACTCCTGGCCTCAAGCCGTCAGGGTAGTTAGGACTACAGGCATGTGCCACCATGCCTCGCTATTTAAAAAAAAAAAAAAAATTTGTATAGATGAGGTTCCACTATGTTGCCTAGGTTGGTCTCAAAACTCCTGGGTCCAAGCGATATACCTGCCTCGGCCTCCCAAAGGCATGAACCACTGCATCCAGCTTCAGATTTCAGCTGTGTTTTGTAATTCTCCTTGTGGAGATCGTTCACATCTTAGGTTAGTTGTATTTGCAGGGATTTTATTTTCATCCTAGGTGTTGTAAATATGATTGTGTTCTTAATTTAACTCTCAACCTGGATGTTGTTGTTGTATAGAAATGCTACTAATTGTTGTACATTGATTTTGTATCCTGAAACCTTGCTAAAATCCTTTATCATTTCTAGTAGACTTTTGTTGAAGTCTTTAAGGTTTTTTAGGTATAGAAGGATATTGTTGGGTGAAGACAGATAGTTTGCCTTAATCTTCACTTCCTATTTGGGTGCTTTTCTCTTTTTCTGTTGCAAGATTGCTCTGACTAGGATTTCTGGTACTATGTTGAATAGGAGTGGTAAGAGTGGATGTCCTTGGCTTGTTTCATTTCTAAAGGAGAATGCTTTCAGCTTTTGCCCATTGAGTATTATATTGGCTGTGGGTTTGTTGTAGATAGCTCTTTTTTATTTTGAAGTATGCTTATTTGAAGCCTCAACTGTTGAGGGTTTTTTTTTGTTTTGTTTTTTCATGAAGGGACACTGGATTTAATTGAAAGCTTTTCCGGCATCCGTTGAGATGATCATATGGTTTTTGATTTAATTCTGTTTATCTGGTGAATCACATTTATTGATTTGCATATGTTGAACCAGCCATGCATCCCAGGAATAAAGCCTGTATTGTCATAGTAGATTAATTTTTTGATATGCTGCTGATGGATTCAGTTTGCTAGTACTTTGTTGAGAATTTTTGAGTCTATGTTCGTCAACAGTGGTCACCTGAATGTTCTTTTTTTTTGCGTCTCTGCCAGGTTTTGGTATTAAGCTGCTTCTGGCTTCACAGCGTGAGTTAGGAAGGAGTACGTTCTCTTCAACTTTTCTGGAATAGTTTCAGTAGAATTGTACTAGTTCTTCGTTATACTTCCGGTAGAATTTTGCTGTGAATCCATATAGTCCAGGGCTTTTTGGCTTGGTAGATTTTTTATTACTTATTCAATTTCAGAGCTTCATATTGGTCTCTTCAGTATTTCAGTATCTTCCTGATTCAATCTTGGAAGATTGCCTGTTTTCAGAAATTTATCCATTTCCTCTAGATTTTCTAATTTTTGTGTCTAGAGTTATTCCTAGTATTCTCTGAGGATTATTTTGTATGTCTGTGGGACCATTTTTAATGTCGTTTTTGTCATTCTGATTTATATATTTAGATCTTCTCTTTTTTTTCTTTGTTTATCTAGCTAAAGGTCTATCAATCTCTTTTTTTAAATCAACTCTTGGTTTCATTAATCTTTTGTATGGATTTTTGCATCTCAATTTCATTCAGATCTTCTCTATTTTAGTTGTTTCTTTTCATTCCTAGCGTTGATGTAGGGTTGTTCTTTTTTTTTTCTTCCCTAGTTCCTTTAGGTGTAGTGTTAGATTGTTAATTTGAAGTATTTCTAACTTTATGATAAAGGCATTTAAACGTTCCTCTTAACACTGATTTAGCTGCATCCCAGAGATTTTGGTAATTTGTGTTCCCATTTTCATTAATTTCACTTTCTTAAAATTTCTCCCTTAATTTTGATTTTCACACAGAAGTTATTCAGGAGAAAGTTGTTTAATTTTCATCTATTTGTGTAGTGTTGAGAGATGTTGGTATTTATTTATATTTTGATTACATTGAGATCTAAGAGTGTGCTTGATATGATTTCATTTTTTAAAATTTATCCAGACTTGCTTTATGACCAAGCATGTGGTCAATGTTAGAATATGTTCCCTGTGCAGATGAGAAGAATGTATATTCTGTGGTTATTGAGTGGAGTGTTCTGTAGATGTCTTATTAGGTCCAGATGGTCAAGGGTGAAGTTTAAGTACACAGTTTCTTCCTTAGTTATCTGCTTTGATGATCCAGTGCTGCCAGCGGGGGTGTTGAAGTCTCCTACAGTTATTGGGTGGTCGTCTGTCTTTTTGTAGTCCAAAAAGAACTTGTTTTATGAATCTGGGTGCTCCATGTTGGGTGCATTTATATTTAGGGTACTTAAGTATTCTTGTTTGATCATATACTTTCTCATGACATAATGCTCTTCATTCTTCAATTGTTCTTTTTAATTTTGATTAAAGTCTGTTTTATCTGATATAAGAATAGTTACTCCTGCTTTTTTGTTATCATTTGCATGGCAGATTTTCTCCATCCCCTTATTTTGGGCCAGTGGCTGTCATTACATATGAGGTGAGTCTCTTGAAGACTGCAGATGGTGAGCCTTGCATTTTTATCCAGTTTGCCATTGTATGTCATTTAAGTGGGGGTGTTTAGCCTATTTACATTTATGGTTAATGTTGATACATGAGATTTTGATCCTATCATCACGTTTGTAGCTGGTTTTTAGGTAGACTTGATTGTGTAGATACTTTATAGTGCCTGTGAGCTATGTACTTAAGTGGGTTTTTGTGGTAGCAGGTGTCATTCTTTTTACTCAATGTATAGCACTCCCTTAAGGACCTTTCATAAGGCTGGTCAAGTTGAAATTGATTCCCTCAGTATTTGCTTATCTGAGGAGAAATTTGTTTCTTCTTCACTTAGGAAGTTTAGTTTAGTGAAATATAAAATTATTGCCTGGAATTTATTTTCATTAATGATGTTGGACATAGGCCCTTAATCTCTTCTGGCTTGTAAGGTTTTTGCTGAGATATTTACTACTAGCCTAGTGGAGTTCTTGCTTTATGAAAACATGACCTTTCTCTCTAGCTGCCTTTAAGATTTTTTTTTTCTTTTGTATTTACTTTGGTGAATATGATGACTGTGTGCCTTAGGGATAGTCACCTTTTATAGTGCCTAGCTGGGTTTGCTGTATTTTTTGGATTTACATGTCACTCTCTCTAGCGAGGTTAGGAAAATTTTCATAGACTCTATTCTCAAATCTATTTTCCAAGTTGCCTTTTCTCTTTGTTTCTCTTCTAGGAATGACAATGAGTCGTAGATTTGGTCTCTTTATATAATTCCATATTTCTTAAAGCTTTGGTTCATTTTCTTTTTTTAATTCTTTTTTAAAATTTTCTTTTGACTCAGTTGATTCAACGAACCAGTCTTTGAGCTCTGAGATTCTTTCCTTAGCTTGGCCTACCTTCTGTTAATATTTCTTACTGTATTATAAAATTCTTATACTGAATTTTTTCTGCTCTAGAAATTCAGTGTGGCTGTTGTTTAAAATGGCAATTTCATCTTTCAGCACTTACTTAGATTGCTTTACTGGATTACTTGGCTAGGGTTTCAACTTTCTCCTTAATGTTCATGAGCTTCCCTGCCATCGAGGTTCTGTATTCTATGTCTGTTGCAATTATTTTAGACTGATTAAGAACCATTGCTTGGTAGCTAGTGGGCTAATTTTGAGGTAAGAGGACACTCTAGCTTTTTGAATTGCCAGAGTTCTTGCACTGATTTTTTCTCTTCTGGTAGGGTTAGTGTTCCTTTAACTGTAGTGTATGTTGAGTATAGGCAATTGGTTTTGTTTCTGGATGCTTTCAAAGGGTCAGGGCTTTCTCTGTCCAGGATTTTTATGTATGAGTAATTCTTGTGTTTGGTTTCACAGGTGTATATGTAGCAGGATAAATTTTGATGTTGTAGTTTGGGATGTGATCCAATGCATAGTGCTTAAGAGTGATGGCCAGTGGCTAGCCTAATACCCAGTGGCATGGCTGTTTTATACTTCCTTTTGTTTGCAGGTGTGCTCTATAGTGGGGGTGGGAGAGATGCCTCCATCACCAGATGTGCTCCTGGGCCCTGGGGGAGTCTCCTGCAATCACTGTGTTTCTTGTGTTAGGTGTTCTAGGCCACAGGTCTCTCTCAGGCAGAGGCCCTTTCCTAGGAGCCATTCTGGGGAACTAGCTGTAGTGTTTGGGTTCCCTGCACAGGCTTCCTCCCTCTTCAGCTCAGCTTCATTGCTGCCTCTGCATCCACTCAGCATTTTCTCTCTCAAGATCTGCCTAAATTACGGTGGTTTACTCCATAATTTGGTATCTCTCAGTGGGGGTGGTGCTTCCTGACCATGTCAAATTGACCATGTATTGTCACAGAATGAAAACCTCTTTGATAGACTTTGTAACATTTTTGAATATTACATTCAGGAGTAAAATCTTACGCAGTGTGATCCCAGCTATCTCTTCACTTTTGAGAATAACCTTAAGTAATTAAAGGATAATTAAATATGTAATTAAAAATGGAAAAATATAACAGCTACACTTCCAGATGTCAACTTCTTTCAGAAAATTTTAAAATCTCTTTAAAGAAAGGTAAATTGAGACCAAAATAGATTAATAGCTTTATAAAAATAAGTGCTCAAGGAGGGTGTTACATGAGAAAATTAAACTTGGAATTTGTCATTTTACCCGTAAAATTACTGAGAGTAATTTCCTTGAAATGGAAATAACTTTACAAATTTTTAATTAACAAAAATGCTGAAATATTACTCCGCTTACCTTTATGTAACCTCTTCCTTGAAAACAACAATTTACTCATCTGGTGTGTGACTCTGATAACCTTCAATCATTCTCTATATCTGACACCATGACTAGTAACTTAGATCTTTAACTAAGCAACCTTTCTTTCCACCTTTGTGATATTATATCTAGTAATTTAATAACAGACAATCTATGTTGCAAATTAAACTTCCAAATTGAATAGTAATTTTCAAATCCCAAGGACCCATTTCTTCTGCCTCAATCTTAATTAGGTCTTAGTTAATAGAAAAATTAACTGGCTGGGTGCGGTGGCTCATGCCTGTAATCCCAGCACTTTGGGAGGCCAAGGTGGGCGGATCACCTGAGGTCTGAAGTTCGAGACCATCCTGGCCAACATGGTGAAACCCCATGTGTACTAAGAACACAAAAAATTGACCGGGTATGGTGGTGGGTGGGTGCCTGTAATCCCAGCTACTCAGGAGGCTAAGGCAGGAGAATCACTTGAACTGGCGGGGTGGAGGATGCAGTGAACCGAGATCCCAGCACTGCGCTGCAGCCTGGGCAGCAACAGTGAAACTCCTCAGAAAAAAAAAAAAAAAAAAAGAAAAAGAAAAAGAAAAAAGAAAATTAACTAAATCAAGCCTAAATAAAACATATTCACAAAGTGGCAGACTTTTTTAATCCAAAAATTTAACTGTATTAATGTCTCATTTACAGAACATTATTTTACAATGAGGTTTTACACATCAATCAGTTGAGTCACTTCTTTTTTTTTTTTGAGATGGAGTCTCGCTCTGTTGCCCAGGCTGGAGTGCAGTGGTGTGACCTCAGCTCACTGCAACCTCCACCTCCTGGGTTCAAGCGATTCTCCTGCCTCAGCATCCTGAGTACAGGCACTACAGGCACGTGAGCAAGAGAAGCTGACAGATTCAAATGTTCACAAACATTTATGTTCTATTTTGATAGATACATAAACTATGTTTCTCATTCTTATATACTTTATATTAGGGCATGGGATTAAAGTCAAAATAGTGGAAAATTAGTAGAAATAACATATTTTATATCCAATTTAGTCTCCAAAATCCCAACATGCACTCTTCTGTATACGTTTTTCAGTATGCTTGACTGGAACGGCCAATTCTACAGTAGTCTTGGAAGCAACATACTGCAGATTAAATACCTTAGTAGCCTATGTTCTTGAATGCGGACATAAAGGAGCAATGCTTTTCCTATCTTAAAAAAACAGTTTATATGAATGAAACTTCTGTTCTGTTTAAGATATTATATGTTGTTGAGTGTAGTTGTCAAAGCAACTAGCACGATTCCAAGTAATATAGAAATCACCAGCTTGAGTTGGGTCTGCCATAACAGCACCTAAAACGTATCCACTAAATTAGTATTAAATGGACAAGTAAACCAAACTCAGAGGGTTGAAATGAAGACTTGTAATACCCAGTGAAAAAAAATTATTGAAACTACCATCTAAAATTAATTGGAAGCTTAATATTACCTCTAGGAAAGAGTGTGGGAAATGAGGAAAGGCAAAAGGTAATGTGTTCATGTTTGTTCTGTTCCATAATCCAAGAAATAGATAAACACAGGCAAAAAAAAAAAAAAAAAAAAAAGAAAAAAGAAATATCCTGTCTTTAGAGTGGAAAGAAAGTGGATAGAGTTGAGTTGCTAAACCTTAGCATTATTGACATTTTATGCCTGATATTCCTGCATTCTGTGGGAGGTTATTCTTTGCATTGTAGGATATTAATAGTATCTTTAGGCTATACCACCACATACCAGTAGCATCACCACCTAATCATTATAATTCAAAATGTCTCCAGACACTGACAAGTGTTCTATGGAAACAAAGTCATTCCTTGTTGGAAACCACTTGTAAACAAAAAGTCTAGTAATGGTGGAATTATACAGTGACAGAAAAGCTCAGGTTTTTCTGATTAGGTTGAAAAAGCTGCTCAGAAATTAAATCCTACTGTGTTCATAAAAAACAAGGAACCCAGCCCTGAAGCAAAGAACTCATCAGGGAAGTTGTTTTCTCTTTCAAGTCTATGATTTCAAATGACCTTAAAGTGGTCATCTTTACAGTCAGAGAAGCATATGTGTGTTGGGGAGGAGAAAAAAGAAGGAAATGAGGCAGACTTTAGAATTATACCTAGGAAAGAACTGTATGTTTGGTTATAAACTAGATCCAATAAATAAATAAATGGTTTCCACGTAACTACTTGGCAAAGGTACAATAAGCCTATTGTGAGAAAAAAAAATTAAGGCTTAAAATATCCTCAAGCATCCCAAATTGCACTAATCAGTGCAATTGATTAGTCATGCTGAGAAAACACTCATTGTTCTAATTTAAGATGGAGGCATGGAGAATAAGAGAAAATGTAAATTACCTCAGAAAGTAAATCTATGAGCCACAGGGACAATGGACCTTAAAGTTATTTCCACAGGACATGTTTATGGTTTCATCAAATAAATATTTGTACTGCTCAGAAATATTTTTGTCAGTGCTCTGCAGACTTCTTTGTCTTCTGATAGGAGCTTCACCATGGTAACTTAGATTTTACAGATAATTTGTCTTTTGACTTTATAGGACACTAGTCCTCGTTAAGTCATATAGTGGCCTGAGGGAGAGAACTGCACGTCATGAAACATCCTGAACTCTAAGTTGTAGGCAGTAACTGGGCAAAACTTTAAGTTGTTTACAGAGGGAAGAAAAGTGAATTTTTCATATATAAAGAAGTGTGCAAATTGTATTTCATGAGTAGTCTTTTGTCTTCTGGAATGGTGATATATACAAAGTAATCTGGGAAGATACAATTTGGTAATAGTAGATCCTTCGTTAACTTGAATTATTTTTTGCAGGAAAGATGCGTCTTTAGCCAAAATTACTTATGGTAAACTGTTATGTAAGCAAGAAATCACCTTCTACTTGGTTTAAGCTATTCAGTGTACTCTCTAGATAGATATGACACAAAGCTAGCATTATGATACAGTAAACCAAGTGTTAATGTAACTTTATGTTGATTTTGACTACATTCTGAAAATAATAAAAGTCATCTGGTATTTTAGGCTTACGATATGAACTTGATACTATGATAGGTGTCTGAAATGTTTATCTCATTTGATTCTTAGAACAAACTTATATTGTGGGTACTAATACAGTACTGATTTTTTAAATAAGAAAAAGGATTGCAAAAAATGTAAAAAGTCTTATTAAAGAGTACAAAATTCTATCTCCAAATGTGTAATGAATTTTATATAGTCAGTTAATATTTGTTTAGCTCAATAAAGTAATGTTCGGTGTAATAGTTGATTTCTTTAATGTTCATTCAGAATCACATTATCAATTTGAAATTAATTCACCTATTCGAAGAAGTTGCTTCCTCCAATTAAGACAGTATAGTAAGCAAAATAATGGTTTACAAAACAAACAAACCAACAAAAAAAAAACCGCATGTCCTGATTTCTGGAAGCTGTGAATATGTTAACTATCTGGTAAAAGGGGCTTTGCAAGTATTATAATGTTAAGGATGGTAAGATGAAAAAGTGTCCTTTTGAGTTCAGTGTAATCAAATGGGTTTAAACTAGGGAAACATTCTTGGCTAGAAACATAAGGTGGTATGATTTCAAAAGAATGGTCAGAGAGACACAGCATTTCTGGTTTGAACAAATGAAAGACCATAAGCTAACAAATCAGGACAGCCTCTGGAGGCTGGAAAAGTCAAGGAAACTGATTTTCCCCTAAAACCTTCAGAAAGGAACACAACAGTTCTCACTCTTTGATTTTAGCCTCATAAGATGCATTGCAGACATCTGACAAACACAATTGTTTGACACTATATTTGTGCTATTTTAAACCACTAACTTTGTAGTAATTGGCTACAGCAGCAGTAAGAAAATAATGCAGAGTGTTTCTATAATGGAGATAAAAGTATAAACAAGAGGCAAGGATTTCCTTCCTTCACAGTGTTTATAATATACTAAGAAAACAAACATTAAATACACAGGGCCCCAATAGATTATTCCACTTTAATTTTAGCTGGCACTGTGGAAGGAAAATAGAAATTCTAGAATATAGTGAATAGGAATATAACTTATTCTTATGTGGGAAGAAATGCTTATTACTGAATACTATTTGGGCTGAAAATAAATGCACTGTAGTTACAGTAAGTACAGTAAAAAAGGTAGTTTGCTATAAGGGAACAGAGCCATTGAAATGTAATGAAAGTCATCAAAGTTTTAGGCACTAACTATAAGTTGCAAGGAGTTAAACAATTATAAGCAGTCCGATTATTAAAAAAATATGTGCCTGATTCTCAAAATCACAAGTATTCTTTAAGATTGCTAACCGTAGTAGTCAGTTTTCACAATGATATAAAGAATGACTTGAGACTGAGTAATTTATGAAGAAAAGAGATTTAATTGATTCATAGTTCTTCAGGCTTTACAGGAAGCATGAATGGGAGGACTCAGGAAACTCAGAAAATCATGGTGGAAGGCAAAGGGGAAACAAGGTTCTTCTTGACATGGCACCAGGAGAGAGAGAGCACAAGGAGGGAAGTGCCACACACTTTTAAACCATCAGATCTCTTGGAACTCACTCACTATCATGAGAATAGCATGTGGAAATCTGCTCCCATGATCCAGTCACCTCCACCCAGGCCCCTCTCTTGACATGAGGGGATTACAATTTGAGATGAGATTTGGGTGGGGACAGAGGGCCAAGCCATATTATTTCTCCTCTGGCCCCTCCCAAGTATCATGTCCTTCTCACATTTCAAAACCAATCATGCCTTCCCAACAGACTGAAAGTCTTAACTTATTCCAGCATTAACTCAAAAGTCCATGTCCAAAGTTTCATCTGAGACAAGGCAAATCGCTTCTGCCTATAAGCCTGTAAAATCAAAAACAAGTTAGTTAATTTCAAGACAACAGTGGGGGTACAGGGATCAGGTAAACACTCCAATTCCATAAGGGAGAAATTAGCCAAAACAAAGGGTCTGCAGGCCCCATGCAAGTCCAAAACCCGACAAGGCAGTCATTAAATCTTAAGGCTCTGAAACAATCTTCTTTGACCTCATCTCTCACGTCCAGAGCATACTGATGCAATATCTGGGCTCCCATGAGCTTTGACAGCTCTGCCTCTGTGGCTCTGCAAGGCACAGCCCCCACAGCTGCTTTCACAGGCTAGGATTGAGTGCCTGTGACTTTTCCAGGCACACTGTGCAAGCTGTCAGTGGATCTACCATTCTGGGGTCTGAAGCACTATGACCCTCTTCTCAAAGCTCCAGTAGGGAGTGCCCCAGTGGGGAATCTGTGTGGGGGCTCCAACCCCACATTTTCCCTCTGCACTGCCCTAGTAGAGGTTCTCCATAAGGGCTCCACTTCTGCAGCAGACTTTTGCCTAGACATCCAGGCATTTCCATACATCCTCTGAAATCTAGATGGAGGTTCCCAAACCTCACCTCTTCCCTTCTGCACAACCACAGGCCCAGCCTCATGTGGAAGCCACCAAAGCTTGAGGCTTGTATTCTCTGAAGCAATGGCCTGAGTAGTGCCTTGGACCCTTTTAGCCACAGTTGGAGCTGAGCAGCTGGAACACTGGGCACCATGTCCCGAGGCTGCCCAGAGCAGCAGGGCCCTGGGCCCATCCCACTAAACAATTTCTCCCTCCTAGGCCTCCAGGCTTATAATGGGAGGGGCTGCCTCAAAGGTCTCTGAAATGTACTGGAGACGTATTCCACATTGTCTTTGCCATTAACATTTGGCTCCTCTTTACTTATGCAAATTTTTGCTTGAATTTCTCCCAAGAGCGTGGGTTTTTCTTTTTTACTATATGGTTAGGCTGCAAATTTTCCAAACTTTTATGGTCTGCTTTCCTTTTAAATATACGTTTCAGTTTCAAGCCATCTCTTTCTTCATGGACATGAGCATAAACTTTTAGAAGCAGCCAGGCCACATGTTGGAAGGTCTGTTGCTTAGAAATTTGTTTCACCAGATACCCTAAATCATCTCTCTGAAGTTCAACATTACACAGATCTCTAGGGCCGGGTCAAAAGGCTGTCAGTCTCTTTGCTAAAGCATAGCAAGAGTAACTTTTTCTTCAGTTCTCAATGAGTTCCTCATCTCCATCTGAGACCCCCTCAGCCTGGACTTCATTATCCAAATCATTATCAGCATTTTGTTCACAACCATTCAACAGGTCTCTAGGAAGATTTAAACTTTCCCATATCTCCCTGTCTTCTTCTGAGTCCTCCAAACTGTTTCCTACCTCTGCCTGTTACCCAGTTCCAAAGTTACTTCCATATTTTCAGGTATTTTTATAGCAATGCCCCACTTCTCTGGTACCAATTTTCTGTATCTATCTCTTCTCAAACTGCTATAAAGAACTACTGGGTAATTTATGAGGAAAAGAGGTTTAATTGACTCACAGTTCTGCAAGCTTAACAGGAAGCACGACTGGGAGGCCTCAGGAAACTAACAATCATGGCAGAAGGTAAAGGGGGAGCAGGTGCCTTCTTCACATGGTGTCAGTAGAGAGAAGAGCCGGGGGGAAGTTCCACACACTTTTAAACCATCAGATCTTGTGAGAACTCACTGACTGTCACGAGAACAGTATGGGAAATCCACCCCCATGATCAAATCACCTCCTACCAGACCCCTCCCCTGACACGTGGGGATTACGATTCAACATGAGATTTGTGTGGGGACACAGAGCCAAAGTATATCACTCACCTAATAAGTGCTTATCTTGATTAAATTGTATGGAAAACTACAACTTAAATTATGTGATCAGAAATTCTATCTAATGATAGACATTAATTCAAATGCCACCATGTTCTCCTGTCAGCTTCTCATATATTGTCATGGATATGATTTAATTGTCCTTCAGTGTCATGGAACGCATCCTGAGATTCAGCTGATGAAGTTGCAAACTGGATAAATATAAATGATGATGTTTCAAAAAAGAAAATCCTCACTTAGTAAAAAAATGTTAGGTTTATTTTACACTTTCTTGACAGCTGAACTAATATAAAAAGCACTCACCTTGTTTCTTTCAGTTTTGTGTATGTTTTGATTGTGTCAGCTGAGTTCTTCTTCACGGGATTTTCTATGTGTCAGAGACACTTGTCCCCCATTCTGTTTTCCTGTGTAATCTCAAAATTGACAAGGGTCTTCACTGTATGTGAAAAGGATGTCTGTGTTGCTTGATTTTATGTGTGACTACTGTTTGCGATTGTCCTTTTCCCAATATGACATGTAATTTTACAGCACAGATAGTTTTTCAAAAGAATTACATTCCCAGGCTTAGCAGAGGGAGCGGCCTACTTATTGAAATGTGAAATCGAATCTCTGAAACAGAAACACCAAATTATTATACTAATCTGTAAAGTAGCTATAAAACGTTATTTTTCAGAGTGAAGTATCTGTCAAGATGGCTAGTTTTGGTGTATAATAGAAACGGTATTTTATTCCTTTTATTTCTGTAAACAGATTAAGTCTGTGTGTGTGTGTGTGTGTGTGTGTGTGTGTGTGTGTGTGTGTACATGGGATATAATACAAATCTACCTCGACTTATAATGAGTTACATCCTGATAACCACAGGCCAAGATGTGTTATGATGGATCTGGATATACTCATAAGTTGAAAATATTTTAGGTAAAAAATGCATTTAGTACATTTAACAAAAATACTGGCAAACCGAGTCCAGCAGCACATCAAAAAGCTTATCCACCAAGATCAAGTTGGCTTCATCCATGGGATGCAAGACTGGTTCAACATACGCAAGTCAATAGATGTAATCCATCACATAAAGAGAACCAAAGACAAAAACCACAAGATTATCTCAATAGATGCGGAAAAGGTCTTTGACAAAATTCAATAGCCCTTCATGCTGAAAACTCTCAATGAACTAGGTATTGATGGAACATATCTCAAAATAATAAGAGCTATATATGACAAACCCGCAGCCAGTATCATACTGAATGGGCAAAAACTGGAAGCTTTCCCTTTGAAAACTAGCACAAGACAGTGATGCCCTCTCTCACCACTCCTATTCAACATAGTGTTGGAAGTTCTGGCCAGGGCAGTCAGGCAAGAGAAAGAAATAAAGGGCATTCTATTAGGAAAAGAGGAAGTCAAATTGTCCCTGTTTGCAGGTGATATGATTGTATATTTAGAAAACCCCATCATCTCAGCCCAAAATCTCCTTAAGCTGATGAGCAACTTCAGCAAAGTCTCAGGTTACAAAATCAGTGTGCAAAAATCACATGCATTTGTATACACCAATAACAGACAATCAGAGAGCCAAATCATGAGTGAACTCCCATTCACAGTTGCTACAAAGAGAATAAAATACCTAGGAATCCAACTTACAAGGGATGTGAAGGACCTCTTTAAGGAAAACTACAAACCACTGCTCAACGAAATACAAGAGGACACAAACAAATGGAAGAACATTCCATGCTCATGGGTAGGAAGAATCAATATCGTGAAAATGGCCATACTGCCCAAGGTAATTTATAGATTCAATGCCATCCCCATCAAGCTACCAATGACTTTCTTCACAGAATTGGAAAAAACTAAAGTTCATATGGAATCAAAAAAAGAGCCCATATTGCCAAGACAATCCTAAGCAAAAAGAACAAAGCTGGAGGCATCACGCTACCTGACTTCAAACTATACTACAAGGCTACAGTAACAAAAACAGCATTTTACTGGTACCAAAACAGAGATATAGACCAATGGAATGGAACAGAGGCCTCAGAAATAACGCTAAACATTTACAACCATCTGATGTTTGACAAACCTGACAAAAACAAGAAATGGGAAAAGGATTCCCTATTTAATAAATGGTACTGGCTAGCCATATGTAGAAAGCTGAAACTGGATCCCTTCCTTCACCTTATAGAAAAATTAATTCAAGATGGATTAAAGACTTAAATGTTAGACCTAAAACCATAAAAACCCTAGAAGAAAACCTAGGCAATACCATTCAGGACATAGGCATGGGCAAGGACTTCATGTGTAAAACACCAAAAGCAATGGCAACAAAAGCCAAAATAGACAAATGGGGTCTAATTAAACTAAAGAGCTTCTGCACAGCAAAAGAAACTACCATCAGAGCGAACAGGCAACCTACAGAATGGGAGAAAATTTTTCCAATCTACCCATTTGACAAATAGCTAATATCCAGAATCTACAAAGAACTTAAACCAATTTACAAGAAAAAAACAAAGCCATCAAAAAGTGGACAAAGGATATGAACAGACACTTTTCAAAAGAAGACATTTATGCAGCCAACAGACACATGAAAAAATGCTCATCATTACTGGTCATCAGAGAAATGCAAATCAAAACCACAATGAGATAGCATCTCACACCAGTTAGAATGGCGATCATTAAAAAGTCGGGAAACAACAGGTGCTGGAGAGGATGTGGAGAAATAGGAATGCTTTTACACTGTTTGTGGGAGTGTAAACTAGTTCAACCATTGTGGAAGTCAGTGTGGCAATTCCTCAAGTATCTAGAACTAGAAATACCATGTGACCCAGTGATCCCATTACTGGGTATATACCCAAAGCATTATAAATCATGCTGCTATAAAGACACATGCACATGTATGTTTATTGCGGCACTCTTCACAATAGCAAAGACTTGGAACCAACCGAAATGTCCATCAATGATAGACTGGATTAAGAAAATGTGGCATACATACACCATGGAATACTATGCTGGCATAAAAAATGATGAGTTCATGTCCTTTGTAGTGACGTGGATGAAGCTGGAAACCATCATTCTGAGCAAACCTTCGCAAGGACGGAGAACCAAACACCGTGTGTTCTCACTCATAGGTGGGAATTGAACAACGAGAACACTTGGACACAGAGTGGGTAACATCACATGCTGGGGCCTATTGTGGGGTGGGGGGATGGGTAGGGATAGCATTAGGAGAAATACCTAATGTAGTTAATGAGTTAATGGGTGCAGCAAACCAACATGGCACATGTATACATATGTAACAAACCTGCAAGTTGTGCACATGTGCCCTAGAACTTAAAGTATTAAAAAAAAATACACTTAAGAAATGTGCTCAGAACACTTACATTAGCCAGTCCAAAAAAAAAATCTAACCTAAAGCCTATTTTTAAATAAAGTGTTGAATATCACATGTAAATTATTAAATACTGAATGTGAAAAACGGAATGGGTATATGGGTAATAAAAGCATTGTTTCTACTGAATGTTTATCACTTTTGTACCATGATAAAGCTGTAAAGTTGTACCATTGTAAATCTGGGACCATCTGTGTTACATTCAAGAGAAAAGCTCAGTCGAACTAATAAATAAATCAAAATTTCTTCTGATTATTTAGGTGTTTTTTCCTGTTAGATAATTAAGACATCCAACTGTTGCTTGCTGCTTCACCACACAGACCATACACAGATACAAATACACACTCCATGAATGAGCATATGTGCTTGTTTAAAGAGACATACTAACCAAACAGTTGTATGCTGCCGTGATATTGATTATGTCATCAAGTTCCTTATTTAACAAAACACAGCTGTGTATGAAGTATTTCTCTAAAATGTACATTCAATAGCAACTGGTTTTGTTCAGTCTTATGTACCCATATTATTTAAATGAGCACCTGGAGTCTAGAATTAACTAAAAAATATCTATGTTGATGCATATTAAGTTGATTTTGAAGTCATAAATTTTGACAAGAATTGATACTATGGCACTGTCATAACTTTACAAAAGATGACCTGAACTAACATGATTTTATGCTTTTACCAGTGGAACTCCCTGAAATATATTCAGATAATTTGTTATTAAAGCAAAACTAAGTTTATTGAAACCCTGTGCCAAGAAAGTACACCATTTTGACATACTTTTGCAGTGTTTCAGCAGGGAAGAGTGAGAGGAAGATTTTTCATGTTTGTGGAGAATGGCTTAAGAGAGTTAAATGAGTCTTTCAAAGTGAGTAGCTGATTGAAATTGAGCTAAACTCAGAGCATAATAGTTTAGATAGTCTAAGAAATTGAAAAAAAAGTTGATGCCAAGCATACAAGAAATAACACCACCAAAAAATAGACCTAAATACAGACAAAATTAGATTAAAAACAAGAATATGTTCAATGTTAATAAAAGCAAAAGGAACATAGACATAGTTATGGAGGAGTTTTGTTTTGTTTTAATAAGATAAAAATATGGTTAGTTTTATAGCAATACACCTGGAAATCTGGATCAATTCTGTCCACTATAGTCATTACTAGTGACATGTAGATATTGAACACTTGAAATATGGTGGATTTGAATTGATTTATGCTATATGTAAAATACAAACTAGATTTAGTTTAAAAAATGTAAAACTGAATAATTTTAATATTGTTTTATGCTGAGATGACAATATTTTGGATATACTGGATTAAATACATATAAAATATTGTTAAAAATCAAGTAGTATAGTAAAATTGGTCTTTTTGTTTTACTTTTTTATTTTGTTTTGGTTTTTGAAGGGATAGAAATCATGGCTAAGATGGACCCTGGGGCATATCATTGACCATCATGAAACATGCACTGATTTGCCAAATGTATTATTTTCCTGTGGCTGTTATAAAAATCACAATACACTTAGTAGTTTAAAACAACATAAATTTATTGTCTAGCAGTATTCCAGGTTAGAAGTTCAACACAGGTCTTACTGATTTAAAATCAAAGCATTGGAAGACTGCATTCCTTCTATAGGCTCTGTGGAATAATCCATGACCTGGCCTTTCCCAGGCTTTAGAATCCAGCTGCATTCTTTGATGCATGTTCCCTGTCTTGGGCAGCTTGGAATACTGTAAGAAAATACCATAGACCGGGTGACTTAAACAACTGACATTTATTTCTCAGAGTTCTGAAAGTTGGGAAGTCCAAGATTAAGGTGCTGGTATATTTGGTTCGTGGTGAGGGCCCACTCCCTCTCTGGTTAGTAGATGGCCTCCTTCTCTCTGTGTTCACATGGCCTTTCCTGGATACATGTTTACGGAGAGAGAAAGAGAAGGGTGGTTGGGTGGGAGGTGGTCTAGTATCTCCACCTTTTCTTATAAGAACACTAACATTATCATGAGAACACCACACTTAGGACATTATCTCAACCTAGGTTCCTCCCAAAAGCTCCATCTCCAGATACTATCACACTGCCAATTAATAGATCATTGAAAATAATCTATTAATATTTGAACAATGCCAATCATCTTCAATAGATTAATTTTAGGGAGACACAAATATTCAGTTCATAACAGTTCCTTTCCTTGACCTTCAAAGCTACAAATGAAGGAGCAAGTCTTCACATTCTCCTTTTATATCTCCCTCTTCTACGTGTAAAGAATCTTATGATTGCATTTGGCCATCTAAAAATCTATGATAGTCTCTCCATTTCAAAATCCTTAACTCTAATTGCATTTGCAAAGTCTGTCCTGCCAGGTAAGCTAACAAATTTATAAATTATCTGGATTAGGACCGCATCATCTCTGAAGAGCCATTATTCTGACTACCACATCAGTATGTTAGTTTATGTCAAGATTGCTGTAATAATCAATAGGTTCTGGTACCACAAATCCAGTAGCAGTCATTAAGGTTGATTGAGTTTATTGATTGCTTTCAGCTCCATTCTGCTATTAATCACTTTTGGGGATATAAAATGAAGACCTTATCACATAGAGGAAGAGGTAGATGTGATAGGAGCTTGAATATGTAATAAGAATTTTTTATGATATGTAAATGTGAGAAATGAATTAAGTATGTGCCATTTGTTCTCTTCTTTTTAAGACATTTCTTTCTAAAGGTTTAGTGACAGAAGTTGCATTCTATTAAAGATCCCTAAGTGCTGTTCTGCTGTAGGCATAAGCTTTCTTTCCTGGGTGCAGCATGTTAGGATTTAAGATTTCTATTTATCTAATACTCTGCTGTTTGTCAGATAAAATAACAATAAATAGTGAGTCCAATTATTGATAAACCCAGATGTTTCATATTTAGGAATCGATGTTAAAAAAAAAAAACTCTAATTGGCATCCTAAGGAAAATGTGTGCAGCTTAGCACTGATTCAACTGCATGTTTAGCCAAATTGTGAACAAATTACGGCCAGCTTCCGGACTCTTCTAGAGAGTGACTAAGGACGGCATAGAGGAATTAGGAATAGTAGCTTTATAGGTAAAATAATTAAATGTAACCTTAAGCATAAAAAGATAAAGTTAACTAGGAAAATGAAAACTCAAGATATACAGATTAAATATGACAAACAATGGATCTTTTTTTGTGGATCTTGGTTTGCAGATACCGATATCTCATATAGTGATTCACTTGATCCAAAGGCATTTGATGGAAGCTGTCTTCTCCCAAAGACTATTTGCTTTTGGAAGAATCCTAAGAGTCATTAGTTAGAAGTTTTTGGTAGGGATACTTTCCTGTAATATGAAGATGACCTAAACCTCTTTACTTGAGAGATAGGAATCAAAGGATCAGTCTTTTAAAGACTATGGGTTTGCTAGTTGTTAGCTGTGCCTGATAGTGACTTTTTTCCTATGATCTTTCCCTGCCGTGTCTCTTAGAAGACAAGGTATCCAGGTATGAAAACCAATTTTGCAGACATTGTTTAGGATACTAATGGGGAAAGTCTTCAGTAACTTTTGTTGAAAGAATGGATTTCCTGAGTCCTTACAGCATTTAGTTAAATAAGTGTAGATTTCTAGAATCAGAGCTAATATTCCTAGACACTTGGTTTAGCTGTTACTAACTCATGAACCACAGAAAGAAGAAATACCTTAGACCATGCAAGTTTGACGATGTCTGTGAACTTTACCAACTTTAGTTTCAGAATTCCATCTTTCTACCTTCCCAAAAGGTTGAAAGTGATATGGACAGTGAAGTCTGATTAATTGACAGAACTTTTCCATGTTAATAAAAATTCCGGTAAAATGGTTTCCTTGTTACTAGAGATATAGTTTGGGATTCCCCAGGCTGAAAAAAAAAAAAAGGATTTTCTCCATGCCAACAAGAGACAAATAATGATCAGAACATATTTAAAATCTATTGCCAGCACTTGTTATGAAAAATTCATTTAGATTTTTACTGAGACATTTTACAGTTTTGTTAGGATTAATCTGACGAAGGTTGAGACAAGTTGTAAGGATATAGTTATATAAAGATATACTTACCAATTTTAGCAAAATTTTCCCCCAGCTATTGGTTAAATACATTGGTCAATTTGTCCTCATTGTGCCAGAAAAGCTCAGCAGTTCTGACTAAAGTTTATGTTAACCCATTGCCAGTAGAATGAAAGAGTTGAATCCTCTCTTAAATTATAATATATAGTTGACTCCTCAACAACACAGGTTTGAACTGTGCAGGTCTGCTCATATGTAGATTTTTTCCTATAAATATATTAGAAAATTTTTGGAGATTTATGAAAAATTGAAAAAGATAACAGGTGACCCATCTACACAAGAAATATTAAAAAACTAAGAAAACGATGTCATGAATGCATAAATCATATGTAGATACTAGTGATCATTTAATACAATGAGATATATATGCGTCTATTATAAAAAGTTAAAATTTATCAAGACGTAGGCAAACACAGAGCATACATGCAGCCAATTGAAGTTTAGAGAAAAGTAAAACAAAAATATACAAAAGTAAATCATAACTGCACAAAATTAACTGTAGTACATACTGTACTACTGGGATAATTTCCTAGCCTCCACCTGTTGTTCTTGCAGTGAACTCAAGTGTTGTGAGTATTCACTTAAAATGCCACATAATGCTAATCATCTTCTTGTGAGTAGCTTGTCTCTCCAGTAAATTAACACAGTAAAAAGTGTTCTCTCATGTTTCTCCTGTATTATTCATGATGTCTAGTGCAATACCATAAACCTTGAATAACACCTTCAGACCTATAAAAAGTGCTGCTAGTGATGCTGAAAGTTCTTCCAGGAAACAGAGAAGGGTCCTGACATTACAGGAAAACAATGAATTGCTTGATAGGTACCCTAGATTGAGGCCTGCAGCTGTGTGTGCTGCCATTTCAGAAGAAGGATCCATCTTGTAAACACAGGATTGTAAACTTATGAGAGAAATAAATATACTGTAGTACTGTAAACGTATTTTTTCTTCCCTATAATTTTCTTAATAACACTTTCTTTTCTGTAACTAGCTTCATTGTAAAACTACGTTGTAAAATACATACAGCGTATGAAATATGTGTTAAGGATTGTCCAGTCAACAGTAGGCTGTTAGTTTAGTTTTGGGGAGTCCAAAGTTATATGTGAATTTTTGACTGTGCTGGGGTGGTGGGGAGGGGTTAGGGAGGTTTGATGGCCCTAAACCTTGTGTTTTTCAGGAGTCAACTGTACAATTTAGAAGAATATGATTTAGAATTTCCCTGAGATTAAGAACATATTAAATGGTGGGAAGGATATTGATAGACCTCTAGATCTAGTGACACTATCAACTTTGACTGTGTCTGTTTGATGAAGGAATTAAAATCTAGTAACAAAAGCATTTTGTAGATAGTTATTGTACCAGTCTTTGTTCTTGAACATCAGTGTGTTTTTTTGAACTGAAAATCACACATTGAATGAAAGGCTTCATCTCAATATATTTTATTTACACATAAATTTGAGCTGTTTTTTGTTCACAAGTTTGGCCGATAAAAGAGCCCTCACAATAGCTTTAATTACCATTTAAAATTACAAATTAATGTGATTTTTTAATTTTTCTCTCTTTTGTAGGGTGAAGGAGCAATGCTTTTGGTTACTCAGTATTCTCTCAAGAAAATTTAAAGATAGTTTATACATAGAAGATATTTTAACAGGCTATATTCTGAACTTGTGGCCCGGATTTGGAAAAAGCAATATATCAAGTATGGTTCAAGGGGACAAGAAAGAGAGAAGCATTTGTTACCATTTTTCCAAGTCAAAAATATTTAATCAGATAATATTTTAAAAGCCAGCAATAATTAGTAATGATTGGTATAATGTTTTTGTCAAAATTATTAAATAGGAGATAAAATTAAAAGCTTTATTTTTTTGCATTCAAATAAAATTTTAAGTATTTTGATGAGCATATTAAATCAACAATGCATGTATTACATTGAACCTGACTTCTTAATAAGTTGCAACCAAATCTTTAATGATAAGTTTAGGTCAGAGAGATAATTTTGAGATTTGTCACCATAAAGATAGGGTATAATGTGATGTAAATAATTAAGATCAGGTGGAAAGACAAATAAGATTGAAGGAAGACCCAAGACCAAGGTTTGAGGCACTCTCAGAAGTTCTAAAAAAAAAATTTAGACTATGAGTAAAGAAGGATTGATCAGCAAGGTGAAATGGATCAAGGAAATGTGGGCACTCAGAGGTACAGAGGGGTTAATTGCTGCTCAGAAAATACTCAGACGAATGCTGAACAATAGATTAGATAGAACCGATGTCCTAGAAATCATGAAGATAAGTGACTTTATTAAAATACATATTATAAACAAAGAAGGAATTTACTGTTCGAAAAGTTGTCTTGAAGAATTGTTTTGGGAGAAAATAAAAAATAAACCTTATTTTCTAAAATACACTAAAACTAATTCCAAATGAGTCAAAGGATTGTGTACAGATATTTTAAATTAATAAAACAATGTTAGTGCAGATTCTCTTTAATTACTTCCCTGATTGTTTTACCTATAGTAACTCATTTAATTCTACTAGCAATCTTTTCATGTTGGATACAGCTATTCAAATTTTCTTTTGTTATTGCAATAGCCTCCTAACCATTCTTCCACAAAATTGAGGCGCTAAAAGGTTGTGAAATTTCCTCTATGCCACAGAGCTTTTTAGTGATGATTTGGCATTTGGAAGCACATCTTTGAAATGTTCATTTTTCTCTGATGGCCAGTGATGGTGAGCATTTCTTCATGTGTTTTTTGGCTGCATAAATATCTTCTTTTGAGAAGTGTCTGTTCATGTCCTTCGCCCACTTTTTGATGGGGTTGTTTGTTTTTTTCTTGTAAATTTGTTTGAGTTCATTGTAGATTCTGGATATTAGCCCTTTGTCAGATGAGTAGATTGTGAAAATTTTCTCCCATTCTGTAGGCTGCCTGTTCACTGTGATGGTAGTTTCTTTTGCTGTGCAGAAGCTCTTTAGTTTAATTAGATCCCATTTGTCAATTTTGGCTTTTGTTGCCATTGCTTTTGGTGTTTTAGACATGAAGTCCTTGCCCACGCCTGTGTCCTGAATGGTAATGCGTAGGTTTTCTTCTAGGGTTTTTATGGTTTTAGGTCTAACGTTTAAGTCTTTAATCCATCTTGAATTAATTTTTGTATAAGGTGTAAGGAAGGGATCCAGTTTCAGCTTTCTCCATATGGCTAGCCAGTTTTCCCAGCACCATTTATTAAATAGGGAATCCTTTCCCCATTGCTTATTTTTCTCAGGTTTGTCAAAGATGAGATAGTTGTAGATATGCGGCGTTATTTCTGAGGGCTCTGTTCTGTTCCATTGATCTATATCTCTGTTTTGGTACCAGTACCGTGCTGTTTTTGTTACTGTAGCCTTGTAGTATAGTTTGAAGTCAGGTAGCGTGATGCCTCCAGCTTTGTTCTTTTGGCTTAGGATTGACTTGGCAACGCGGGCTCTTTTTTGGTTCCATACGAACTTTAAAGTAGTTATTTCCAATTCTGTGAAGAAAGTCATTGGTAGCTTGATGGGGATGGCATTGAATCTATAAATTACCTTGGGCAGTATGGCCATTTTCACGATATTGATTCTTCCTACCCATGAGCATGGAATGTTCTTCTATTTCTTTGTATCCTCTTTTATTTCATTGAGCAGTGGTTTGTAGTTCTTCTTGAAGAGGTCCTTCCCATCCCTTGTAAGTTGGATTCCTAGGTATTTTATTCTCTTTGAAGCAATTGTGAATGGGAGTTCACTCATGATTTGGCTCTCTGACTGTCTGTTATTGGTGTATACAAATGCGTGTGATTTTTGTACATTGATTTTGTAACCTGAGACTTTGCTGAAGTTGCTCATCAGCTTAAGGAGATTTTGGGCTGAGACAATGGGGTTTTCTAGATATACAATCGTGTCATCTGCAAACAGGGACAATTTGACTTCCTCTTTTCCTAATTGAATACCCTTTCTTTCCTTCTCCTGCCTAATTGCCCTGGCCAGAACTTCCAACACTATGTTGAATAGGAGTGGTGAGAGAGGACAAATCAAAACCACAGTGAGATACCATCTCACACCAGTTAGAATGGCAATCATTAAAACGTCAGGAAACAACAGGTGCTGCAGAAGATGTGGAGAAATAGGAACACTTTTCCACTGTTGGTGGGACTGTAAACTAGTTCAACCATTGTGGAAGTCAGTGTGGCGATTCCTCAGGGATCTAGAACTAGAAATACCATTTGACCCAGCCATCCCATTACTGGGTATATACCCAAAGGACTATAAATCATGCTGCTATAAAGACACATGCACACGTATGTTTATTGCGGCACTATTCACAATAGCAAAGACTTGGAACCGACCCAAATGTCCAACAATGATAGACTGGATTAAGAAAATGTGGCACATATGCACCATGGAATACTGTGCAGCCATAAAAAATGATGAGTTCATGTCCTTTGTAGGGACATGGATGAAATTGGAAATCATCATTCTCAGTAAACTATCGCAAGGACAAAAACCCTAAGACCGCATGTTCTCACTCATAGGTGGGAATTGAACAATGAGAACACATGGACACAGGAAGGGGAACACCACACGCTGGGGACTGTTGTGGGGTGGGGGAAGGGGGGAGGGAAAGCATTAGGAGATATATCTAATGCTAAATGACGAGTTAATGGGTGCAGCACACCAGCATGGCACATGTATACATATGTAACTAACCTGCACATTGTGCACATGTACCCTAAAACTTGAAATATAATAATAATAAAATTTAAAAAAAATGTTCATTTTTAATTATAGCACTACACCATGCACTGAATCACGGAGGGTAAAAATGCACACTGTTAATAAGAAGGAGGGAGTCAATCTCATTAGTATTATAATATTTATACTGAATGAGACTCCATTCCCGAAATTCACAGAATTAAAATAATAAAAATAAAAATTTATTGCTAGCCAATTTGCAGCAAAAAAGATTCATTCTCATATTCTGCTATGAGAAAATAAATGAAATTGAATTTTAAAAGACATTTTTGGAAAGCCCTTTGAATTAACCAGAAAATTGTTAAATTCGTAGTTTTTTTGACTAACATTCTTCTTCCACGTTAACAGAATTTATATATAAGTGACACTCATTGCATATACTTTTAAGGGGTAAAATAATTACTAAATTTATGTACACTATTAATACTTCATTGTATAAAATTGCATATATACCCATATGCAAATGTGCACAGAATCAGTAGGGTAACCATAGACATAAAATGATCAGTGCAGGATATTTTATTTATGCATTTTATATATAATATACTTTTCATTTAATATTTTTGCTAATTTTATTGAATTGAATATTTATGCCTTGGTTATAGAACAACTAAATTTATTTTCAAAGAAACTCCATTATTATTGTCTGCAAGAGTAAAACTTATAAACAATCTAAAAATTCAACCAAATACAACCATTTACAATTGTGCCCTAGTTGAATTTGTAATCGTAGGAGAAAACACAGGTGTTGAATTTTTTGAATTTCATTTAAAAAATAATTGACACAATCCCTAAGGTATCATATAAATTAATTGAATTGTTATTGTCTTGGGTTAACATTTATTTCTAGAGTTTTTTTTCCCCTAATATCTGATTTTTTCCATTAACATTACTTATTTGGATAATCAGAAAAAAATCAACATTGCCAAAAGATAGATAATACCACAAGCGAAATATCTATGATAATGATAGGAAAATGCTTTGAATTCAGGCTGAATGAGAATTAGTCTAGGAAAACAGCTTGGACCCTCTCATTCCTGTTAATGTCATCTCTGTGTTTAGCACTGCTGCTATTCCTCAGCTACTAAGAAATGCTCTATTGCTGGGCATGGCATATGGGAAGCCAAGAAAAATGACTGGCTGCTTGGTGACAGCTCTCTAGTCCTCATGCCAAGTTCTGCCAGTGATTTAAATATTAAGTAATGGAAAGAATTTTGAAATCCAGGATGATTAGAAAAGTCATTTTCTACAAAAGTGAAGCATTGTCTTTAGAGATTAAAATCTATGAAAATAACATTATTGAAATACTAGACTTCAGACTATTTTTCTGAATTACTGTAACTGTTGAAATAGGTCTTTCAGCCCATTAAGATAAACACCACACTTTTCTCTTCATGATCTCCAGCTGTAATTTTATAGTGAAAGGTGCTTGCATAAAAGAGTTCACACTATCTGAAAGATGTCACATGTAACATTGACTGGCAGCCATTTCAGAATGGCAGACAGCCAATAAATCATTCAGAACTATGTGTCACTCGTTGTGGCTTTAAAATTGTATTCCTTCTCCTTTGATAAAGAACATTTCAATGTCAAATAGTTTGTTCTATTTAAACTTATACATCAACCAGAATATTGAGATACACAATAAAATTAAATGATTTGGTAATACCTTTAGAATTTATCTAAAAACAGCCGTATGTATTTGCATGACAGATTTGGTTCACAAACCGATCAAGTTGTTAGTATCAAAGGCATGTTTTAGTGCTGATTTGTGTATAGATAAATTTAGGAAATTACATAAATAGAAATACTTCTTTATAAAATTCCTTGACCTTGTGATATCTTGGTATTAAGAATCTTAAAGGAATCATTTAAAAAAATTCAAAAGCAAACAATTTCGATTTTACAAGAGCTAAGAAAAAAACATTTTGCTATGGACACAGATCGCTCTTCAAGAAAAGATTTCTTTCCCCCTTGGCTGCTAGGAGCAATATTACAAAGCAGCCTTCAGCTCTCAGCTCCTTCAAAGTTTGCCTCAGCTGTAACCATTGTCTGGCTCAATGTTAGGGCATCCTGGAGCACTGGACATGCAAACACGAATGGAGATGAGGTTATAAAGCCTGGCCATTTTGACCCACCTGAGAGGATTCTGACAGGTCCTTCCAGTGCCTGAGAAACCCAGGGCTCACATGCTTTATATTCTGATCATTCTGTAGGGGTTGTTCCCATGGGTGATAGAAGCTGCCAAATATAAAGAGGCAACCATGCAAATTTTTAGGAATTATTTCCAAAACTCTCATAACAACATCATATATATTTATTGGTTGTTTAAGTAGATTTCTGAGGAGTAGATAGCAACGATAGAAGTGAAAGAAAGTAAATGCAGTTGTTAAAGGATTAGTCTTCCCATACTTAGAAAGTACACAAGTTGCATATACACTATGTTCCTTCCCTAGAGCAAGTATTTCAATGCAGTCATGTGTGTGTGTTTGTGTGCTTGTGTGTGTGTGGTGTGTGTGTGTGTGTGTGTGTATGCTAACTGAACTCATTATAGATTTTATTGGATCAGATATATGAAGAGACTTGGAAGACTTGGGTTTGTCTGGAACTGGGTGAAATAGAGAAGGACGATCATTGACATAGAAAGCTGATTACTTTGTCCTTTGAGTATAAATAGTCTTACAATAAAATGGCATCTCCACTGTCTAAAACACATTTTTACATTTGCTCTCCTTCTGAAATTATTTATGTGAAATTAACAAATGTACTTATTACCTTAGAAACAAACGATCCGTAATTTATATTATTTATTGTATATTTGTAGATCCACTTAAAATTGATTTGCAATATAAGGAAAAAATGCGTTTTATAAGTTGTTTGCTTTGTGTAGTGCATCTTGTTAACCGTAGGACTACTGTTGCATTGAAACAAAATAGAATTAATCTGTTCAGGTAAATAGAACTGGAAGTGAGATTTGTTGTCACTCCTTCTCCTTCAAGTACTGACCAGTCTTTTAATTCACACATAACTAACACTCTGTGCAATAATATTTTTTTGTTCTCTGTCTTTTCAAACAGAACTCAAGCTCCATGAGGAGATGTTTCATTGTCGGTGAGCACATTCTTGTCAATTAGTTCCTTCTTGTTTCTTACTATAGCCCCTGTGTCTAGAACCTTTCCAGGTATTCAGTAGCCATTTAAAAATTATTTGTTGAATGAATTGTTATTTTAAAGAACATCCACAATTTTGCCTGACTGGGCATGGGAATACATGCCCATCTTTGGACTGAATGTCCATTTTTCCCTTCTTTGATTTATCAAAATATTGGTTAAATGATCAGGACTACCGTCAGAAGGAATTTTATATCTAAAAATAGTTTACCTTCTATGGATGTAAAAAATAGTTGTAGTAGTTCTGGCTTTTATATTATTCGATGTTTCAAAGCGGTTTTTTTTTTCCATCACCATATTCTACGTTCTTGAAAAGTACTCGTTCATGTGACTGCTATCATTTATGCTTGTGCAGCACGTAGATACAGGAGAGAAGATAAGGAAAATGCTTACCCTGTGTCTCCTTCCCTGTAACACAGTTTTTTTTACCATATTGATTCTCCACTTTCTACTCCCTAAGTAAAATTTTGCAACAGGCATTTGGGAAACTCTGGATACAAGAAAAAAATTTTAATATTGTACAAAGAGACAAGAGGTGACTTCTTTTTTATTTTTCATTTAGAGTTTATAGTTTAATTAAAGAAAATGCACATATATCTAAAGATAATCATGGATAATACACTCATGTAATTACTACTTTCAGTGGTTGTAACAACAGCCAAAGCACAAACAGAAATGAGAAAGAATTATCAGCATTATGCAAGTACATATCCTCTTTAAGAATTCCTGTTATAGTGAAAGCATTAAAATAATTGAACACGTACAGAGACCATATACTTTGTGATCTTTTTAAAAAAGTATTCAAAATATATTTCTGTGTGCAAAACATTTTCATAATGGTCTTGTTTAAATGAAAGTATTTAGAATAGCACATTGTAAAATTATGCTGCAGAGCACAAGTATTTTTCTCTTTAGAAGACACATAATAAAATAGAATCATCAGTGTTTTTTCATAAACATGAATCTTTAGAGTGTTACTTGATCCTGCATAATAAGGGTACTTTTTTGCTTAATGTAAGCATAGTATACTAATTCTTTTAAACTTCAGAAAGCATATTTACAGTCTAGGCAGATGGGACATGAAGGTCACACAGCATGAGCGGTGAAATATCTCATTTACCTAGAGTTCTAGAGAGAATTTTAGGAACTCTTATTTATTATCAGTGCATAAACAAGAGTAAACTCTACAAAACTGTTTGCAAAACTCTCCTCTTTCTACTCAGAAGGCTTTCCCTAGAATAATCATTATGGAGTCTGTCCATCCTTTACTCATTCACTGCATGGGGACAGGTGTTAGTTATGAGATTGGTGAATTTAGAAAGCTAACCAATTTCATACCTATTTTGGGATTCTCAATTCACAAACTTTTGTGCGTTTCTTAATTATTTCCTTTCTTTTTCTTGTAGAGAGCAGTCATGATGGCCTGCACTCCACACAATGCAACAGAGTGAAAGAGCAGGTTCTGCTTCTTTGGTGTAGTCCTGAAGCTTCCTAAGAAACTTCACATCAGGTGATGGATAGGAGCAACCCTGTAAAACCAGCCTTAGACTATTTTTCAAACAGTAAGTAATAAAGGTGACGTTTTGATCTTTATCTGCTTAATTACTTCTGCTATGATTCTATTGATTCTAACATTGAAGGAGCAGTAAATTTATATGTATTATCCAACTATAAAACAATAAATAAACGATATGTCAAATACATTATCACATCCTTATGTTCTTATGATAATATTGTCCTTTTTTTAACAGTTTTTATTCTTATTTGTTGATTGGTTTGTCTTTATGTTGTCCTTTCTACTATCAAACTGAACATGTTGAGGTCATAGGCTATCAAAACTGTACATTTCTGATGCTAACCATAGAGACTTAACAACAGTAAATAGGCCAAAATGGAATGTTGTTAGCCATAGTGTGTATTATTATTTCTTTTATACATGTGGTCACTGTTAGAGGAGTTTATGACTTTTTGCCTAGATTAATGACACACAAACCATCTACAAACGAATCATACCTTATTCCCTCACTGTAATTTTTAATGTTGCTATTTTTGCCTGTTAACATTCCATAGGTTTATCACATTGCTTAAAGATTTAATTTAATTTCTGTAATTGTATATGTCATGAGAGATTGCTTTTAACCTTCCAATGTTCGTGGTCTCATTTTCACTAACATAATCCCAACTTTAGCTGCGCACAATACCACATTTCCCAGCATTCCTTGCATCTGGATATAGCTGTATTCAAATAAGCCGTGTGAAACTTCTGGGATGGCTCCTTAAGTGCAGTTGACTCATTAGGGAGGTATGTCTTTTTTATTTTTCTACACTTTGTGCTGCTGTCCTGGAGTACAGACATGGTGGCTAGAAGCATGAAATCACCTTGAAGGTAGAAGTCATGCATTGAAGTTAGTAAAAGTGAAATGTAAGTGTATAGTTTCCTGATGAAAATGGGAAGCTTATGTACTAGCAACAGAATGCTTATTATGCAGGCTTCCTATATGTAAAAGAGGACAAATTCTCATTTTATTAAGTTTCTGAAAGTAGATTTCTAAATGCTGGTTCTATTTTTTATTGAAAGTAATGGCAAAAAACGCAATGCCTTTTGTACCAACCTAATAGTTAATAAACATATCCTCAAATGAAATGTCTTAGAATTGTGTTCATCAAGTTAATATTAATAATTTATTAGAATAGCACTCTAAAGGGTTGCAGCCTATGCATGAAAATACTTACAAACTACTACATGATAATCAATTCTTTTTGGCAAGACTGCTATTTACATGGACACAAGAGTTATTATAAGAATGTTGTATGTATACATGAATAGTGTCTGTTAAACACTGGATATAATAAAAACAATAGTTTTTCTGTTAATTATAACAATCTGAACATTTTTGTGATTATATTTCACAAATGACACACCATTTTATTTGCAGATTTTTCTTATCCCCAAAGTTTTTGTTAATTTATTACCAACACAGCACACAAGTCTAGTGGCAATGCATTACCTCTGCAGTTGATTTTGAAGTAAGAAGGCCTATTTATTGCATTCATTCCTGCTTAGATGACATCTTAAATTTGTTAATTGGATTATTATGCTCTATTCTATACATTTATTGATTTATAGATTTTGTGGACACAAATTTCAAAACATATTCGAAAATTTGGTGATAGCTTTTTAGAATCTATTCTTCAACATAGTTATTGAAAGTGAACAAGAAGGACCTCCTCTAGAGATTAGGTTGAGAACCACTTCTTTGATTTGTTAAATATGTGTACATGGATACCATGTGGCTTTATTATGAGGAGCCACTTAAGTGGCTGAGTTACAATTCACAAAACATTGTCACAGGGAAAATATCAGGACAAATTTTCAAGTCGCATGCCAAGAAAAGAAACTTTCTGAATGCTTATAAGAAATACCTTAATTAATGGGAGCCCTTCAAAGTACACAAAACATCATAACTAGGAGTTGCAACACAACCAGCAATTTGCTGATTGAAATGCATTCATTCATACTGACTTCACCTGCTGAATGGAATATTGTGCTGTACTGTCCTTAGCTATGGAGAGAGAATTAAGGAATATCCCCTTCTGGTGTTCAACAACAACGAAAGAGCAAGAAAGATATATTCCTAATTTTTAAAGAAGAATGTAGAGATACTTAAACAAGACAATGAAGGTGGTAGAAAGATTATTACCATCCCCAAAGTGTTTGCTCATTAAAACATTTTGTGATTTTCTCTGCCAATATCATACCTGTATGGATAATTGTTTTCCTATCCACACAGTTATGAGAGTGAGAAGATGGAATATAAAAGATGGAACAAGAGGGAATCTGTGTGGTGACCACAGTAATCACAGGCTGGTTGGGATCCTAAACTCGGCCACAGCACAAAAGCATGTTCAAGTTTAAAGTCATGAGAGAGGCCTGGCATAGTGGCTCACACCTATAATCCCTGCACTTTGGGAGGCCAAGGTGGGAGGATTGCTTGGGGCAAAGAGCTCAAGATCAGCCTGGGCAACATAGTGAGATCCCATCTAAAAAAATGTTCTTTAAGTTAGCCTTATGTGGTGGCATGTTCCTGTGGTATCAGCTACTCAGGTGGCTGAAGTGGGAGGGTCACTTGAGCCTGGAGGTTGAGCCATAATCATGCCACTGCACTCCAGCCTTGGTGACAGATTAAGACTCTGTCTCCAAAAGTAAAACACCAAACAACACAAAAAGTAAAGTCACAATAAAATGAGATGCTATTAAGGTTGTTTTAGGTTGATTTTCAACTAGACCAGCATTTAGCCTGTACAAAGGCATATACAAAATAAACCCTAAACCTAAATGGGATTCAGCAGCAGCAGTGTGGGTTAAAGAAGCCACCAGTTCCCTGGAGGCCAGAACCACAGGCCTGTGGCCTTTTTTATTGTTTTGACAGGGAGGTGGAAAGCAGGAGTATAACTACATTCAAGTGTCTGCTCTGTTGCTGTAGGAGAAAATCCGTGCTGTAGCACATCAAAGTTTTTCCAAATTTTATTTCTTAGGACATCTTTGGGGTTTATGTAAGTATTAAATAGAGCTCCCCTAGCCCAGGCTTACACAGGACATATGTCTAGTGTCATAGGTCTGTATGCTTAAATTATAGCAGAAAGTTTGCTAAAATTTAAGTGAAGTAATGTTGAAGGTTGAATCATTTGAAACAAACTACCTGCACCAAAATATTCTTTAGTGTACTGATTTCTATCCCACCCCTAATGAGGCTGAATTTTAATCTTAACTCTGCTTGTAATTAGGTATTTATATGTGTCTGTTATTCATTTTTTAACAAGATGTCTCTTCAGAGATAAAATGAGGGTAGCAAAAAATAATTTTAATAGCCATTTATATGGCTTTGATAACAATTGTCTGTTCTACTTATCTGACTGATTCTAAACTCTAAAGGTTATTTTACAGTTAGTAAATTACATAATTTTTATGCAACAATTTGCCTGCCAGGATTCCTATAATACTTGTCAGCTATCAGTAGGTATAAGCCTGTTAGCCTCTAATGTGAAGATAATATCTCTTTAAGTTATAACGCATTTACAATTGTTACAGTTTCTAAGGTCTTTTTGAAGTTAGAGATGCATCTGAGGATGATGGTTTTCAAGGAGATAGCTCTTTGACAAAAAATGACAATATGGGACTTAGTGTTATATTAATTTACACATTATGTTTTTGCTATAAAGATAAAAGGTGTGCTATACTACCTATCAATTACTGTATGCCACATTTTGTAGAATTGTTTTCCATATTATTGTAGAATGTGGCACTTAAATAGTATCATGAAAAAAGTTTATTCAAGAAATAAGACATTAATGAAATATAATTAATATATAAAGACTATATTTAAAAATAATTATGTATTTCTAATCCTAAACTTTTTAAGGTGACATTATTTTTTTCTGTGATATAATTTCAGTTGAGAAGAACTTTAAATTTTAATAAGATTTTAAGATGATTCAGTAATGTTAACATACTTTTCTTCTGTAAATTTTGTTAACAATTTAGCTGCATTAATTAAATATTTATGTAGCTAATTTTAATAGTGATATTTTAATACAATTCTTAATTTTACTCCTGGCTTTCAATCATTCATATATGTTTTTAAAAATTGCTTTTTCCATTGCTTTACTTCTTAATTACTTTTATCAAAGTCTTAATTGTGTGTGGTTGATTTTAAAAGTTAAATATTTCTATAAGATTTATAAAGACAAACTGGGTACAGTGACTCACACCTGTAATCCCAGCACTTTGGGAGGCCGAGGGGGTAGATCACTTGAGGTCAGGAGTTCGAGACCAGCCTGGCCAACATGGTGAAAGCAGTTTCTACTAAAAATACAAAGATATGCCTGGTGTGGTGGTTGGCCCCTGTAATTCCAGCCACTTGGGAGGCTGAGGCAGGAGAATTGCTTGAACCTTGGAAGCGGAGGTTGCAGTGAGCTGAAACCATGCCATTGCACTCCAGCCTGGGCAGCAAGAGCGAAACTCCATCACAAAAAAAAAAAAAAAAAAAAAAAAAAAATATATATATATATATATATATATATATATATATATATATATTATATATTATATATATGTATGTATGTATATATAAATGTATATGTGTGTGTATATATATAGATACACACTATATATATATATATATATATATATATATATATACACACACACACAATAGAAATGTCCTGGCTATATCTATATTAATAGGTTTTGCACATTTAAACCAAAGTCACACATATGGTTTGATTCTAATTAATTCTAATGCATCTTGCAGGTTTCAAACTGTATTCTATTATGTAATTATCTGCTGATCCACTCTGTATCCTGTTGTGTAAGTTGCGATGATTAACCTCTGCCTTTACGATGTAATCCAAATGTAGCATATAGACCTCAATGATAAGATTGATCATGGTGCATTTAATCATTAATTTATTATTAATCTCTTTTATCCTGGTACTTAGAGTGCAGATTTTTCTCAACAACTATTTACGCAATCATTAAATGAAATATAGCCTTGTGTCACTTAGCAATGAGGATATGTTCTGAGAAGTGTGTGGCTAGGTGATTATCTTACTGTGCAAACTTCATAGAGTGATCAATCTATAATGGTGATAGCAATTTTTCAACCCTATTATAATCTTAATGAGCCATTGTTTTACATGCTGTCTCTTATTGATGTAAACGTTGTTATGTGGCACATGATTATGTAAAAGATATTAATCCATTCATTATTTATGCATTCATCCATTTGACCTATGGTAGTGTTCTATTGAAAATGAGTCATCGTGATACAGAAATCCACTGTTAGTTGTTTTTACTTTCTCTTGTTCGTGGGGAAGAGTGGGTATTGATTTTAAAAGTCTAAAGAATGGGGTATTGTGAATAGTGCCGCAATAAACATACGTGTGCATGTGTCTTTATAGCAGCATGATTTATAATCCTTTGGGTATATACCCAGTAATGGGATGGCTGGGTCAAATGGTATTTCTAGTTCTAGATCCCTGAGGAATCGCCACACTGACTTCGACAATGGTTGAACTAGTTTACAGTCCCACCAACAGTATAAAAGTGTTCCTATTTCTCCACATCCTCTCCAGCACCTGTTGTTTCCTGACTTTTTAATGATTGCCATTCTAACTGGTGTGAGATGGTATCTCATCGTGGTTTTGATTTGCATTTCTCTGATGGCCAGTGATGGTGAGCATTTTTTCATGTGTTTTTTGGCTGCATAAATGTCTTCTTTTGCGAAGTGTCTGTTCATGTCCTTCGCCCACTTTTTGATGGGGTTGTTTGTTTTTTTCTTGTAAATTTGTTTGAGTTCATTGTAGATTCTGGATATTAGCCCTTTGTCAGATGAGTAGGTTGCGAAAATTTTCTCCCATTCTGTAGGTTGCCTGTTCACTGTGATGGTAGTTTCTTTTGCTGTGCAGAAGCTCTTTAGTTTAATTAGATCCCATTTGTCAATTTTGGCTTTTGTTGCCATTGCTTTTGGTGTTTTAGACATGAAGTCCTTGCCCACGCCTGTGTCCTGAATGGTAATGCCTAGGTTTTCTTCTAGGGTTTTTATGGTTTTAGGTCTAACGTTTAAGTCTTTAATCCATCTTGAATTAATTTTTGTATAAGGTGTAAGGAAGGGATCCAGTTTCAGCTTTCTCCATATGGCTAGCCAGTTTTCCCAGCACCATTTATTAAATAGGGAATCCTTTCCCCATTGCTTATTTTTCTCAGGTTTGTCAAAGATGAGATAGTTGTAGATATGCGGCGTTATTTCTGAGGGCTCTGTTCTGTCCCATTGATCTATATCTCTGTTTTGGTACCAGTACCGTGCTGTTTTTGTTACTGTAGCCTTGTAGTATAGTTTGAAGTCAGGTAGCGTGATGCCTCCAGCTTTGTTCTTTTGGCTTAGGATTGACTTGGCAACGCGGGCTCTTTTTTGGTTCCATACGAACTTTAAAGTAGTTATTTCCAATTCTGTGAAGAAAGTCATTGGTAGCTTGATGGGGATGGCATTGGATCTATAAATTACCTTGGGCAGCAAAGACTTGGAACCAATCCAGATGTCCAACAGTGATAGACTGGATTAAGAAAATGTGGCACATATACACCATGCAATACTATGCAGCCATAAAAAATGATGAGTTCATGTCCTTTGTAGGGACATGGATGAAATTGGAAATCGTCATTCTCAGTACTATCGCAAGGACAAAAAACCAAACACCGGATGTTCTCACTCATAGGTGGGAATTGAACAATGAGAACACATGGACACAGGAAGGGGAACATCACACTCTGGGGACTGTTATGGGGTGGGGGGAGGGGGGAGGGATAGCACTCGGAGATATACCTAATGCTAGATGACGAGTTAGTGGGTGCAGCACACCAGCATGGCACATGTATACATATGTAACTAACCTGCACATTGTGCACATGTACCCTAAAACTTAAAAGTATATAAAAAAAAAAAGGGGGGGTATACACACAATCAGGTGTCAAGCAGTGGCACCTCGTGCAAAATAATAAACTCATCTAAGATCCTAGCAGTTCATTCTGAAAATAAAGCTGGAAATATATCTTGGATATGTAAAATGTGAGTGTAAAAATTAATGAAACTAAGCAATGGGAATATGAGTAGTAAATTATTTGAGAAAATATTATAACATTTACTTTTTTAAATTTCAAAACTATATTTCCTTATTTAAAACTGAAAATTTTTGTGTACATATAGGAAACTAATTGTGTCATTTTTCTTTTTGTTACAATATAGAGTGATGTTTCAAAACACAAACATAATAGGTAGAGTCAATTACTTAGGGGAGTCTAAACCTGGAGGTAACATTAGAAATAGAAATAATAAAATGCAGTGTTTTTGGATTTGTCTGTTAAGATTATTTTAATCCAGATCATATTTAATGGTTTACATAGTTGTATATCAAATTTGGTTTCAGAAATAAATTATACAGTAAATTTAAAAATGCAAAAAATGTATATTGTTATACATTCTGTAACCTATGAATCCATATAACTTGGGCAAGAAAATTATATAATTAAAAATAAAACCTTTCTGTTCTCAATTATGTTTTAGGGACAGCTATATAGTTCACACTCACAAAGGAATCATAAAAACTCTATGTATAATCTTGGAAGTAAAAATATCTGTTGTATCATATTTATGAAGTATACAATTGATTAAAAATGATAATGTCTGTCTTCTATCCAACGGCAATAACAGAAGATAATGGCATATAAGTAGGCCTGTCTCCTTTTTTTTGGCATTGATTTATATATCTTTACTAGCTTTGTTGTTTTAACTCCAATAAAAGATTATTTAGTAAGCCAAAGCAAAAAAAAAAAAAAAATCCTGTGAGCAGCCACAAACTGAAAGACTACGATTTTTAGTCAATGTCCTAAGCAACACAGTAATTTTAGGTTAACCAATGTGTCAAAGAGAATGAGGAAAAATTATTACAAAAATGAATAAATAAACTGGTCTAGGTCAAACCGTACTCCTTCTAAAGAGAGTAGTCAACTGATATTAAAGCCTGTGACGTAGTATGTGCCATATTGAGTATGCAATATCTAAATATTTCTTTTTTTTCTTTCTCCAGCTACTGCAAACCCTAATTGTTTCCTTATCCGATCACTTTAAAGTCATTCAGCAAATCATAATTATGCCATTGTTAACATCAGAAACTGAAAACCTACTGTCAAAAGTGAGCTAAAATATCATATTTGGATTTATTTATAAATTTATTTTATAAAAAGATTGACTTTCAATTTGAGAATAACATAAAAAATCAATTCATTCCTCTGTGCATCAATATTGTATCATTGGTAGTTTAAACTTTTCATCTAATATTAGATTGCATGCAGGATTTTATATCTAATTACTCTGGCAGATGGCCTTTAGAAAGTTCAAAAATAAAATGCAGCAATTCATATTGGCAGATTTACTATTGAGACCAATGCTTTCTTAACTAAAAGGTTTTGTTTAAAATCGTTAGTTTAGGAAATCTGATAAAGATTTTTGAATATCAGAGCGTTTAAAAGAGATTCTTACTTTACATCTGGCATATTTCTTGTGTTACATATTATAATTTCATTGAACATGGCTGTCTGTAAAACTATGTATATGATCCGGAAGAGACTCAAATTAAATTAAGTTTTAACAGCCATCAATTCATTTTAAAATGACACAGGCATGAAAAATGATCTATCAAGATTTGTAAATCTTATTCTGTTAGCTATTGCTAGAGATAGTCTAAAGGTATTCTACTTGGAATTTGAGATCAAGACAAAGATTTTCTGTTAGTAATAATATTCAGATTATTTTTATTTTAATGTATAAATTTAAAATTCTTAGAATATTTTCAACAATATTTTCCATTTCTAAATTTATTTTATTTCTAAACAAATGTAATTACTTTATTTATTAACTTTTATTTTCAGTTCAGGGGTATATGTGCAGGTTTGTTATATAGGTAAACCTATAGGTAAATAGGTATACAGATTATTTTGTCACCCAGGCATTAAGCCTATGCGCGTTAGTGAAAAATGTTATTGCTTTAAATATCCAAATTATTCAGCTGCATTTGATCTCATTCTTTAGTCCAATGTAAGTAAGAGTAAAACAATGACATTTAAGGCCACCAGGCTATTCTCATTTTTGGAAAAATGCTGGATTACATTACCAGCATATTAAATGAGAATATCAAGGTGTAATATCTCCCTAGAAATTGTCTCACCTTCAATACTATTGACATTTTTGGACCTGATAATTTTGTTGTGGGCTCTAGCCTCATATTATAGGAGGTTTACCAGTTTTCCTGCCCTAAACTTACCGGATGTGAATAGCACACTCCACTACCTACAGCAGTAAAAACTAAAATTGTCTCTAAACATTGACAAATTGTCCCTGGTAGTGAAAATCACCCCTGGTTGAGACCGTGTTGTTGAAAATAAAACAAAAACTTTCACATCAATAAATATGTTAGGCTGTGTATGTTAAGGATTAACATTAAGACAATATGGAGCAAGCACTACATGAAAGCAGTGACGATTGGGAATTAGTGGCACATTATCCTAATAGTTAATATAGTGACTGTAATATCTAAATATCATCCTATAGAGTTTTTCTTAGATTTTTTCATTAGTATAACAGGATGTTGTGTATGTTACACTGTATATACTGTTATTTTGAGAGACAATTTTGGGAGATTTTGCCAAGGTATTTTCAATTATAGGTCTTTAATACATTCTAAGCAAGTGGGTCTCAAAAATGGGAATTTTACACCCCACATTCTTCTTCCCATCCGGTGGACATTTGTCAATGTGCGCAGATATTTCTGATTAAAAAAAAAAAAAAACTGTGAAAGAGAGGGTGTGCTACTGGCATCTGGTGGTCGAGGCTAGGGATGTTGCTAATCATCTTACAATGTACACGATAGTTCCCCACAATGACTTTGAGAAACCCTGCTCTGACACTACTGCAGGATGAATTTTAAGCACAATTATAAGAGAGGACCTAGATATTGAGTTTTAAAAGGAGAAAATATAAGTACAAAAGAAGAATGAAGATTGTTACAACAGGGGCAAGTAGAAGTTAGAAGAAAATGTGATAAAGTAAATCTACATTTTAGAATAGTACTGGAAGTTATTATCAGGTGTTACAGACAAGTTTGAGACTTCCGTAAGTGACCTAAAGAAATTATGGACACTGCAAGACTAAATAATCATTCATTTAGGAAGGAGCTTAAATGCACTTTCTCAAGGCCGGGCGAGGTGGCTCACGCCTGTAATCCCAGCACTTTGGGAGGCCAAGGTGGGCAGATCACGAGGTCAGGTGATCGAGACCATCGTGGGTAACACGGTGAAACCCCGTCTCTACTAAAAAATACAAAAAAAAATTAGCCGGGCACGGTGGCGGGCGCCTTAGTCCCATCTACTCGGGAGGCTGAGGCAGGAGAATGGCGTGAACCCGGGAGGCGGAGTTTGCAGTAAGCCGAGATCCCGCCACTGCACTCCAGCCAGGGTGACTGAGTGAGACTCTGTCTCAAAAAAAAAAAAAACTTTCTCAAGCATGCTAAGTCACAAAATTTGAGTTATCCTGAGCTTTTTTTACTTTAAGCTATCAAGCCATTGTTTGGAATCTTCAGAACCTCTTTAGAGTTTGGGATTTAAGAGTCAGTAGGTAGATAGTGAGCTTAAGATGCCAAACACAACATATAAAGCTATAAAAATCCATATGATCTTGAAAGATTAAATGGAAGCCCAGCACAAAACAATTGCTGAGTATATTATTTACATTATCTGAAAGTATGCCAGACAGACACTTTATATGTTAATAAAGATATGAGAAAGAAAATTCCAAAGAGTTTCTAAAAAGTGAACAACCACAAAATTTCAATAGCTTGCAACAAACATTTTCTTCTCACTCATGTTACCTGATGGAAAATCAAATGGCTGCCTGGAGACAGCATGGAGGGAGAGACTGATTACTGAGGTGCACAAGAAAACTTTTCATAATGATGGTTGTGAATGTAGTGATATTTCCAAAAGTATATACATATATATATATATCTATCTCAAATTTGACCACATCACACATTTCAAGTATACTGAATTGACTGTGCATCTCTTATTATACCCCAGGAAAGTTGAAGATATGACAATGAAAAAAAAATTCTTCCACCGACTACCCATCAATTTTCTTCTCATTAGCCTCACAGATTTCACAGTTAATTAAAGGGAAGATGCAAATATGTTCAAACTGTACATATTCTGAGGCCCATACCTTGCCATTAGCTCAATAAAGAGAGACATTGTCCCTGGCATGAAAATGAAAAACTTGCACACTCCCTAGGTGGCTTCTGGACACTCTTAAGACATGAACACACTTTGGGGGCTCACCCTGTCAGGCTTTGCTCTCCGAGCTTAGATGAGAAAAACACAAAAATAAAACCAAAAGGTGACATTTAGGTGCCCATCAAGAAAGATGTGTTGGGAACTGGACAGGTCAGGGCTTTAAGTACTGTATCTTACTGTATGTTTAAGTACTGTATGTTACTGTGGAAACTTACCCATTTTCCCCTCAGAACAACTCTGTCTCAGGAGGTGAGTCTGAGAGCTACTGTTTCTTTGTAAAGGTTTTATCTGATCAGGCCCACGGTCACCACGTCAGCCCCACTGCCCCTAAATAGTTTGAATCTTGATGTTTTGATTTCAAGGACTTCTGATTCTAGCTACATAGCTTTGTCCATTTCCCACCTTACCACTATTTACTTTGAATTTTGTTGCATGCCGAGACCAGTGACTGCCACAAATGTGACTGTTCCTAGAATCTGCTTTCTGCTCTGATCTTTAGTCAGTGCGCAGACTCTAACATAAACTCCTTTCTATCGTATTTTCTTGAGTCCAAGAGCCCATAGATTGTATAATGCACTATTTTATGTCCCGTTAAGCAAGTAATTCGCATTGTGGCTAATTAAACTAAGACATACCACTGAATTGTAAAATGCATTATATTTTCAGGAGATATTAAAATATGAAATGTATAGGTCTTGGAATAGATGAATTGTGACAGTATCTTTGGAAAGCTAATTCAGTTGCAGTATTGCTTAAGATGTCTTTAAGAGCTGACTTCCTTTAGTTGGAATACATATGTAAATTATTTGCAGAGGAGATTTACCTCTTTTATCTCATTCATTTGTTTATTCAGTCATTTATTGATATCAATATGGACTAAGGAAAATTACATTTTTGGGTATAATCCAAATATACTACCAATTAATGTATTGTGTTGCTAAAATTATTCTAGAAATTGAAAGACCTTTCACCTGGCCCCTGTGCTTGTTTGACATATCTCACAAATAGATTTTTGTTAGTATTTTCATAATTTCTGGCACTAGAGGATGTCCCAGGCTCATCTTGTGTATTTTCTTCCCCATTCTTAGAATCAGCCACTTTCAAAGACGCCCTGCTTTCTATATATGAAATCAATATTTAAGTGCTAGCTGTGCCTGTAGCTAAGGGAGTATCAATTTTTTCATAGCTCTCTAAGATGAGAGAGCAAAGAAACAATGTGTATATTCTTACACATATGTAGACACATATCTTTAAATATTTCTATATGTAAACATCTATATTAGTCCATTATCCCATTGTTATAAAGAACTACCTGATCCTAGGTAATTTATAAAGAAAAGAGCTTTAATTGCCTCACAGTTGCACAGGCTGTACAGGAAGCAAGGATGGGGAAGCCTCAGAAAACGTACAGTCATAGCAGAAGGCAAAGAGGAAGCAGGCACATCTTACATGGCTGGAGAAGGAGGAAGAGAACTAAGGGGGAGATGCTACACACTTTTAAACAACCAGATTGTGTGAGAACTAAGTCATTATCACAAGAACAGCAAGGAGGAAATCTGCCCCCATAATCCAGTCCCCTCCCACTAGACCCCTCCTTCAACACTGGCGATTACAATTGGACGAGAGGTTTGAGAGGGGACAAAATGTAAACCATATCACCATCTATGTCTGTATTAAGCTAAACATGGGTTCTTACTGATGTCACTACCTCTAACCTAGTCCCGCAAGCATCAATGCCTTCCTGTATCTCTAAACCCCCACTCCAACAATAAAAATCCTGACTCTTACTTTGTGACATCTATTTAGTTAATTGTTCACTTCCAGTATATGTATATAGCTGTACCAGAATTGATAACCTGCCCTTAGTAGAAGAACATCTTTATCAACTAAATTAAGTGCCTTCGTACAAGTTTCTTTTGCCTTTCATCTTAAGAGACTGCACTCATTTTCAATATCACTTTGACTAGCACCCTTTCCCTTAAGTCCCTCACTGAAGTTATTTTGTATGGTTCATAATAGAGCTAGATAAATTTGTAACAGTCTGCATTCCATCCTGAGATTCTACAACCTTTTAATTAATTTTTAATTAAAAATATAACTTTTATTTTGGTAAATATTAGCACTTCTGTGCCACACTACTATATATAAATATCAAAAAAAGGTCCAGAAAGCTATAGAAAATTTGAGTAAAGTGCTGAATGTTGAACCTAACAATAACTGGGCTAAAGTAAGTACAGAAGGCAATTTTTTATTTATGTAAATTTATGGGATACAAATATAATCTTATTACCTCCATAAAGTACATAGTGTTGAAGTAAGGGTTTTAGAATATACATCACCTGAAAAATGTACATTGTGCTCATTACATAATTTCTCATCATCCCCTCCTCCCACCCTCCTGAAATTTCCAAGTCTCTGTTGTCTATCATTCCACATTCTATGTCCATGTGTATACATTATTTAGCGTCCAGTTATAAGTGAGAACATGCAGTATTTGTCTTTCTGTGTCTGATTTGTTTCACTTAAAATAATGACCAGTTACATCCATGTTGTTACAAAAGACATGATTTTATTCTTTTGTATAGCTGAATAGTATTCTATAGCGCATATGTGCCAGATTTATTAATGTAATCATCCACTGAGGGACACATTGCTATTGTGAATAGTGCTGTGATAAACATATGGGTGCAGATACCTTTTTCATACAATTATCTGTTCTCCTTTGGGTAGATCTCCAGTAGTGGGATTGTTGGGTGAAATTGCGGTTTTATTAAGAATGTATATTCTGTAGTTGCTGGGTAGTATTTTCTGTAAATGTCAGTTAGGTCTATTTCATCTAAGGTTGAATTTAAGTCTTAGGTTTATTTGTTTTCTGTCTTGATGATAACATTTAATGCTGTGAGTGAGATGGTAAAGTCCCCCAGTATTATCGTATTGCTGTCTATTCCTTTTTTATGTCTAGTAATATTTATTTGATGAATCTTGGTGGTCTAGTGTTGGATGCATATGTGTTTAGAATTGTTATATCCTCTTGCTGAATTGATCCCTTTATCATTATGTAATGACTTCCTTTGTCATTGTTATACTGTTTTAGATTTAAGTTCTGTTTTACTTGATATAAGTATAGCTATTCCTGCTTGCTTTTAGTCTCCGTTACATGGAGTATCTTTTTTCACCCATTTACTTTAAATCTGTATGTGTCTTTACTTTTCAGTCTGTATGTGTCTATATGTTTCTTGTAAGCATAATATTTTTGGATCATTTTTTAGTTCGTTCCATCAATCTACCTTTCTTTTTTTTTTTTTTACTTTTAGATGGAGTTTCACTCTGTCATCCAGAGTGGAGTGCAGTGGCGCAATCTTGGCTCACTGCAAACTCCGTCTTGCAGGTTCAAGCGATTCTCCTGCTTCAGCCTCCCAAGTAGATGGGATTACAGGTGCCGGCCACCACGCCTGGCTAATTTTTGTATTTTTAATGGAGATAGGGTTTCACTATGTTGGCCAGCCTGGCCTCGAACTCCTGACCTCGTGATCCACCCACCTCGGCCTCCCAAAGTGCTGGGATTACAGGTGTGAGCAACTGCACCTGGCCCAATATCTATCAATCTATATATTTTAAGTGGAATGTTTAATTCATTTACATTCAAGGTTAATGTTAATACATGAGGTTTTCTTTCTGCCATATTGCTGTTTGTTTTCTACTTGTTTTATAAGTTCTTTGGGGTTATTTTGTTGTTGTTTTTTGTTTTTCTTTCTGTGTGTCTCTTTGTCTTTGTGGTTTGGTGGAAATCTGTTGTGTTGCTATTTGATTGCTCGTCCTACTTTGTGTGACTGTTTTACAAGACCTATGAGTTTGCTACTTTCATGTGTTTTGATGATGATGATGAATGTTGACCTTTCATTTTTGTGTTTGGGACACCTTTGAGTATTTCTCATAGGACTCGTTTGGTGGTGACGAATTCCCTCAGTGTGTGCTTGTCTGGAAAATACTTTGAATCATTTCAAGAAAATTAACAGTGAGTTATGTCAATCAAGCCATTGGTTTGTATTTGGTGGCACATTTACTCTGTATTATTTCACACTAGAACCATCTGAGTTAAGTTTTATTATTTGCTATATGTTGCAGATGAAGAAACTGAAGCTGAGAGAGGTTTAGTGAATGACTAAAAAGGTTGTCAGGCTGCAGGGAAAAAAACAAAACAAAACTGTACGACTAGCCTGCAATGCTTCCCAAAGTATGTAGCTTATTATTATTGGTCACTTTTTGAGTACAAAATGCTGTGCTATGTAACAGAATAATACAATGTACATATACATATCAATTAACATAAGCATAACTGTAATCACATATACTGATAAATAAAAATATAAAGTAATATATGGTAATGACCCAACCATTTGCCTAAGTTTCATGTATTACAGAAGTTTTGAGGAGGGACTTCAGCTGTATGCAAATCAGCAATTCGGGTTGTACAGTTGATTACCCATTAGTTCAGAATTTTAATAATTTAAAATATATTTATTAAGAACCTAACAATTGGAAGACCTTACAATAGGTGGGAAAATTCGACAGATGAATAATGCTTAGGAGATATCAGCATGTTTTGGAAGGATATTCCCATGAAGAGAAAAAGTATCGTGGGAAGTGTGGGAAGTGTTATGGTGCGAGAGTAATACAGGTTCCAGCATGTGTTTACATTATTTTGTTGGAGGTGTTGGGGAACCTTTCATGGAAGGTGTGTGGTAGACTGTTGGACAGGTTTCCTCAACTTTCGTTCCACTCTTTGAAGAGGTTAGAAAACTAAAACAAAACAAAACAAGCAATGCAGCTTCCCTTGAGCTAGCTTTATGAATGCAGCTTAGACCACTTACCGATTGTTTGCATATGAATCAGACTTAGAAAAATGGAAGAGATCAAAGCCTGTCTTGCTATTGTTGATTCTGGCAAGTGAAATCATGGGGACAATAGTTCAGAAGTAGTGGAAGTGGTAGGATTCAATATCCTTGTGCCTAATCCCCAGTTTCATGGGCATAAGAGGCTTAAAGTTTTAATAGCAGGAGCATCTTTTTGACCCAGGATTGCAGAAATGATTGCGTGCCTTTGAATTCAAGAACTCAAAACCTTCCTCCATGCCACAGCTACTTTAGTTATTTTAGCCCTTCCTATTGTATATGTATGAAATGCACTTTCTGCTTAAGATACCTATTGCGGTTTTTATTTCCTTATTAAAACCTTGGAAAAATATAGCACTTAAATTATGTTTTGTAGAAATTCACTAAGCAAATAAAGCTAAAGGGGGAGAGAGTTAACCTTCTCTGCCCCCTTTTTATCAGAAGTTAGTTGTAGAAGAAATACACAATTTTTGCGCAATTTTAGCACCATCTAAGTTCTGTAGGTCTGGAACACAGACTGGTTAAATGAGCATTTCAGGAGCACTATAGTTGCAAAGTTAAGCAGTCACCACAATTTTATGTGTCATACAAAGATTTTTAACTTTATGTTTAAGCAACGAGCCTAGAAGCAAATGGTATTTCCATCAAGAATCGTCTCATATAAAGTAGAGCGTTTTGGAAAATGAAGTTATTAATAGATAAAAACATGTTTATGCAGTTGGTTTCTAAGTATGACAAACCTATTTCTTGGTAAATTGCAAGTCCATTCCACCTGTGTTTGTAGGCTCATTTGCCTAAAAGTCTTGGGATTTTTTCTGATGATCTATTAAATTTTCTTTCTGATTATCTTTTCTAATGCTGTAATAGCATTTCTAACACTGTAATGAAAGAGAACAAAAGTACACGCTTGCTCATCATTTACTAATTCTAAAAATATATATTGAATACATCTATGTAGCAGGTACTGTGGTAGGTGTGGAAGATAGTTGAGACAGGTAACAAGCCCAACATTACGGAGCTTAGCATCACCACCTAGAAGAGTTTTTAAAAAACATAGATAAGTGAATAATGATTATAAAGACAAAGAGATTCTTGCCATATAATTACATATAAGCAAATTTAGGATGTGATGAAAGATTTTGATATTGGTCTTCTGATTTGGCTGTAGGATGAAGTGTTTATAAGTCATCCCAAGGAAGAAACAATTCAGATGAGAACTATTCAATGGATTTGCAATAACAATCCAAAGATGGAAGAAGACACTTCTAGGTAGACAAAATTGCAAGTATAGAGAATGTAAATTAAGAGAGAGCTTAGCTTTCAGATGAATTAAAAGATTGTGGTGATCAGAATGTAGAGATTGACGAGAGACAAATGAAATAAAACTAGAAGGACAAGTAGAGATTTGTGGGTCAAGTTTTAAAATTTTATTATAAATGCACTGATACTGTTCTGAACATTTTCTTACACATGGAAATTTAATGATTATGGCTATTGAAAAATGTAACTCTTCATTTATATTTTTCCGAGAATGAAATCGGTGGAATTGCTGGGGGGTGAAAATGTCCAATGCGAAACAGGAGGCTAATTTAAGAAGGGATACTGCAAAATTGGTCATGATGGCTCAAACTGCTGTTCATAATAGAGAGAAGAAAATGGATAGAGTTACATATGGATGAGAGTAAATTGACAAGGCTAAATGCTAAAACGTGGGTAGTGACAGAAAGTAGGTGTCAAAATAGACTTCCAGGAAAAGAAAAAATGGGTCTACAAAAGAGCCAAATGCTGATGTGGGTTACATGATCCTGAGCAGATGCAGATGTAATTGGTTAAGTAAAGTAAGTTCTTAAGATAGATTTGGCCTGGCGCTATACATTCTAGAGCCCCTGAATATAAGTGGGATATAAAACCATGGGAATGACTGTATTTGTCTAAGGAGAGAATTTGGCAGAAGAAAAGGAGACATAAGATGAAATGCAGAGGAAATTCAAATTTAATTGGCAGGTGTAGGAAGACAAGGAGATGACAAAAGGAACTGGAAATGAGTAATCAGAGACAGAAAAGTAAAAGTAAGAGTAGAATGTCATGGAAGGCAAATAATTGGAATGTTTCAAGAACAGGGAAATGGGCAATAAAGAGAAGAAAAAAATAGTGACCAGAGGGTATAGTAATGTGTAGAAATTCATCCTGTGTTAGGTTTGATTGCTTAGACGTTTTATATAAAAATCTTTCCCAGAGAGTAATAAAACAGAAGTGAGGTTAGAGAAAGAACATACGATTTAGCCAAAAGGTGGGAAAAGTTAGGAAATGAAGAATAAATATGTTTAAAGATAATGTTATGGCTACTCAATGTACAACCTCTTTTCTTTCATTATTTTTAATTGTCATATTTAAAAATAGTAATTACCACTTTTAAAAATTGTCTTATTATTTGTTACATAAGAAAATGCATTAATTCAAGCCACATAGTATCATTTATATTATGACTGTCGAAACATTACTAGAATTACTAGAACTATTAACCTAATGGCCTGAAAATTTCAACTCACTTCCCTAGCTGTCCTGATGATCATTAGTGAAAGGAAAGACTCCATTAAATAATGCTTACTTATAGAGAACTGGTTATATCTGTCTCATTTCCATACATATATCTGTATAAATTAATTTGATTAATAAAACAAACACAAGGCACAAACAACAAAACACAGTTTATAAATGTCATTGAAAAATGCATGCCTGTACAATTTGGGTATTTGTAATTGTAAATTGATATACTTCATTTTTTATCCAGGAGTTACTTAGATTGAAACTTTACCTAATGTATGATAAAATAATACGTGATTAAATTTAAAAACATGATGAATTTATTTAAAATTGGCTTCAATAATGTCAGAAAGTAATAAAATAAAATGATTCCTTCAAAGACTGCACCTGTTTATTGCCTGAGATTATCTCTCTTGGCCACAAATCAATATTACTTTCTTTCATTCATCAGTGATAAAGCTTTTCAATAATTCTAATTTTAAAGGATGATTACAGCAAGTATATAGTCATTGATTGCTTAAAGGTTGCAGCTAAAATGAACACAATGGTCATTTTATTTTTAATAAATGAGCCCTTTTGAAAAGTCAAGCATTTTTCCTCTCACAAAACTTTGTGTAATAAGATTATAGATTTGATCATGTATGAGTTTGCACTGTGTGTGTGTATATATGTGTGTGTGATTTCAGCGATAAAGTTCACTGTTCCACAGCTGGCAATTTCTTCTGCTTAATTGAAAATTCCGTTTTAAAATATTTCTTTAAAGTTCTAAAATGGGTTTAAATGGGTTCATGAGCTGTAATACTATTAAAAATATATATATATCTACATATTTGTTGATTCTTCTCAGTTTAAGAAGTGGAGCTTCATACTCCTCCCCTTGAAGGCAGGCTAAGCTGAGTGACTCCCATCTAAGAAATAAAACACCGCAGGATTGGAATGTTACCTTGTGAGACAAGGTCACAAAGGCTAGGGTTTTAATTTTGAGTGAACTAATTTGCTCCTTACTGGTGTTTCTCTCTCTTTCTCTCCTTCAACTCTTTACGAGCCCAGCCACCATGCAAATAATTCCAAACTATCTTTTCTAGAAAGCTCACATGAAGAACCGAGGCATCCTATCTGATATCCAGCCAAATGATTAAACATTCTAGAAGCAGACTATGATGCACTGAATTTGTGAAATCCTAACCCCCAGTGTAATGATAGTAGGAGGTGGAGCTTTTGGTAGATGATAGTCTGTCTTCATGTTGGGGATTAGTGCCTTGATTATTATTTTTTGTTTTTATTTTTATTTTTATTTATTTATTTATTTATTTTTGAGACAGAGTTTTGCTCTGTTACCCAGGCTGGAGTGCAGTGGTGCCATGTCAGCTCACTGCAACGTCTGCCTCCTGGGTTCAAGTGTTTCTTCTGCCTCAGCCTCCTGAGTAGCTGAGTAGCTGAGACTACAGGTACGCACCACCACACCTGGCTAATTTTTGTATTTTTAGTAGAGACGGGGTTTCACCATACTGGCCAGGCTGGTCTGGAACTCCTGACCTCGTGATCTGCCTGCCTCAGCCTCCCAAAGTACTGGGATTACAGATGTGAGCCACCGTGCCCAGCCGGGGATTAGTGCCCTTATAAAAGAGACCCCAAAAAGCGTCCTTGCCCCTTCTGCCATGTGAGCTAGAGGACAGTAATCTATGAACTAAAAAATGGGCTCTGACCAGACACCAAATCTGCAAGCACCTTGATTTTGCACCATCCAGCCTCCGGTACCATTACAAACGTTTCTGTTGTTTATAAGCTACCCTGTCTATGGTATTCTGTAGCGACAGTGCAAACAAACTAAGACACGGACCTTCCAACACAAGTTAAAGGCTTCAGGGGATGCTGCCTGGGTCAACAACATGACAGCAACCTTTACTCATGAGAGACTTTGAGTCAGAACCACCTACCCAAATCCATCATTTCCCTGACTTCTATGAATTGTGTCATACATATTTGTTATTTTAAGCCATTAAGTTTTAGGGTAATTTTTAAATGGAAAAATACATGATCATAGGTAAACTATAATTAATAGAAAAATCTAATGCCAATAATATTTACCATTGATTGACCGTCAAAACTCCATTAATTATTTGCTTTCCATTTATATTTATTTTTGGATTTCTTTTTTAAGAGAATGGCACCTGTGACAGCATACTGTTAATATTACCCTTTTATCGTACTTTACCATGCCATCTCTGAAGAATATTACAGACCATTTTGGAGCATGGTGAATAAGAAATTTTCACCTTAGGAGTTCACTTGAATAGTCATTTTTATATTTGTGACTGCAAATCACTCTTAGGGGCTGTACTTCCTTAGTACTGGTAGCATTATTATCCAATGGACTTTTATAGCTTTCATTAGGTTTTCTTTTGTTTTTGTTCTTTAAAGAACGTTTTACTTATCTTAGTATTTCATTTTTCATCTATATTATGAGGCAGTAAGAGTCTTCTGTTTTTCCAAAGTTGAGACTGCTTTATATTTATTTCGTATTGTCTACAGCTGTAGTGTTCAATACATTAGCCACTAGCCACATGTGGTTATTTAAATAAGATAAAATAAAAATTGGCCGGGCGTGGTGGCTCACGCCGGTAATCCCAGCACTTTGGGAGGCCGAGGCGGGCAGATCATTAGGTCAGGAGATCGAGACCATCCTTACTAAGACGGTGAACCCCCATCTCTATTAAAAATACAAAAAATTAGCCGGGCGTGGTGGCGGGCGCCTGCAGTCCCAGCTACTCAGGAGGCTGAGGCAGGAGAATGGCGTGAACCTGGGAGGCAGAGTTTGCAGTGAGCCGAGATGGCGCCACTGCACTCCATCCTGGGGGACAGAGCGAGACTCCATCTCAAAAAAAAAAAGAAAATTAAAAATTAAGTTCTTTAGTTGCACTAGCCATATTTCAAATACTTGATGGATACATGTGGCTAGTGGCTAACATAAGGGATAGCACAGATATAAAACATTTGCTCGTCATATAAAGTTCTATTGGATAGTGCTGGTCTGTAGCTTATAGGATGGTATCTTAGTCTGCTTCAGCTGCTAAAACAGAATACCATAAATTAGGTAGCTTAAACAGTAGATATTTTGACCAGGCGTGGTGGCTTATGCCTGTATTCCTAACACTTTGGGAGGCCGAGGCAGGTGGATAACTTGAGCTCAGGAGTTTGAGACTAGCCTGGGCAGCATGGCAAAACCTTGTCTCTACGAAAATTAGCTGGGCGTGGTGGTGCACGCCTGTAGTCTGAGCTACTTGGGAGGCTGAGGTGGGAGAATTGCTTGAACCTGGGAGGCGGAGGTTGCAGTGAGCCATGATCGCACCACTGTACTCCAGCCTGGATGACAGAATGAGACTCTGTCTCAAAAAAAACAAAAACAAACAAACAAAAAAACACAGATATTTCTCACAGTTCTGCAGACTGGAAGTGCAAGATCAAAGTGTTGGCAAATTATGTTTCTTAAAGAGGGCCTGCTTCCTAGATTGGAAATGGCCATCTTCTCTCGGTATCCTCACATGGTAGGGAGAAAAGCAGCTCTAGTGTCTCTTATAAAGGAAGTAATGCCACCATAGGGGCTCTATTCTCATGACCTCATCTAAACCTAATTCTCTCCTAAAGGCCACGCCTCCCAGTATCCTCACCTTGGGGGTTAGGGCTTTATCATATGAATTTTTTTTTTTTTTTTTTTTTTTTTGAGACAGAGTCTCGCTCTGTCTGTCACCCAGGCTGGAGTGCAGTGGCACAATCTCGGCTCTCTACAAGCTCCGCCTCCTGGGTTCACGCCATTCTCCTGCGTCAGCCTCCTCAGTAGCTGGGACTAAGGCGCCCGCCACTGCGCCCGGCTAATTTTTTGTATTTTCAGTAGAGACGGGGTTTTACCATGTTAGCCAGGATGATCTCGATCTCCTGACCTCATGATCCACCCGCCTCGGCCTCCCAAAGTGCTGGGATTACAGGCATGAGCCACCGCGCCGGGCCTATCATATGAATTTTGAGGGAACACAAACATGCAGTCTGTAGCAGATGGTAATAGGCTGACATATTACACTTGTTGATGTAAATCTGATAGGTTTCTTTCTCTCCAAGGACAGCTTTTTAAATATTTAACAGTATCAATAATTTTTCAGGTTCTGTGAGAATTTTATAATTTATAATTTGCAGACTTAATGTATAATCTATTTTGTCCTAACAATTACAAATATATTTTTTATTTCAGATTGTATATATTCCTACCAGATGGAGATAATTACAGCTTTAAAAATTTTTATTTTTTCATTTTATTTCACACATTGACATTAAATTTTTATGGACACATAATAACTGTACATATATATGGGGTAGAATGTGATGTTTTAATACATGTACTCAATGTGTAATGATCAAATCAGGGTAATTTGCATAATGATTTTTCTGTAGGGAGAAAATTCAAAATCTACTCTTCTGGCTATTTTCAAATATATAATATGTTATTGTTAACTATACTCATCCTACTATGCAATAGGACACCAGAACTTATTCCTGGGTTCTACATCCGTTAAGGCAACCAAGGATTGGAAATATTGGAAAAAAAAATTGCGTCTGTACTGAACATGTACAGACTTTTTTCTTGTCCTTATTCCTTACACAATATAGTACAATAACTATTTGCATGACATTTACATCGGATATTATGAGTGATCTAGAGTTGATATGAAGTATATGGGAGGATGTGCAAAGGTGATGTGCAAATACTATGTCATTTTATATCAGGGACTTGAGTATCCTTTGTTACCCTCAGGAGATCCTGAAACCAGTCCCCCATGGATACTGAGGGCTGACTGTATAGTCCTATCCTCACGGAACTTTCATTCTAATGGGGGAAGACTGACTATAAACAAAATATATGTAATAGGTGGTGGTAAGTACCGTGGAGAAGTAACAAACGGGGCAAAGTGAGTTATACAGCTCCATTCTTAGAAACCTTGGAGTACTTTTCTTAGTTTATACTTGTGGTGGTTTCCTTTTGTCTCCTTTATTACATGGGACTCTGACATGTGCCCATAGCTAGGGTGACAGTAGGATCTACCCGATAGTAGGGTGGCAGTAGGATCTACCCAAAAAGCGTCCTGCTGATACAGGACCAAAGCATCCTGTTGTTCTCGAGCCTATAAAAAGAGCTAATGGTCTTGCTTCTCTTAACTGTGGCCTCCTACACTGTGTTTTGGATGATTGGTGATGTCTTGGATATTCTGTTTCTTTGGAACTTTGAATATACAACACTTTACTAGGGAATTAGCAATGGAAGCAGAGCAAAGATGTACAGAGGAAACAATGCGTAACTCTGATGGAATTGAAGTCATGAGGCAGCAGAGAGCTTAAATTACAGCTTTAAAAATTTTTATTTTTTAGAGGGAATTTACTTGGGAGTAACAGCAGTAATAGTTAACGGAGCCAGAATGCTTGAGTCATATAATTGCAAAGCAGAGTTGGGAGCAACAGATGCTAAAGAGTAGTTGCTGTAGTTCCTCTTTGGGTCGTAGGAGCAGTTGTCATATTCCTATATAGCTACTGCATGAAGAAGAGTTCTTAGTGAGGCCTGGGTGAACAGCTCTTCTTAGTATTCTGTGTGACCCCATTTGACCTTTTAACAAATCCCTAAGTAAATAAATAGCCCCTCAGGTAAACTAAGTTTTTCTCTGCTGTTTTTTTGCTTGAGAGAGCTATAACTGTAATAGACTTATATTTCTGAACATTTCAGTGCTTGCCAATATTTGGTAATATTTATGTTTCCTATATTTGTAATGAACATTCTTCTTCCGGTACATTTTTTGTTAAATTATTGTTTGATGGATAAAAGTTCACCCTTTATTGTATAAAATTGACTGAGATTAATTTATACACATTGACAATGGGTAAATAGAATTTTTCAGATTATTAAAAGCTGAAGGATGCCCACGTAAGCAAAAAAAAAAAAGAAAAAACCAACAAAAATAAACCCAAACCCCTCAAACAATTTCGAACACGAAACATTCTTCTGATGCCGGCATCCCTGCTTGCAGGTGTGAAGGGGGCAGGAATCAGCGAGGTGTCCTGGGCTGAGTCCCCGGAGTGGGAAGAGGTGGCAGGAAGGGGATCTGAGGAGGAGAACAGGGGTCCTGGTGGTCTGTGCTTCTTCCCAGACACGGGAGCTGTAGAGGAGACCTCTGCAGCAGATGCTAGGGGGGCCAGTAGGCCCAGGCAGTCTTGGGACTTGGGTCTGTCCTGCTGTGCATCCATAGTGGGTGCTTTAGAAACGGGAGGCCCACCCGAAGTCCCTGTTGCAAGTGAGGACAAAGTGTGGGAAGGCCGTGAGGGTCTGCAGTCCGGGATGGCCTTGTCCTCAACGTGCAGTGCACTGTTGATGCGCTGGAATGCCGTCTCTTTTTCCAGGTGCAGGTCTTCAGCCGTGACCCGGTACCCCAGCTCTAAGGGAGGTGGCAGCATCAAAGGCTCCCCTCGCCTGCGTGGCAGCAGGGGAATCTTGCGTCTACGGGGCCTAGAGTCCTGGGATCTGGGGGAGCCACCCGTTGGGGCGATTGTCTGCCCTGGTGCTGTATCTGCCCCCTTTTCACACCGTGTGTGACCCGAAGAGACAGCCTGAGGCCTGTCCTCACTCACTGTCTTTGAGTAACTGAGGGTCAGCTGGCAGCGGGATGAGGCTGGCCCCCTCCTCTGCTTTAGCCCCGGCAAGCCTCCCGTGGAGCTGTAGGAGCTGGAGATGGCATTTCGTTTGGTGCTCGAGCTCGTCCAGGATGTCTGGGATGTGTGGTTATATCTGATTTCTGAGCTCTGGGCGTGGAGGTCTGTCTGCAGAGGCCCGGGCCTGGGCACAAAGGGAGAGGGGCCTCCATTGTCCCGCAGGGGCCAAAATGCAGACCGTGCATCCCCGGTGACCTCGGGGACCGTTCTCTGATCATCAGGATTTTCTTGGACTCTGGGGTCCTTGTCCTGCTCAGGCATCCCTGCCCCGCTCTCCTTGAGGGCCCTCAACACTATCTTCCCTGGACACAAGTCTGGGGACAGCCGGGTGTTGTGGACCCCAAAGGGGTGACTACCTGCTCCTGGGCCCCACAGAGTCCTTGTGCTCAGTGTAGTGGCTGAGCTGGGGGATGCCCTGGAACTCGGAGCACACAGCACTGGCTTACTGTGGTACCTGTGCAGTGAAATTGAAGACAGAATCACCAGGATGGAACACAGGTCTTGCAGGATCACGGAAAACCTTCTTAGAGTTGTCTTGACACCACTGATGTCGAGTGTGCGGGTGTTTGTAGGATGGCCTGCCACTCAGTCCAGGGGCAGGAGCAACGGGGAGATCCCACAAGCAAAGTGAACTGGGGGATGGGCTGAAGGGGCTCCAGGCAACTGAGCCCTACTCGCAGGTCCTCGGCCTTGGCCCAAACAGGAATGAGGGGCACAGAGTGCCCGGGTAACCGCTCCTGGGAGCAGTGGGGAACTGTCGGATACTTGAACTCTCAAGAGCTGGGCTCTGAGCGTCCTCGTCCAGCTGCCAACTTGGCCAAAGGCTAAGCCAGCAGATTGTTCTGTTGCCGGGCAACGCGACTTCTAAACCTGAGGGAGTGGGCATGTGAGCACATAATGGCACCAGTGACAGAGCGACCATAATGGATGAATAAGCGCAGCCAGGTACCGGCGCAAGGCACCTGCTGGCAATGGCAGGAGGCGGACGTGGGGGGTCGTGCAGTAGGTACTGGAGGGAGAGACGTGGGCACAAAGGTCGCGGGAGGAACAGGTGCCCACAATGGCTGCATATTTGCCCGTGGATCACTGAAGATTCCTGCTCTCCTGCTGAGGTGGAGACTGCAGTGAGCTGAGATCGCACCATTGCACTCCAGCCTGGGCAACGAGTGCAAAACTCAGTCTCCAGATAAAAAAAAGAAAAAGAAAAAAAAGAGGCCGGGTGTGGTGGCTTATGCCTATGATCCTAGCACTTTGGGAGGTCGGGGTGGACGGATCACGAGATCAGGAGTTGGAGGCCAGCCTGGCCAACATAGTGAAAGCCCGTCTCTAGTAAAAATACAAAATTTAGTCAGACATGGTGGGCAGGAGAGAGCATGTGCAGGGGAACATCCATTTATAAAACCATCAGACCTCATGAGACTTATTCACTACCATGAGAACAGCATGGGGGAAACTGCCTCCATGATTCAGTTATCTCCACCTGGCCCCACCCTTGACACATGGGAATTGTTACAATTCAAGATGAGATTTGGGTGCGGACAGAGCCAAACCATATAATTCTTCCCCGGCCCCTCCCAAATCTCATGTCCTCATATTTCAAAAGCAATCGTGCCTTCCCCTAAGTCCCCCAAACTCTTATTTCAGCATTAACTCAAAATTCCATAGTCCAAAGTCTCATCTGAGACAAGGCAAGTCCCTTCCACCTATGAGCCTGTAAAATCAAAAGCAAGTTAGTTATTTTCTAGATACACAGGGATACAGGCATTGGGTAGATACACTCGTTTCAAATGGGAGAAATTGGCCAAAGCGAAAGAGCTACAGGCCCCATGCAAGTCCAAAACCCAGCAGGCAAATCTTAAAGCTCCAAAATGACCTCCTTTGACTCCATGTGTCACATCTAGGTGATGCAAGAAGTGGGTTCCCAGGGTCTTGGGCAGCCCCGCCCCTGTGGCTTTGCAGGGTACAGCCCCCCTTCTGGCTGCATTGAGTGTCTGCAGCTTTTCCAGGCACACAGTGCAAGCTGTCAGTGGATCTACCATTCTGGGGTCTGGAGGATGGTGGCCCTTTTCTCACAGCTCTGCTTGGCAGTACCCCAGTGGGGACTCTGTGTGGAAGCTCCAACCCCATATTTCCCTTTGACACTGCCCTAGCAGAGGTTATCCATGAGGGCCCCCCCTCCCCTCCCCTCCCCCCCACAGCAAACTTTTGCCTGGATTTCCAGGCATTTTCATACATCTTCTGAAATGTAGGCAGAGGTTCATGAACGTTAATGCTTGACTTCGGTGCATCTGCAGGCTTAACACCACCTAGAACCTGAAAGGCTTGGAACTTGCACCCTCTGAAGCCATGGCCTGAGGTGTACCTTGGCCCCTTTTACCTATGGCAGGAGCAGCTGGGATGCAGGGCCCCAAGTTCCTAGGCTGCACACAGCAGGGGGTTCTGGACCCACAAAACCATTTTTCCTTCTAAGCCTCCTGGCCTGTGATGGGAGGGTCTGCTGTGAGGGTCTCTAACATGCCCTGGAGACATTTGCCCCATTGTCTTGGTGATTAACATTTGGCTCCTCATTACTTATGCAAATTTCTACAACCCAGTCTCCTGAGAAAATAGATTTTTCTTTTCTGTTGCATCATCAGGCTACAAATTTTCTGAACTTTTATGCTCTGCTTCTTCTCGAATGCTTTGCTGCTTAGAAATTTCTTCTGTCAGATACCTTAAATCATCTCTCTCAAGTTCAAAGTTCCACAGATCTGTAGGGAACTCTAGAAAAAAATTCTTATTTTCCCTCTTTCCCGCCTATCTTATGCCCGTTTCTAATACAGGTGCACAATGCCTGCAGTGTCTTTGCATAGTAAGAGTGACTTTACTCCATTTCCCAACAAATTCCTCATCTGCCTCTGAGACCACCTCCGCCTGGACCTTGTTGTCCATATCACTATTAACATTTTGGTCAAAGCCATTCAACAAGTCTCTAGGAAGTTCCAAACTTTCCCACATTTTCCTATCCTCTTCTGAGCCTTCCAAACTGTTCCAGCCTCTCCCTGTTACCCATTTCCAAAGTTGCTTCCACATTTTCGGGTATCTTTACAGCAGCACCCCACTCTACTGGTATCAACTTATTGTATTAGTCTGTTCTCACACTGCAAATAAAGACATACCTGAGACTGGGTAATTTATAAAGGAAAGAGGTTGAATTGACTCACAGTTCTGCATGGCTGGGGAGGCCTCACAGTCATGGTGGAAGGCAAGGAGGTGCAAAAGCATGTCTCACATAGTGGCAGGCAGGAGAGAGCATGTGCAGGGGAGCTCCCATTTATAAAACCATCAGATCTCATGAGACTTAGTCACTACCGCGAGAACAGTATGGGGGGAACCATCCCCATGATTCAGTTATCTGCACCCGGCCCCACCCTTGACACGTGGGAATTATTACAATGCAAGGTGAGATTTGGGTGGGGACCCATCCAAACTATGTCAGTATGTTTTGACTTCTTGCTTGATTGCTAGGTTGCATAGAGGACAAACATGGAAATTAATGAAGTACCTTAATATCTGGCTTCAGATCTTAGACAGGATCAGAGGGCCAGCTCAAATTTGCAAGGAGGGGAGGTAGATCCCACCATTTTATGGGTGAATGGCAAAATCAAACAGAAATTATGTGGGATGGGAGATACTGATGCAGGCATCTTTGGAAACATTCTACTTAGCTAATTTTATGCTAGGCTTTAGGTCAAGAAGGAGAGAGAGAGCTGACATGCTGTGGTACACACTTATAGTCCCAGCGACTTGGAAAGCTGAGGCAGGAGGATTGCTTGATCCCAGGAGTTTGAGGTAGTGTGCGATGATCGTTCTTGTGAATAGCCACTAGCCACTGAACTCCAGCTTGGGCAACATTGAGACACCCTGTCTCTTAATTTAAAAAAAAAAAAAAAAAAAAAGGAGGAAAGAAAGTGGTCTCAGTTTTTAATGTAAATATTTTTAATGGGATACTGATATTTTAAGATTAATGTATATTGTATATCAGTTAACTGCAGGTCAATAATTATATAAAACTTAAGGTACGAAAAACATTTATTTTTGCTAACATATCTGTGAGTTGACTGTTGTTGGCTTGGTGAGGCTGCAAGCTGCAGATAGAGTCTAGGTATGTTTTCTGTGTGTTTGTTCCCCCTTGGATCAGTGGACTACCTGAGAATGTGTTTCTGTCACAGTGATAGAATCACAAGGAAACTCCAGTTCTGGAAGTACATTTTAAGCCATTGCTTCTCTCATGTCCACTAACATTCAGTCAGCCAAAGCACATACCTTGTCCATGGCTAACATTGATAGTATAGATAAATATACCTGATCTCTAGCAGGAGGAACTGCATTGTCTTGGGGAAAGGTTTTAGATATAGGGAGGGGTGATGAGTTGGGAACAATAATGTAGTCTGCCGCAAACATATTAAAGTGTAACTGGATATGGTTGCTGCAGAATTTTGAACCTTTGTTTTAATTGTGATTTTTACTCTTTCCCCCCTATCTAGTGCCCTTTTGTAATACAGTAATTATCATGATTTTTGTCTGAACTGAAATCTTCTGAGATTAGATTGTCTACGAAAATACAGTCGATCCTCCTTGTTTTCAGCTTTTGTATTTGTGAACTCACCTACTATTTTTTGTAACCCCCAAATCAGTACTCACAGCACTTTCATAGTCATGTGTTTGCGCAGAGTGTCAAAGAATTTGAGTTTGAACAGGATGATATTCTGCCTTCTTTTTCAGCTCTCATACAATAGTCAGGTATCCTTTTTGTGGTCTATTTAATGCCATGCTTTTCCTGTTTTTGTACTGTTTGTTGGTTGTTTTGCCATTTAAATTAACCCCCAAGCATAGTGCTGAAGTGCTGCTTAGCATTCACAAGTCCAAGAAGTCTGTGATGTGTCTTACAGAGAAAATACATGCATTAAATAAACTCCATTCAGGCGTGAGTGCTGTAGTGCCGTTGGCTGTGAGTTCAATGTTAATGAATGAACAATGTATATTATTTATTTATTCTTCATTTAATTAATTATTATTATTATTTTTTTTGAGATAGAGTCTCACTCTGTTGCTCAGGCTGGAGTGCAGTGGTGCAGTCTTGGCTCACTGCAACCTCTGCCTCCTGGGTTCAAGCGATTCCCCTGCCTTCGCCTCCCAAGTAGCTAAGACTACAGGCATGCGCCACCATGCCTGGCTAATTTTTTTTTTTTTTTTTTGTAGTTTTAGTAGAGACGGGGTTTCACCACGTTGGCCAGGCTGGTCTCGAACTCCAGACCTCAAATGATCTGCCCGCCTTGGCTTCCCAAAGTGCTGGGATTACAGGCGTTAGCCACTGTGCCTGGCCAACAATATATATTAAATAAGCACACATACAACAAAAGTAGGTGTTGGTAAGCTTACAAAAGTGTGACCAGTAGCTTGCTGAAACCTAACTTTTTATTTGTTCATGGAACTTTCTAGACCGTAACTACACTGAATAATGAGAATCTGCTGTAATCTTTTTAGGTGCTGTAGATGAGCCATTGGATTAAATTATTACAGTATGTTTCAGACTGCTGTATGTTGAACCCTAGTGAAATGCCTCTCAAACCTTCATAAGGATCACAATCTCATGTCCTTTTTTTTTGTTATTAAATGCCCAGTATGTGTTAGCGATTTAAACAAAATTCAAATATTTTTTTTTTTTTTTTGAGACAGAGTCTCGCTCTGTCACCTAAGCTGGAGAGTGCAGTGGTATGATCTCGGCTCACTACAACCTCTGCCTCCCGGGTTCAGGCGATTCTCCTGCCTCAGCATCCTGAGTAGCTGGGATTACAGGCACCCGCCACCACGCTGGGCTAATTTTTGTATTTTTAGTAGAGACGGGGTTTCGCCAGGTTGTCCAGGCTGGTCTGGAACTCCTGACCTCATGCGATCTGCCTGCCTTGGCCTCCTGAAGTGCTGGGATTATAGGCGTGAGCCACCATGCCCGGCGTTGACTTCTTAATAATAACCATACTGACTGGTGTGAGATGGTATGCCATTGTGGTTTTGATTTGCATTTCTCTAATGATCAGTGATATTGAGCTTTTTCTCATATGCTTGTTGGCCGCATGTGTGTCTTCTTTTGAAGTGTCTGTTTATGTCCTGTGCCCACTTTCCAATGAGATTTTTTTTTTTTCTTGTAAATTTGTTTAAGTTCCTTATCAGTGTTGGACATTAGATCTTTGTCACATGCATTGTTGCAAAAATTTTCTCCCATTCTGTAGGTTGTCTGTTCACTCTGTTGATAGTTTCTTTTGCTGTGCAGAAGCTTCAAGAAGAAAGGAATCCGATTGGTTCTGTGTCTGTCTCTTTTGGTATTCTCAGAATTATGTAGTCATTCATATAGAAAGATGATTAGGAAAATAGGACAAGAATAGCAGAAATCTACATAAAAATGTAGGAAATTAAAATTAGTTACCAGCATACAAAAAACTTCTGTATGTTATAATTACATACTATAACTCACCCCTCCTTGGCAAATATTCTCTCTCTTTTGACTTCAAAATCATGGCTTATATGTACTTTCTCTATTTCCCAGATGCAAATATAATTAATTGACTTTATTTATCTAGGAAATGTTACTCATATCTTAATTGTAGTCATTGGCTTGAGTGACGGGTTTTGGTAATTCAACTACTATTACTTGAAAGTAGTAGATTTCATAGGATACTGTTATAAAATCTTTTTAACCTCTTTTCTGATTTCAGGAGTAATTAGTAATTGTGGTTTACTGGAAAATTCAATGAATAGGGTGTTAAAGGAAGCAATTCATTAATAATATATGTAATCTATTGGGAGACTGAGGCGGGTGGATCACCTGAGTTCAGGAGTTCGAGACCAGCCTGGCCAACATGGCAAAACTCCGTCTCTACTGAAAATAGAAAAATTCGCCGGGCATGGTGGTGCATTCCTGTATTCCCAGGTACTCGGAAGGCTGAGGCAGGAGAATCACCTGAACTCCAGAGGTGGAGGTTGCAGCGAGTCAGGATCGCAGCACTACACTCCAGCCTGGGTGACAGTGAGACTCCATCTCAAAAAAAAAAAAAAAAAAAAAAAAAAAAAAAATTAAAAAATTAAATTAAAAGCGGGCTGGGCGCATTGGTTCAGGGCCGGGCACGGTGGCTCAAGCCTGTAATCCCAGCACTTTGGGAGGCCGAGGCAGGCGGATCACGAGGTCAGGAGATCAAGACCATCCTGGCTAATGTGGTGAAACCCCGTCTCTACTAACAATACAAAAATTAGCTGGATGTGGTGGCAGGTGCCTGTAATCCCAGCTATTCCAGAGGCTGAGGCAGGAGAATCACTTGAACCTGGGAGGCAGAGGTTTCAGTGAGTCCAGATCATGCCACTGCACTCCAGCCTGGGTGACAGAGCGAGATTCTATCTCAAAAAAAAAAAAAAAAAAGCAACAGAAGCAAATGAGAGTGCCTGGGAGTGGTCATTGTGGGGCCTTCCCGTTTGTGTGACCCAGGTCATGTCCCTCCCTAAGCCCTGGTCTCTCTTGCCTCCTGCAGGGCTGGTGAATTACCAGATCTCCGTCAAGTGCAGTAACCAGTTCAAGTTGGAAGTGTGTCTTTTGAATGCAGAAAACAAAGTCGTGGACAACCAGGCTGGGACCCAGGGCCAGCTGAAGGTGCTGGGTGCCAACCTCTGGTGGCCGTACCTGATGCACGAACACCCCGCCTACCTGTACTCGTGGGAGGTAATGGTGGTTTGGGACTTGCGTAAGGGAGGTCTTTTGCCCCCATCTGGTAGCCCTGGCTTCAGCAGGAGCCCAGGACAGGTGAACGGGCAGGTGTGGTCCTCTGAGCTTTCTGATGTTTCCCACCCTTGGTGGGAGGCCCAGATTTTTTATTTATTTATTTATTTATTTATTTATTTATTTATTTATTTGTTTGTTTTTGTGATGGTCTCACTCTGTCACCCAGGCTGGAATGCAATGGCCTGATCACAGCTCACTGCAGCTTTGAGCTGCAATCCTCCTACCTTGGCCTCCTGAGTAGCTGGGACTACAGGCACATGCCACCATGCCTGGCTAATTAAAAAAATTTTTTTTGTAGGCCGGGCATGGTGGCTCACACCTGTAATCCCAGCACTTCGGGAGGCTGACGCGGGCGGATCACTTTAGGCCAGGAGTTGGAGACCAGCCTGGCCAACATGGTGAAACCCCGTCTCTACTAAAATATGAAAATTTGCAGGGCATGATGGTGCACGTCTGTAATCCCAGCTACTCGGGAGGCTGAGGCAGGGGAATTGCTTGAACCCAGGAGGCAGGGGCTGCGGTGAATTGAGATCATGCCGCAGCACTCTATCCTGGGTGACAGAGTGAGACTGTCTCAAAAAAAAAAAAACTCCTTTTTATAGAGTTGGGGTCTTACTAGGTTGCCCAGGCTGGTCTTGAACTCCTGGACTCAGGTGATCCTCCTGCCTTAGCCTCCCAAAGTGTAGGGATTCCAGGCATGAGCCACCTCGTCTGGTCAAGGAGAAGGCCTGATTTTGAAGGGCAGGTCCCAGGGTCAGCCAGTGAAGGGCAGAGCCTCTGGTTGCTGCTTCTCTGCAGGCCCAGTGGCGACTTCTGGGGTGCATGCACGAGGGGTCTTCCTGCTGTAGGGCAGGCCAGATGGGGCTCAGGCTGTCGGGGCGCTCACACCTGGCGCTTTGGCTGTCGTAGGTGCGGCTGACTGCACAGAAGTCACTGGGGCCTTTGACTTCTACACACTCCCTGTGGGGCTCCGCACTGTGCCCGTCACCGAGAGCCAGTGGGTGAGAGCCAGTTTCATTTGCGGTAGAGGCAGCAGAGGTTGTAGAAATGCTCCTTGAGGCAGATGCCACACCCCAATTTCATGGAGTGATTTGGGCTGAGCCGAGTCTGCAGCAGGCAGAAGGCTCTGAGATGTTGTCCTAGCCTGGGCAAAGGACAGTTCAGAGCTCGGGGGAATAGGGGTGTGCTCAGCACGACTGGGTGGACAGGCCGTTTGTTGTGAATCGTACAGGCTTCCAGGAGCGGGTGCCTGAGGCTTCCAGACAGGCTTTGGGAGGTGGCCAGAGGAGATGCCTGTTTCCGGGGCAGGAAATGGAGGGAGGGCCCAGGCTGGAGAGGTTCAGCCAGGCTGTCACAAGGCTTTGAAGCTTCCCATCTGAGAGCCTGGCTATTGGAGAGTGTGGGTTTGGAACTTGAGGCTAGGAGGTTCTATTCTGTCCTGTGCCAGCCACAGCCTTCGGATGGGCAGAGCAATGATGGGGGGAAGATGTAAAAGAAAAGAACTGAGGAAAGAAGAAGAAAACCAGCTTCAACAACGGTCTAGGCCGGATGCGGTGGGTCACGCCTGTAATCCCAGCAGTTTGGGAGGCTGAGGTGGGTGGATCACCCGAGGTCAGGAGTTCGAGACCAGCCTGGTCAACAGGTAGTGAATCCTGTCTCTACTAAAAATACAAAAATTAGCTGGGCATGGTGGTGGACGTCTGTAATGCCAGCTACCAGGTAGGCTGAGGCAGGAGAATCGCCTCAGGTGAACCAGGAGGCAGAGATTGCAATGAGCTGAGATAATGCCACTGCATTCCAGCCTGGGCTACAGAATGAGACTCTGTATCTCAACAAAACAAAACAAAACAAAAACACAACAGTCTGTTCTGTGGAGGCCTTGGGCAGATGCTGGGAGCTCTGAGCACGGACTGGTCCCTCTGTTGGGAGCCTCTTCCCTTCATCCCTCCTGGTTAACTTGACTCAGCATAAAGGCCATTTCTTCTAAGAGCCTGTCCCTGACTCTCCAATCGGGGATGTGTCTGTTGTCTCATAGAGTGCCCAATTCCTGCCACCACTTGTCATTTCCATTCGCAACATTTCTTTCATTGTTTGTTTTTCAGAGTCAGGGTCTCACTCTGTTGCCCAGGCTGGAGTGCAGTGGTGCAATCATAGCTCGTTGCCATCTCGACCTCCTGGGCTTAAGCGATCCTCCCCACTCAGCCTCCCAAATAGCTGGGACCACAGACGTGCGCTGCCTTGCCAGGCTAAATTTTAATATTTTTTTTTCCCCACGAGTCAGAGTCTTGCTCTGTCTCCCAGGCTGGAGAGCAGTGTTGCGGTCTTGGCTCACTGCGTCCTCTACCTCCTGGGTACAAACAGTTCTCCTGCCTCACCCTCCCGAGTAGCTGGGATTACAGGCTCACGCCACCATGCCCAGCTAGTTTTCTTCTTTATTTTTTGTTGAGATGGGGTTTCACCATGTTGGCCAGGCTGGTCTCGAACTCTTGAGCTCGTGATCCACCTGCCTTGGCCTCCCAAAGTGCTCACAGGCTTGAGCCACCATGCCCGGCCCTAATTTTTAAATTTGTTGTAGAAACAAGGTCTTGCTATGTTGTCCAGGCTGGTCTCAAGCGCCTGGTCTCAAGTAAGCCTCCCAAAGTGCTGGGGTTCTAGGCTTGAGCCACCTCGCCTGGCACTTGCACCGTTTTTCTGTGCATGCATCTCCACTCCCACTGCCCAGGACCTGTGGACTTAGATTTGAGTCATTACTGAGCACCTAGCACCCAGCCTCATGCCTACCTCCCACCTCGCACTACCTGTTTGCTTGATGCATTAATAAATATTCCACCTGAATCCACAGCCCATTCACTCCTGTGTTCAAGAGCTATTTCAGGAAGTGAACCTCATTTCTGGCAGTGTTCAGTCCAGTGACCTCAGCTCTGTGTACCCGGCAGGGTGGCTACGCCTCTGGGGGAGTTGGATTCAGGGGTGGGGGAGAAAGAGTGTTGTTAGAGAGCTCGGTCTAGGACTAGAGGAACGTGCCCTTATGTAAAATACATCTCAAGTTAGGGAAGAAAGCAGCGGCTCTGTGCTTTGTTTTTTTTTTTTTTTTTCTTTTCTTTCTTTCTTTTTTTTTTTTTTGTTTGTTTGTTTGTTTGTTTGTTTTGGGGCAGGGTCTTGCTCTGTGGCCCAGGCTGGAGTGCAGTAGCGTGATTTCGGCTCACTGCAACCTCCACCTCCCGGGTTCAAGCAATTCTTGTGCCTCAGCCTCCCGAGTAGCTGGAGTTACAGATGCGTGCCACTAAGCCTGGCTAATTTTTGTATATTTAGTAGAAATGGGGTTTTGCCATGTTGGCCAGGCTGTTCTTGAACCCCTGACCTCAGTGATCTGCCTGCCTCAGCCTCCTGAAGTGCTGGGATTACAGGCGTGAGCCATCGTGCCTGGCCCCCAGTTGTGTTCTGGCAGGGGAAGATGGGACAGAGAGGATGGGAGGGTGTCTGAGCCTTTCCCGGACTGACGGAACCTGTGTCTTCTCTCTTTTGTGGACAGGATGGTGATTGCTCACACCAAAGCCTTGGACCCCTCCCAGCCTGTGACCTTTGTGACCAACTCCACCTACGCAGCAGACAAGGGGGTGAGCCTGGGGGTCCCCACCCCATTTCTCCCTGCCTTTGCCTGGGCTTGTCCTGAAGCCTGCTCATGGGAACAGCTGGAAAGAACCATGTGCTGCCAGTCTGAGCTTTTTATTTTGTTTTACTTAGAAAGATAGAGACAGGGTCTTGCCATGTTGCCCAGGCTGGTCTCGAACTCCTGGGCTCAAGTGATCCTCCTGCCTCGGCCTTCCAAAGGGCTGGGGTTACAGGCGTGTGCCACCGCACTCAGCCGCAGCCAGTCTGTTTTCAAAGATGGTCTTTGGGTTAATGACAATTCTCTCTCTGCTTACTCTCCAGGCAGTGTGGCTTTCTGAATCCAAGGAGGCTGGGCATAGGGAGATGGGATTTGTTTGCCCGGTTTGGACTCAGCATTTTTTGTACTCGATTTAATAGACTCATAAAATGTCAAAGGTTTAAGTGAGCTTAGAGTTGATCTGGCCCAAACCTGGCTGATCAGAATCTCCAGGGGAAGTTTTATTGAAATGCCAGATCTCTGCGTTCTGAGATCCTGATTTAGTAACTCCAGGGTTGGAACCTGAGTTTTTTGTTTTTTTGTGTGTGTGTGTGAAGGCAAGGTCTTACTCTGTTGCTCTGGCTGGAGTGCAGTGGTGTGATCACAGCTCACTGCAGCCTTGAATTCCTGGGCCTAAGCAACCCTCTTGCCTCAGCCTTCCAAGTAGCTGGGACTCCGGGGGTACACCACTGTGCCCGGCTAATTTTAAATGTTTTTGTAGAGATGGGATCTCACTATGTTGCCCAGGCCAGTCTCAAACTCTTGAGCTCAAGTGATCCTCCTGCCTTAGCCTCCTAAAGTGCTGGGATTACAGGCATGAGCCACCGTGCCTGGCTGATACTAGCATTCTTTTTTATTTTTTATTATTTTTTTAAGATAGAGTCTTGCTCTGTTGCCCAGGCTGGAGTGCAGTGGCACAGTCTCAGCTCAGTGCAACCTCCGCCTCCCAGGTTCAAGCAATTCTCCTGCCTCAGCCTCCCAAGTAGCTGGGATAACAGGCACATGCCACCACGCCTGCGCTTGATCGTGGGAGGCAGAGCTTGCATTATTGTGCCACTCCATTCTAGCCTGGGCAACAGAGCGAGACTCTGTCTTCCAAACAAAGCGGAAAAAGATTATCTGCGAGAATGACTGCATTGGCCCCTTGGGTGGGAGGGCTTCTCCAGGGCAAGGTGAGGGGATGCCCAGTGCTGGGAGTGCTGCCTGGAGAGGAGTCAGTTCCAGTGGCGGGGGCCCTGGGTTTTGGCTGAGGACTGCGTGTTGGCAGCTGCTCTGCCTCTCACAGCCCTTCCCAGCTGCACACGTCGTGAGCGTCAGTGTGCAATCACAGGCCTGCCTCCTTTGGGCCACTTTGTGACCATGTTTTTTGCTTGTGGGGCAGGGTAATTTCAGGATCTAAATTGGTGCAGTTGGATGTTCTCAGCCCCGAGAGGCAGCTCTTCCCGTTCTAGGCTTTTTGTTTTGTTTTGTAGAAATGGAGTCCTACGACGTTGCCCAGGCTGGTCTCAAACTCCTGGGCTCAAGTGATCCTCCCACCTTGGCCTCCCAATGTGCTGGGATTACAGGCATGAGCCACTGTGCCGTGCTGATTTTCTTGATACTATTTTTTGTAGAGCTGGGGTCTTGCTGTGTTGCCCAGGCTGGTCTCGAACTCCTGGCCACAAGCCACCCTCCTGCCTCAGCCTCCCAGAGTGCTGGGATTACATCCCCTTCTTACCTTCTCTGTCAGAGGAGCCCCCACAGCATGTGAGTACTGAGTCATGCGGTCTTGTGGTTGCTGAACGGGCTCTGCTGCTCTGGTCCTAGGCTCTGTATGTGGATGTGATCCGTGTGAACAGCTACTACTCTTGGTATCGCAACTACGGGCACCTGGAGTTGATTCAGCTGCAGCTGGCCGCCCAGTTTGAGAATTGGTGTAAGACATCACAATCCCATTATTCAGAGCGCGTATGGAGTGGAAACGCTTGTAGGGCTTCACCAGGTAAGCGGTGTTGAACTTTCTGCTTGTGTATTCTCTCTGGGCAGAGATGCCACTTGCCTCCCCCACCATGCCATCTCTGAAGAATATTACAGACCATTTTGGAGCATGGTGAATAAGAAATTTTCACCTTAGGAGTTCAGTTGAATAGTCATTTTTATATTTGTGACTGCAAGTCACTCTTAGGGGCTGTACTTCCTTAGTACTGGTAGCATTATTATCCAATGGACTTTTATAGCTTTCATTAGGTTTTCTTTTGTTTTTGTTCTTTAAAGAACGTTTTACTTATCTTAGTATTTCATTTTTCATCTATATTATGAGGCAGTAAGAGTCTTCTGTTTTTCCAAAGTTGAGACTGCTTTATATTTATTTCGTATTGTCTACAGCTGTAGTGTTCAATACATTAGCCACTAGCCACATGTGGTTATTTAAATAAGATAAAATAAAAATTGGCCGGGCGTGGTGGCTCACGCCGGTAATCCCAGCACTTTGGGAGGCCGAGGCGGGCAGATCATTAGGTCAGGAGATCGAGACCATCCTTACTAAGACGGTGAACCCCCATCTCTATTAAAAATACAAAAAATTAGCCGGGCGTGGTGGCGGGCGCCTGCAGTCCCAGCTACTCAGGAGGCTGAGGCAGGAGAATGGCGTGAACCTGGGAGGCAGAGTTTGCAGTGAGCCGAGATGGCGCCACTGCACTCCAGCCTGGGGGACAGAGCGAGACTCCATCTCAAAAAAAAAAAGAAAATTAAAAATTAAGTTCTTTAGTTGCACTAGCCATATTTCAAATACTTGATGGATACATGTGGCTAGTGGCTAACATAAGGGATAGCACAGATATAAAACATTTCCTCGTCATATAAAGTTCTATTGGATAGTGCTGGTCTGTAGCTTATAGGATGGTATCTTAGTCTGCTTCAGCTGCTAAAACAGAATACCATAAATTAGGTAGCTTAAACAGTAGATATTTTGACCAGGCGTGGTGGCTTATGCCTGTATTCCTAACACTTTGGGAGGCCGAGGCAGGTGGATAACTTGAGCTCAGGAGTTTGAGACTAGCCTGGGCAGCATGGCAAAACCTTGTCTCTACGAAAATTAGCTGGGCGTGGTGGTGCACGCCTGTAGTCTGAGCTACTTGGGAGGCTGAGGTGGGAGAATTGCTTGAACCTGGGAGGCGGAGGTTGCAGTGAGCCATGATCGCACCACTGTACTCCAGCCTGGATGACAGAATGAGACTCTGTCTCAAAAAAAACAAAAACAAACAAACAAAAAAAAACAGATATTTCTCACAGTTCTGCAGACTGGAAGTGCAAGATCAAAGTGTTGGCAAATTATGTTTCTTAAAGAGGGCCTGCTTCCTAGATTGGAAATGGCCATCTTCTCTCGGTATCCTCACATGGCAGGGAGAAAAGCAGCTCTAGTGTCTCTTCTTATAAAGGAAGTAATGCCACCATAGGGGCTCTATTCTCATGACCTCATCTAAACCTAATTCTCTCCTAAAGGCCACGCCTCCCAGTATCCTCACCTTGGGGGTTAGGGCTTTATCATATGAATTTTTTTTTTTTTTTTTTTTTTTGAGACAGAGTCTCGCTCTGTCTGTCACCCAGGCTGGAGTGCAGTGGCACAATCTCGGCTCTCTACAAGCTCCGCCTCCTGGGTTCACGCCATTCTCCTGCGTCAGCCTCCTCAGTAGCTGGGACTAAGGCGCCCGCCACTGCGCCCGGCTAATTTTTTGTATTTTCAGTAGAGACGGGGTTTTACCATGTTAGCCAGGATGATCTCGATCTCCTGACCTCATGATCCACCCGCCTCGGCCTCCGAAAGTGCTGGGATTACAGGCATGAGCCACCGCGCCGGGCCTATCATATGAATTTTGAGGGAACACAAACATGCAGTCTGTAGCAGATGGTAATAGGCTGACATATTACACTTGTTGATGTAAATCTGATAGGTTTCTTTCTCTCCAAGGACAGCTTTTTAAATATTTAACAGTATCAATAATTTTTCAGGTTCTGTGAGAATTTTATAATTTATAATTTGCAGACTTAATGTATAATCTATTTTGTCCTAACAATTACAAATATATTTTTTATTTCAGATTGTATATATTCCTACCAGATGGAGATAATTACAGCTTTAAAAATTTTTATTTTTTCATTTTATTTCACACATTGACATTAAATTTTTATGGACACATAATAACTGTACATATATATGGGGTAGAATGTGATGTTTTAATACATGTACTCAATGTGTAATGATCAAATCAGGGTAATTTGCATAATGATTTTTCTGTAGGGAGAAAATTCAAAATCTACTCTTCTGGCTATTTTCAAATATATAATATGTTATTGTTAACTATACTCATCCTACTATGCAATAGGACACCAGAACTTATTCCTGGGTTCTACATCCGTTAAGGCAACCAAGGATTGGAAATATTGGAAAAAAAAATTGCGTCTGTACTGAACATGTACAGACTTTTTTCTTGTCCTTATTCCTTACACAATATAGTACAATAACTATTTGCATGACATTTACATCGGATATTATGAGTGATCTAGAGTTGATATGAAGTATATGGGAGGATGTGCAAAGGTGATGTGCAAATACTATGTCATTTTATATCAGGGACTTGAGTATCCTTTGTTACCCTCAGGAGATCCTGAAACCAGTCCCCCATGGATACTGAGGGCTGACTGTATAGTCCTATCCTCACGGAACTTTCATTCTAATGGGGGAAGACTGACTATAAACAAAATATATGTAATAGGTGGTGGTAAGTACCGTGGAGAAGTAACAAACGGGGCAAAGTGAGTTATACAGCTCCATTCTTAGAAACCTTGGAGTACTTTTCTTAGTTTATACTCGTGGTGGTTTCCTTTTGTCTCCTTTATTACATGGGACTCTGACATGTGCCCATAGCTAGGGTGACAGTAGGATCTACCCGATAGTAGGGTGGCAGTAGGATCTACCCAAAAAGCGTCCTGCTGATACAGGACCAAAGCATCCTGTTGTTCTCGAGCCTATAAAAAGAGCTAATGGTCTTGCTTCTCTTAACTGTGGCCTCCTACACTGTGTTTTGGATGATTGGTGATGTCTTGGATATTCTGTTTCTTTGGAACTTTGAATATACAACACTTTACTAGGGAATTAGCAATGGAAGCAGAGCAAAGATGTACAGAGGAAACAATGCGTAACTCTGATGGAATTGAAGTCATGAGGCAGCAGAGAGCTTAAATTACAGCTTTAAAAATTTTTATTTTTTAGAGGGAATTTACTTGGGAGTAACAGCAGTAATAGTTAACGGAGCCAGAATGCTTGAGTCATATAATTGCAAAGCAGAGTTGGGAGCAACAGATGCTAAAGAGTAGTTGCTGTAGTTCCTCTTTGGGTCGTAGGAGCAGTTGTCATATTCCTATATAGCTACTGCATGAAGAAGAGTTCTTAGTGAGGCCTGGGTGAACAGCTCTTCTTAGTATTCTGTGTGACCCCATTTGACCTTTTAACAAATCCCTAAGTAAATAAATAGCCCCTCAGGAAAACTAAGTTTTTCTCTGCTGTTTTTTTGCTTGAGAGAGCTATAACTGTAATAGACTTATATTTCTGAACATTTTAGTGCTTGCCAATATTTGGTAATATTTATGTTTCCTATATTTGTAATGAACATTCTTCTTCCGGTACATTTTTTGTTAAATTATTGTTTGATGGATAAAAGTTCACCTTTTATTGTATAAAATTGACTGAGATTAATTTATACACATTGACAATGGGTAAATACAATTTTTCAGATTATTAAAAGCTGAAGGATGCCCACGTAAGCAAAAAAAAAAAAGAAAAAACCAACAAAAATAAACCCAAACCCCTCAAACAATTTCGAACACGAAACATTCTTCTGATGCCGGCATCCCTGCTTGCAGGTGTGAAGGGGGCAGGAATCAGCGAGGTGTCCTGGGCTGAGTCCCCGGAGTGGGAAGAGGTGGCAGGAAGGGGATCTGAGGAGGAGAACAGGGGTCCTGGTGGTCTGTGCTTCTTCCCAGACATGGGAGCTGTAGAGGAGACCTCTGCAGCAGATGCTAGGGGGGCCAGTAGGCCCAGGCAGTCTTGGGACTTGGGTCTGTCCTGCTGTGCATCCATAGTGGGTGCTTTAGAAACGGGAGGCCCACCCGAAGCCCCTGTTGCAAGTGAGGACAAAGTGTGGGAAGGCCGTGAGGGTCTGCAGTCCGAGATGGCCTTGTCCTCAACGTGCAGTGCAGTGTTGATGCGGGGCCTAGAGGCCTGGGATCTGGGGGAGCCACCCCTGGGGGCAAGTGTCTGCCCTGGTGCTGTACCTGCCTTCTTCTCACAGCGGGTGTGACCCGAAGAGACAGCCTGAGGTCCGTCCTCACTCACTGTGTTTGAGGAACTGTGGGCCAGCTGGCAGTAGGATGAGGCTGGCCCCCTCCTCCGCTTTAGTTGCGGGAGGCCTTCCGTAGAGCTGTGGGAGCTGGAGCTGGCATTTCCTTGGAGGCAGGATCTGGTCCGGGAGGTCTGGGATCTCTGGTTATATCTCACTTCTGACCTCTGGACACGTGCTGCAGCTGTGGCTGAGGCCAAGAAATGTGAGGGGCCTCCATCCACTGCATTGAGTAGTGACCCCGACGTGGGGTTCAATGTGGAGGGGGGAGGGGCTGCTGCTGCAGCTGCAGGAGCCGAGGTGCCAGGCCTTGTTCTTCTCATGCCGGCATCGCTGCTTGCAGCTGTGAAGGGCGCGGGAATCAGCGAGGTGACCTGGGCTGAGTCCCGTGAGTGGGAAGAGGTGGCAGGAAGGGGATCTGAGGAGGAGAACAGGGGTCCTGGTGGTCTGTGCTTCTTCCCAGACACGGGAGCTGTAGAGGGGACTTCTGCAGCAGATGCTAGGGGGGCCAGTAGGCCCAGGCAGTCTTGGGACTTGGGTCTGTGCTGCTGTGCATCCATAGTGGGTGCTTTAGAAACGGGAGGCCCACCCGAAGCCCCTGTTGCAAGTGAGGACAAAGTGTGGGAAGGCCGTGAGGGTCTGCAGTCCGAGATGGCCTTGTCCTCAACGTGCAGTGCACTGTTGATGCGGGGCCTAGAGGCCTGGGATCTGGGGGAGCCACCCCTGGGGGCGAGTGTCTGCCCTGGTGCTGTACCTGCCTTGTTTTCACAGCGGTGACCCGAAGAGACAGCCTGAGGTCCGTCCTCACTCACTGTGTTTGAGGAACTGTGGGCCAGCTGGCAGTGGGATGAGGCTGGCCCCCTCCTCCGCTTTACTTCCTGGAGGCCTTCCGTAGAGCTGTGGGAGCTGGAGCTGGCATTTCGTTTGAGGCAGGATCTGGTCCGGGAGGTCTGGGATCTCTGGTTATATCTCACTTCTGACCTCTGGGCACGTGCTGCAGCTGTGGCTGAGGCCAAGAAATGTGAGGGGCCTCCATCCACTGCATTGAGTAGCGACCCCGACGTGGGGTTCAATGTGGAGGGGGGAAGGGCTGCTGCGGCAGCTGCAGGAGCCGAGGTGCCAGGCCTTGTTCTTCTCATGCCGGCATCCCTGCTTGCAGCTGTGAAGGTGGCAGGAATCAGCGAGGTGACCTGGGCTGAGTCCCGGGAGTGGGAAGAGGTGGCAGGAAGGGGATCTGAGGAGGAGAACAGGGGTCCTGGTGGTCTGTGCTTCTTCCCAGACACGGGAGCTGTAGAGGGGACCTCTTCAGCAGATGCTAGGGGGGCCACTAGGCCCAGGCAGTCTTGGGACTTGGGTCTGTCCTGCTGTGCGTCCATAGTGGGTGCTTTAGAAACGGGAGGCCCACCCGAAGCCCCTGTTGCAAGTGAGGACAAAGTGTGGGAAGGCCGTGAGGGTCTGCAGTCCGAGATGGCCTTGTCCTCAACGTGCAGTGCACTGTTGATGTGGGGCCTAGAGGCCTGGGATCTGGGGGAGCCTCCCCTGGGGGCGAGTGTCTGCCCTGGTGCTGTACCTGCCTTGTTTTCACAGCGGTGACCCGAAGAGACAGCCTGAGGTCCGTCCTCACTCACTGTGTTTGGGGAACTGTGGGCCAGCTGGCAGTGGGATGAGGCTGGCCCCCTCCTCCGCTTTAGTTCCTGGAGGCCTTCCGTAGAGCTGTGGGAGCTGGAGCTGGAGCTGGCATTTCGTTTGAGGCAGGATCTGGTCCGGGAGGTCTGGGATCTCTGGTTATATCTCACTTCTGACCTCTGGGCACGTGCTGCAGCTGTGGCTGAGGCCAAGAAATGTGAGGGGCCTCCATCCACTGCATTGAGTAGTGACCCCGACGTGTTGTTCAATGTGGAGGGGGGAGGGGCTGCTGCGGCAGCTGCAGGAGCCGACCTTGTTCTTCTCATGCCGGCATCCCTGCTTGCAGCTGTGAAGGTGGCAGGAATCAGCGAGGTGACCTGGGCTGAGTCCCGGGAGTGGGAAGAGGTGGCAGGAAGGGGATCTGAGGAGGAGAACAGGGGTCCTGGTGGTCTGTGCTTCTTCCCAGACACGGGAGCTGTAGAGGGGACCTCTGCAGCAGATGCTAGGGGGGCCACTAGGCCCAGGCAGTCTTGGGACTTGGGTCTGTCCTGCTGTGCGTCCATAGTGGGTGCTTTAGAAACGGGAGGCCCACCCGAAGCCTCTGTTGCAAGTGAGGACAAAGTGTGGGAAGGTCGTGAGGGTCTGCAGTCCGAGATGGCCTTGTCCTCAACGTGCAGTGCAGTGTTGATGTGGGGCCTAGAGGCCTGGGATCTGGGGGAGCCACCCCTGGGGGCAAGTGTCTGCCCTGGTGCTGTACCTGCCTTGTTTTCACAGCGGTGACCCGAAGAGACAGCCTGAGGTCCATCCTCACTCACTGTGTTTGAGGAACTGTGGGCCAGCTGGCAGTGGGATGAGGCTGGCCCCCTCCTCCGCTTTACTTCCTGGAGGCCTTCCGTAGAGCTGTGGGAGCTGGAGCTGGCATTTCGTTTGAGGCACGATCTGGTCCGGGAGGTCTGGGATCTCTGGTTATATCTCACTTCTGACCTCTGGACACGTGCTGCAGCTGTGGCTGAGGCCAAGAAATGTGAGGGGCCTCCATCCACTGCATTGAGTAGTGACCCCGACGTGGGGTTCAATGTGGAGGGGGGAGGGGCTGCTGCGGCAGCTGCAGGAGCCGACCTTGTTCTTCTCATGCCGGCATCCCTGCTTGCAGCTGTCAAGGGGACAGGAATCATCGAGGTGACCTGGGCTGAGTCCCGGGAGTGGGAAGAGTTGGCCGGAAGGGGATCTGAGGAGGAGAACAGGGGTCCTGGTGGTCTGTGCTTCTTCCCAGACACGGGAGCTGTAGCGGGGACCTCTGCTGCAGATGCTAGGGGGGCCACTAGGCCCAGGCAGTCTTGGGACTTGGGTCTGTCCTGCTGTGCATCCATAGTGGGTGCTTTAGAAACGGGAGGCCCACCCGAAGCCCCTGTTGCAAGTGAGGACAAAGTGTGGGAAGGCCGTGAGGGTCTGCAGTCCGAGATGGCCTTGTCCTCAACGTGCAGTGCACTGTTGATGCGCTGGAATGCCTTCTCTTTTTCCAGGTGCAGGTCTTCAGCCGTGACCCGGTACCCCAGCTCTAAGGGAGGTGGCAGCATCAAAGGCTCCCCTCGCCTGCGTGGCAGCAGGGGAATCTTGCGTCTACGGGGCCTAGAGTCCTGGGATCTGGGGGAGCCACCCGTTGGGGCGATTGTCTGCCCTGGTGCTGTATCTGCCCCCTTTTCACACCGTGTGTGACCCGAAGAGACAGCCTGAGGCCTGTCCTCACTCACTGTCTTTGAGTAACTGAGGGTCAGCTGGCAGCGGGATGAGGCTGGCCCCCTCCTCTGCTTTAGCCCCGGCAAGCCTCCCGTGGAGCTGTAGGAGCTGGAGATGGCATTTCGTTTGGTGCTCGAGCTCGTCCAGGATGTCTGGGATGTGTGGTTATATCTGATTTCTGAGCTCTGGGCGTGGAGGTCTGTCTGCAGAGGCCCGGGCCTGGGCACAAAGGGAGAGGGGCCTCCATTGTCCCGCAGGGGCCAAAATGCAGACCGTGCATCCCCGGTGACCTCGGGGACCGTTCTCTGATCATCAGGATTTTCTTGGACTCTGGGGTCCTTGTGCTGCTCAGGCATCCCTGCCCCGCTCTCCTTGAGGGCCCTCAACACTATCTTCCCTGGACACAAGTCTGGGGACAGCCGGGTGTTGTGGACCCCAAAGGGGTGACTACCTGCTCCTGGGCCCCACAGAGTCCTTGTGCTCAGTGTAGTGGCTGAGCTGGGGGATGCCCTGGAACTCAGAGCACACAGCACTGGCTTACTGTGGTACCTGTGCAGTGAAGTTGAAGACAGAATCACCAGGATGGAACACAGGTCTTGCAGGATCACGGAAAACCTTCTTAGAGTTGTCTTGACACCACTGATGTCGAGTGTGCGGGTGTTTGTAGGATGGCCTGCCACTCAGTCCAGGGGCAGGAGCAACGGGGAGATCCCACAAGCAAAGTGAACTGGGGGATGGGCTGAAGGGGCTCCAGGCAACTGAGCCCTACTCGCAGGTCCTCGGCCTTGGCCCAAACAGGAATGAGGGGCACAGAGTGCCCGGGTAACCGCTCCTGGGAGCAGTGGGGAACTGTCGGATACTTGAACTCTCAAGAGCTGGGCTCTGAGCGTCCTCGTCCAGCTGCCAACTTGGCCAAAGGCTAAGCCAGCAGATTGTTCTGTTGCCGGGCAACGCGACTTCTAAACCTGAGGGAGTGGGCATGTGAGCACATAATGGCACCAGTGACAGAGCGACCATAATGGATGAATAAGCGCAGCCAGGTACCCGCGCAAGGCACCTGCTGGCAATGGCAGGAGGCGGACGTGGGGGGTCGTGCAGTAGGTACTGGAGGGAGAGACGTGGGCACAAAGGTCGCGGGAGGAACAGGTGCCCACAATGGCTGCATATTTGCCCGTGGATCACTGAAGATTCCTGCTCTCCTGCTGAGGTGGAGACTGCAGTGAGCTGAGATCGCACCATTGCACTCCAGCCTGGGCAACGAGTGCAAAACTCAGTCTCCAGATAAAAAAAAGAAAAAGAAAAAAAAGAGGCCGGGTGTGGTGGCTTATGCCTATGATCCTAGCACTTTGGGAGGTCGGGGTGGACGGATCACGAGATCAGGAGTTGGAGGCCAGCCTGGCCAACATAGTGAAAGCCCGTCTCTAGTAAAAATACAAAATTTAGTCAGACATGGTGGGCAGGAGAGAGCATGTGCAGGGGAACATCCATTTATAAAACCATCAGACCTCATGAGACTTATTCACTACCATGAGAACAGCATGGGGGAAACTGCCTCCATGATTCAGTTATCTCCACCTGGCCCCACCCTTGACACATGGGAATTGTTACAATTCAAGATGAGATTTGGGTGCGGACAGAGCCAAACCATATAATTCTTCCCCGGCCCCTCCCAAATCTCATGTCCTCATATTTCAAAAGCAATCGTGCCTTCCCCTAAGTCCCCCAAACTCTTATTTCAGCATTAACTCAAAATTCCATAGTCCAAAGTCTCATCTGAGACAAGGCAAGTCCCTTCCACCTATGAGCCTGTAAAATCAAAAGCAAGTTAGTTATTTTCTAGATACACAGGGATACAGGCATTGGGTAGATACACTCGTTTCAAATGGGAGAAATTGGCCAAAGCGAAAGAGCTACAGGCCCCATGCAAGTCCAAAACCCAGCAGGCAAATCTTAAAGCTCCAAAATGACCTCCTTTGACTCCATGTGTCACATCTAGGTGATGCAAGAAGTGGGTTCCCAGGGTCTTGGGCAGCCCCGCCCCTGTGGCTTTGCAGGGTACAGCCCCCCTTCTGGCTGCATTGAGTGTCTGCAGCTTTTCTAGGCACACAGTGCAAGCTGTCAGTGGATCTACCATTCTGGGGTCTGGAGGATGGTGGCCCTTTTCTCACAGCTCTGCTTGGCAGTACCCCAGTGGGGACTCTGTGTGGAAGCTCCAACCCCATATTTCCCTTTGACACTGCCCTAGCAGAGGTTATCCATGAGGGCCCCCCCCTCCCCTCCCCCCCACAGCAAACTTTTGCCTGGATTTCCAGGCATTTTCATACATCTTCTGAAATGTAGGCGGAGGTTCATGAACGTTAATTCTTGACTTCGGTGCATCTGCAGGCTTAACACCACCTAGAACCTGAAAGGCTTGGAACTTGCACCCTCTGAAGCCATGGCCTGAGGTGTACCTTGTCCCCTTTTACCTATGGCAGGAGCAGCTGGGATGCAGGGCCCCAAGTTCCTAGGCTGCACACAGCAGGGGGTTCTGGACCCACAAAACCATTTTTCCTTCTAAGCCTCCTGGCCTGCGATGGGAGGGTCTGCTGTGAGGGTCTCTAACATGCCCTGGAGACATTTGCCCCATTGTCTTGGTGATTAACATTTGGCTCCTCATTACTTATGCAAATTTCTACAACCCAGTCTCCTGAGAAAATAGATTTTTCTTTTCTGTTGCATCATCAGGCTACAAATTTTCTGAAATTTTATGCTCTGCTTCTTCTCGAATGCTTTGCTGCTTAGAAATTTCTTCTGTCAGATACCTTAAATCATCTCTCTCAAGTTCAAAGTTCCACAGATCTCTAGGCCCAGAAAAAAAAAATTAGCCTGGCATGGTGGCATGTGCCTGTAGTCCCAGCTACTCAGGAGTCTGAGGTGGGAGGATTGCTTGAGCCTGGGAAGTCCAGGCTGCAGTGAGTCAAGACTGCACCACTGCACTGCAGCGTAGGCAACAGAGCGAGTCTGTCTCATAAACAAATAAAAAATAAAATAAAAGACCCCACTGTGTTGTTGCCTATAACAATTCACTTTAAGGCTGGGTGCAGTGGCTCATGCCTGTAATCTCAACACTTAGGGTGGCAGAGGTGGGAGGACAGCTTGAGCCCAGGAGTTTGAGATCTGCCTGGGCAACATAGTGAGACCCCGTTACCCACAAAAAGGAAAAGGAAAAAACAAGAATTGACTTTAAATATAGTCACAGATAGATTAAAAAGAAAATAATCTAAAAGATGTAACATGAAAAAACTAATAAAGGCCTAAAAAATACTATCAAGGATAAAGAGGGATATTTCTGTTTTTTAGAGACAAAGTTTTACTCTGTCACCCAGGCCACAGTACAGTGGCACAATCATAGCTCATTGCAACCTATACTCCTGAGCTCAAGCGATTCTCCTGCCTCTGCCTCCCAGGTAGCTGGGACTACAGATGCATGCTACCACACCCTGTTTGTTTTAAAAATTTTTTGTAGAAATGGAGTCTAGCTATGTTGCAAAGGCTAGTCTCAAACTCCTCGCCTTGTGCACTCCTCCCACCTCAGCCTCCCAAAGTGCTGGGATTATAGGTGTGAACCACCATGCCTGCTTGGGATATTTAATATATTCTCTGGAATATGAAAGACCAAAGGGCAAAAAAATAGCTAAGACACACTCTTGAAGAGAAAGAACAAGACTATTCTGCAGGAAAATATGAAAATAAGCTCAACTGCCGGGCGCGGTGGCTCACACCTGTAATCCCAGCACTTTGGGAGGCTGAGGTGGGTGGATCACCTGAGGTTGGGAGTCCGAGACCAGCCTGACCAACATGGAGAAACCCCATCTCTACTAAAAATACAAAATTAGCTGGGCGTGGTGGCACATGCCTGTAATCCCAGCTACTCGGGAGGCTGAGGCAGGAGAATCACTTGAACCTGGGAGGCGGAGGTTGTGGTGAGCCGAGATCGTGCCATTGCACTCCAGCCTGGGCAACAAGAGTGAAACTCCGTCTCAAAAAAAAAAAAAAGAAAGAAAAAAAGAAGAAGAAAATAAGCTTAACATTATTAGTAATTACACTGACAAAAATTAAAATTTGGGCAATACCAAGTTAGTGAGGAAGCAAATCAATAGCAACGCATCTAGGCCAATGGGAATGTAAATCAGTGCAACCACTTGGGAAAAAGCTTTGCATTATCTAGTGGAGTTGAACACCCGCAAAGTTCTATGACTCTGCAATTCTTTACTTTGTTATGTATCCTAGAGAAACACACATGAGCACTGGAAAATATGTACAAGAATGTTCATAGGGCATTATTTGAATTTGCAACACTCTGAAAACGACCCACGAGGTTAATCAACAGTAAAATAAGTTATTATATATTCATAAAATAATACACTATTTACCAATGAAAACAAGTGAACTACAACTGTGTAGTACATATAAATATGGATGAATCTCAAAAACATCGTGGAGTAAAACCAGCCAATTACAAGAAGAATCATGCAGTATGCTTCTTATTTGAACTTCAAGAATAGACAAAGCTAAATATGTTTAAGGATGTATATGTAGTTCGTAAAACCACAAAGAGAAGCAAGGGAATAATTAACCCAAACTGAGCATCACATTTACCTCTGGATTGGAGGGACAGGGATATAATCAGAATTAGGGGGTGGTTGGCATGCAGAGTTGTTTTTTTTTTTATTTTTTTTTTTTGAGACAGAGTCACGCTCTGTCGCCCAGGAGTGCAATGGCGCCATCTTGGCTCACTGCAACTTCCGCCTCCCAGGTTCAAGCCATTCTCCTGCCTCAGCCTCCCTAATAGCTGGGACTACAGGTGTGTGTCACCAGGCCCGGTTAAATTTTTCTGCTTTTTAACAGAGATGGGGTTTCACCATGTTGCCCAGGCTGGTCTCGAACTCTTGAGCTCAGACAATCTGCCCACATCGGCCTCCCAAAGTGCTGAGATTACAGGCGTGAGTCACTGCACCCGGCCGCAGGGGTCTTTTAAGGCATTGATAATGTCCAATTTCTTGACTTTACTAGGAGGTTCATAGGTTGCTTTTTATTCATTCTTTAAAGCATACATAAAAATTTTAGGTAATCATTTGGAGACATACTGGTTTGCAGTTTTTTTAAGAGGCAAAGGAAGAGTAAAAATCCAAAAAGGAGTTGGCTGGGAGCAGTGGCTCATGCCTGTAATCCAAGTACTTTGGGAGGCTGAAGCAGAAGGATCATTTGGAGCCAGGAGTTTGAGACCAGCCTGGGCAACAAAGCAAGACCCCATCTCTACAAAAAAAAACTTTAAAAAATTAGTCGGGCATGGTGACACATGCTTGTAGTCCTAGCTACTTGGGAGGCTGAGGTGGGAGGATCACTTGAGCCCAGGAATTTGAGGCTACAGTCAGCTAGGATTGTACCACTGCACTTGCTCCAGCCTGGGTGACAGAGCCGAGACCCAGTCTCTTAACAAAAAAACACTAAAGGCCAGGTGTGGCGGCTCACACCTGTAATCCCAGCACTTTGGGAGGCTGAGGCAGGAGGATCACTTGAGGTCAGGAGTTCAAGACCAGCCTGGCCAACATGGTGAAACCCCGTCTCTACTAAAAGTACAAAAAATTAGCCAGGCATGGTGGGGAGGTACCTGTAATCCCAGCTACTTGGGAGGCTGAGGCAGGAGAATCGCTTGAACCCGGGAGGCGGAGGTTGCAGTGAGCCGAGATCACGCCACTGCACTCCAGCCTGGGTGACAGAGTGAGACTCCATCTCAAAAACAACAACAACAAAACACTAAAACTAATAATAATAATAATAGTATAAAAGGGAGTTGATCGATTCCAGAGTAAGTTCTAAATAAGACTAGACTGCATCCTAGCTTATCCTTCCAAGAATTAAGTAGAATGTCCCCATTGTTCTCAATAATTTATTATACACTAAGCCCAAATAAGAAAGAAAAATGAGGTAACTACTGCTATCAAAATACCTTCAAGGCAATAAAATTAGATAGAAGTATTCATTTTGTTTTATTTTTGTTTTTACCACTATACAAATGAGCAGGAAGCATTCATTTTAAAATCTGTATGTGTTCATATTCATTTCTAAAAAAAAAAACTCTTACTAATTACATAGTGAAAACACAAATTTCTTCTTGCAATTAAACATTTCTAAAGAGTTTGATGGGTAAAAAAAATTAAGTTTAAAGATTCATAGAAAAGAAATATTTCTTCGTAAAATTTTAGAACAGATATTTTTCTGAAAGCTTCCAGCACAGGAAAAAAAAAAATTTTGTTTGCAGTAAAAGGATTGACAAGCAGAAAGGCATGGAACTTCTCGACAGCACATTAGGAACCAGTAGAAATGTAGCAGTGCCTCTACAATTTAGAATTAAAATGACTTCCAACCTATAATTCTACACCTAGCTAAACTATCAAATAAGTGTGAGAATACAGGAAAAACATATATCTAGATAGATCTATATGTCTGTATATGCATTATATGCAACTAAAAGTGTGTATTTCTTATGCAGTCTTTCCCAGGGAACTCCGATGAAGTGTTCCAACAAAATGAGCGAGTGAACCAAGAAGAGGATGACATTAGATCCAGGAGATACAACAGAGGAGATAATCTCCAGGATGCCTGTGAAGAAAGATCCCTGGATCCCAGGATGATTATAGGACAAGTTGTTCATAATCCAGCAGGCCAGAAGACTTCCAGGGAAACTCATTCAAGGAGGTGAAAATGATGGATGACTCCTCCAAGATGAAAATGGACCAGCCGCAGTGGCTCACGCCTGTAATACCAGCACTTTGGGAGGCTGAGGCAGGCGGATCACTTGAGGTCAGGAGTTTGAAACTAGCCTGGCCAACGTGGCAAAACTCCATCTCTATTAAAAATACAAAAATTAGCCAAGCATAGTGGTGCATGCCTGTAGTCCCAGCTACTTGGGATGCTGAGGCAGGAAGAATTGCTTGAACCTGGGAGGCAGAGTCTACAGTGAGCCGAGATCATGCCACTGCACTCCAGCCTGGGCAACACAGTGAGACTCCATCTCAAAAAAAAAAAAAAAAAAATTAAGCAGATGGCTATAATTTTTTTAAAAATAGAAAAGTGTTGATGAGAAATGGGAAACCTCATACATTGTTGGTCAAACTGTATGCTTCCATTTAGAGGAAATAGTCAGAACAAATAAATCCATAGACACCAATTAGGTTGGTGTATCCCAGGGGCTGGGCATGGAGTGGGGTGGAGAGAGAAGGAGGGCCTGCTTAGTGGATACAGAGTTTTCTTTGGGGGCGATGAAAGTGTTTTGGAACTAGATAGAGGGGGTGGTTGCACAACATTGTTGTTGGTGGGAATTTAAAATGGTGCAAGCACTGTGGAAAAAACAGTTTAGCATTTCCTCAAAAAGTTAAAACAGGCCAGGCGCTGTGGCTCACGCTTGTAATTCCAGCACTTTGGGAGGCCAAGCCAGGTGGATCACTTGAGGTCAGGAGTTTGAGACCAGCCTAGCCAACATGGTGAAACCCTAAAAATACAAAAAATTAGCCGGGCATGGTGGCAGACACCTGTAATCCCAGCTACTCAGGAGACTGAGGCAGGAAAATTGCTTGAACCTGGGAGGCGGAGGTTGCAGTGAGCTGAGATCGCACCGCTGCACTCCAGCCTGAGTGACAGAGTGAGACTCTGTGTGAGAAAAAAAAAAAAAAAGTAAAAACATAGAATTACTATACAGCTAGCAATATCGTTGTTAGGTATATGCCCCAGAGACTTGAATACAGTTACATGCTCCATCAGATACCTGTACCCAAATGTTCCTATCGGTATTACTCATGGTAGCCAAAAGGTAGAAACAACCCAAATATCTACAAATAGATGAATGGATAAATAAAATGCAGTGTATCCATATGGAATATTACTTGGTCTCAAAAGGAAAGAAGTACTTATGCAAGCTACAACATGGATAAACTTCAAAACAATATGCCAAGTGAAAGAATCCAAATGCAAAAGGTCAAACGGTATGCTTCCATTTAGAGGAAATAGTCAGAACAAATAAATCCATAGACACCAATTAGGTTGGTGTATCCCAGGGGCTGGGCATGGAGTGGGGTGGAGAGAGGAGGGGGGCCTGCTTGATGGATACAGAGTTTCCTTTGGGGGCGATGAAAGTGTTTTGGAACTAGATAGAGGGGGTGGTTGCACAACATTGTGAATGTACTATAATAAATGCCACAGAATTGTGTACTCTAAAATGGTTTAATTGCTGTGCATGGTGGCTCACGCCTATAATCCCAGCACTTTGGGAAGCCAGGATGGGAAGACTGCTTGAGCCTAGAAGTCTGAGAGCAGCCTGGGCAACATAGAGAGACCCTGTCTCTTAAAAAAAAAAAAAAAAAATTAGCTGGGTGTGAAGACATGTGCCTGTAGTCCCAGCTACTTGGGAGGCTGAGCGAGGAAGATTGCTTGAGCCAGAGAGGTCAAGGCTGCAGTGAGCCATGATTGCACCACTGCACTCCAACCTGGGCAAGAGAGAGAACCTGTCACAAAAAATAATAAATAAATAAATAAAATGGTTACTACCTGAATTTTACCTCAGGAAAAAAAAATAAGCTAACATACCAACAGGACAGTTATTACTTCCTAAAAAAATAAAAGGATATACAGGAAGGGAAAAATAAATAAAAATTTACCACAAGCTTCAGCTCCACATAGCATTTGTATAGTCATGATAATGTAAACATGTAATGTGAATATATGAATCTAGCCAAAACTATGCCATAACTATAAAGAGGGGAAGGCTAGTACAGGAAGGGGGTCATGGAGCAAAGGGATGAAAGACATGAAGACTCATCCTTCATAGCCTGAATCCGAGGAGTGGATAAAGACTCAATCTAAAGATAAAATAAGGCAGGAAATGAGGAAAAAGAAAAAAACTGTTGAAGTGCATCCAAAGTTGCAGATGGTTAACATTCATTCCACTCACTTGGGAAAACATCTGGTGTGATCGTCTAATGGGTCATCACCTTCCTGCCATTTCTCTAAACACCCTCCACAGGAAAAGCACTGGACGATGTCCTTTATACCTAAAAGTAAGGAAACTTGATCAGTGCCACTGGCATGGGCATCTGTCCATTAACATGCAGATAATAACCACCAGACCTGTAATAGTGAAAGCCTATTCAGTCTCCAGTTGGGTTTTGTGACAGTCAGAAGTTGGTTACCAGTGAGGCAATTTTCTATATAAGACTCTGTCCACCAATGGGGTAACTGGCAAGTAGTCATTGAATGCTCCTACACACCATGCACTTTGATGCACACCATCCCTCTGCCCCATTCTCCTTTGATCAACAAACAGATTGGCAACCAGAATCTGGAATTGAAGCTCCATGAGGGGGCTGGGCGCAGTGGCTCATGCCTGTAATCCCAGCACTTTGGGAGGCCAAGGCCAGCGGATCTCCTGAGGTCAGGAGTCTGAGACCAGCCTGGCCAACACGGTGAAACCCTGTCTCTACTAAAAATACAAAAATTAGCTGGGCATGGTGGCACATGCCTGTAATGCCAGCTACTCAGGAGGCTGAGGCACAAGAATCGCTTGAACCCAGGAGACGGAGGTTGCAGTGAACCAAGATAACGCCATTGCACTCCAGCCTGGGCAACAAGAGTGAAACTCTGTCTCAAAAAATAAAAATAAAAATAAGCTCTATGAGGGTAGAGGTTTTTGCTCACTAATGAATGACATGAACCTAGAAAAGTGCTTGACACTCATGTGGCACTCAATTAGTATTCGTTTAATGAATGAATCAGAAAGAATATATTTAGAGCTCACGGAAAAAAAAATACCAGCAAATCTAGCAGCCCTTATGTAAGTGAATGCATGAAGAATTAATTGCCTCTTACCACATTATTGCCATGTTTATTACACCAGAAATAGGATTAAGTCTCTTTGTGAAATTATATTTCTTTGGAAAGAAATTGGTATTTAGCTCTGCAAAAGGATCAAACTAGAAACAGAGCATTTCTCATCTTCCTTCCACTCTGGGAAAGCTGGGGCAGAGGAAAGCCTCCCAGAAATATGAGATCCTAGAGCTTGCAAGATCTGAAAACAGTCAGAGATGATTAGGATTTGTGTGGAGTGGTGGAGGATTGGAAAGGAAGAGGGGGAGCACACTGGTCAGAGGGGTCTTGCGGAAGGCTGACAAGAGGAAGACACAGTAGAGTAGGGAGAAATGGCAAACACTCTTTCCAAAGGCTTAAGATTGTGAGGCAGTCAGATTTTTTTTTTCCAATGGCACATGTCTGTTAGGTAGAGTGACAACTATATTCTGCTTCTCTGTGTTGCTCTATGGTATTTGTGACAACTACTTGATCTCTCAGTTAAAGATCTGCATTAACCTCCACTGTAACTTATGCATGTGTTCGGTTTGAGCAAGACCAGCAAGGTACCTAGGAACCTTTCCCTGATCATCTTGTATTTCAGGCAGAGATTTAGCTGACAGGAACCAGCCCATCATTTATAGATTGCAGAGGTGCTTCCTAATGACCAGCAGCTAAAGAGAAAATGCCACAATCTGGTGGAAGGCTCTACGTGTTTAGGAATCATGAAAATTAATTTCCTGATTTTCTCCTGCAGGCAGAATGTGGCAAAGATTGCTATCCATGTTCCTATTATCTCAAATCCTTCCATACTAATAGAAATCCCAATATTTAGCTGGGCACATTGTCACCCAGGAAAAAGATTAGGTTTCCCAGCTCCTCTTACAGCTAGGTATGGTCATCTGACTAATAATAATAATAATAATTATTATTATTATTATTATTATTATTATTATTATTATTATTTTTGAGACAGAGTTTCACTCTTGTTGCCCAGGCTGGAGTGCAATAGCATGATCTTGACTCCCCGCAACCTCCACGTCCCAGGTTCAAGCGATTCTCCTGCCTCAGCCTCCCAAGTAGCTGGGATTACAGGCACCCGCCACCATGCCTGGCTAATTCTTTGTATTTTTAGTAGAGACAGAGTTTCACCATATTGGCCAGGCTGGTCTCAAACTCCTGACCTCAGGTGATCCACCCACCTCGGCCTCCCAAAGTGCTGGGATTACAGGCGTGAGCCACCATGCCCGGCCCATCCAACTAAGTTCTGATTAAAGAAATATAAGCAGAAGTGTCCTGTGACAGTTTCTAGGAGCACTTTGTCAGGGGACAAGAGGTGAGGAGAGTAATGTGTAGAAAGAAAAGACATGATAATTATCACAAATAGAATACTTGTATTCATTGTTAGTCCAGACCTTAAGGTTTCAAATTTGAAGGTTTACCACCTAAGGGAGGAATAGAAAACTGGGAGAGGATTTATGATGCAGGAAAGAAAAGAGATGTATGCCAGGTGCAGTGGCTCACACCTGTAATCCCAGCATTTTGGGAGGCCAAGGCAGGAGGATTACTTGAGCCCAGGAGGTTGAGGCTGCAGTGAGCCATGATCTCGCCACTGCCCTCCAGCCTGGATGACCATGTCTCAAAAAAAATAGAAAGAAAAGAAAACGAATCTATAAGAAATGCTGAAGAGAGGCCTGGCGCGATGGCTCACACCTGTAATCCCAGCATTTGGGAGGCCAAGGCGGGCAGATCACGAGATCAGGAGATCAAGAGCATTCTGACTAGCATGGTGAAACCCTGTCTCTACTAAAAATACAAAAAAGTAGCTGGGCGTGGTGGCAGGCGCCTGTGGTTCCAGCTACTCCAGAGGCTGAGGAAGGAGAATCTCTTGAACCCGGGAGGTGGAGGTTGCAGTGAGCCAAGATCTGCATTCCAGCCTGGGCAACTCTGTCTCCAAGGGGGAAAAAAAAAGAAAAGAAAAAGAAACGCTGAAGCTAGTGGACATTGCTGAGTGTAGCTAAACGTAAGCCCAGGAGCATAAAGTCTATGTGGGAATTAAAGGTCAAGCAAGCAAGTGGGCACAACCTACTGACTCACCTGTGTAGAAAAGACCTGCTTTGGCCAGTGCTGCAACTCCCACAGCTGATTCCCGGGGCCAGTCCTTAAAAGAGTCCAGCCGTAGTTCTTCGTAAGCAAAGATGCTGTCATTGCAATAAGCTTGAATAAAAAGCACAAGGTGAGACCAGCAGGCTTTAGTCTTTTTTTTTTCTATATCTTTATTGCTGCTGCACAAATTAAAGAGACCAGTAGGCTTTGATATTGCAAGTATCAGCGTTCAAGTTGTCCCTTCACAGTTACAGATGGAATGATGTCTAGAGTTTGCTTCAAAATAAACGGGGCGGGGCGGGGGGGACGACAAAAAGAGATAGGGACAAAAAATCAAAAGAAGAAATAAACAAGCAAAGCCTTTGGAAAATGTTTGAGTTTTTACCTGATGCCATAGGTAATTCTCTCTGGACCCAGGAATTCACAAAATGTTCTCCCTGAGGGAAATTAAAATTCAAGTTGTTGATTATCTGACTTTTTTTTTTTTTTTTTTTTTGAGGCAGAGTCTCACTCTGTTGCCCAGGCTGAAGTGCAGTGGCAGGTTCTCGTCTCACTGCAACCTCCGCCTCCTGGGTTCAAGTGATTCTCCTGCCTCAGCCTCCCGAGTAGTACAGGCATGTGCCACCACACCCGGCTAATTTTTTTTTTTTTTGTATTTTTAGTAGAGACAGACACGATGTTGGAGGTCTTTTTTTTTTTTTTTTTTTTTTTTTTTGAGACAGAGTCTCGCTCTGTCGTCCAGGCTGGAGCACAGTGGCACGACCTTGGCTCACTACAAGCTCTGCCTCCCAGGTTCACGCCATTCTCCTGCCTCAGCCTCCCGAGTAGCTGGGACCACAGGCGCCTGCCACCATGCCGGGCTAATTTTTTTTTTTTTTGTATTTTTAGTAGAGATGGGGTTTCACCATGTTAGCCAGGATGGTCTCTATCTCCTGACCTCATCATCCGTCCGTCTCGGCCTCCCAAAGTGCTGGGATTACAGACGTGAGCCACTGCACCCGGCCCATGTTGGAGGTCTTGAGGCTGGTCTCGAACACCTGATCTCAAGTGATCTGCCCAGCTCGGCCTCCCAAAGGGCTGGGATTACAGGCATGAGCTACTGCGCCCAGCCTGATTGTTTGACTTATGAAGTATATACCTATCTATGAACAAGAACTGAAGGAACTTTACCCCAGAATGAAGAGTTTCACTGGATGGAACGGCAGAGTCGGAGGAGAATTATTCCTTTAATTTTTATTTCTGTTGATGTTGCAATTGTTTTTATGCAGTGCAAGCAAACATACACACACACACACACACACACACACACACACACGCATGCAAGCTGTGAATGTTTATGCATACTCAGGAGGAAGCCTTCTCAGGGTCACTGTTTCCGGAAACTGACCTTGAAAACAGACCTGCATTTAAATATCACAGATGTACTTTGACGAATGAGGAAGTAAGAGACATAGAATGGTAACTAAATTCATCAGGGTATTATATATTGAGCAACTGATTCTTCTGGGAAAGCTGCACCCAGTTTCTTTTTGAGGAAACACCTCTCTTCCCCCACTGTCAGGCCATGTTCTCTATAGAGTTCTGGTCTCCTGAGTCATGTTAATCAATAAATTCTCATTTTTGTTTAAGCCAGTTTGGATTCGATTTCCCATCACTCTCCACTAGGAAATTTTTACTGATTCAGGATAGTTAGCCAGCTAGGAAGAGCCAGCTCTGCAGCCCACTGTGGGTGACAGCGCCTAGGTCAGGAGATCTTAGCAAGCCTGCAGATAGGGGCAGCAGAGGGAAGCTGGGGCAAGTGGCTTCATTCATAAAGGGGAAGACTATCAGGAAGGCAAGCAGAGCCCGTCAGAAGCCAGACCTGGAAAAAGAAAAAGGCTCTAGGTCAGCAAGTGAATGTGATATTTTTCACTTTGAAGATGGGAGCCAGGGGAATGAAAGGAGAAAGGAAGAAAGAAATCAAACCCATGACATAAAAAGAATGCCTATGCCCTTCTGAGTCAGACACTTACAGGTAATCCAAAAACTTGAGAAAAAAATTGCTGTTATACATTACCGTTATGTCAACAAATCCCTTGTAGCTTTGAATATACTGGGTAATTTCCTCTGAGGATTTCTTACTCCGAAGAAATTCACATCTGTAATTAATAAATATAATTAAAATTTACCCCAGTACTGTGATAGAGCTGTCCTATATCACAATGAACATTTATAAAGACGTATTGAATTGTTGAATTTTATTATACTTCAATAAAATTGCCAAAAAATTTACCACAAAACTTAGGAGAATTACCATTATTCTCATATAATTATTTGTTATTTCTATTAGTGACAACATGTGTAGTTATTTAAAATTAAATCTTCAGGTTAACTTTTTTCTTGAAATAAAACATGCAATACAATCAAAGAGACTGATTTACAGTAAATATAGGATGGAGCTTTTGTTTTTTGGAATTAAGCAGTGGTGACTAAATCTAGTCGCTAGGGTTATATGAAAGCTACTGGCAGTAAAGAGAACTATATTTAAAATAATAGGCCAGACGCAGTGGCTCACATCCAGGAGTTCAAGACTAGCCTGGGCAACATGGCAAAACCCCATCTCCACAAAAAATACAAAAATTAGCCGGGCATGGTGCCACACCTCTGTAGTCCCAGCTACTCAGGAGGCTGAAGGGGGAGGATCACCTGAGCCCGGGGAGGTAGAGGCTGCACTGAGCCATGATCAGGCTGCTACACTCCAGCCTGGGCAACAGACTGAGACCCAGTCTCAAAAGTAAATACAAAAAATCTTTTTAAGATAACAATATATTTATCTACTGAACAAAAAATTACCATGCATTAAAAAGTAATGGCTATTAGGCCAGGCGTGATGGCTCACGCCTGGAATCCCAGCACTTTGGGAGGCCGAGACAGGTGGATCACGAGGTCAGGAGTTCGAGACCAGCCTGGCCAAGATGGTGAAACCCTGTCTCTACTAAAAGTACAAAAATTAGCTGGGTGTGGTGGCGGGCGCCTGTAATCCCAGCTACTTGGGAGGCTGAGGCAGGAGAATCGCTTGAACCTGGGAGGTGGAGGTTGCAGTGAGCTGAAATCATGCCACTGCACTCTAGCCTGGGCAACAGAGCAAGACTCAATCTCAAAAAAAACCAAAAACAAAAAAAGTAACGGATGTTAATGGATAATTTTTGATTTTTTTAAAAAAGAGCACACTGAATACCATTTAAAAACATATTCCTTTCCCATAAAAGAGAAGCAGTTTTAAAATTAACTTTTAAAATTTCCTCCAATTCAGCTGGGCATGGGGGATCATGCCTGTAATCCCAGCACTTTTGGAGGCTGAGGCGGGTGGATCACTTGAGGCCTGGAGTTTGAGACCAGCCTGGTCAACATGGTGAAACCCCATCTCTACTGAAAATACAAAAATTAGCCAGGCATGGTGGCGGGCGCCTGTAATCCCAGCTGCTTGGGAGGCTGAGGCGGGAGGATCACTTGAACCTGGGAAGCAGAGTTTGCAGTGAGTCATGATTGTACCACTACACTCCAGCCTGGGCAACAGAGAGAGACTCTGTCTCAAAAAAAATAAAAATAAAAATAAAAATCCCTCCAATTCAAATTTAAGTTTTCTTTCTATGGTGCTGTAGCAAAGAATGGGCTGGGAACCCAAAGGCTGGAGCATTAGTACCCGCTCTTCCACCAGTGGGGATGTGACCAACCTTGCCATGTTCTCTTATAATCACAGGAGAACATGGATGCCATCAGATGATCTGCATATTTCCCCAGGGCCATGATTCTATGTGATAGGCAGCCAGGGTCCCCAGTTTTCAGGTGTATAAATGTTTCCAAGGATTGCCGTAAGTCTGCACATAACCTACATGGCACACAATGCACGGGGTGGTTCCCTGTCCTCATGATTTATATGGATTGAGGAGGAACTCAGTACCTTAAAAAGTTACCATAAAATCATCTTACATTTATGGAGTGCCACATTTTAAAAAGTGTAAGGGTATACTCATTTTGTTGACAGTTGATAAAAAGAAGCAACAAATTGAAGTCCAGAAAGCTAAAGACAGAGTAACCCAACAAGAAACTTGGGGATTCTTGCTCTAATTCCAGCTCTTAGATTTTATTGACTGACCATGTGCTTATGACGACAAACAAATGAAAGGCAAAACAGTGGGTCATCTGTCATCCTCACATTATACATGGTAATTTTTACAAAGCATTTGATCCATATACTTTGTTTCTCATCCTTACAACCACCAGACAAGCTGTACATTATTATCTGCTGTGGAAGTCGCAGATACCAAGATGAAATCACTTTTATCAGACCCACACAAAATAGGGCTGGGAAGGCACGAAGGAGTGGGGTTCAGGCTTTCATGTCCAAGACAGGAACGGTTCCAAAGACTTTCTAAGAATCCCATAAGAAATCCCTTCACGCCTGTCACGCATCTCCTGCTTTGCATTGCTTGCATGTACGCACATATTTCTATGGCAAGGTTTATCACTGCACATTCTTTTGGACTGCAGCAATTCAGATAAGATAACATGAGATGAGATGCTGTCAAAAGAACACCTGCCCAGGAACAGCATCTCCACCAATGAACACACAAGAACACACAAGAAGGCTTTGAGCCTTCAGAACCAAGGAATTCTCTTCTGCCCTCTCTCCTCTCCCCTCTCCCCCGTCCCCTGTCTTCTCTCTCCTCTCCCCTCTCCCCTCTCTCCTCTCTCTCTAAAGAAACTGGAGCCTCATCACATTGCCCAGGCTGGTCTCAAACTCCTGGCCTCCAAAGACCCTCCCGCCTCAGCCTCCCACATAGCTGTGATTACACGTATGAGCTACCATGCCCAGCTATGAACTCTGTTTCTAAGCAGCTTATGTGAACTTCTCCCTTTTGCCAAGAAAAATTCCCTTTACTCTTCCCTCACTGCACGTGCCTGTGGTTTACAGTAGTGCATTCCAAATCATAACCCTCTTTTCTTATTCCTGAATAAATTTGACATATTTGGGGATATCTGTCTCTAATTTTTTTGTTGTTGTTGACACTGCATTTTACATATGAGATTCAGACAAGGTCAGTCACCTGCCTAGGGTCTGGTAGTCAGGTAGCAGCAGATTCAAGCCTGGCTCTATCTCCTAAGCCTCTGCACTACCCCCTGCCCTTGTTTGCTGGCCTGAACTCCTTCCTCTCTAGGAGTGGTTGCTGGACTGCTGTCTCCCCTCCCTGTGCTTATTACCTTACCCTCTGACTATGTTAGAGAAGGCATATGAAGGCCCCTGCAGACAGGATGTGCGGCTCTAGTAGGTGCTAGTCACATGATAATGTGATCATGTGTGAGTGGTGCCACTGGTACTTGTCCAGTGTATAACCCAGCGACACTAAACACAGTGACCCTGAGGCTAAGTGAAGCCTGAGCTGAGGCTAGAGCTGAGACAGGTGCCCACGAGCAGCGGCTTGTGCTCCAGCCGGGGCTGCTGTTCCCTGTTACATATGCATATATGGTGCACTGTCAGCATGGACAAGGACTGCCTGGGTGGCTGTTTTGATTCGTCAGGGAGCCAGAGTGACTGTCAAATGATTTCTCAATTCTAGCTTCATTCGTCCCTATAACCATCTCATCTACTTGTCTAACTTTCTCTCTCTCCTCTTCCTGCCTTTCTCCTCTCCTCCCTTGTTTACTTCCTCCCTCCTAATCTCCTCACTTTCTTTTCAACTATGAAAGTAATATATACTTGTTTCCAAAAATTTAAACAAGACAGCAATGAACAAAATAAATGTGAAAATCCATCACTACTTCACCCCCTGACAAATCCAGATCCAGAAGTATCTACAGTTTGGTTTACATATTTTCATAAGGTTTTCTATATATTTTCAAGCAACTCCATATATAGTTTGAGTGGTTTTAAACATTTTCAAAGTCTCACACTGCACTTATTGTGCATATTGCTTTCCCACACAACGTATCAAAACATACCAAAGATATCCATTCACTTTTTTTTTCTTTTGAGATGGAGTCTCACTCTGTTGCCCAGGCTGCTGTGCAGTGGAGTGATCTTGGCTCACTGCAACCTCCGCCTCCCAGGTTCAAGCAATTTCTTGCCTCAGCCTCCCGAGTAGCTGGAACCATAGGCACGCACCACCACGCTCGGCTCATTTTTGTATTTTTAGTAGAGATGGGGTTTCACCATGTTGGCCAGGGAAGAGGGGAGATAGGAGAGGAGAGAGGAGAGAGGGAAGAGGGGAGAGGAGAGTTCATCACTTGAATGAACTCCTGGCCTCAAGTGATTTGCCCGCCTTGGCCTCCCAAAGTGCTGGGATCACAGGTGTGAGCCACTGTGCCCAGCCTTTTTTTTTTTTTTTTTTTTGAGATGGAGTCTCGCTGTGTTGACCAGGCTGGAGTGCAGTGGTGCGATCTCAGCTCACTGCAACCTCTGCCTCCCGGGCTCAAGCAATTCTCCTGCCTCAGCCTCCCAAGTAGCTGGGATTACAGGCGCCTGCCACCACGCCTGGCCAATTTTTGTATTTTTAATAGAGACAGGGTTTTACCATGTTAGCCAGGCTGGTCTTGAACTACTGACATCAAATGATCCGCCTACCTTAGCCTCCCAAAGTGCTGGGATTACAGGCATGAGCCACCATGCCGGGCCTCCATTCACTTTTGTGGGCATGGCTGTCCATGTGCAAGATGACTTATAAATGTAAATAACTGTGTCCAGTTTTGTAGTTAATTTAGTATCCAACCAACAACTTTGCATGTAGTAGGTGTGTGACAAATATTTGTTAAAGAAAATAGAATCTGAGGCTGGGCACGGTGGCTCATGCCTATAATCCCAGCACTTTGGGAGGCCGAGGCAGGTGGACTGCCTGAAGTCAGGAGTTCGAGACCAGCCTCGCAAATATGGAGAAACCCCGTCTCTACTAAAAATACAAAAACTAGTCAGGTGTGGCAGTGCGCACCTATAATCCCAGACCTGGGTGGGGTGAGGCAGGAGAATCGCTTGAACCCAGGAGGCAGAGGTTGCAGTGAGCCAAGATTGCACCGCTGCACTCAAGCCTGGGCAACAGAGTGAGACTGTCACAAAAAAAAAAAGAAAGAAAGAAAATAGAATCTGAGCCTGACCAAACTGCTAGATCCAAGTGTCAGGTTCCTGGAAATGCAGAAGGTAGAGGAACATGTTAGACTATGCCAGAGGAACACATTCTGCCAAATCTAGAGTAGAGGGAATTTTACAGGACAGATTACATGGCTTCTTTAACAAATAAGTGACAAGAAAAAAGAGATGGATAAAGAGGAAATCTACGAATTAAAAATCTTAAGGGGCTGAGCACAGTGGCTCATGCCTGTAATCCCAGCACTTTGGGAGGCTGAGGTGGGAGGATCACTTGAGTCCAGGAGTTTGTAGAACCAGGAGTTCCAGACCAGCCTGGGCAACAAAGTGAAACCTTGTCGCTATAAAAGATATGAAAATTAGCTGGGCATGGTGGTAGGCACCTGTGGTCCCAGCTACTCAGGACGCTGAGGTGGGAGGATTGCTTGAGTCTGAGAGGTGGAGGTTGCAGTGAGCTGAGATTGCACCACTAAACTCCAGTCTGGGCTCCAGTCTGGGCAACAGAGCAAAACTCACTCTCAAAAAAAAAAAAAAAAAAAAAGAAAGAAAACAACAAATCTTGGTCAGGCACAGGTGGCTCATGCTTGTAATCCTAGCACTTTGGGAATCCAAGGTGGATCACTTGAGGCCAGGAATTTCAGACCAGCCTGGGCAACATGATGAAACCGCATCTCTACTAAAATTACAAAAATTAGCCAGATGTGGTGGCACATGCCTGTAGTCCCAGCTACTCGGGGAGCAGAGGCAGAAGGATCACTTGAGCCCAAGAATTCAAGGTTACAGTGAGCCACAATTATGCCACTCACTGTACATTTCATGAAATCTCTTTCCTCAACAGCATCCCCATTCAGATGTCACATCCATTCCGATAATATATCAGGGAGAGATGATAACAATTATGCAATTATATTGCATAATTGAATTATATTGAAATATAATCCATCGGGAGCAGTGGCTCATGCCTGTAATCTCAGCACTTTAGGAGGCCGAGGTGGGTGGATCACCTGAGGTCAGGAGTTTGAGACCAGCCTGGCCAACATGGCAAAACCCCATCTCTACTAAAAATACAAAAAAAAAAAAAAAAAAAAAGAAATTAGTCAGGTGTGGTGGCACGTGCTTGTAGTCCCAGCTAGTTGGGGCTGGCTGTGGTGGCTTACACCTATAATCCCAGCACTTTGGGGGGCTGAGGCCAGGAGTTCAAGACTAGCCTTGCCAACATGGTGAAACCCCATCTCTACTAATAATACAAAAAAAATAGCTGGGCATGGTGGCGCATGCCTATAATCTCAGCTACTCGGGAGGCTGAGGCAGGAGAATTGCTTGAACCCACGAGGCAGAGGTTGCAGTGAGCCGAGATCGCACCACTGTACTCCAGCCTAGGCGACAAGAGTGAAACTCCATCTCAAAAAAAGAGAAAGAAATATAATTCACACATCATAAAATTCACCCATTTAAAATGAACAACTGAGGGTGCGGTGACTCATACCTATAACCCCAATGCTCTTGAGGCCAAGGCGGGAGGATTGCTTGAGACCAGGAGTTGAGATCAGCCTGGGCAACATAGCTAGACCCTGTCTCTAAAAAACTTTTTTTTAAAGAAAACGAAAACTTAGCAGGGCATGGTGGCATGTGCCTGTAGTCCTAACTACGTGGGAGGCTGAGGTGGAAGGATCTCTTGAGCCCAGGAATATGAAGCTGCGGGGAGCTATGATTGCAGTACTATACTCCAGCCTGGACAACAGAGTGAGGCTCTGTCTCTAAAAAAAGTAAATAAAATGTACAGTTCAATAAATATCAGCATATTCATAAACATGCACAACCACCACCACAATCAATTTTAGAACATTTTCATCCCCCCAGAAAGAAACGCTGTGCCCATTAGCAGTTGCTTTCCATGTCCCCCATTACCCTCCTAGCCCTAGGCAACTACTATGTTACTTTCTGTCTCTATAGATTTGCCTACTGGGGACATTTCATATAAATTGAATCATACAGTACGTGGTCCTTTGTGTCTGGTTGCTTTCACTTTGCAAAATGTTCATGTTGGTAGAGGTGCTTAAAAAATAAAATAAAAAGAACAACAAAAAAAGGAAGCGAAATTCATCCATGTTGTATTGTTTTAGTACTTCATATTCCTTTTCATTGTCAAATAATATTTCATTATGTGGATATACCACACTTTATTATCACATATACCATATTTTATTCCTCAACCCAGTTGATGGATGTGTGGATTGTTTACGCTTTTTGGCTATTATAAATAATACCGCTGTGCACATTAGTGTGCAAGTTTTTATATGGACATTTTTCACTTTTTTTTTTTCTTGAGACAGGGTCTTGCTCTGTCACCTAGGCTGGAGTGCAGTGGCTTGATCACCATCCATTGCAGCCTCAACCTCAAGGGCTGAAGCGATCCTCCCACCTCAGCTTCCCAAGCAGCTCGTACGACAGGAGCACACCACCATTTTTTATAGAGACAAGCGTGTTGGGGGTGTTGGTGGGGGGGGTCTCACTATGTTGCCAAGTTGGTCTCAAACCCCTGGGCTCAAGTGATCCTCCCACCTCAGCCTCCTAAAGTGCTGGGATTACAGGCCTGAGCCACCACACCTGGCCCATTTTTCACTCTTAAACTTACAGTTGTATTGTCATACTAAACTAAGTTAATTGCCGTTTAATTTTTTATTAGCAGGTATAACAATACATTATGCACCATGGTCCAACAATGACAATAAAGTTTTTCACCACTCCGGGCATTTTATCCACACCAATGTAAATGTCCTTGGGTCCCATAGCACCAAGAGACTCTGCCACCCTTTTCTTTACATCACACTGCTTTAAAGTGACTGTAGATTCTGCTTTTGCATCATCCTAAAGGTTTATTTGTTTAATTCATCAAGACTAGGATACATTAGAATCTTGACTGGGCACAGTGGCTCACACCTGTAATCCCAGCACTTTGGGAGGCTAAGGTGGGAGGATTGCTTGAGCCCAGGAATTTGAAACCAGTCTGGGCAACAAAGTGAGATGGAGTCTTGCTCTGTTCACCCAGGCTGGAGTGCAGTGGCACAATTTTGACTCACCGCAACCTCTGCTTCCCAGGTTCAAGCAATTCTCCTGCCTCAGCCTCCTGAGTAGCTGGGATTACAGGCATGTGCCACCATGCCCGGCTAATTTTTTTATTTTTAGTAGAGACAGGGTTTCACCATGTTGGCCAGGCTGGTCTCGAACTCCTGACCTCAGGTGATCCACCCGCCTCGGCCTCCCAATGTGCTAGGATTACAGGTGTGAGCCACCATGCCCAGCCCTTTCCTTTTTTTTTTTTTTTTTTAAATAGGAGACAAGGGCTCACTCTGTTGCCAAGGCTGTAGTACAAGTGCAGTGGCATGATTCTAGCTCACTGTAGCCTCAGATTCCTGGGCTTAAGCAATCCTCTTGCCTCAGCCTCTCAAAGTGCTGGGATTACAGGTGTAAGCCAGGACACCCGGCCTCCTTTCTTTTGAATGATATTAATCTGTTCATCATTCAGCACAATTTGGAGCAAAGGAACTAGTAAGTCTTCAACAGGCTTTCACTTCATCCTGCTCCCCCAGTAGTAGGGTCATACAAAAAGTCTACGAAGGTAGAGGCCCTCTTATCACAGCAACAATCATCACTTAAGTCAAAGACATAAAATTAAGGGATACCTTAGTTTCATCACAGAACCAGTCCAAATGTGTTTGTTTGCATTCTCAACATTTCAGTAACCTCTAGGGAGTATTTCTTCTAACAATTATGGGTGGAATTGGGCAGTTCCCCTTTACAAGATATGTTTTATGTACTGCCACCTTTGTGCAGCTCAACCGATTTGGAATTTGCCCAGCTAACCACATTCCGGCAAAAGCTGCAGCTAATTGAAGATCTTCAACGAATTCAGCTAATTAAGACCAAACACACCCTTTCATTTGAAGGTACATTTGACAGTACCTAATACAAGGAAAAGAGCTCCTTTGTCATTCATGTATATCCAACCCAGCAGTGGTTCTGCAGGAAGCTCTGTCAGTCCACAGGCAACTTCACTCTTGTGTAGTTCCCTGTTTCAGTTGTCTCTTGATGCCCTCCCACTGTAGTTTCGTTGGTGATTATCTACCCGATGAGGGTCACATTCCCATCAGAAGAAATATCTGCCCAACTCCTCTTTGGCATCATGTTCCTTCCCTTTACAGAAGGAAATTGGTGGACTTGGCAACACAGGCTCTTTTTTAGTTACTTTCATTTTTGCCAAAGCAGCCTAACCAGCCAGGGAACTGTATTCTTGGCTGACTTCCTCTGTGTCTGGATTTCTTTTTAAATCTATTTAGCGATTTCCTCTTGCTCTGCATCAACCACCTTCAAGTTCCATTGTCATCCCTTTCTTCCCATTGAGAGTTGTAGCACTTCAGCAAATTCAAACAGGGATTCCCCAGCAACTAGCCTGGCACCAGTGGCTCTAAATCTTTCCCCACTTTTCATCTTTCTCCCAAACAAAGCCTTAGCTATCATTTAAATTATAAAGTAAAAAACTGGGGGGCCAGGCGCAGTGGCTCACACCTGTAATCCCAGAACTTCGGGAGGCTGGGACGGGCGGATCACTTGAGTTCAGGAGTTCAAGACCAGCCTGGCCAACATGGCGAAACCCCATCTCTACTAAAAATACAAACAAATTAGCCGGGCGTGGTGGTGCATGCCTGTAATCCCAGCTACTCGGGTGGCTGAGGCACAAGAACTGTTTGAACCCAGGAGGCAGAGGTTTCAGGCTTCAGTGCCACTGCACTACAGCCTGGGCAACAGTGTGAGACCCTGTCTCGAAAAAAAAAAAGAAAAAAAAAAACCTGGGGCCAGGCGCAGTTGCTCACACCTGTAATCCCACCACTTTGGGAGGCCAAGGCAGGCAAATCACTTGAGCCCAGGAGTTCGAGACCAGCCTGGGCAACATGGTAAGACTCCAGCTCTACAAAATAATTTTTTTAAAAGTTAGGCAGCCGTGATGGTGTGCGCCTATAGACCCAGCTACTCGGGAGGCTGAGGTGGGAGGATCTCTTGAGCCCAGGAGGTTGAGGCTATAGTGAGCTGTGATCAAGATACTGCACTCAACTTGGGTGACAGAGTGAGAGAGACCCTGTCTCAAAAACAAAAAAAAAGTAATGATCCTATTCACAGTACCCTCTTCATCAATTACACAGGTTTGGATCATTGAAAAGACTTAGAAGACTCCGCATAGTATCCTCACATAAGGCTTTAATAAAGGTAAAGGATAGATACAAAAAAAAAAAAAACCCAACAAACCAAAAGGCAAGTGAAACACCACACCCAGTTCCTAGGGTCCTTTTGCAGCCACAGAGGATGTGGAAGATGTGCTTCATCTTTAAGCAATGAACCAGCTAGATGATACATGCAAGACACCTTGGTCTCAAGAGAACTGTAACCTCATCTGAGGCTCTTTTATACTCCTCTGATCAGGTAGCCAACACTAGCTTGCATACCAGGGCTCAAAACCAGAAACAAGCTGGTATAGTCAAGCTGGGGCAGTGGCATGCACCTGTAATCCCAGCTACTTGGGAGGCTGAAGTGGGAGGATCACTTGAGCCCAGAAGTTCAAAGCCAATGAGATTTCATCTCCAAAAAGAAAGAAAGAAGCAAGAAACAGGCTGCTCCCTGGTCTGTCTCCCACCCCAGCACAGGACTCTATTAATCACTGGCTAGTACATTTCATTTAGGTTTGGCCAAGGAACAGCACCAAGGCTTCAGGCCTCCCCAGAGATAAATGAGTACAGAGTTGCAGCAGACCAGCAGACATTGATCCTGTCTGACACAACGAAGTTTGGTGGTCAATCATGCCAGTCTAGAGGCTGTTTCTGGGGGAGGAGAAGTAATTTCCAAGGCCCTTTCCAGGTCTAATATTCTTTGACTACAGTGCTAAGAGTGCCATTGAGGCAACTGTGCCATGGAGCTAGGATTTAAACCCAAGTCTGTGTGACTCCAGTGTCTGTCCTCTTTCCTCCATACCATCCTGCCTCCAAAGAGAGAAACAATAGCAAGACAAAGAAGGGACCATAGGTTTAGGTGTGGAAGAAAAGCACCTTTGCCAGGGATAGTAATTTACTTACCTGAGGTTTATCCACAGTTCTAGTCTAATAGAGGAGAATGCTGGCCAGTGGAAGGAAAGTATGTGGCTGAAGAACAAATGCTCTGTCCGTCCTTTAGTAGGAAGCAGTGAGAAAATATTTAAGGAACTAAAATGCAAAAAAAAATCGCGCAGTCAGAGACTTTACCAGTAAATGCTCTAAGGTCTTGAGTCAACAGGATTTAATCAGGACCCAAAAGGAGTAATGAAACCTACAGAGTCTCACACCAGAAGTATTTTATTCTAGTTTTTTTGTTTCTGTTGTTTTTGAGACAGTGTCTCACTCTGTCGCCCAGGCTGGAGTACAGTGGCACGATCCTAGCTCACTGCAGCCTCAAGCTTCCAGGCTGAAGCGATCCTCCCATCTCGACCTCCCAAAGTGCTAGGATTATAGGCATGAACCACCACATCCGGCCTTTATTCTAGTTTGTTAAGATTGGTTAATAGTTAAGGTGCTAGTGTCTTATTTCTGTTATAGTAACAGTTTCTATCTTTCTGGTAGCTTTTAGGATCTTTTCTCCTAAGTGTAGACCTCTCTACATTCATTGGGCTGGGTATTCAATGGGCATTTTCAATCTGAGCTCTTGGGTCTCCCATCAAGCCTGGGAAATTACCTTCTATTATTTATTTGATAACTTCCTACTGTCTGTTACTCTCTTTTTACTCTTTTGGTATTCCCACTATTCAGGTGAGTAATTAATTGATCACTTATTTTTTTTTCATATATTCTTTTCCTACTTTCTAAGGGTCTCGCTCTGTCATCCAGGCTGGAGTGCAATGGCACAATCACAGCTCACTGCAGCCACCACCTCCTGGACTCAAGTGATCCTCCCACCTAGCCTCCCAAGTTTTGGGACTACAGACGTGTGCTACCATGCACAGCTGATTTTATATTTTATTTTGTGTAGAGATGGGGGTCTCACCTTGTTGCCCAGGCTGGTCTCAAACTCCCGGGCTCAAGTGATCTGCCGGCCTCAGCCTCCCAAAATGCTGGGATGACAGGTGTGAGCCACCGCACCCAGCTGTCCTCTCCTTTATATTCCGGCTCTCCAATCTAGTTTAAAATTTCAGCAATTATAATTTCCCACAGCTCTTTCTTTTCTCTGTGCCTTATTTTCATAGTGTCAATTTTTTTAACCAGTGCCATCTTCCTGAATCTGCTGTACGATACTAATGTTTAAGTTCCTGTTTCCTGAATTATGTTTCCTCAAAGGTTTTTACCACTTACCTTGGTGTTTACTTTTCATATTATCAACTTTCCTCAAATGTGTAGTGATCCTGGGTTTTCAACTCATGTTTAAAAATTAAGTCATTTAAAAACACATTGGTCAAACTAATCATTAAAAAATCAGGAGCCACAGGAGTGGGACTTGAACCTGAGCCTTTCACTCTATGGAGAACAAGAATTACCCTAATGTCAGAATGTCAGAGAAAGATTTCAGAAAATGATTTCAAGTTACTTGGGGTTTTTTTTGTTTTGTTTTGTTTTTGGAGATGGGGTCTCACTTTGTCACCCAGACTGGAGTGCAGTGGCACAATCTCGGTTCACTGCAGCCTCTACCTCCCAGGCTCAAGTGATCCTCTCATCTCAGCCCCACAATAGCTGGGACTACAGGCATGCACCACCACACCTGGCTAATTTTTGTATTTCTAGTAGAGACAGGGTTTCGCCATGTTGCCCAAGCTGGTCTTGAACTCTTGACCTCAAGCCATTTGCCCACCTCAGTCCCCCAAAATGCTGGGATTACAGTCATGAGCCACTGGGCCTGGCCCGTTACTTGTAAAGACAAAGCTAGCAGCCGAAAACTTACTTGGAACGTTCCTTGGACATAAAATCACCATTTCTTAAAAGGATTCTTAGTTTTGGGGTGCCAGTGCCCACACTGGTTCTCTAGGTCAGCTAAGAGAAAGCAATGTGTTCAATTTTGGGGGAAGCAGGGAAGACTCCTGTAATTTTTTGCCCCAGGGTAAACACTTGTGTGTCAAATATTCTGATCATGGGGTAGAGAGAGCTGACTGTCCCGTGCACGGGCTTCCAATTAGTCCCTCAATTTTCAGCCCTTCATGTCACTCCAGCCCTCCTTCCTATCTGGCATCCTGTGTCCGCAGTTACTCCAAGCTTCTCCATAGGGCAGATAGTCTCTCATAGGAGACTCCATATTCAGGAAGCGGTTTCCTTGAGCTGCTTCCTTCCTGACTACTAGTCCATATAGTTTCTACTTTCCAAGAATGTGTTAAAATATTCTATGTGCTACTGGTCCCATTTCTGTTCTATTTTATTTTTTTTTACCTTTAAACTCTGTTGGACTTGACATTCTTGTTTTCTTAATTTTCCTGGGTTTATACTTTTAAGAATCAGTAATATTGTGTATTTATTACCAAAAACATGAACTAAAATTTACATAGAGCCTATCAAGGAAAAACCATTTCTCTACTCACATTTCTGACATCAAATATATGGGTTTTCCACCAACCAATTCTCCAATTCTCCACAGACAGCAGCTGAGTGTCTTACAATTTTACTCAATTCTGATGCTAATTAACCAGAGTTAGTGCAGACCCCACGGGTTAGGGGCTCAGCCCCCAAGACTGCCCCCTACTTCAGATGCCAGCCACAACTATTAGGACCTCAGGGTACCCACACTTCTGTCTGAGTTCACTACAAATCATGGGTATCTGCAACCCCCTCAGGTTCGATAATTTCTTTCTTGGGGGTTGGGGGAGTTTAGGAGCAGAGGTTTAATAGGCAAAAGAAAGAAAAACGAGAACAGATCTCTCCCTTGTGAGGGGCTTCCGAAAGGAAAATCCGGCCTGCGGTGGACTGCACCAGATTTTATAGGTAGGCCTGAGGAGGCGGCGTCTGATTTGCGCAGAGCCCACAGGTTGGTTTGAACAGGTGTGACGTTTACATAGCACGCGGGGAAGGTTGGGCGCCCCACCCTAATCTTACTATGACAAAGGGCAGAGTGACCTTGACATGCCATGTGCTTTCCAGAGCAAGGGCAGAGAGTGACGCTCACTGTGGTGGGAGAGGAGACCCTCTGTTCCTAGAAAATCACAACAGCATGCCCCTGTGCTATATCCCTGGTTACTACAGCAGTCTTTGTTCTTGCCTAACAAGATTACTTCCCTGAACTGTAAAACTCCCTCAGTACTGCATACAGAGAGAGGTTAGGAGACATGGTGGTCGTGGATAGGAAATGAGGGAATTATGATAGGAAAGTTGGAGGTCCTGTTGCCGACACCCCTTAGGGTGGCCGGAGGCTGGGGTCAGTCCAGAAGCCTTCGGATGGCACCAGGAGGTAGCCCCAGCCAGAAATCCTCAGTTGCTCCAGGACCTCTTCCAGCCCCACACGACAGCTTGGTCCTCCGTGAAAGGAAACTGGTTCAAACATGGCCAATATGCCCAGCAGCCCGTGGGTATTGGGGGGTTCTCCATGTTCTCCCCAGCAAGCCTGTCCCCCAAAACTTGTAAGGCTGGCAGCCACGCTCATAATTTTTAAATGGCTAATTGGTGAAGGCAGAGTTTTCTCATTCACAGAAGCAGAAGGGGGCCCAGTATTTGGTTTGGTTTGATTCTAAAATGGAGGCCAAGAGCCTCGAAATCAAAGGACAGAGTTGAGGTCCGCCCCTTTACTCACCTTTGCAATGAATGCACCTTGGAATCCCAGACGAAGTCCCCAATATGAAGTGGCATTGTTGTCTGGGGTCAATACCCGGGGTTCGTCGTCTCGCACCAACAAGGTTAAGGACACGATACACACGAAGAGTGGGTTTAGGAGCGGAGGTTTAACACGCAAAAGAAAAAGGAGAACAGCTCTCTCCCTTGTGAGAGAGAGCGGCTTCCGAAAGGAAAATCCCAGGTTCGATCGTTTCTTATAATGGCTCACAGAACTCAGAAACTTTACTTATGTTTACTGCTTTATTATAAAGGATACAGATGAACAGGCAGTCGAAGAGGTACACAGGGCAACGTCCAGAAGGGTCCCAGGTGAGCACAGGACCTTTTGTCTTCATGCAGTTTGAGGTGCATCGCCTTCTTGGTATGTGGTTGGGGTTAACCAAACCGAAAGCTCTCCAAACCTGTGGTTTATTTTTTAATGGAGGTGCCATCACTTAGGCATGATTGGCTAAATCACTGGCAACTGGTGGTTAATCAATCGCCAGCCCTTTTACCCTCTCTGGAGGTCGAGGCGTGGGGCTGCAAATCCCAGACCTCTAATCATGCCTTAGTCTTTCACGGGATAGCCCCCATCCTGAAGTTGTCTAAAGGATCCCAGCCACCAGTTAGCTCACTGTCATACACTCTTATCACTTGGAGATTCCAAAGGTCTTAGAAGCTCTTGTGTCAGGAACCAAGACCAAGTATTCTAATAAAAGATGTTTCTATCACCCCTGTCACTCAGGAAATTACAAGGGTTTCTGGAGATCTGTGCCAGGAACTGGATGAAGATCAAATATATATATTTATTATATCACAATATTGCAGCCTACTACTTGCCAGGCACAATTCTAAGCACTTTACATGTGTCCACTTAATTCCTTTAACAGTCCAAAATCAGCTATTGCTATATCATCTCCATATTACAGATAAGGAAACTCAAGCACATAGGGGTTAAGGTTAACCAGTGATCTGGCTAGTCTGTACTTTTACCTGATGTTGTGCTGCCATACAGACTAGATTTTTTTTTTTTTTTTTAGACTGAGTCTTGCTCTGTTGCCAGGCTGGAGTGCAATGGCGTGATCTCAGCTCACTGCAAACCCCGCCTCCCGGGTTCAAGTGATTCTCCTTCCTCAGCCTCCCCAGCAGCTGGGACTACAGGCACATGCCACCTCGCCCAGCTAATTTTTGTATTTTCAGTAGAGACAGGGTTTCACCATGTTGACCAGGATGGTCTCGATCTCTTGACCTCGTGATCCGCCCACTTCGGCCTCACCAAATGCTGGGATTACAGGCGTGAACCACAGCACCCAGCCAAGACTAGATTTTTAAGAAAAGGCAATCCAGATGTCCTAGAAGGTTCATTTCCTCTTTTTGGTGGTTTAGTAAATTTCTTAGTAAGGCTTCTAGCTGTTATAGCAGCATTAGTATGTGAACCACAGTTAAGCTCTAGTCCAACAAGGCCATTTCTTCAGCAGAGAAGCAATTGTTAAATAATCGACCAAGTATTCATTGGCTCCCTCTTTTTGTATCAACATACACAATTGTTACAGTGCCAGTGTTTATTGGAACCACTTTCCATGGTGCATCCAGCTGTGCCTAGACCAGCAGGTCTTTTTCCAGAAGTCCAGATGGCAGGGGAACCTCTTCACGTTGTTGACCCTTCTCCCTGTAATTTTTTCCCCAATAAACCTTTTCATTATGTTGCTGTATTTATACCCAAATACACATTACATTTATTTTAGTACCTTGTACATTTTGTTGCCCTTATAAATTGGAGGGGTTTTAAAAACTATTTTTTATTCTCAATATTCATTGATGATGTATAGGACTCCTTCTGGACTGTTTAATATATGACTGTAAATCCCCCTGAATTTTCTTAGATGTTTGTAGTATCTGATTATGACAGTTTTGTCTTTTATTTATTGCCTTGTTGCATTGATTAGGGCCTCTAATATAATGTTGCTTAATAATGAAGATAGATATCCTATCTTATTCTTGACTTTTGGTATAAATTCTTCTAAAGTTTGAGCATTAAACATGATGTTTGTTGTAGATTCTTAGTGGATACTCTTTAGCAGTTAAAGTAACTTCTCTTTTACTTCCAGTGACACTACTACCTAATTTGAAGAGAGGATTTGGAATTTTGAGTTTCAAAATAATACTGTTTTCAAACACTTTTTTAGCTAAAAAGTACACACACATAGGGCAGTGTTTTAAAGTTTAGCTACTTCAGGGCATATGTGTATACTCACTGAAGTTTTAATTTAATGGCTTATTGGTCATTCATGTATCTTCTTTGGTAAGGTAATTAAATTTTTTTCTTTTTTTTTAAAAGACAGAGTCTCGCTCTGTCGCCCAGGCTGGAGTGCAGTGGCACAATCTCAGCTCACTGCAACCTCCGCCTCCTGGGTTCAAGCGATTCCCCTGCCTCAGCCTCCCGAGTAGCTGGGATTACAGGCGCCCACCACCATGCCCAGCTAATTTTTGTATTTTTAGTAGAGACAGGGTTTCACCATGTTAGCCAGGCTGGTCTCGAACCCCTGACCTCGTGATCCACCCACCTCGGCCTCCCAAAGTGCTGAGATTACAGGTGTGAGCCACTGCACCTGGCCGTAATTAAATTCTTGACCCATTTAAAAAGTGCGTGTTTTCCTTTTTATTACTAAATTATAAGGATTCTTTATATATTTTGCATACTAGTCCTTTGTTAGATATTTACATTGCACATATATTCTCTCAGTCTGTTAACCATCTTTTCATTTTCTTAATGGTGTCTTTCAAAAAGAAGTTTTTAATTTTGATGAAGTCCAATTTTAATTTTTGTTATGATTGATAGTTTTTGTGTCCTAAGAAATCACTATCTACTCTAAAGTTGTGAAGATATTCTAAAAGTTAACATTTGTATTGTACAATATCAACTGTTAGTTGAGGATATGGAGCAACTGGAAGCTCATACATTAGTTGTGGGAATGTAAAATGGTATTAATACAATGTCTTTGGAAAAACAGTTCACTGGTGTCATGGAAAGCTAAGTATACTCTTGCCATACAATCTAGCAATTCCATTCCTACATATTTACCCAAGAAAAATGAAAACACATGAACACACAAAGATTTATACAATAATGTTCATAGCAACTTTATTCATAATAATAACCAAAAAATCAGAAACAACCCAATGTCCATTGGGGATAAACACATGGATAAACAACGTATCCATAAATGAAGTACAGGTGGTAAAAAGAAGCAAAGTATTGATATATGCAACAAATGAATAAGCTCAAAAACATTATGCTAAGCAAAAGAAGCCATACATATCATTTAATTTTTAAAAATTGTATATAACAGACAAATCTCATCTACAGTGACAGAAAACAGATCAATGTCACCGGCCGCTGGAACTCCTAGGGAGTACTCACTGCAAAGGAGCCCTTCTGGAGTGATGAAGATGTTCTCTCTCGATTGTGGTGGTCGTGGCATGGGTACAGAACACTTGTCAAAAGGCATGGAATTACTCAAGATGGGAGCATTTTTACTGTATGTTAATTATAACTCAATAAAATTGATTTTTTAAAATTCTAAGTACATATATAAATACATTAATGTTTACAGAGCATTAAGAGAAGTGAAAAAGGTCGGGCGCAGTGGCTCACGCCTGTAATCCCAGCACTTTGGGAGGCCGAGGCGGGCGGATCACGAGGTCAGGAGATCGAGACCATCCTGGCTAACACGGTGAAACCCCGTCTCTACTAAAAATACAAAAAAACAATTAGCCGGGCGTGGTGGCGGGCGCCTGTAGTCCCAGCTACTCGGGAGGCTGAGGCAGGAGAATGGTGTGAACCCGGGAGGCAGAAATTGCAGTGTGAGCCGAGATCGCGCCACTGCACTCCAGCCTGGGTGACAGAGCGAGACTCTGTCTCAAAAAAAAAAAAAAAAAAAACAAAAGAGAGAAGTGAAAAAATAATTCCATGTTTGAGATTTGTTTTTTTTGTTTGTTTGTTTTCAGACGGAGTCTTGCTCTGTCACCCAGGCTGGAGTGCAGTGGCGTGATCTCGGCTCACTGCAATTTCTGCCTCCCGGGTTCACGCCATTCTCCTGCCTCAGCCTCCCGAGTAGCTGGGACTACAGGCGCCCGCCACCACACCCGGCTAATTTTTTGTATTTTTAGTAGAGACGGGGTTTCACCGTGTTAGCCAGGATGGTCTCGATCTCCTGACCTCGTGATCCGCCCGCCTCGGCCTCCCAAAGTGCTGGGATTACAGGCGTGAGCCACCGCGCCCGGCCGAGATTTGTTTGTTTATAAAGTTACCTGAATTTGTTTTTTAAGTTTAGTAGAATTCTTTTATCAGGACCTGTTTTTAAGTTACCTATGTACCTCTCTAAATGGGATTACAGGCAGTAGCTCTCACACTTCAACATTTATGGTAACCACCTGGAGGATTTGTTAAAGCGGACTGCTAGACCCATCCTCAGAGTTTCTGATTCAACAGGCCTGTGATGGGGCTCAAGAATTTGCTTTTTTTTTTTTTTTTTGAGATGGAGTCTCATTCTGTTGCCCAGGCTGCAGTGCAGTGGTGCGATCTTGGCTCACAGCAACCTCCGCCTCCTGGATTCAAGTGATTCTCCTGCCTCATCCTCCTGAGTAGCTGGGATTACAGATGCCCTTCACCACGGCCGGCTAATTTTTGTATTTTTAGTAGAGACAGGGTTTCACCATGTTGGTCAAGCTGGTCTCGAACTCCTGACCTCGTGATCTACCCACCTCAGCCTCCCAAAGTGCTGGGATTACAGGCATGAGGCACCGCGCCTGGCCAAGAATTTGCATTTCTAATGACTTCTTGGGTGATGCTAATGCTACTTACTGGTCCAAACACTACATTTAGAGTCACTGACTGTAGAGATCCTTAAAAGATCCCTATTCCTCCAAAGAGTCAATTCTTAATGCTTAAAACTTGAACTAGGCTGGGTACAGTGGCTAACGTCTGTAATCCCAGCACTTTGGAAGGCCTAGGAGAGAGGATCATTTGAGGCCAGGAGTTGACACGAGCCTGGACAGCACAGCAAGAGTCCATCTCTTAAAAAAAAAATTCAGCCAGGCATGGTGGTGCACACCTGTAGTCCTAGCTACTTGAGAAGCTGAATTGGGAGGATCACTTGTGCCCAGGAATTCAAGGCTGCAGTGAGTTGATTGTGCCATTGCACTCCAGCCTGAGAGACAGAGTGATACTGCCTCAAAAAAATAAAAATTTAAATTTAAAACAGAAACACAAAAAACCTAAATTATCCCCTAAGGCTGGCCACGGTGGCTCACACCTGTAATCCCAGCACTTTGGAAGGCCAAGGTGGGTGGATCACTTGAGGTCAGGAGTTCCGAGACCAGCCTGGTCAACATGGTGTGAAACCACGTCACTACTAAAAATACAAAAATCAGCCAGGCATGGTGGCACATGACTGTAGTCCCAGCTACTCGGGAGGCTGAGGCAGGAGAATCACTTGAACCCGGGAGGCAGATGTTGCAGTGATCCAAGATCATGCCACTGCACTCTAGCCTGGTTGACAGAGCAAGACTCTGTCACAAAAACAAAAACAAAAAGTAAATAAATTATCCCCTAAGAGGAGTATATCCCAGGAAAGTGTAACACCTGAAACTTAAAAGATTATCTGCCCTGATGATAAACGATAGAAAAGAGACAGGCCAGGCCAAAGTTTGTCAACTGGTGGACTGAAGATAAGTTTTATTTAGCCTCTGTGTTTTTCTAAATTAGAGGCTAACATCTCAAACTTGGGAGAATTCACTTTAAAAATCCAGTTTTTACGGCTGGGCATGGTGGCTCACGCTTGTGATTCCAATACTTTGGAAGACTGAGGTGTGCAGATTACTTAAGCTCAGGAGTTCAAGACCAGCCTAGGCAACATAGGAAGACACTGTCTCTACAAAAAAAAACTTTTTAAAAATTAGCCAGGCACAATGGCACACACCTGTGGTCCCAGCTACTAGGGAGTCTGAAGTGGGACCATCACTTGAGTCTGGAAGGTCGAGACTGCAGTGAGCCATGATTGCACCAATGCACTCCAGCCTGGGGAACAGAGCAAGGCTTTGTCTCAAAAAAAAAAAAAAAAAAAAAAAAAAAAATCCAGATTTAGTTTCTCTTTAAGTATCATTCCCAGAAGAAAAAAATAGGCTGGGGCCAAATAATGGTTACCTCACTTTATTTTTACATTTTTTTGAATTAAGTAACAAAATTTAAAAAATACAAAAGGATGTACAGTGAAAAGTACATCTCCCTTCTATCCCTGATCCCCAGACTCTCAGAGGCTGCCTCCTTTAGATGGGGCGGGTGCTTTCCAGATGTCCCCACTCTGCATCAACTGGCCCTCTTTCACTTATCTGCATTGTCTGCCTGACCCCTTTAGACATCTGAGCTGCCTCCCAACCCATTTTACCACGCCTCTCCTGCATCCCCTTAACACTTGGCATGTCTGTCGTTAGCACTTTCACACAAGCTTCTTTACAAGGCTGTGTCTTTTTAGATGGGGAGATTCACAGATGCATGAGGTTAGGTTTACATCTTCTTTTGACTATCTACATCCCTGATAACTAGGATGGTGTCAGACTTATGGCAGATGTACAAGTTTGTTGAGTGAATTAATAAATTAATGAATGGGCAAATTGTGTATTGTTTCCAGGGTCCTGAGGTGTGACGCAAATAGCAATTCAGTCAGGTGAAATCAATAATTTAGATCCCATCAGGATCCCAGCCGAGTCCCCAGTCCATCTTGTAACACTTCTCCCCAGAACATACTTAAATTACCTGGAAATAATGAATCCTCTGCCCTTACAGAACTGGATCCAAAGCAGGCACTAGGGCACTCTAAGACTACTTCTCAGAAGTGTGACAACCTCCTGTACCCTTTTTCTCCTTACTACAGGGCCCAAGGACTGAAACTTCTTACCTTTTCTCCTAAACTCTGCCACCCACTAATGGCCTCAGGACTGGGATTCCACTAACCCACTCCCCAAGGGCTGATTGCACCCTTTCTTTGTCACCACTCATGAAATCATTTCATGCTATGAATTGGCCAACCGTTCTAGAGATATAGCTGAACACAGACATGACCAGAAACATGAGGAAGTTATAAAGTATTGAGAAATCCTTCTAGAAGTAGATGCAATGCCACACCACTGAGCACGAGATCTGGCTTCCTGAGCAGTTACCAAAGGACGAGATGACACAGCCCTGTGGGCAAACTAGGATCAACGGGAAATGGAAGAACTTAGGAAACTAAGTTACTTCTCCTTCCTCCCTTCAATGGACTGCTCAGAGGGGCAGTTTCTCCTTATAAACCTTCTGGAGAAGCCCCACACTCTAAGTGAACACACTTGCTGGAAGGCTCCTGTATCTCGTCACAGCTTGTCATGAAGCCTGGTCACTGCAGTAACACAATGCATCACGTTTTTCCTTGCTTTGCTTTCCCTTTTCTTCCACACTCTCACCCCCCTAGATCTGTCCCTCCCTAATAAAGTAACAATACTTTCATCTTTGCCTCAGGTTCTACTTCCTAGGGGACCTAAGTTAAGAAATTCTTGTTGTTGACCAGGCGTGGTGGCTCACGCCTGTAATCCCAGCACTTTGGGAGGCCAAGGCAGATGGATCATGAGGTCAGGAGATCGAGACCATCCTGGCTAACACAGTGAAACCCCGTCTCCAGTAAAAATACAAAAAATTAGCCAGGCGTGGTGGCAGGCACCTGCAGTCCCAGCTACTCGGGAGGCTGAGGCAGGAGAATGGCATGAACCCGGGAGGTGGAGCTTGCAGTGAGCTGAGATCGCGCCACTGCACTCCAGCCTGGGCGACAGAGCGAGACTCTGTCTCAAAAAAAAAAAAAAAAATTCTTCTTGTTGTAATTTATTGTTGTTGCAATTTTTGTTTGTTGTAATTTCTAGGGTAACCACTGAAAGAATAAAAACAAAGTATACAATTTTCAAACTAGTGACGAAAAACATAGAATGGTAGAAAGTAAGTAATCAAAAAGAAGGCAAGAAGGAAAAGATCGTATCAAATATGTAGTTAAAAAAATTTAAAAAAACGAAAGATGGAATTGTTGGAACCAATAACACAAAGATAATAGACTTAAACCCAAATATATCAGTGGTAATCTTTTAATAAATATTTATATTTATTATATATATTTATATATTTTAATATATAATATATTAAAATATATATTATATATAAATATATATAAATATATAAATATAAATATAAATAATATATTTATAAATATAATATTTATAATAAAATATATCAGTGGTAATCTTTTAATAAGTAAATATATTTATTAAATATAAAAGGTACACAGTAAATATAAATGAACTAAATGCTTTAGTTAAAAGACAATAAAAATTATGAAATAAAAATGTATACACTTGAAAGTATTTAAAATAAATCTAATTTTCATAATGAATTTTAAGCATTAAGGAGTTTTGTAACTGAATAGTGGAACTCAGAAAGACATCCTATTCAGAAGGATCTCTCATGATAATAGTTTCCTTCACTATTGTAGTATACTGTAGAGTTTCAAGAAAAAAATTAAAGGCCAAAACTGTCTTACATTACCATTGCTGTTTCTGCAATCTTCAACAAACCAAAATTTTCTCTGTAATTGTGAAAAAAGAACTCCTCCTTAAGCATAACTAAAATTTTGCCTTAACCTTATCAAATACCCAAAACTGTAGAAAGAGATAAAGCTGTTAATAGAGACATGGGTATCCCTTTTTATCAGGTCAGGAGGGTAAGTCTCTAATAGAGAGTTCTAGTAACTTCTCAAAAGGTAACTAATGAAGGCCTTCCTTCTAAACCAGATAGGGGGAGATAGAATGCTCTGAGTATTAAAGGCATCTCCTGCAAGCCACTGATACCTTTGTTGACAGAGCACACAGAAGAAAATAGCAGTTACCAGGTTACCTATAGGTGAAATTTGTTTCCACATAAAGAACCACTGGGTCCAGGCTCATGGAGTATGACTCCTGAGAGAAACTCCCGTTACTCTGATCAGTGTGTGTGTGTGTGTGTGTGTGTGTGTGTGTGTGTGTGTGTATTAAAAATGAATATTCCTGGGCTCCCAATAAACTCTCCAGGGTGGGATTACGTTGTCTTTACTGATAATGTTCTTAACTAAAAATTCTTAGTTATAAAATCACAAATTTCGGCCGGGCACGGTGGCGGAGGTGGGTGGATGACCTGAGGTCAGGAGTTGGAGATCAGCCTGATCAACAAGGTGAAACCCCGTCTCTACCAAAAATGCAAAAATTAGCCAGGCGTGGTGGCAGGCGCCTGTAGTCCCAGCTACTCAGGAGGCTGAGACAGGAGAATGGCTTGAGCCTGGGAGGCGGAGGTTGCAGTGAGCCAACAGCAGGCCACTGCACTCCAGCCTGGGCGATGGAGCAAGACTCCATCTCAAAAAAAAAAAAAAAAAAATCACAAATTTCATAGTGAAACTCAAGTTAGAGTACCTGAAGTTTATATACATAAAATAGACATACCTTTGCTATGAAAGCCTGATTTACTCTTTTTTTTTTTTTTTTTTTTTTTTTTCTTGAGACAGAGTCTAGCTCTGTCGCCCAGGCTGGAGTGCAGTGGAGCGATCTCGGTTCACTGCAAGCTCCGCCTCCTGGGTTCACACCATTCTCCTGCCCCAGCCTTCCGAATAGCTGGGACTACAGGCGCCCGCCACCAGGCCCAGCTAATTTTTTGTATGTTTAGTAGAGACGGGGTTTCACCGTGTTAGCCAGGATGGTCTCGATCTCCTGACCTCGTGATCTGCCCGCCTCGGCCTCCCAAAGTGCTAGGATTACAGGCGTGAGCCACCGCGCCCGGCTGAAAGCCTGATTTACTCTTAACTGGATATAACCAGAAAGAGTTCTGCCCACAATGATATATCTGCATTGAATCTAAAACACAGACTTCATCATACATTCTCACCTAAATTTCTCTGATGACCCAGAGTAAGGCAAAAGGTTTAGCATATGAGAGTGAAAGGATTTGAATCTCACTTTCTGTCAAACTTTAGAGCTCTGTTAACCATGGTTAGTATCAACTATGATTTTAGGCAACTTTGCTTATAGTAAAAATAACTCGTTAATTGTTACGTATCTGGATTGGGATGCACTATAAATAAATGGAGTCTTCAAGCTTTAGGCTTTCCTGAGTGTAGTGACTCTTGAAATTGACACATCCCTTGTGGATACCTGGAAGCTGTGTTTATGGAATTGTTAAGAGATATTGGTTCCTTGATGCCTGTGGAGGATCTTATCTCCTTGCACCCAAATTGTACTAGTGGACTGCTACAAGGACTTCCACTGCTAATGAGGACTGCTTGATGCTGTGCTGGCAGGCTGTTGTTTCTGTTTAATATCCTTCTGAGTAAGCGGGTACCAAGTATGGCCATGGCAGTCTTGTGAGTTTGAATGTTTAATGTAAAGTGACTTCTGTTGGTCATAGCCACAAATAATTTCAGATGTACTAACTTGATAAACATATTCCAGATGTTTGGTTAAACCTAAAAAGACCTCTCTGGTGGATGTAGCAGTACATCATTTCATATGTATTAATTTCATAACTTTTTTTTTTTTTGAGAGGGAGTCTTACTCTAGGGTGGAGTGCAGTGGCACAATCTCGGCTCACTGCAACCTCCGCCTCCTGGGTTCAAGCGATTCTCCTGCCTCAGCCTCCCAAGTAGCTGGGACTCCAGGCGTGAACCACCATGCCCGGCTAATTATTTTTTGTATTTTTAGTAGTGACGGGGTTTCACCATGTTGGCCAGGCTGGTCTCGAACTCCTGACCTCAAGTGATCTGCCCACCTCAGCCTCCCAAAGTGTTGGGATTACAGGTGTGAGCCACAGCGCCCAGCCTAATTTCATAAGTATTGATAAATTTTCATCTTACACTGAATTTACATTCAGACTTAACTTTCTTCTTACACTAAATTAATGAATTAACATAAATCATAAAGATTCTATATTTAATTATAAAAACATAAAATTATCACATCAATTTAATTCTTATAAGTTTATACATACTGCATAATGACTTTGAAAACAGTATAACTCAAAATAATAGAAAACAAAATTAATTGAATGAAGTACTACTGAATTTCAGGTATTTCTGTGACAACACAAATTTAAAATTTAATAAAATATTACCTTTTCTTAGCAAAAAGTTTCTTAAGTCAGATTATCCTTTCATGTTTTAAATGAAGCTTCTTCTAAAGAAGTCCTTTTATTCACAGTTGCAAATTTCTTTTTAACACATACAATGTATACTACATGCTGGAATCAAACACCTGAAGGAGCTGGAATCTTATGAATACAGCCAGGGCAACAGTGTAGAGAATCATGAACAAAAACATCACAGTCCACACAGAAAACATTTTGGCACACAGCACAAACATAAACCTGTAGTGAAAAGAAGAAAAGTGATAAACTAGTTTCCAAAAGTTAATTACAGCACAGCTAGATGACATTCAAGGTGTGCTTTGCTCTTTTATATCTCTACCAATTTTTTCCCACTACCTACTTTATTACTTCCAATGTACTCTATATTCTCAAATCTAAGGCAATTAATTTTTTCCCCAAAACTATCCCTTAGAAATGAGGGAATGGTTTTGTTTTTGAGTCTTTAAAGTCTATTCTATTACAGTTCGCTCTCAATTATTTCATTCTAAGGTTTAGGAAAGACATATGAGCTTCAAACCAGCGCTACTTTTGAATGCTTAGCAAGACCACCTGATTGATTCAATTAAAAAGAGAAGCATAAAAATTTAACATCGATTTAATTATTCTTAGGGAATGACCTCACAATTGCAAACATATTTCCCTTTCAAGTAAACCTTTAAAAAAATATGTCAAATGACACAGATAAGACAAGCAGAAAGGAAAAAACTACATTTGTTCTTTCAGCATTACATATATGAGTACTTGCTCCTTGGGATAAAATTTCCAGGGCAGCTTCATACACAGATTCAAAAATCACTAAATCTCAGAAGTATTTGGCTTTGAATAAAAAAAAAAAAAAAGAATGAATAAATAAATTTCAAACAACACAGACAATGACCTATTCTTAAAAACTCAAATGAGGCCGGGTGTAGTGACTCACGCCTGTAATCCCAGCACTTTGGGAGGCCAAGGCGGGTGGATTGCTTGAGCCCAGGAGTTCAGGACCAGCTGGTCAACATGGTGAAACCCAGTCTCTACTAAAAATACAAAAATTGGCTGGGCATGGTGGTGCACGCCTATAATCCCAGCTGCTTGGGAGGCTAGGCATGAGAATCACTTGAACTTGGGAGGCAGAGGTTGCAGTGAGCCAAGATTGCATCACTGCACTACAACCTGGGTGACAGAGCAAGAGTCTGTCTCAGAAAATAAAACCAAAAAACTGTCAAATGATTCAAAAAGTGGTTCCAGTTAAGAGTAAACTACTGATGTCAAAGAGGTATATAAAATTTAATAAAATTACTTTATAAATTGTGACAGTGGAAGAGCAATACTTCTAATTATTATTTTATATAATATATATAGTTTTAAATATGAACATGTAACTAAATTAAAAATTAAAGCTAGACAGTGATCCATATTATTTACATCTATACAAATTTATTTATTAAAGTTGGCCCTCTTCAAAATTTAAAAAAGTATTTTCTCATTGGCATAATGGAAGAATCACCTATTATCTGTGGCCACCTTAAACAATTTCAATGTGTTATCACACAGCTTAAAGTATAATATGAAGAAAATATTTTAAATACTTTCAGACTAAATGCAGTTTAGCTTGAAAGCTAAAGACAAATTACATGTTTTACAAGGGTGTACCAAAGTAGACAAAACAATCAAAGAATTTAAAAAAAGAGGAAAAAAATTAAAAAATTTTTAATAAAAAGTTTTAAAAAGATGAATTACAAAATACTTTATAGCAAAAATTAGAATGCAGAATAACAAAACTACTATTTAAACTATTTTGTTCCTATTTTACCTTCACCTATTGTCATTATCTTTACAAGAAATAAACTGATATGAGCCTGGTCTTTAACAACCTGTTGAAAACTTATAGTACCATTGATTTCAATATTTCTTGTACATTACTTAATATTTAGAAAGCCAAAGAACTTACATGTTGGTCTTTCAATTCCCCCTGACATCCATAACAAAATCTGAAAAAAAAGTTTAACAATGTTTTTTCTTAGAATTTACTCATTAAAATAGTTCAACAAAATCTCACTAACTAGAATCCTTTAATTAATATGTACTTGTCTTTACACATGACTTTCAGGAAAAAGAGTTAAGAATACCAATAGGCCAGGCACAGTGGCTCACGCCTATAATCCCAGCACTTTGGGAGGCCGAGGCGGGTGGATCACCTCAGGTCAGGAGTTCGTGACCAGCCTGGCCAACGTGGCGAAACCCCGTCTCTACTAAAAATACAAAAATTAGCTGGGCGTGATGGCAGGCGCCTATAATCCCAGCTACTCAGGAGGCTGACGCAGGAGAATCGCTTGAACCCAGGACACGGAGGTTGCAGTGAGCCGAGATGGTGTCATTGCACTCCACACTGAGCAACGGGAGCAAAACTCTGACTCACAAAAAAAAAAAAAAAAAAAAAAAAGAATAGCAATAATTTAAAAAAAAATTCCACAGTATATACAAGGTCATCTGACAGCCCAAAATTTAGTTTTTATTTTCATTAAGGTTAACTGTGAGCATGCTTTATTTTTCTTTGTTTTCGAGTCAGGGTCTTGCTTTGTCTCAAAGGCTGGAGTGCTGAGGTGCTATCACAGCTCACTGCAGCCTCAACCTCCTGGGCTCAAGTGATCCTCCTGCCTCAGCCTCCTGAGTAGCTGGGACTACAGGCATGTATCTCCATGCCTGGCTAATTTTTTATTGAGGCAGGGTCTCGCTATATTGCCCAGGCTGGTCTCGAATGCCTGGGCTCAAGCAATCCTCCTATCTTGGCTTCCCAAAGTGTTAGGATTACAGGCATGAGCCACCATGCCCAGCCAGAAGCACTTTCTAACGTTTGTTTGATAGTCACTTATTCTAATAAGTGCTACTTTGTGATTCTTCACAGTTATTGGCTATAAATCTCCAACTATGAAAGAAGAGAATTTAATTATCTTTCAATCATCTTGAACCCAGTAATGCATAAATATTTAACTAGTGTCATTCTCAATTCTTTCTACATAGTGAAGTCTTCCTTTTGGATAGAACAATAATCAATGTTTAGTTTACTATGCCTATAAAAATATTCTCAGCTAAGCCATAAGTTTTCCCCTATTTAAAACATTTTTTTTTTCCTGGAAATACTGTGTTGCTATTCCCAAGGTTAGTTTCCTATATAATTGACACTAATTCAGGCCCAATCTTCTCCGGAATAGTCTAACTGTCCTCTCGATATGTTCAAATACATCAGGAGTTCTGCAGTTTTCATCCCCTTGGTGATCTCTCTCCTGGAGCATCCTGACTGTCTCCAAACTGGACGGTTCCCCATATGTGACACACAGGTATCATTCTGGAATTTCTCCTTACCATCATCCTAGGCCGTTCTTCAGCCTGTTTTGAATTAGATACATATTACTAGATCCCATGTCATTCTCCTTCTCAGTTCCTTTGAATCACCTACCTCTTCCAGACCTTCCCCAGAAAAATCTCTTTTTGAGACCTTACAAGTCTGAAAATGTCTTTATTCTACCTACACTTAACTGATAGTTTGGCTGGGTATCTAAGTTGGTAACAATTTTCACCACAAACTTTGAAGGTGACTGCTCCCTCTCTGCATCCGGTGTTGCTAATGAGAAGCCAAACAATTTTAATTCCAGATCCTTTGTGTGTGACCTAGTTTTTCCTCTCTGGAAATGTTTAGGGTTAATGGTTTATTGTGTATTCTGAAATTTCACAATTATGGGGTCTGCCTTCCTTCAATACGTTAGGCACTTGGCAGTCCCTTTCTTTTATCTTCGTTGCAGAGATGAGGTCTTGCTGTGTGACCCAGGCTGGCCTGGAACTCCTGGCCTCCAGTTATCCCCCAGTCTCAGCCTCCCAAAGTGCAAGGATTAGAGCTATGAGCCACCCTTCCCAGCCAACAGGCCCTTTCAATCTAGAAAGTTCTGTCCTTCAATATAAAATTTCTTTGAACTATGTCTTTGATGATTTTCTATCCTACTTTTTTTCTTTTTTTCTCGTATCATTCTCATATTGGACCTTCTGGATAATTCCACCAGTATTCTTATCTTTACTCTCCTATTTGAACCTCTTTATTTTACTCCTTTTATTGTACTTTCTGGAATATTTCTTCAACTCTATCTTCTATAGTACTGGGTTTTTCATTTTTACTACATTTAACCTCAACCATAAGCAAATAAATACCAAGCTAAAACAATGAGACTTTTTTCTTTTTCTTTTGCCTGTGAGTTTTGGCCAATATAAAAAAGTTTCATAATACCTAATGTTGGCTAAATGTGGGAAAACAATAAATGAAACTTCTTTGAAGAACAACTTTACAATATCTATCAAAATTCACAAAACATGTAAAACTCTTGACTCAGTAATTTTACCTCTAGGAATTTACCATGCATTTATACTTGTACAAATGTTCAAAAATATAGATATAAGCATTATTTGTTAATAGCAAAAAAAGAAAATCTTAAATATCCAACAGGAAGCAATTGATTATATAAACCATAATTATACCTGAAATATGCAACAATTTCAAAAACAACATTGATCTAGATATGGTGATATTGAATGACTTCTAAATGACTTAAGTGTGAAAAGCAAGATGGATACATAATTGTTTTTGGCTAGCCAGTAAGTGTTTAATGTGATTCCTAAATCCTGGATGTTCTTTTTTTTTTTGATGGAGTTTCGCTCTTGTCGCCCAGCTGGAGTGCAATGGTGTGATCTTGGCTCACTGCAACCTCCACCTCCCAGGTTCAAGGGATTCTCCTGCCTCAGCCTCCTGAGTAGCTGGGGATTACAGGCACCTCCCACCACACCCGGCTAATTTTTATATTGTTAGTAGAGACGGTGTTTCACCATGTTGACCAGGCTGGTCTCGAACTGCTGACCTCAGGTGACCCACCTGCCTCGGTCTCCCAAAGTGCTGGGATTACAGGCGTCAGCCACCGTGCCAGCCGATCCTAGATGTTCTTAAAAGTAGTAAATCTTTATTTTCTGAAAACTATTCTCTAAAGGATTGACTACCTCTATTTCAGACCTTATTTGTTGTATTTCACACAAATAGCATTCGTAAAAATACTTAAAGATTTTAGATAAATTATGTTATGCCAGATTTTTTTTTTTTTGAGACGAAGTTTCGCTCTTGTTACCCAGGCTGGAGTGCAGTGGTGCGATCTTGGCTCACCGCAACCTCTGCCTCTCGAGTTCAAGCGATTCTCCTGCCTCAGCCTCCCGAGTAGCTGGGATTACAGGTATGCACCACCATACTAGGCTAATTTTGTATTTTTAGTAGAGATGGGGTTTCTCCATGTCATTCAGGCTGGTGTTGAACTCCTGACCTCAGGTGATCTGCCTGCCTTGGCCTCCAAAAGTGCTGGGATTACAGGTATGAGCCACCATGTCCAGCTTTTTTTTTCTTTTTTAAGAGACAGTGTCTCACTATGTTGCCCCAGCTAGTCTTCAACTCCTGGCCTCAAGTGATCCTCCCACCTCAGCCTCCCAAAGTGCTGAATGAGCCTCTTATTTTCAGTAGTGTGCTAGGACTGGATTGTACTGGATCAAAAGGATATATTGTTAAATATGTATTCAAGAAAGCTGGTTGTTAATTGTAGCTAAAAATTGGCCATGGTGGGAGTATTCAAACCATGGAAATCAGCAAATACTACCAATCAGGGCTTTTTTTCTTTTCCTTCTGGAAAACTGATTTAGTAGTACAATCATCACCCCTATTTATACATAGGTGGGTTTAGTGAAATTATTTGGTTTCTGGAGATTCAGATCTATTTAGCAACGAGTCATTTCAATCATAACTATGGCATTCTTTATCTCATCTTCCATATTAGAAGTACTCTTGTCCAAGTTAATCAGATTATTTTTTAAGGTAGTAACAATCTATTCAAACATTAGCTTACCACTTATAACAGATATAAATTAGTCCAAACTGAAATACCTTTCTCCATTATATTCTTCTAGGGGAATTTCTTGAAAAGCATCCAAAGGAAACAAATGATGGTAAGACCGTGCCAAGTGGGGAGCAGACACCAAAGTAAGACCTAACACATTAAGCAGAGAGACATGTTGAGTAGTCCAAACCTCATGAAGACAACGGCTGAAAAGCCAAAAGATGTAACTTCAGCAGAATATGTTCAGTTTCTTTTAGGATGGCAGTTATTAATTTTACCTGTGGCTATAACAGAAGATTGTAGGATGGAGTCTTAGTTCTGTCACTAAGTGTGTAACCAACCTGTCTCGGTCTATTTGCTTACTTATATTATAAATGAAATAAAATTCGACAATTCTATTAGTTTAATTCTTCATTCTTATATATATTTACTTTATAAAGGTAAGAGATGGAAAAATGTCTACTACATCTACTGCACTGCCTTTAAAGAATATACTTTTTTCAGAAAGAGGATCAGGAAACTAGAATGCTACATTTATACGTGGAAGTGGAGTACTGGGCACTCAATTTAAAAAGTAATCTATTTTTCTTTGCACAGATTAAATCCAGAAACATAGGAATAACTTAACATTTACATTAATTTTAGCAGCAATACAGATTAAGAAGTCATTCAAGATTTACTGAATAATGAATAGTTGTTTTCTTACCACAGATTTTACATTCAACAGGTAGCTCACAGTACTTTGCCCGACACTGTGGGCAGAAATAGCCTCCTAATGTAAGCCCTGGCTCAGTATTGCCATCCAAATGCCTGTAGGGGGAAAAAGGGTAATATATAATGATCTGAAAAGTTAGAGCGGGAAAGCATGCTATCTTGACCTTAAAATCTTGACACTATTTAAAAATCTATTTAAAAGTCTGTATTTTTGGCCGGGCGCAGAGGCTCACACCTGTAATCCCAGCACTTTGGGAGGCCAAGGCGGGTGGATCACCTGAGGTCAGGAGTTCAAGACCAGCCTGGCCAACACGGTGAAGCCCCATCTCTACTAAAAAATACAAAAATTAGCCAGGCGCCTGTAATCCCAGCTACTTGGGAGGCTGAAGTAGAATTGCTTGAACCCAGGAGGCAGAGGTTGCAGTGAGCTGAGATTGCACCACTGCACTCCAGCCCGGGTGCCAAGAGTGAAACTCCATCTCAAAAAAAAAACAAAAGAAGTCTATATTTAAAAAAAAAATTTATAACTTTTTGTAGAGATGGGGGTCTCTCACTATATTGCTGGTCTTGAATTCCTAGCCTCAAGTGATCCACCTGCCTTAGCTTCCCAAAGTGCTGGGATTATAGGTGTGAGCCACCATGCCTGGTCTAAAAGTCTATTTTAAAATCTGTGAGTATGTCTTATAACTCAATTATGCTACATTCATTTTTTTCCCCCTCTTCATTTTTTTTTTTTTTTTTTTGAGACGGATTCTCACTCTGTTGCCCAAGCTGGAGTGCAGTGGCACAATCTCAACTCACTACAATCTCCGCCTCCCAGGTTCAAGCAATTCTCGTGCCTTGGCTTCCTGAGTAGCTGGGATTACAGGCACGTGCTACCACACCCAGCTAATTTTTGTATTTTTAGTAGAGATGGGGTTTCATCATGTTGGCCAGGCTGGTCTCAAACTCCTGGTCTCAAGTGATCTGCCTGCCTCGGCCTCCCAAAGTGCTGGGATTACAGATGTGAGCCACTACACCCAGCCCTTCTCTTCATTTTTAAAGTCTCTATTACTATCTTTGAATTCACTAATTTTTTCTTCTGCAGTGTCTAATCTGCTGTTAATCCCAGCCAATATATTTTTCATCTAAAACACTGTATTCTTCATCACTAGAAGTTTGATTTGGGTCTTTTTTATACCTTCCATATCTCTTCTTACCATTCTCATGTTCTCTAACATCCTGAACATACAGAGTACATTTATAATTGTTGTCCTAACATCTTTGTCTACTAATTCTTTTTTTTCTTTTTTGATAAGAGTCTCGCTCTGTCACCCAGGCTGTAGTGAAATGGCACGATCTCAGCTCGCTGCAACCTTTACCTCCTGGGTTCAAGTCATTCTTGTACCTCAGCCTCCCAAGTAGCTGGGATTACAGGCGTGTGCCACCAGGCCTGGCTAATTTTTGTGTTTTTAGTAGAGATGGGTTTCGCCATGTTGGCTGTGCTGATCTCGAACTCCTGGGCTCAAGTGATCTGCCCACCTGAGCCTCCCAAAGTGCTAGCATTACAGGCATGAGCTACCGCACCCAACCCTTTGTCTATTAATTCTACCAACTGGGTTATTTCTGGGTATGTTTCCATTCTGTGATTTTTCTCCATTTTATGGGTCATATTTTCCTTTGCATCCCTGGTAATTTCTGCCAGGGACTATGAATTTTGCTTTGCCAGACATTGTGAATTTTGCTTTGTTTTGGGGGCTGGATTTTTTCTTTTTCTTTTTTTTTGTATTCCCTCAAATATTTAAGGGTTTGTTCTGAAATATACTTCATTAACTTGGAAATAGTTTAATCTCTTCAAAATTTGCTTTTAAACTTTGGTAGGCTGGTCTAGAACAGCTGTTAGTCTAGATTTTTCTTTTCTTTTCTTTTCTTTTTGCCTCTGGTTCCAGTTCTTGTGATAGAATTAATTTGATCCCATTACTGTGGACTCTATTCAATGCCTGTCATGTTAAGAGGTATTTCCATACAGACTGGTGAGAACATGAATGTTCTCTGTGTGAGCTCTGGAAACTGTTCTGTCTGCTGCTTTCCAGTGATTTTTTCCCTGACTTCCAGTAGTCTCCTCACACAAAAGGGCTGATCAACGCTCAGCTGCTGACTCATGAGCAAGTCTATGCAGCTCCCCAGAGAGTTCTCTCTGTGCAGATCTTTCCTCTCCAGTACTCTGACCTGCAAAATTATCGCCATCTCAGCCTCCTTGAAAGATGAACTTTGTTTCTTCAACTCAACAACATCTCCAGCCTCTGTGTGCAGCCTGGAAATTCCATCCAGGCAGTAAGGTGGAGTGCTCTTAGGGCCCATCTCATTTGTTTCCTTTCTTTCAGGGATCATTATCAGCAAGGCTTGCTGTCCAACGTCTGAAAACCACTGTTTTATATATTTTGTCTGCTTTTTTTGACAGGAGGGTAAATCTAGTCCCTGTTACAGCTTTTTGGCTGGAGGCAGAAATCTTGTTTGTGATTTTTAAGAATTACTCTCTTAAATTTAATTTTGTTTTATAATTATGTAAAATACAAAGCTCTGAAGTTAAAACAAGGTACAGTAATATTCTATATAACATTTTGGTCAGTGATGAACCACATATATGACAGTGGTCCCATAAAATAATACATTTTAGTTGTACCTTTTCTGTGTTTAGTTAAACAAACACTAGGTGTTACATTACAACTGCCTACATTATTCAGTACACAATATGCTGTACAGGTGTGCGGCCTAGGAGCAATAGGCTATACTATATAACTGCGATGTTAGTAGGCTACACTATCTAGGTTTGTGTAAGTGCACTCTGTGATGTTTGCACAATGATGGTATCACCTAATGACGCATTTCTCAGAATGTGTCCCTATCATTAAGTGATGCATTCAGAAAAGTCTAGGGTCTAACCCTTTGCTTTTCCCTACACACTCACTGAGGTAAACATTAAAAAAAAAAATTTCCCCCTCCACCCCTTTTAAGTTTTTATTATTTCCATACTATTGTTTTTATTATTAACATAAACAAGTATATACATCCACTTACATCTCTACTTTCTTCTTAGGTGATTAGCAGCATACTACAAAATTCTCTCAAACTACTGTTTTACTTAGTAATTTATCCTGAAGATCACTCCATACAAGTATATAGAGATAGTCTTCATTGCCTATCTTTTGAATTTATAACTTAAAAGAAGGAATTAAAAATGTAAAAACATTATTACTGATATTTTCAAGGTCTTTACTTACGCCATGCTGAAAGAGGGTTTTGCATCCTGGTCAGATAAAGAAGCAATGGTGTGCTGAGGAAATCCTTCATAGAAGAAAATGTATTACTTTCTTTTTCCAAGCAAACAGCAGAATTCTAGGACTAAGAACCTAAAAATGTTCTTCTCAAAAAGCCAATGAAGTTGTACAAAATATCACTTTACTGCCTTTCAGATAAGCTTATTATAGCATGATGAAACTGACTAATTCCAAGCTACAAGAAAAAGTAGAGGAAACGGGGGAAAGACCTGTCTATATATGACCTCAGATTCTGAAGTTCATATATATATTTTTCTTTTTTTTTTTTCTTGAGATGGAGTCTTGTTCTGTCACCCAGGCTGGGGTGCAGTGGCATGATCTTGGCTCACTGCATCCTCCACTGCCTGGGTTCAAGCGATTCTCCCACCTCACCTTCCCATGTAGCTGGGATTACAGGCATCTGCCACCATGCCCAGCTATATATTTTCTAACTTAATGATTAACACTACTTTTTAAAGAGGTTGTAATTTTTACATCATTTCTGATAAAACTGAAGATATCATAGTACACCTTCATTTTATCTACGTTTATGCTTTTATGTTTAAAATTTTGAAATGCTCAAATCTTTCATGTAATTTGTTTTCCATATACAATTTTAAATTCTGAAAACATGTTCAGGAAAAGCAGAAACCATTTTTAAAAAGATATATTACATAAAAAATGTAAATGTATCTACATATCAAAACAAATAAATAAAAGTAAAGGCAAATAACCAACAAGAAAAATATTTGCATCGGGTGACTGAGAAGGGTTAACATTCCTAAAGGACTCTAATAAATAAATTATAAATTTAAATAACTTTAAAATGAAATAAGAAAATATATCAGTAAATCAAAAAGATTAGCCAAACATAAGATCTAAAATATATTGAATGTTTACATCAAGCATTATTCTAAACGCATCATCTGTATTAACTCAATCCTTGAAACACACAATAAGGTTGATAGTTACTGACATCATTAAACACATGAGAAGACCGTGGAAAAGAGAGGTCGACTGGTAATATAAAAGGCCAAAAGTAGAAAAGCATTTTATTTCATTAACATTTAAAAACATACATATTAAATAAGGAGATTATTTTTCTATTAAAAGTTATACTTTTTTCAATCTAAATGTAATAAATTTTCATTGTAACATTTTTGTAAAATAGAAGAAAATAACATTTTAAAAAAGTGATCCAAGGCCGGGCACAGTGGCTCAAGCCTGTAATCCCAGCACTCTGGGAGGCCGAGGCGGGCGGATCATGAGGTCAGAAGTTCAAGACAAGCCTGGCCAACATGGTGAAACCCCGTCTCTACTAAAAATACAAAAATTAGCTGGGCATGGTGGTGCCCGCCTGTAATCCCAGCTACTCGGGAGGCTGAGGCAGGAGAATTGCTTGAACCTGGGAAGCGGAGGTTGCAGTGTGAGCTGAGATCGCACCACTGCACTTCCAGCCTAGGAAATAGAATGAGACTCCATCTCAAAAAAAAAAAGAAAAAAAAAAGTGATCCAAAACCAATAATTTCCCCTCCTTTGAGCAATTTGGTGTACTTCCCTGCAAGCTTTGTCTTTGCACAGTTTGTATTACACAGCTTTGATCATCCAGTACAGAGAATTTTGTAGCTTATTTTATTTTTATTTTATTTTATTTTTTTGAGACAGAGTCTTGCTCTGTCACCCAGACTGGAGTGCAGTGGCGCAATCTCAGCTCATGGCAACCTCCGTTTCCTGAGTTCAGGCAATTCTCCTGTCTCAACCTCCTGAGTAGCTGGGATTACAGATGTCTGCCACCATGCCCAGCCATTTTTTGGTAATTTTTAGTAGAGACAGGGTTTCGCCATGTTGGCTAGGGTGGTCTCAAACTCCTGACCTCAGGTGATCCGCTAGCCTCGGCCTCCCAAAGTGCTAGGATTACAGGCATGAGCCACCACGCCCGGCCTTTGTAGCTTATTTTAAAAAATTTTTAATATAAGTGTTTTTCTTTTGTTTTCTTTTTTGAGACAGAGTCTCGCTCTGTCGCCCAGGCTAGAGTGCAGTGGTGTGATCTCGGCTCATTGCCAGCTCTGCCTCCCGGGTTCATGCCATTCTCCTGCCTCAGCCTCCCGAGGAGCTGGGATTACAGGCGCCCGCCACCACGCCTGGCTAATTTTTTGTATTTTTAGTAGAGATGGGGTTTCACCGTGTTAGCCAGGATGGTCTCGATCTCCTGACCTCAAGATCCGCCCACCTCGGCCTCCCAAAGTGCTGGGATTACAGGTGTGAGCCACCGAGCCCGGCTTAATATAAGTATTTTTCTATAAACACAGTTTATACCTTTCTAGCCTTAAAAATAAAGAAAGCCAACAGTATTTTCTGGGTGACAGGACTACTGGTAGTTTTAATTTTTTTTTTCCACTTCTCTGTACTTTCCAAAATTGCTTCAACAAGCATATTTTTTCTTTAAAAATTCTTAAATATTAAAATAACTTGTGCAAATGAAAATAGAGAGCCTAGATATGTATTTTTTAAAAACATAAAAACACTTACCCATACGAATAAGTGAGCATTCAGAACTTGAGCTAGCAGGAGGAGGACTAAGATGATGTGTGAGCAACTCTTTGTAATGGCTTTCATCTAAAATAACATGGTACGTGCCTAACAAGATGAAAAGGGAAAAAAAAACACCTTCATAGACATAACGAACTGTACGTTCTATGTAATTCTGTAAAAGTTGTATCATCTGAAAATGTACATTTTTAAAATAATGATTTTAGCTAAATTATCACTTTTAAAACCTTATTTAAGTAATATATCTAAATCAACTTCTCTAGGAATAACTATAATTACAATTGATTATTATTACTATTATTATTATTTTAACATATAAATAGAGACAGGTCTCACTATGTTAACCAGACTGATCTCAAACTTCTGGCCTCAAGTGATTCTCCTGCCTTGGCCTACCAAAATGTTGAGATTACAGGCATGAGCTATCATGCCTGGCCTGTAATTACAATTTAATTAAAGACAAGTTATAAAATCTTTATAAAGAATTACATACAGTAAAATTTCCAGCTTTCCAAGAGTTATAATACCTCCTCTAAATACTGACATAAGTACTGAAAACTCTTTGCATTTGGAGATGATTTCTTATGGAATCAATGATATATTTAAGATGACTGCCCATATTTTAGACTACTTTAAGTTTAGTAGCTCAGAACAGATTAAAACATCCTAATTTAATTAATAAATTATTTCCTACACAGTAATTATAAGCAAATATTAAATAAATTATATATATACCACCAGTTTCACGAGCAAGTACAGTGCAAACGCGAACTTCTGCAGACAATCCAATAACAGATACTCTAATTTTAGCTGCCTTTAGGGTCTTCATAAAATCCAAGTAGATAGATAGTTTTAGGAAAGAAGAAAAACATTTAAGATTTAATGTATTTGAAAAATAAAGAATGCTCTGAAAACTAGTAATAAATTCAATACATCTAACACAAAGATGAATCACACATACAAAAATACATATATATATAAATCAATTTGCTACAGAATTCTCTTTACAGTTATAACTTTGGTTTTGATTTTTTGGTCTACCTTGATTAGATCATAAATATTAGATGGATCGCAAGTTGTAAGGCTGCTAAAGATGATTAGTACTTCTCGACTTGTATGTCCAGGCATGTGTCTTAAAAGAAAGATAAAATACACTCCAATTAGGTACAACAAATTATACTACCAAAAAATTTACCCAGAAAGAACAGTAAACATAGGATTACACATTTAGACTATAGAATATCTCATTTGTTTCAACAATGCAAAGAAAGGTTGTGAGTATATTTTAAACACTTTAATGCAAATTTTTCTAAAATGAGCTATGCACTTCAAAAAATTGTTAATTGATTCATTTAATATTTACCAAGTACTCTCAAGTTCTGGGGGTAGAGTGATAAACAAGACTGACAATGTTCCCGACATCATTAAGCTTACATTCTAGTAGGTTTGTTTCATACAAAGTCTAGAGTATACAATAAAAAATACAACAATATATGGATAAACTTTAAACTAAAATGTGGCAATATCATATGGATCAGCTTTAAAGTGCAGAGATGTGGCTTCAAAACAGTAACACACACTTCTTTCTCAAAGACTATAGTAGTCCCCTCTTATCTGCAGAGGATACATTCCAAGACCCCCAGTGGATACCTGAAATCAAGGATAGTACTGAACCCTATATATACAGTCGTTCTTCGGTATCCTTGGGGGATTGATTTCAGGCCCTCCTATGGATACCAAAATCTGCAGATGTTCAAGTCCCAGATACAAAAGGGCGTAGTATTTGCATATAACCTATGTACATCCTCCCATATATTTTAAGTCATCTCTAGATTATTGATAATACCTAATACAATGTATACTATGTAAGTAATTGTTATCCTCTATTATTTAGGGGATAATGGCAAGAAAAAATGTCTATTTGTTCAGTACAGGTACAATTTTTTTCCAAAAATTTTTGATGCGTGGTTGATCGAATTCCCAGGATTCAGAGGGCTGATTATACCATGTTTTTCCCTATACAGGCATACCTTGGAGATACTGCAGGGTTGGATTCCAGACCGCAGCAATAAAGCAAATATCACAATAAATATTTGCAATAAAGCAAGTCACATGAACTTTCAGGTTTCCTAGTGTATATAAAAGTTCTGTTTACGGCCAGGGATGGTGACTCACGCCTGTATTCCCAGCACTTTGGGAGGCTGAAGCGGGCACATCACGAGGTCAGGAGATCGAGACCATCCTGGCTAACACGGTGAAACCCCGTCTCTACTAAAAATACAAAAAAATGAGCCGGACGTGGTGGCAGGAGAATGGTGTGAACCCAGGAGGCGGAGCTTACAGTGAGCCAAGATTGCGCCACTGCACTCCAGCCTGGGCGACAGAGCGAGACTCCGTCTCAAAAAAAAAAAAAGAAAGAAAAAGAAAAGTTCTGTTTACACTATACTGTAGTCTAGTAAGTGTGCAACAGCATTATATCTAAAAAAAAAAGTACACACCTTTATGAAAAATACTTTATTGCTAAAAATCGACTGAACTGTCAGTGAATAATATCTTTTTGTTGAAGGAGAGTCTTGCCTTGATATTGATGGCTGCTGACTGATCAGAGTGGTGCTTTCTGAAGGGTGAGGTGGCTATGGCAATTTCTTAAAATAAGACAAAGTAGTTTGTTACATGGGTCAACTCTTCCTTTCATGAAAGGAATGCAAATGCTGTTTGGTAGCATTTTATTCATAGTAGTACCTCTTTCAAAATGGGAGTCATTCCTTTGAAACCCCACTGATGCTTTACCAACTAAGTTTATGGGCTATTCTTTTTTTGTTTTGAGACTGATTCTTGCTCTGACACCCAGGCTGGAGTGCAGTGGTGCGATCTCGGCTCACTGCAACCTCTGCCTCCTGGGTTCAAGCAATTCTCCTGCCTTAGCCTCCCCAGTAGCTGGGATTACAGGCATGCACCACCATGCCCAGATAATTTTTGTATTTTTAGTGAGGACGGGTTTCACCATGTTGGCCAGACTAGTCTTGAACTCCTGACCTCAAGTGATCCATCCGCCTCGGCCTCCCAATGTGCTGGGATTACAGGCATGAGCCACCATGCCCAGCCAGTGTAGATATTTTGACCTCTTTCTATGAATGGCATTTAGAATGGTGAATTCTTTCCAGAAGGTTTTCAATGTACTTTGCTCAGATCCATCTATGGCAGTCACAGCCTTATGATATGTATTTCTTAAATAATCAAGACGTGAAAGTTCAAAGTATTCCTTTATCCAAGGGTTGCAGAATGAGTGCTATGTTAGTAGATATGAAAATAACATTAATCTTCTTGTACATCTCAATTAGAGCTCTTGGGTGACTGGGTGCATTGTCAATGAGCAATAATATTTTGAAATAAATCTTTTTTCTGAGATATATCTCAACAATGGGCTTAAAATATTCAGTAAGCCCATGCTGTAAACAGATGTGCTGTTATCTGGGCTTTGTTATTCCATTTGCAGAGCACAGACTGAATAGATTTAGAATAATTCTTAAGGACTCTAGGATTTTCAGAATGGTAACAAACATTGGTGCCAACATCAAGTCACCAGCTGTATTAGCCCCTAACAAGAGAAGAAGCCTATCCCATGAAGCTCTGAAACCAGGCATTCACTTCTTCTAGCTATGAAAATCCTAGATGGCATCTCCTTCCAACAGAAGGCTGTTTCATTTACATTGAAAATATGAGGCCAGGTGCAGTGGCTCATGCTTGTAATCCCAGCACTTTGGGAGGCAGAGGCGGAGGACTGCTTGAGCCCAGGAGTTCAAGACCAGCTGGGCAATGTGGCGAAACCCTACCTCTACAACAACAACAACAACAAAAATTAGCTGGGTGTGGTGGCACATGCCTGTAGTCCCTGCTACTTGTGGGGCTGGGAGAATAGCTTGAGCCTGGGAGTTTGAGGCTGCAGTGATCCATGATTGCACCACTGCACTCTAACCTGGGTGACAGAGCGAGACCCTCTCTCAAAAACAAAAAAGAAAAAGAAAATTTGATATTTAGTGTAGTCACCTTCATCAATTATTTTAGCTAGATCTTCTGGATAACTTGCTGCAGCTTCTACATCAGCACTTGCTGCTTCCTCTTGCACTTTTTTTTTTTTTATTTTGAGACGGAGTCTCACAGTGTCGTCTGGGCTAAAGTGCAATGGCGCGATCTCGGCTCACTGCAACCTCTGCCTCCTGGGTTCATGCGATTCTCCTGCCTCAGCCTCCCGAGTAGCTGGGATTATAGGCGCACACCACCACACCTGGCTAATTTTTTGTATTTTTAGTAGAGACAGCGTTTCACTATGTTGGCCAGACTGGTCTTGAACTCCTGACCTCATGATCTGCCCACCTTGGCCTCCCAAAGTGCTGGGATGACAGGCGTGAGCCACCGCGCCCAGCCCCTCTTACACTTTTATGTTTTGGAGATGGCTTCTTTCATTAACCTCATGAGCTCAGCTCTGTTAGCTTCAAACTTTTCTTCTGCAGCTTCCTCACTGCTCTCAGCCTTCATAGAATTGAAGAGAATTAGAGCCTTGCTTTGGATTAGGATTTGACTTAATGGACTGTTGTGGCTACTTTAATCTTCTATCTAGACCATTAAAACTTTGTCTGTATCAGCAATAAAGCTGTTTCACTTTCTTATCATTCATGTGTCCACTGAAGCAGCACTTTGAATTTCCATTATTTTTTTCTTATTTTGAGACAGGATCTTGCTCTATCATACAAGCTGGAGTACAGTAGCACAATCGTAGCTCACTGCAGCCTCAAACTACTGGGCTCAATCCTCCTGCCTCAGCCTCCTGAGAAGTTAGGGACTACATACAGGTGCTCGCCACTGTGCCTGGCTAATTTTTTTTTTTTTTTTTTTTTTGTAGAGATGGAGGTCTTGCTATGTTACCAGGACTGGTCTCAAACTCATGGCCTCAGGTGATCCTCCCATCTTAGCCTCCCAAAGTGTTGCAGTTACAGGTAAGAGCCACCACGCACAGCCCAGCACTTTCAATTTCCTTCAAGAACTTTACCTTTGCATTCACAATGTGACTAAGTGTTTAGCACAAGAGACCTAGCCTTCAGCCAGTCTTGCATTTTGACATGCCTTCCTCACTAAGCTCAATCATTTCTAGCTTTTGATTTAAAGTGAGACATGCGACTCCTCCTTACTCTTGAACACTCAGAGGCCACTGGAGGGTTATTATTGGTGTAACTTGAATATTTTTGTGTCTTAGGAGATGGGGGGGCCGAACAGAGGGAGAGAGACTGGAAAACAGCCAGTTGGTGGAGCAGTCAGAACACACGTAACACTTATCAATTAAGTCTGTTGTCTTATATGGGCGCAGTTTGTGGTGCCCTAAAATAATTACAATAGTAACATCAAAGATCACTGATCACAGATCACCATAACAGATATAACAATAATTTACAAAGCTTGAAATATTGCAAGAACTACCAAAGTGTGATATAGAGGCAAGAAGTGAGCACATGCTGTTAAAAAAAAATGGCACCAACAGACTTGCTCAACAGAGTTGCCATAAACTGTCAGTTTGTAAAAAAAAAAGTTATCTGAAAAGTGCAATAAAAGTGCAACAAAATGAGGTGTGCCTTACATACACACCTATGATCAATAATGTATAAATTAGGCACAATAAGAGATTAACAACAATAACTAATAATGGAACATTTATAACAACGTGCCGGCATCACTACTCCTGCACTTTGAGGTCATTATTAAGTAAAATAACACAAACACTGCAATAGTTTTGACAGTCAATAACAACAGTTAATCTGATGACTTAGGCCATTACATGGGTGGGCAGCATATACTGTGAGGATCTACAGGACCAAGGGATGATTCACGTCCTGGGCAGGACAGAGAGGGAAGGTGTAGGATCTCATCACGCTACCCAGAATGGCACACAACTTAAATCTTATGAATTATTTATTACTGAAGTTTTCAATTTAATATTTTCAGACCAAGAGTAACTAAAACTGGAAAGTGAAACTGCAGATAAGGGGGGATTACTATAATTTAACCTCACAGTAATTCAGAGTCATAATAATCATGAACATTAATATTGCATACCATTTAATTAAAATGATAGCTTGTAGAGTTTTAAGTTGTGGTGACCAGTTTTCACCTACACTAAATAGACGTTTTTATGCTTTCTGCAGCAATTTTATCAATTAGTTATAGCTTTCCTGCTTATATTTTCATTGTTATCGTCTCAGCTCTCACTGGTAGACCCTACTACTGTACTTACCTCTATTACATGTGTTGCCTCCTTCTCATCCACTTCAAAACTAGAAAAATATCTATTATATAAAGGTATAAGTCTGAGCCAGGGCAGACTATCCAGAGATAAAATATATAAGCTTTAGGGAGGCTGAGGTGGGCGGATCGCTTGAGGCCAGGAGTTCAAGACCAGCCTGGCTAACATGATGAAACCCCATCTGTACTAAAAATACAAAAATTGGCTGGGCATGGTGGCACACACCTGTAATCCCAGCACTAGGGAGGCTGAGGCACAAGAATCACTTGAACCCAGAGGTGGAGGTTGTAGTGAGCTGAGATCACGCCACTGCATGCCAGCCTGGGTGACAGAGCAAGACTCTGTCTCGAAAAAATATATATATATACGTGTGTGTGTGTGTGTGTGTGTGTGTGTGTGTGTGTGTATATATAATAGATATATAAGCTTTAACTTATATATGTAAGTTTAACATATATATAAGCTTTATATATATGTATAATAAATTATATATATAATATGTATATAAAGCTTATATATATATATAAGCTTTAACTATACCAAGTATTTCCTTTGGGGTCTTAGCTCTATTCCATATAGCTGAACTTGCCATATCTATTAATTTACAGATATATGACATTGGTGCAAAAGGAATTGTGGTTTTGGCCATTACTTTCAAAATAAAATAATAAATGTTAATAAAGGTACAACCAACTTACAATTATTATACTATATTAAATCTCATTTTAATAAAATATTTTTTCATCAACCTATTTTTGTACTATTGATACTGCCGACAGTTTTAAATTATATTTTTATAAAACCTTTAACAATATCTTACTAAAATGTAAAATAAAAATTACTAACCAACACCACACTAAACATCATAAATAACACTACATAATTCTCGTACTTAACAATTTTGTTATAGCTGGGTTTATGGGCCCCATATTAACACATCACTTCAACTTAACTCATTTAAAAAACTTCTAATTCAATTATACATAATGTATAATACTAACTTTAGAGTCTGCATAGCCATGCTTAGGGAATTATAAAGAGATGGCTCTCCATGGCAGGTCATATCCACAGCTTCCTTCAAAGACGTTATATGTTTTCTTGGGTTTCCTAAAATAGAAATAAGGTCTTTAAATAAAATCCTATATATTAAAAAAGTTTATGTTTCTCTCAAAATTTACATATCTATGATGTTAAAGAACAGAATCCTTTCAATGTATATTTCTGTTGGAATTTTATCTGCAATATTTTGTAAACACTCTCACTTCATACTGAAAAACAGAATACAAATAATCTCCTTATAGACTAGCATACATATTTTAAAATAATGCTAACCTAGAGTGCATTTTTTTACTCTTAATATTTCCATATTTCATCATTTTTAAGACCAATACATTTTCACATTTAACATCTCTGAAATCAGCATGTGTTTAATAATTACTGGTAGCCAGCAGCACTTGTAACATAGTCTTTGCCTGTTCATATGTGAACCTACAAATAGGTCTTCATATGTTGTTGCTTCAATTGCATTATGTACATTGTCCTCTTCATGGTGAGTTTAACTGCCATTTAAAATGTTTTTAAGGCCAGGCGCGGTGGCTCACGCCTGTAATCCCAGCACTCTGGGAGACCACGGCAGGCAGATAACCTGAGGTCAGGAGTTTAAGACACACCTGGTCAACATGGTGTAAATCCCATCTGTAGTAAAAATGCAAAAATTAGCTGGGTATGGTGGCATACACCTGTAATCCCAGCCACTAGGGAGGCTGAGGCACAAGAATCACTTAAACCCAGAAGGTGGAGGTTGCAGTGAGCTGAGATTGCACCACCGCACTCCAGCCTGGGCAACAACAGCGAAACTCCATCTCAAAAAACAAACAATAAAATGTTTTTAGAAATGTTGTTAATACAAAAGGCTATATTTTTATGTAGAAAGGTGTGGAACACAGCAGTGAGGCATAAATTTATTATAATGAATCAAATATTGATGGAAGAATGCATGCAATTCCGTATTTTTCTTGAGGGAAGAAATCAAGAACTTTACAAGACCTAAGAAACGAATATTCCCACAAACAGACGAGGCTGTGTTATCTTACCAAATAGCATCTGAAAAGATTGTCTATCTTATGCTAAGCAATTCAAATGAAGGGGGGAGAAGCTGCCAAATCCTTTTTTTTCTTTTTAATATAATATTTTTTTATATTATTTATATTTAGATTATATATATATCTGTTGCCAGGCTGGAGTGCAATGGGGCAATTTTGGCTCAATGCAACTTCCACCTCCCAGGCTCAAACCATCCTCCCACCTCAACCTCCCAAGTAGCTGGGACTACAAGTGCCCAGCACCACACTTGGCTAAATTTTTTTGTATATTTTTGGTAGAGACAGGGTTTCACCATGTTGTCCAGGCTAGTCCTGAACTCCTGGATTCAAGCAATCCTCCCGCCTCAGCCTCTCAAAGTGCTGGGAGTACAGGTGTAAGTCACCACACCTGGCCCCCAAATTTGAGATGTCTGTACATGTCAAATTACCAAGAAGCTAGTATAGCCAACTCATATATCATTTGATACTGTGTCAAAGTTTAACTACTAGGACTTTTCCTTCTTAATGGCTTATAAAAGTATCTTGTAATTGATGGAATCTGAGTTTCAATGAAATATAGTATTCCGTAAACATTTTCCATTTCAGCACTGTCTTCGTATCAATCAATAACCTAAGTATCATTAAATTGATTTTGTCATAAAATATAATCCATCAAAGCATACTATTAAACATTTAATTTTTAATCTGTCACTATTATACATAATGTTACAAAGAGTATCTTTGTAGAGTGATCATTCTCCTTCCATAACATTCCCTAAATATAATTTCAGGAACAATTTTTATGCTTTTCTAAAAAATATTGAACTAATTTGTAAGACTATCAGCACTATAAATAACAGTTTCTCTGTGGTTCCACAAGCAACATATTGCTTTGGAAACTTAATTTTGCTCATTTAAAATATATTAAAAAATAAAATGTTATGTAATTGGGTAGAGTGTTTTTGGATTACTAGTTTCCCTGATTTAATTTCTGGGTTTTTTCTGTGTGAATCATGTCTTCTTTGTCTATTCATCAACTTGGAGCTCCCTTGAGTTTTTACTCATCTGAGTAAGTTTTAAAATATTAACCATTTGTAATATTTAATATTTACTGCAAGTATTTTAGATTCATAAATTTTAGAGATGAAAAGTACCTCGCTAAGCAGTCCAAATCCCTCACTTCATAAGTGAGAAAATTAATCTAAACAAGTGAAATGACTTGCCCAAAGACATATGCCTGCTTAACTGCAGGACCAGCAGCACCCAAACCTAGATCTCCTGGCTCTCTATCCACTTCTCTTCCTACCCTACAAAATTATTTTTAATCTCCCACTGTGTTATGGGTATAGGAAAAAAGCATACTACAATAGTGTCAGTGTGGTTTACAGCAGTGGTCTGATTGGAGGGAAAAAAAGGTGGCTTCAAGAGGCCTGTCAGAATCTCCAGAATATTTTTCATCTTTATACATGACTTCACTAACATCCATAGAAAACTGCTGGGGCCGGGCATGGTGGCTGATGCCTGTAATCCCAACACTTTGGGAGGCTGAGGTGGGTAGATCACCTGAGGTCAGGAGTTCGAGATCAGCCTGGCCAGCATGGTGAAATCCTGTCTCTACTAAAAATAAAATTAGCCAGGTGTGGCAGCGCACACCTGTAATCCCAGCTACTCGGGAGGGGGAGGCAGGAGAATCTCTTGAACCCGGGAGGCGGAGGTTGCAGTGAGCCAAGACAGCACCGCCTGGGCGACAGAGTGAGAGACTCCTTCTCAAAAAAAAAAAAAAGAAGCAATAGAAAACTGCTGGTAACTCGGGGTGGGTAAAGTGAGAGGAAAATATTGACCTTATATTCCTACCTTGGAGGAACCATCCTTCTTCCACTATATAATAATCCTGCTTAGTTCATGTGGTGCTGACCCTACTTCTATCCTGCTCTGGGCATCAGCAGGCAATCGAAGCGTACAAACAAAATACTTCATTTCCTGGCCACTTTGTTCATGGATGGGCAGATCGTAACTCAGGCCAATCAGAGTTCTCCCTAGACGTGTGCTGAAGCTATAGGCTACGGGTACAATGTAGAACTGGGACAATTAAGAGACATCTTTTCAACTTCCAGAAAATCTATCAGAGAATGAAGCCAGACAAAGCCAGGACCCCAACATATGCAGCAACTATATATGGAATTGGCCCACCTTTGAACATAGCCCAAAATTTTCCTTCTGCACTTAAGCTAGTGTGACATTCTTTTGGTTACTCACAACTGAGTTTCTTGAATCACTCCAGGCCAATGTACATTTCACTCCTCACTGCATTTAATGAAAAACTACTAATGAAGAAAGTATGTCATTTCCCTTATGTGTGCCGGCAAGGATAAAAGGTTGAAAACCAGATTTAAGGGAGAGTGTATTTCACAGAAAATAAAATAGAATCAGTGATGCAAATTTGTAACAGCATATATATCAAAGCAAATAAAAAATGCCATTACTACGTTTTGAAACTAAAATTCAGTTAGGTATGTCATGGAAGCAGAAAAATTGATTCATTAGCAATAGCTACAGTTTAATTTTTATACTTTTTCCCTTTTAAATTAGATGCTTAACTTTTTAAGAATTTAATTTTAAGATTAACTGGATTTTATAAATGATTACAATAACTGTATTTTAATATCTTCAGGATAAGGCCGGATGCGGTGGCTCAAGCCTGTAATCCCAGCACTTTGAGAGGCTGAGGCGGGCTGATCACAAGGTCAAGAGATTGAGACCATACTGGCCAACATGGTGAAACCCCGTATCTACTAAAATACAAAAAATTAGCAGGGCGTGGTGGCGGGCATCTGTAGTTCCAGCTACTCAGGAGGCTGAGGCAGGGAATCGCTTGAACCCGTGAGGCGGACTTTGCAGTGATCCGAAATTGTGCCACTGCACTCTAGCCTGGCGACAGAGCAAGACTCCATCTCCAAAAAAAAAAAAAAAAAAAAAAAAGGAAAGAAAAAAAAATTTCAGGATAAGCACATATAGAATTTAAATAAAAACATTTATATTCAATGTAGTATTATTTACCACTATGATGCAGAACTCAATTTAGAATAGTTAACCTTGTATCCTAAGAATATAATGGTGGGGGAGATGTTATTAAATTGTTTCACCTAGAGAAGACAGAGGAACCACCCTTCACGTTACTTATTAAGCAGCCATATAAACAGGGCTACGAGGTTGGGTAAATAAAGCAAAGTCCTTGAGTCATGTAAAGGTAATTTTATGCATACCTGAAAGTTCAGTCAATTTTTCAGCTCTTTTACTCTTAGTTACAATTATTCCAATCTTGAAATAAAAACAAAAATTATTATTAATATAACAAGTTATTTCCTCCCATTAAGAATATATATAACTATTCCTGTAGATGATATTGGAGCAGAAAAAAAAATAATTTATATAGCTAAAATAAACTAGTAATTACAAAAGAAAGAAGCAACAGGTGAGAAACTTTTTCTCATGCTGTTTTTGGCAAATAAATTTAGCTATGAGTTCACATTACGTTTAACTTTTAGAGTTATTACGCTTTTCATTTTTAAGTATACCAGAAACTGGTTAAACAATTTGGGTAATTCACAAAATACATGTCCAATTTTTAAAAATAAATTACATTTGGAAGCAAAATAGGAATCTAATTCTGAATTCTATCACTTAGATACGTACCTGACTAATAGGATTTTGATCAAAATATTCCTCTACAAAGTATTCCAACAACTGTTTAAACAAAAAAAGACATACTAGATAAAGGCAAAATAACAATCATAAAGAACATGTCCAACTGATGTTTGTGAAACCTGTTAATCAAGCGTCACTTCTCATGACTTTTAAACTTACAGATTTTCAAAAACTGTTAAGTAATAAAAATATTAAACAGTAAAAACGTTAATTTGAAATGGTGGGTGATGAGATAGGTTTGAGCTAGGTTTTAAAAGATGGAACCATTTGGATGTGTCAGAAGAAATTTCAATGAGGAAAAGATCCAATGAAGAGAGATGGGAGAACGAGCAGAATTGAGAATAGGTTTTGATAAATTAGGAATACGAACATATTTGTAATCTGAGGAGACAGAGTTAAGTAAGGCAAAGGAGAATGAAGATTCAAGAAAGAAAAGGGATAACTGATAAACCAAGATCCTGATGTGGGGTGGGAGGATAGAAATTAAAAACACAAATAATTAGCTATGTTGGTTTAAAATTTCCCTAAATAACCTGGCAGTACTTCTACTTAGCTATCATTAGCATTAACTAAAAATACAAGGCAAAAAATAAAAAATATTGCATTCTTTAAAAATATCCTTTAGAATCCAGTGTTCTTCCCCACTTTTTTAGTAAAAGTTTAAGTGATTTTGGTACAAATTTAAATGATTTAGTATAAACTTAAATTTTACCTTTAAAGTACACGTCAGTCTATTAGGCTTTAAATCTTGGTCTTCCATTGTTCTTGATCCATCTACTACCACATAAAGGTGGCGCATCTATCGGAAAAAAGAAAGGGCCAATTTCAAGTACTTGTTTTGTTTTGTAGAAACTGGGTCTCGTTCTGTTGCCCAGGTTGGTCTCAAACTCCTGGGCTCAAGCAATCCTCCTGCCTTGGCCTCCCAAAGTGCTGGGATTATAGGCATGAGCCACTGTGCCCAGCCTCAAGTGCCATTTTGACTAGTAAAAATGGCATTTAATAATTACATATTCTATGCACGTATTTTTAACATATTCTTTTAAAAACTTTGTTGTTTTGCTATTGTTTTTTCTAGCAAGACAGAATGTTTCTCTAACCTAAACTAGTTCTGTACTAGTAAAAGAAAAAATAATGACATACCATTCCAAGTCGAACTTGTCCATGGTGCTCAAATACTCTGTTAAAATTATACAAACATTTTAATGTAATTCCATATACTATCCCCCCCCACAAAAAAAAATACAACTTTCCAATTGACCTCCTTTGTTTTTCTTTTTTTCTAATTCTGATTAAGAATGTCATAACGTGCATTTTTAGTGGAGTAAATAATTAACTTATGGAATACAATACACATAATTATAGGTATTGTAGACAGTCTCTAAAGACCATTTCCTGCTGGGGCAAGGGTAGGTGGCTAGTTCTTTCCCCATAGTCAGAAGGCAATAGGTCAGTTTCCCTGAAACACAGCTAAAATGAAGTACTGAGGAGTATTTATAGATAGAAAGGCTTAAAATGAATATATTTTACCTTTTTAAGATACGTAGGAAGGTTACATACCTTTTTCTCTTTGCCTTGAATAGAATGTCTTCTATTGTAGCTTTAAGTGATCCAGATTCATCTTCTTTAAGAATCTCCCTATAAGTCATAATTATTTGTTTGAAAAGACAAGCTAAAATGATTACTAGCCCAAATGAAATGAAAATATATGTCCACACAAAGATTTGCATGTAAGTGTTCATGGCTGCATTTTCCTAACAGTCAAAAACTGTAAAGAACCTAAATATCCACAGACTAGTGAATGGATAAACAATAATGTGGCATAACCATAGATGGGAATACTATTCAGCAATAAAAAAGGAATGAAGTATTAATACACACTGCAACATGGATGAGTCTTAAAAATAAGTGAAAGCCAGCCACAACAGACCAACTATTATAGTCATGCATCGCTTACTGACAGGGATACATTCTGAGAAATGCATTGTTAGGCAATTTCATTATTGTGTGAATATCACAGGGTATACTTACACAAACCTAGATGGTATAGCCTATCCCACGCCTAGGTTACAAACCTGTACAGCACGTTACTATACTGAATATCTTAAGACAACTGTAACACAATGTTCAGTATTTGTATATCTAAACATACATAGAAAAGGTAGAGTAAAAATACAGTATTATAATATTATGGGACCATTGTCATATATGCAGTCTGTCTTTGACCAAAACATCATTATGTGGCACATGATTGTATATGATCACATTTTTGTGAAATGTCCAGAAAAGGTTAAAATTTGGAGACAAAAAGTAGACTAATGATTGCCCACAGGTGGAATTAAATTAAGATTTAAATTAATTGTAAATGAATGTGAAGGATCTTACTGGAGTGGTTACAATATTCTAAAACTGGTTTATGATAATGGCTGCACAGCTCAGTAAATTATTAATAAAACATCACTGAATTGTACATTGGAAATGGGTGAATTTTAACATATGTAAAATATACTTTAATAAAGTTGTAAAGAAAAAAAAAGACATTGTCTAAAAGAAAAGACAGGGCAATAAAGCTCTCCTTACCATGTTCTTTCATAGCCTCCTTCCCATCGCTTAGTTCTTTCAGGTTCTTCATCCATTTTTTTCAAAACTGTATTTTATTATTCAATAATCTGTAAAAACCATTAGAATGTAAGTTATCTAAAGATGTTTGTTACAAAATTCATCCAATTAAATTTGAAAATTAGACACATATATAAAGTAAAAAAAATGGAATGCCAGGTCATCTTATTCTTTGTATTTTACTCAATAATTGTCTTAAAAATCTTCATAGAACTCCATTTCTCATTTCCAAGAAATAATATGAACTTATACACAAACTTGGTACCAATAAAAATAAGTGTCTTTTTACAATTTGTAAAAGAACAAAAATGCTTTATAGATGTGTCACATGACAAACTGTAGACTTGTGAGGAGTCAGTATGGGCGTAGTTGAACTATTATAGCTGAGTGACATGTGATTCATTGTACTATCTCTCTGTGTATGTCTCAATTTTCTCATAATCAAAAGTTTTTAAATCACATTTATTATTTATAAATGGGTAAATGCTATAGCTCATAATTCAAAAAAAAAGGACACAAAATTAAACATAGTTCTTTGAGACATCTCCAAACTGCTTTCCATAGTGGCTGAACTAATTTACATTCCTACCAACAGTGGATAAGCATTCCCTTTTCTTCACAACCTTGCCAACATCTGTTATTTTTTGACTTTTTAATAATATCCATTCTAACTGGTGGTGAGATGGGTTTGTGGTTTTGATTTACATTGTGGTTTTGGTTTGCATTTCTCTAATGATCAGTGATGTTGAACATTTTTTCATACATTTATTGGACACATGTATGTCGATCCAACAATCCCAATACTGGGTATAAACCCAAAGGAAAATAAAACCATTCTACCAAAAGTACAAGAGCACTCATATTAATCACAGCACTATCCAAAATAGCAAAGACATCACATCAACTTAGATGCTCATAAATGGTGGACTGGATAAAGAAAATGTGGTACGTAATATATCATGGAATACTAGCAGCCAAAAAAACAACGAAAAAAAAACACAATGAAATCCTGTCTTTTGCAGCAACATGGATACAGCTGGAGGCCATTATCCTCATCGAATTAACACGAACAGAGGCCCAACGCAATGGCTCACGCCTGTAATCCTAGCACTTGGGAGGCCAAGGCAAGTGGATCACCTGAGGTCAGGAGTTTGAAACCAGCCTGGCCAACATGGTGAAACCCTGTCTCTACTAAAAATAGAAAAAAATTAGCCAGATGTGGTGGCGAGCACCTGTAATCCCATCTACTCAGGAGGCTGAGGCAGGAGAATTGCTTGAACCCGGAAGGCAGAGAGGTTGCAGTGAGCCGAGATCGTGCCACTGCACTCTGGCCTAAAAAAAACAGCAACAGAAAACCAAAGACGGCATGTTCTCATTTACGAGTGGAAACTAAACACTGAGTACACGTGGACATAACGATGAGAACAACAGACATTGGAGACTATTAGACAGGGAAGGATGGGAAAGAGTGAGGGTTGAAAAACTGCCTATCAGGTACTATGTTTACTACCAGGGTGACGGGATCATTTGTATACCAAACCTCAACAACAAGCAATTTATCCATGTAACCAACATGCACACGTACTCTGTGAAAATAAAAGTTGAAAACAAAACAAAACAAACAAACACAGGCCAGGGCCAGGTGCAGTGGCTCCATCCCTGTAATCCCTGCACTTTTGAGAGGACAAGGTGCGGATCACCTGAGGTCAGGAGTTCGAGACCAGTCAGGCCAACATGGCAACACCCGTCTCTACTAAAAATACATAAATTAGTTGGGCATGGTGGCAGGTGCCTGTAATCCCAGCTACTAGGGAGGCTGAGGCAGGAGAATTCCTTGAACCTGGAGGGCAGAAGCTGCAATGAGCCAAGGTCACACCACTTCACTCCAGCCTGGGTGACAGAGCAAGACTCCGTCTCAAAAAAAAAAAAAAAAAAAAAAAACCAGGCCGGGTATGATGGCTGACATCTGTAATTCTAGCACTTTGGGAGACTAAAGCAGGTGATCACTTGAGGTCAGGAGTTTGAAAATTAGCTAGGAGGTTGGTGGGAGCGGGCCCCTGTAATCCCAGCTACTGGGGAGGCTGAGACAAGAGGACTGCTTGAACCCAGGAGGCACGGAGGCTGCAGTGAGCCGAGATCAGGTCACTGCACTCCAGCCTGGGCAACAGAATGAGACCCTGCCTCAAAAAAGAAAGAAAAGAAAGGAAAGAAAGAGAGAGAGAGAAACGGGCACGGTGGCTCATCCTGTAATCCCAGCACTTTGGGAGGCCGAGGCCAGCAGATCATTTCAGGTCAGGAGTTCAAGACCAGGCTGGCCAACATAGTGAAATGCCGTCTCCACTAGAAATACAAAAATCAGCAGGGCCTAGTGGTGCACACCTGTAATCCCAGCTACTCGGGAGGCTGAGGCAGGAGAATCACTTGAACCTGGGAGGTAGACACTGGAGCGAGCCAAGGTTGTGCCACTGCACTCCAGCCTGGGTGAGAGAGCGAGACTCTGTCATTCATTCATTCATGCACAAATAAATGTCCTCATCACACCTCCATCCTCCCCAATGCAATCTCCCTCCCAACTCCACCACCTCGTGGCTCACTGCAACCTCCACCTCCCGGGTTCAAGTGATTCTCCTGTCTCAGCCTCCCAAGGAGCTGGGATTGCAGGCGCGTGCCACCATGCCCAGCTAATTTTTGTATTTTTAGTACAGTCAGGGTTTTGCCATGTTTTATATTTTTGTAGAGCCAGGGTTTCGCCTGACTTGCCAGGCTGATCTCAAACTCCTGACCTCAAGTGATCTGCCTGTAAACAGAATATTTTTGTTTCTTTTTTTGTTTTAAGGCGGAGTTTCACTCACCACCCAGGCTGGAGTGCAATGGCGCGATCTCGGCTCACTGCAACCTCCGCCTCCGAGTTCAAGTGATCCTCCTGCCTCAGCCTCCCGAGTAGCTGGGATTACAAGAGCCCACCACCACACCTGGCTAACTTTTGTGTTTTTAGTAGAAATGGGGTTTTGCCATGGTGGCCAGGCTGGTCTCGAACTCCTGACCTCAGGTGACCCACTCACCTCGGCCTCCCAAAGTGCTGGGATTACAGGCGTGAGTCACCACACCCAGCCTCAACTGAACATTTTGCTCCTCCCTGTTTTCTGTTACGTATTGTGAACTTTAAAAATGAAAAACTCGCATAACGTTCTCAACGTTTTTAAACTCAAATTCTTCGCAGGGCACAGTGGCTCAAACCTGTAATCCCAGCACTTTGAGAGGCCAAGGCAAAAGGATTGCTTGAGTTCAGGCGCTCAGATCAGCCTGGGCAATAACCTTGTCTCTACAAAACATCAAAAAATTAGCTGGGCGAGGTGGCGAGTACTTGAGTCCCAGCTACTTGGGAAGCAAAAGTGGGAGGATGGCTTGAGCCCAGGAGAGTCGAGGCTACTATGTTCACTACTGCACTCCAGACTGGGTGACAGAGTGAGACCCTATCTCAAAATAAATAAAATAATTACAAATATATAATAAATATTATAAATATAAAAGTAAATAGCAACTGAGAGACTTTTGGCTGACCATATCAAAGGAATTCTTTTTTTTCTTTTTTTTCTGAGACAAGAGTCTTGCTCTGTCGCCCAAGCTTGGAGTGCAGTGACGCAATCTCGGCTCACTGCAACCTCCGCCTCCAGGGTTCAAGCGATTCTACTGTCTCTTCTGTCTCCCGAATAGCTGAGATTAAGGCACACGCCACCACAGCTAACCTTTTTATTTTTAGTAGAGACGGGGTTTCACCAGCCTGTTGGCCAGGCCTGGTCTCGAATTCCTGACCACAACTGGTCCGCCCACCTCGGTCCTCCAAAGTGTTGGGATTACAGGCATGAGTCACCACGCCCGGCTAAAAGGACTTCTTAATTAGAGCTGCCTGCAATGGGAAATCCGACTGGACAGGAGGTATTAAGGTCCCTAAAACTGCAGACGTTCAATGGGAAGTCTGATTGTAAACATGCATGCTGTTTAAAGGATTCATGCATCCTGAAGATGGACTTTGTAAAGATCTCCAATGGCCTGTCACTTCCCAACAGTCCATTTTCTTCTTAAAAATATCACCGAGGCCAGGTGGGTGGCTCACACCTGTAATCCCAGCACTGTGGGAGGCCGAGGCGGGAGGATCACGAGGTCAAGAAATCAAGACCATCCTAGCCAACATGGTGAAACCCCGTCTCTACTGAAAATACAAAAATTAGCTGGGCGTGGTGGCACGCGCCTGTAGTTCCAGCTACTCGGGAGGCTGAGGAAGGAGAATCGCTTGAACCCGGGAGGTGGAGGTTGCAGTGAGCCGAGATCGCGCCGCTGCACTCCAGCCTGGCGACAGGGCGAGACTCCGTCTCGAAGAAAAAAAAATTTTTTTAAGTGATCTGTTTCCTGGAATCCAACCCCAAACAATCCACGTTCCTCAGCATAAGCCTACTGGTGTGATTCCCGTTACATGAGCTCGGAATGCTATCTGCCAACAAATGAGAGCACCAAACATCCCAATTTAAGAAGCTTTTCTTCACACCTTACCAAGCTATGTGAAACTGGCAAGGGTGATTACTGTCCTTGTTTTTCAGGTATGGGATTCAGGCTCAGAGGTTGGTCACTTTCTCAAGCGGGTCACAAACTCGAACCCTGAACCATCATTTCTAAAAGTCGCGCTTTTACTTAGGGAGAGACGGCCTGCAGCTTCCCTCCCTACTCTGCGGCTCCCCAGACGAAAGTTACCTTCCTCTGCCTTCACAAGCTCCTTCACATCCTCCTTCCCTATGAGCCCAGGCAGGGCAATTCAACCTCCGTTCCCCGCCACGAAAACGCTCCCAGCCGCCTAGCTAGTCAGACGGCCTGCCCCACCTCTGCGCCTCACAGACTTCCACACGCGGACTCACCGGCGCCGCTAGAAGGACTCTCAGCCGGAAACTCAGCCCGACACTCCTCTCCGCCGCTTTAGGGGCGCCCCGGAAGTCATTCCGCCGCGCCCTGCGGCCACGCCGAAACGTTCCGGATGCTGCAGAGTGCAGCTGCCGGAGCGGGGCGCTCAGGTGCAGGGCATGGCCTCCGCTGAGTTGGGGCGCGGAAAGGGACGGTGTTCCAGCTGGAATTCGCAGAGAACCGGAAAGAGTGATCGCCATTCGCTCTCGGAAGGTCGAAGGCTCTGCAGCCATCGACCTGGGTTCTGAGGAGCTCGATCTTGTCTTTCTACTTCTAAAAGGTTGGGATGAAGGACCCTGGCCACAGAAGTAAAGCCAGAATTATCCTTGCTTCTTGCTGTGTATTTCAGGACTCCTCCATTGCTCTTGCTGTTCATTCAACAAACATTGAGCATCTACTTTGAGCCTGATGCATGTCTAAGCACTGAGGAAATAACAATGAAAAACTGACAAAAATCCTTGCTCTCGTGGAGTTTTCCTTCTCCAAGGGGAGTCAGTATGAAGAAAAACATATACTATATGAAATGGTGATAATGCTGTGGAGAAAAACTAAGCACTGAAGGGGAGAAGTTTGCAGTTTAAAATAGGGTGGCCAGGCCGGGTGCGATGGTTCACGCCTGTAATCCCAGGCATGGTGATTTGGGAGGCCGAGCGGGGGTGGATCATCGGAGGGCAGGACTTCGAGACCAGCCTGGCCAACATAGTGAATTCCGTCTCTACTAAAAATACAAAAACATTAGCCGGGCGTGCTGGCAGGCGCCTGTAATCCCAGCTACTCGGGAGGCTGAGGCAGGAGAATCGCTTGAATCCAGGAGGCACAGGTTGCAGTGAGCCAACCTTGCACTCCAGCCTGGGTGACAGAGACTTCATCTCAAAAAATAAAATAGGGTGGCCAGAGGAGTCCTCGCTGGGAAGACAGTTAAGCCATGACCTGAATGAGGAAGGGTGTTAACCCTGCTGATACCTAGGGGAAAAGCTCTTCAGACAAAGAGAGCTGCAAGTGCAAAGGCCCTGAGGTAGAAGTGCATTGGGGTCTTTGACGACTGCAGGAGTGAGCAGGGGATGAGTGGTGGAAGCTGCAATCAGAAGGGTAAGGTGGGGAGGAGAGGCTGTGAGCACTGTTAAGAACTTTGGGGGAATTGTGATGGCTTGGACCAGCAGCTGGTGAGAAGTGACTGAATTCTAAATCTTACCAATACACTGGATGTGTGTTATGAGAAAAGAATCAAGGATACCTCCATAGTCTTTAGCTGAGCAACTGAAAGGTTGGGGTTGCAATTATTAAAATGTTGGCGGGGTGGGTAAGATCAATTCAGTTTTGGACAAGTTGTATGACTGCCAATTAACACAAGTGGAATTACTGGCATTTCCCATACTTGAGAAATGGAGAGGCAGTGCACCCCCAGATGAGAAAAGGGTTAGGAATAACACAAAGGAACTGCAGAAGCTAGGGCCTCTTTCCTTCCCCATCAGCATACTCATCCCCTCCATTGCCTTTATTTTATTGTTAAAAATTTTTCCCATCTCTGTTGTCTCCCTCAAAAATATAAACAGAAGGTATCTTGCATAGCAGTGGAAAGAACAGCCCTGGATTTAAAATCAGGCTCTGACACACTGGCTGGGTGACCTCAAGCAAGTCACAACCCAAGTCTATGAACTAATGTGTAAAATGGGGTTGTCTCCACCAACCCTGCAGGGCTTAGTGGGAACTCCATAATCAGTCTCATTTCCTCCCAGAAGACAGGATTTTAAAAGGGAGAGGAGGGGAAATTAGTATCGCAGTGCCAGGAAGCTTCCATGCTTGCCTCCCTCCCACCTTTGACCTCATTAGAGGACTCACACACAAATTCCACACTTTTCCTTTTGTGCCCTTCCTTCCTATCCACACTTTTGCTTCCTTCCATCTTAATTGACCATCCTATTTGCAAGACGGGATGCATTCCTCTAGGACAAACAGCCTAGAGGAATCCCAAGCCCCAAGTTTCTTGCATATGTTTGTTATCCATCAGCCTGGGAAGGCTTTAAGGAAAACCAGGAAAAAGATAGAGGACTCCCCAATAAATATAAAGCATATTTGCGAAGAGAGGAGACTGAAACAGTTTTCCCAACTGTAATATTTGTTCTGTATAGATTTTAGACATGGATGTTAAGATTCAACTAGGAATGGTACTACAGCAAAACAAAATATGCATAAATCCATAATCTCTTGGCATGATTATGACTGACATATTCTAATCATTTACAAAGTGGTAGAATAAATTATCTAACCTACTCAGATGTTTTTTCAACTTGTAAAACTAAAAGACAACTATAAAGAATGGATAATCTGTTCTTTGCCCATGAGTGGCCAGACACAATCAACAGGGTTAGGACATTCACAATCAGCTCAGCCAGTGGAATCAGATATAAAAAGCATGCAACTTGAAAGACTGGGAGAAGTGAACCTGTCTATTCCAATAGACAGGCTCCCTTACAGGGAAACTAAATCATTCCAGAAAGCCTCATCTAAAACCTCTGTAATTGACAACAGTATCTAACAATTGTGATCTTGATAAGTAAACTATTTGCTCTAACCTAAAGAAGCATTTGTTTATCATGTACAAATATTTAGAATGCCAATCCTGCATTCTCTGCCTAGAATTCAAAAGAATTTACATTCTAAGGCTGCACCCAGCACAGATCAATCATATGGGATTGGATGACACATGCACTTTTAAAAAACACAATTTGCTTTTAGAAAACTTGTTAAAGTTTCACCTTCTGGCTTTGGAAGATGGGGGTAGCTAGGCATATTTACTTTTAGACAAGGACTGAGTCACACATTAACTACCTTCTTAACTATGAGATTATTACAAATATATTTTACAAATACAAAAAACTGAAGTACAGAGAGGCTAAGTTAATTTCTCCAAGGTCCCACAGCAAGTAACTGCAGAAGGGCAAAGCAAAAATAGGACAACACATGTAGGCAATACCAAGCAGTTCTTGTGGCAGCAATTGGAAACCTTTTGGAGACACCATTCTGCATTTCGTTGTAGTCATACACAAAACCCTAGTTATGTATCCATGCTTCTTTCTCATAATGCCAAAGTGGCACTATTCTAATTTACTAACAAGGTTTTCTAAAAACTACCCAAATTATTGAGGTGTTTTTGCTCACTTCTTCCCATTAGAATAAATGTAGACAATAAGAAACGCATGAGGGATGACATAGTCCTCCATCAAATCTGTCCTTTCACACAAGAGATGGCATGGTGTAGTGTAGCAGAATCATGAGCTGCCAGGAAATTATGAATTCTGATTCCTCCAGCTGAGTCTTTGAAAAAGTCCAGATGAGAAACACTTCCATCCTGATGCTGAAGCAAGGAGAATGTCCTTGTGTGAGGAATTCTCACAACACCAACTGAAGCTAAGGTCCCCGGAGCCATGATAAAAGCACTTTTCTGCCCTGATTCTTCTTTACACACATGTACCCATTCAGGTCTTTACAGATATTTCACAGGAAGCATTTATGTTACAAGTACTTAAAATGCACTCGAAATTAATATAGGATACTTTATTTACATCAGAGTGATCTCACATTATCCAATCCATTAACAAAGTCAACACAGGATGGAAGTATAGAATCTAACAGTTGAAGAGACTAAGATCCTAATCCCTTGTTTTGCCACTTGCTAGTGTGACAACAGCCAGTTAATCTATCATATCATTAGTTCCTTGTCTATAAAAGAAGAATAAGAAATGGTCACATGTCAAAAGATCGTTGTGAGGATTAAATATCATATATGTACTTATGTGTATGTAACTTATTTACTATAAATACTAGTTGACTTCACTTTATTTCAAAAAATATAAAGCACATATGACAAAACATTAACACATGTTATTTCTGGGCGGATGGTACTTATATTTTATACTTTTCTGTATTTAAATTTTTCAAAATAAAATAATGATCCTATATACTTTTAATACAAAATCACATATGTAGGGCATCACTTTATACGCAGGGAATCTTTACAAAATGAACTATGTGCTATCACAACAAACTCCTTAGAACAATAGTTTATAACAAAGCAGAATTCCAGACAAGAACTACAGGTCAGAAATGGAAGGGATGTCGGAAATCTAATCTAAACCTCTGACTTTCTAGACTAGGAAGCTGCTTGAGTGGCTTTTCAAATTTACATCCAGCTAGTTAATGCCAACGCCAACAGAAACACCCTGATCCTAGTTTCCTAAAACGGTATTTAGTATAAATACACATGAAAATTTTTCTTATTTTTGAAATTTCAAAGTCCAATTTTATAACACAATTTTACAATGCAAATTCTTGCTGTTTCACTTTCTGGATTCAGCTGAATAGTTTTGTGAAAATACTGACAAACTTGCCTTCACGAACTGACTTCCAAGAACAAATTGTTAAAACTTTAACAGAAAAATCAGTTAAAGGTGCTCATCAAGAGAATCCTTTTCATTTGGTATAAATCCAAAACTATGAAAATACCTTTTGTATTATGTGCATGCAGAAAATTAAGAATTTATTCAATTTGCAGAAATAAATCAGTGATATAATGGAAACATTTAAAATTTTATCTCTGGAAAATAATTCAAAATCATCTATCAAAAATTATAGGCCGGGCACAGTGGCTCACGCCTCTAATCCCAGCACTTTGGGAGGCCGAGGTGGATGGATCACCTGAGGTCAGGAGTTCGAGACCAGCCTGACCAACATGGAGAAACCCCATCTCTACTAAAAATACAAAAAAAAAATTAGCCAGGTGTGGTGGCGCATGCCTGTAATCCCAGCTACTCGGGAGGCCGAGGCAGGAGAATTGTTTGAACCTGGGAGGCGGAGGTTGTGGTGAGCTGAGATCGCGACATTGCACTCCAGCCTGTTCAACAAGAGCAAAACTCCATCTCAAAAAAAAAAAAAAAAAAATACACACACACACACACACACACACTTAGGCCAGGCATGGTGGCTCACGCCTGTAATCCCAGCACTTTGGGAGGCCGAGGCAGGCAGACCACAAGGTCAGGAGTTCAAGACCAACCTGGCCACTATGGTAAAACCCCGTCTCTATTAAAAATACAAAAATTAGCCACGCATGGTGATGGGCACCTGTAGTCTCAACTACTCGAGAGGCTGAGGCAGGAGAATTGCTTGAACCCGGGAGGTGGAGGTTGCAGTGAGCCAAGATAGCACCACTGCATTCCAGCCTGGGTGAGAGTGAGACTCTGTCTCAAAAAAAAAAAAAAATTATATACCTAAATATCTGAAATGCATACTAAAGTTCAGTTTATAGATTATTCTAAAAAAAAGTTTTTAGAAAAGTCTAAGCTGGGATGATCACAATCAACTTGGTCAGCACAGTGCTATCAACTAATTTTACTAATAAGAATCTGAATTTTTAAAAAAGTGATACAATTTAAGGGCACCATTTGAAATTATTTGGTATTTCGTGGTATAGCATTCTATTCCCAGACATATCAGCATTCTTACAGCCAAAGGAATGGGAAACGACTAACCAGCACAGCATCCAAAGGAGTATAAACAACAACAGATACAACTCCTGAGTGTGGTTTTCCATTGCTGTATGTTAACAGCACTAATAACATCAAACAGGTTATTATGGAAAGAAAACACCAGGTTTAATACCTTATAAAATATGTATAGAAATTGAACATTCCTGTAAGATACAGTTCAAGTCACAATTGAATTATAAATGTAATCAGATATTCTGATATAATGAAAAGTTCTAGTTGGTTTTTTAAAAAAGGCATGCAAAAAGATAAAAAGTATTTAAAAACACACAAAATTCTAACCACGGGGTTTAAACTTTGATCTTAAAAAAGTAAATATATATTTACAATCTTTAAATTTCACACATTTGTTACTTTTACATGATCTTTATTATTTAAGAAAAACCTCTTTTAACCATTTATATAACAGAAAAAAAATAGGGAGGCTGGTAGATCATCACATATATAGTAGCTAAAATATGAAAGGCCAGGGAATTTATTATTAATGAAGTCATAAAACAGACTTAACCAAAAGTGTGTGCTAGGAAACAAGCAGTTTCACTTCAGAGACTTCATTGCAGGAACCCAGTTTCCTTATGTGGAAAAAAGTGATTATAAATAACAGTTATCTGAAAGGTGGTTGAGAGGATTAAATGAGATCACCTATGCAAACAAATACATGTAGGTATGAAGACATCGTCTGGGGTGTGAAAGTTTAGTTCACACCAGAACCTTCCTTTAAGGCTTAAAAACCTCAAACAGTATTTCATTCTTAATACAAGAACCAATGTTTAAAGCATAAAATCCTTAATTGGAGTGTTCAGCCCAGTTGATTATCAAAAGCGATTTATAAAATGCTTCAATACTGATGATGTTAAAGCAACCAAAACTTTGTGATGCTCACAGAGGTTTGGCTTCCGGGGTTATGGTCCAAAGTCATTTGCCTTCTGAGAAGATTGCAGAGATGTCAGATACTTAATTTCTCAAACAACTTGGCATCAGCCTTCTATGTTTTCTGTCTATCATAGTCTCCAACCATCTTCTTGATGTGTGACAATTTGCTCTTTAACTGCTTGCAATGATTCTTCTTACTTTTGTAATCTGCAGACTAAAAAGGGAGAAAATGAATCACATAAATTCAACAAAATGAAAACAGGTCTGCTGGGAAGGCAGAATTGAACACAGAAATGGAATATTTAGTCAAGAGAATTGCTGGGAGTGTTAATTGAAGTAAAATACGCAAGGTGCCTGGCAGTATCACTAACCACACAGGCAGCTGATTCTATTTGCTCAGTTCTGTCTTCTAACCTGGGTTTTTCCAAAGGATACCCTCATTTCTAAAAATCTGTAAAATGACCAAGAAAACTTACCAGCCTTTTTGCTAACACATCATCTAAAACTGTAAGTAAAACAAGAGACTGGTGATCTCATTTGACTGGGGAAAGGGAAGCTGAATAGGGGATAAGAGAGATGGGAAATTTTACTGTATACCCTTTAAACTCTTATTTCAAATCATGATGCCTGTAATTTATAATTTTTTTTTCTTATTTTAGAAAGGGTCTCATCCTATTGCCCAGGCTGGAGTGAAGTGGTACAATTATAGCTCCCTGCAGCTTTGAACTCCTGGGTTCAAGGGATCCTTTTGCCTCAGTCTCCCTAGTAGCTAGGACTACAGGCATGTAACCACAGCACCTGGATAAGTAATTTACAAAAATTTTAATATAATTTTTTTTTAATGTTTTAAGTCAATAATGACTGTCATGCCAAGTGTTAGCAAGGATATAGGGCAACAGGAGTCTGTAGTGGTTGGTGGGAATGTAAACTGGTACAAGTACTTTGGAAGGCCATTTGACAGTATCTACTAAGGCTGGATAGACAAATGCCCATCACTTCTACGCTCAAACATTTACAAATATGTATGAAGCTGCAATATTTTTAAATGCCAAAAATTGGGAACAACCCAAACGTTCATTGACAATAGAATGGATGAATAAAGTTGCATTTTATATACAACACTACAAAGCAATAAAAATTAATCAACCGGCCAGGCGTGGTGGCTCACGCCTGTAATCCCAGCACTTTCGGAGGCGGAGGCAGGTGGATCACTTGAGGCCAGGAATTTGAGACCTGCCTGGCCAACATGGTAAAACCCCATCTCTACTAAAAATAGGAAAATTAGCCAGGTGTGGTGGTGCTTGCCTGTAATCCCAGTGGCTCGGGAGGCTGAGGCAGGAGAATTGCTTGAACCCAGGAGGCAGAGGTTGCAGTGAGCCGAGATTGTGCCACTGCACTCCAGCCTGGGCGACAGAGCGAGACACTGTCTCAGGAAAAAAAAAAAAATTAATGAACCATGGCCGGGCATGGTGGCTCATGCATGTAATCCCAGCACTTTGTGAGGCCAAGGCAGGGGGATCACCTGAGGTTGGGAGTTCAAGACCAGCCTGGCCAATGTGGTGAAACCATGTCTTTACTAAAAATACAAAAATTAGCCAGGCATGGTGGTGCGTGCTTGCAATCCCAGCTAGGCTGAGGCAGGAGAATTGCTTGAACCTGGGAGGCGGAAGTTGCAGTGAGCTGAGACTGCGCCACTGCACTCCATCCTGGGCAACAGAGCAAGACTCCGTCTAAAAAAAATAATAGTAATGAACTACAAATGGACCCTTACAAACACTATACTGAGCAAAAGAAATCACACACAAAATACATACTGTGTGGTTCCATTTATGTAATGTGCAAGATAGACAAAACTCTATGATGTTAGAAGTGAGCATGATGGACCCCTCTGGAGAGAGTGTAAACACTGGAAAGTAGTACAAGTGAGGGTGGGGGTGCTGGGGGTGGGGAGGTACTGGGAAATATATTTCTTGATCTGCATACGCAGGTATGTGGTCACATTGTGAAAATTCACCATGTTATACACTTTGATTTATACACTTTTCTGTATGTATACTTCAACTTTTAAAAAATATATAAAATAAAAAATGAAAAACATGTAATAGAAAAGCTCTTCCTCCAGATGAGTAGGTATGGGAATTAAAATAAAAAGAAGAAGAAAGAAAGTTCTTCCTAAAAGAACAATCTCGGATACTTACTCCCTTCACTTGCTTCAGTCTATTGTATTCATCAGCAGCAGCCTATTAACGACAGACACAAAGGAATATGTTTACTGGGGCATTTTCTCTTTTAAAAGTAACATTCCTGATGTTATACTTTGGAGCTAAAAATGACAGCTTATGACAAAAATATAAGCAATTAAAAGAATGAAGTCGTAAAGCTCTTAAAACTCATGATCAGCAGGAAGGTCTGAAGGAATTCAGTGAAGAGACATTTATGATACTGTATCTTTCACATTTCACTCACATAGGCAGGTAACTATCTGTTCTGCTACTTCTCATCTCTCCTCATGCCAGTCCCCATGCTACATTGACACCAGGAAGATCTTTTATAACACAGAGCGCTCGCTGATCAGGTAATATCCCACTACACAACTGGTCTGAGCTTCCCATTAACTTCTCCCCTCATCCAGTTTCCTACCTTTCCAGTCTCAGTACCCATCATCAGCAACTCCTTTAAAAACTGAGACATGTTAAATGCTTCAGGATTTCAATCATGTTTTCCTTATGGCTGTAATCATGCACCTCCCCGCACCCTTCTGTCTGGAAAGCTCTTAACGATTCCCTCACTGTGAAGCCTCCAAAGACTTTATTTCTTCTATGAGCAGTTAGTTATAGTGCTTTCTACACATGATGCAAATACAGCATTAATCATACTGTCTAAATTGTTTAGATGTCAGGTTTTTTTTCTTAAAATATAAGCTCTTTTAGGGTGGGGACAAGATTTTATGTCTCTAGCTCCAGCATTTCCACATCATCAAAGAAAAATAAGTGATCAATAAATGTTCACTAAATTAAGAAAGATCTATAACACCCTATAGAAACCATAAAAGAAATACATAAATCTAACTATATAAAGATGTGAATACGTCAAAACTAAAAAGTAGATCACCTCAACTGAAAAATGGCAGAATATTTAATGAGATGTGCATCAAATGAGTCCTGTATTGTATCAAGAGGGAGACACAGTTGGTGCAGTCTCTCTGGAGGGCAATTTTGCAACTTTGCAAAGGTACGTACCCTCTGACTCTCAGCAATTTCACATTCTGGAATTAGTTTTAGTTAGATAAGCAGGCTGGGCACTGTGGCTCACACACGTAATTCCAGCACTTTGGGAGGCCAAGGCAGGCAGATCACCTGAGGTCAGGAGTTCGAGGCTAGCCTGACCAACATGGCAAAACCCCGTCTCTACTAAAAATACAAAAATTAGTCAGGTGTGGTGCCACATGCCTGTAATCCCAGCTACTCGGGAGGCTGAGGCGGGAGAATCACTTGAACCTAGGAGGCGAAGGTTGCAGTGAGCCAAGATAGCGCCACTGCACTCCAGCCTGGGCGACAGAGCAAGACTCCGTCTCAAAAAAAAAAAAAAAAAAAAATTAGATAAGTAGACAAGAGTGCAAAAACAGAGAGGTTCACCAGTATATACTGGTACTACTGGAGTAGGGGGAGACATACTTAAATGTCTATCCATAGAAAATGACTCTTAAATTATGATACAACCATAAATTTGAAAGTTGTTTACCTAATTTTACACATAAAAAACTTAAAAGTAAGTAGGTCTTTATTATTGATATAAAAAAAAAAACTTGCTGTTAAGAAAAGCCAGAAATAAGCAGTGCAAGGAAGTTTTTTTGTTTGTTTTTTTTTTAAAGATAAAACCCCACAATAAGAGTATGTCAAAGGGACACGGGAAGCAACTGAAAGTTCCCAACCGTCAAAGCGAGAACAATTAGAGCTACAAAATAAAGCAGCCTTGGATTATAATTCACAGTATAAAACAGGTATCTGTAAAGTCCATACTTACGTAAGTGATTGACTGATCAATAAAGGAACAAATAAACAAGAAGAGATTAATCTCCCTCTAAAAGGTGGTGTAACTACATTAATTTCAGTATGTATACAAAATACAGTATGAAAAGGATGGATTGAAAAAAAAATCCAGTAACTTTACATGGACAAATTCTATCTCAGCCAGGTGATCAAGGGAGGGAAAAAAAAAACCCATAAACTGTTGATTTAAAAGACAGGAAGAAAATAAGTGAAACATGGAAGATGATGTTTCCTTAAAGAAAGGTGTATGTGCCTTGGTGACTCCTGCTTGGAGAGATTGTTTTAACTAATATTTTGGTGATAAGGATTTCTTGATGGTAGGATTTAAGATGATTTCTTTTTCTGTATACAGTTCTGTGTTACTTAAGTTCTTTTTTTTTTTTTTTTTTTTTTTGAGATGGAGTCTCACTCTGTCACTCAGGCTGGAGTGCAGTGGCGCGATCTTGGCTCACTGCAAGCTCCGCCTCCTGGGTTCACACCATTCTCCTGCCTCAGCCTCCCAAGTAGCTGAGACTACAAGTACCCGCCACCATACCTGGCTAATTTTTTGTATTTTTTTTTTTTTTTTAGTAGAGACGGGGTTTCACTGTGTTAGCCAGGATGGTCTCGATCTCCTGACCTCATGATCCGCCCACCTCGGCCTCCCAAAGTGCTGGGATTACAGGCATTAGCCACCGTGCCCGGCCGCTTAAGTTCTTTTCTACAGAAAGAATGAATGGCTTTATAAATAGGAAAGATAATAAGGCTATTTTATTATTATTATTATTAATTTTTGAGATGGAGTCTCACTCTGTCGCCCAGGCTGGAGTGCAATGGCGCAATCTTGGCTCACTGCAACCTCCCCCATCCCAGGTTCAAGCAATTCTCCTGTCTCAGCCTCCCCGAGTAGCTGGGATTACAGGTGTCTGCCACCATGCCCTGCTATTTTTTGTATTTTTAGTAGAGATGGGGTTTCACCATGTTAGGCACGCTATTCTCTAACTCCTGACCTCAGGTGATCCACTTGCCTTGGCCTCCCAAAGTGTGGGGATTATAGCCATGAGCCACCATGCCCAGCCTGGCTATTTTATTTTAAATAGGAAAGGATAGATGTACATAGAATAGTGCTTTGTAGGGGCTGGGCGCGGTGGCTCACGCCTGTAATCCCAGCACTTTGGGAGGCTAAGACGGGCAGATCACGAGGTCAGGAGATCGAGACCATCCTGGCTAACATGGTGAAACCCCGTCTCTACTAAAAAAAAAAAATACAAAAAATTAGCCGGGCGTGGTGGCAGGCACCTGTAATCCCAGCTACTTGGGAGGCTGAGTCAGGAGAATGGCGTGAACCCGGGAGGCAGAGCTTGCAGTGAGCTGAGATCACGCCACTGCACTCCAGCCTGGGCAACAGAACGAGACTCCACCTCAAAAAAAAAAAAAAAACAGAATAGTGCTTTGTAATTATTAACTATTATACATTAGTACAATCTTCTATTAGGAAAGAATTTCATCCAAAACCCAATCTCAACTATTCTTCAATGAAACTGCAGTTTGATAACTACTAGCACATTTTTATCAACATTAATATAAAGGATGCTGTACCTCCACAGATTAGATTCAAATTCTGTTTAATATATAAATATCAGGTTGAATTTACCATGTACTCTTCACTTTCTTCTCTATAGTCATCCAATTCTTTATCCAAACGGGAGAGTTCTTTATTGATCTCATCAAGTTCTGATTGTAAGCTCTTGTATTCCTGTAGGCCAGTGTCAAAATTCCTCTTGTACAGTTGTCTTTGTTGATCTGAAGTGATAGGTGGATATTCCCTAAAAGGTGAGAGAGAAAATGACTACATATGTATCCTTAGCAGACATAAAATTCAATGCTCCTTCCTCAAAGATAATAAAGCTGGTTGGGTATGGAGAATGACATTTTCTTGTTTCGTTTTTGTTTCTTATGGGGAAAGAGAGAGAGAATACAAATAAGTTCTATTAAGAGTGACTATATATTACTGCTCATTTTTTAAAAAATAAAAACTATGCCTACGTAATTTGCAGAAATAATTTTGAAAATCATTTACAAAATTGAAGGTACAAGTCATAGGAACTCACTTATTTCCCATACACAATATCAATAATGGACTACTTATGTTTATAAAGTTTTTCTTTTCTTTTTTTTTTTTTTTTGAGACAAAGCCTGCTCTGTCACCCAGGATGGAGTGCAGTGGCACAATCTCGGCTCACTGCAACCTCCACCTCCCGGGTTCAAGCGATTTTCGTGCCTCAGTCTCCACAGTAGCTGGGATTACAGGTGCCTGCCACCACGCCCGGCTAATTTTTGTATTTTAGTAGAGACAGGGTTTCACCATGTTGGCCAGGCTAGTCTCAAACTCCTGACCTCAGGTGATCCACCTGCCTCAGCCTCCCAAAGTGCTGGGATTACAGGAGTGAGCCACCATGCCTGGCCTGTTTAAAGTCTTAAAACTGGAATTCTGGAACACAAAGTCCGCTTTGATCACCACAGTGGCAGCACAGCTGACTGGAAGTGGCTGTTTCCTGCTACCACCCATAGTTTTCAGACTGGTTTATTTATTTTTTTGCTCTTGTTTTTCCGAAGTGGAAATAGCTTATCTACTTCTTTCACAATAAAAATAGACATTAAAAATGTACATGTATAAAAACATGTGCTCACTGTTAAAATAATCTGGCAATTCATTAAAGTATAAAGAAGAAAAACTGAAATTTTGTATCACATCTATTTCTCAATATACCAGCCACTCCTTACATAGGAAGACGATGCCATTAACCCATAATCCATAGAGAAAATACTCTGAATCCTTTCACAGGACTGGAGTTTCACAATGATGTGGAATTTCAAATTTTAGATCTAACAATCTAACATCTTCATTTTACAGAGGGGAGAAATTTAAATGATTTGATCAAAAGGGAAACAAGAATTTCAGATTTTGAAAATTTTCAGGCTGGGCATGGTAGCTCACCCCTGTAATCCCAGCACTTTGGGAGGCCGAGGTGGGTGGATCACCTGAGGTCAGGAGTTTGAGACCAGCCCAGCCAACATGGTGAAACCCTGTCTCTATTAAAACTACAAAAATTAGCCGGGTGTGGTGGCGCATGCCTGTAATCCCAGCTCTTCGGGAGGCTGAGGCAGGAGGATTGCTTGAACCTGGGAGGCGGAGGTTGCAGTGAGCCAAGATCGTGCCACTGCACTCCAGCCTGGGCAACAGAGTGAGACTCTATCTCAAAAAAATATATAAAGTTTTCAGTTAAATCTTCCGTGATACAAGTTAGGTGAATATTTTACAGATAGATGGCTAAGCCAGGCCAAAAACTCTTGAGGGGAGAGGGGAAGATAAAGTATCAGAATCATCAGTGAATAGGGGATCTCAAGCTACCCATGCCCCGCCTATCATTCCTCACTCTCTGAGAAGCGATGTTTTGATTACCATTCACATTGCAAATGTTTCTGATGTGCGTCTTAGTCCTCAGAATACTTGGGCATAGGAAGGCTACACATCATACACAAATACATTTGGTGATGGTGGATGGATTGTAACAAAACCACCAAAACACAAAGAAACTTAACCACAACTGTGGCTGAACACTAAATTGTTACCTCAATTGTTTACGGAACTCTTTGGATTAAACTTTAAAAGAAACTCTCGTCTTATCATTTTAAGCTTAATTTAAAAAATAATTGCCGGCCAGGCGCGGTGGCTCACTCCTGTAATCCCAGCACTTTGGGAGGCCGAGGCAGGGAGATCATCTGAGGTCAGGATTTTCAAGATCAGCCTGGCCAACATGGTGAAACCCGTCTCTACTAAAAATACAATAATTAGCCGGGCATGGTGGTGGGCGCCTGTAATCCCAGCTACTTGGTAGGCTGAGGCAGGAATTGCTTGAACCCGGAAGGCAGAGGTTGCACCGAGCCGAGATCGTGCCATTGCACTCCAGCCTGGGCGACAGAGCAAGACTCCGTCTCAAAAAAAAAAAGTAATGCCAAAGGAAAACCATAGCACTGGTTTGGGAATTTTATAATTAGTAAAACAAAGTTCTTCTATACCTGGATTTTATTTATTTGAAAGGCCTTTGGTTGTTTTTTGAGATAGGGTCTAGCTCTATCACCCAGCCTGGGGTGCAATGATGCAATTATAGCTCACTGCAGCCTTGAACTCCTGGGCTTAAGCAATCCTCCTGCCTCAGCCTCAGCCTCCCGAGTAGCTGGAACTACAGGCCCACACCACTATGCCTGGCTGGTCTTGAACTCTTAGCCTTAGCCTCCCAAAGTGCTAGGACATCTTTCTTCCGTGACTATTGGTATAAGAAAGAGCACTGGTGAAGTTCACCAGCCACACTGTGGAAAGTTCAAAGTGGTTACTGCCAAAGTTCAAAGACATGGTTACTGCCAAACATTCTCTCCACTTCAAACTTTGTCACAAAAGGGTGCTAAGGAAAAAACCAGCCAACACCACACAAAAAACTGTCTCCAGTCCTGGTTGGCAAAGAATGAAATTACACCAGTGACCTCAATTTGGGAGGCAATAACTCCAACACCTGGTTGGTCTCCTTTAATTATCAGAAGGAGCACGTGGGCCAGGAAAGGAGAGCTGAGTCGGTACCTGATCCAGTCCTCCTCCAGCTCATCACAGGACTCGCCGCCAGTTGTGTAGTCTGTCTCATAGTGATCTTGCTCTGTTCTCTTTGACCTTCCTGCTCTTCCCTTTGCAGGTGCTCTTTTTGAAGGTGTCTCAAAGTTACCACCGCTGCTGTAACGAGGCTGCCTGAAGTCATCCACAGGCGAAGTTAATGGAAGCTCCTGAACCACTTCAGGAACCCTAATAAAAACAGGCATCATTGTTCAGTACACTACAGCCCTTTGCCAGTGCACTGTAATCACAGAGCACAGCCATAATAAACACCAGCAGACATCTGCACGCAGGTGCACTCACGCGAGGACTTCAGATGTTCAACACTGAGCAGATGCCTCGTTTTCTGCATTCAATTTGACAGCAGTTCAGAGTCCTCTAATACACACAAGTAGTAGGTTCCAATTTAAAGGGGAGTAGCCATTTTTATACCTTCTAAGTACAATGGATCTCAGATTTCATTTTAAAAAGTTCAGGCTGATCTATAAGAGGTGTTTACTTGACCTGTGCCAGGGACTTACTCTACAAAGGCTGTCAGGAAAACAGTGATCATTCTTTTCTACAGGCTCTTCTAGTTCCCTGGAATGCTGCATGGGGAAGAATGCACACATGCTCTTTGTAATATTGATCTTATACTACCATATATCAATTATCATATTAAGATAAAATCTTGCAAAATAAACTAAATATCTAAACTAAAAAAGTAAAAAGCTTTACATTGCAATAAATTAAAGAGTTCCTTTAGGATTCTTTTTAAAATTGCTGTTAATCCTGAAGCCACGTAGAATGAATAGAAGGGTTACCATTACACACTTACTATTTTCTTCTAATACAATTATTTAAAGTTGCATCACAATTGCATGTTTCGGACACAAACATGAAAATAACCCTAACTGAGGAATAAAATACCAAAGTTGAAAGTGGGAACTACTTCTGAGTAAAAGAAATACGAAGTTTCATTTTCTTGTAGAAAAGGGCAAGAACAGAAATGAAAACACCAAAGAATGGGCCTAAGACTTTCCAAGCATCAGCCTTGCCATTCCAATCAACTATTTAAAATGTCTGAAGCGTTTCTTTTTGCTGCCAATTTACATAAACTATCATACTGAGCTCTTCCAGGTTTAGTCCCTTTTCTAGGTGATCCACATGTGCTTTGCTGTAACTGTTGTCAGAGTCTTAGATTTCTAAGCACACAATTTCTTGCAGACTCTAAACTTTGGGGTATGTGTGTGTAGATGCAGGTGGGGGTAGTATTTATTTCTTCTTTCAAGATTTATGGCCGGAGGCGGTGGCTCACACCTGTAATCTCAGCACTTTGGGAGGCCGAGGTGGGCGAATCACTTGAGGCCAGGAGTTCAAGATCGGCCTGGCCAACATGGTGAAACCCCATCTCTACAAAAAATACAAAAATTAGTGCACTGTGGCAGGCATCTGTAATCCCAGCTACTCGGGAGGCTGAGGCAGAAGAATTGCTTGAACCCAGGAGGCAGAGAATGCAGTGAGCTGAGATCGCACCACTGCACTCCACCCTGGGTAACAGAATGAGATTCTGTCTAAAAAAAAAAAAAATTATTCAGGTAATATGGCTTTGTGTGCTATGCTAATGTTACTTCTAATGGAGAGAAAATGTGACTTTCTCCATGAGTCAATGATTAACAAGTTCCTAGACACTCTGCCAAAACTGCCAGGTACTATGCCTCTTCTTTGAGGTAGAAAAACAAAACCTTTAGAATGCAGTGGATTCATTTTAGGGGTGGGGCCAAAGAGGGAGGGAACTAAAGGGCAAAAGAAATTAGAAAAAAACATAAAAACAAAAAGTAAAACATCAAAGTAGGCCTCCTGCCAGAATTTTTATGATATTAGATATTGATATATCTTTAACTTCGAAGTTTTCCTCCCCTCCTCCTACACCCCTTTAAAATATTAACATACTTGATCTAGCATGAAAGCTAAAAGCAAAATGTTTCACAAGAAAAGTATTGACTACAGGTGTGAGCAACACCACACTGGGCTAATTTTTAATTTTTTTGTAGAGACAGGGTCTCACTCTGTTGCCCAGGCTGAGCCTTCCACATTTCCCAAGCTGCGTTGATCTTTCCAGCCCAGCATGAAGTTTTCTTTCCCAAAGCTTACATAGCAAAAAGATTCTGATTGGCCCTTTTTGGGTCACTGTCATCCTTGAAGCCAGGAGAATGTTCTCTGATTAGCAAGACTTAGATATGCCTCCCAATAATGGTAGCAGCTCTAAAATACAGTGTGTACAACAAACGTCATTCTAATAGTCATGGCATTGTTGATCATGGGTTGTTTCTCTGCCTTCACTGATGCTGTGTGTAATCAGAAAAGAAGGATTCTTATGCATGTGTTTTCAATTCAGTAATTGTCCTGAACACCTGACATGCATAGAGTACTGAGCCAGGTGACCCTGGGAAGACCAGGTCCATGTTCTCACGGAGGCTGCAAAACAGGGGTGGAGGAAAGTGCACAACAATTCTGCTGAGAGTCAGGGCAAGGTAGGAGCAATAAAGGCAGCGTGAAGGAGTGTGAGAGAGAATAAAACAAATGACTGAAGAATAAAAAGAACAAGCCGGCCAGGTGCGGTAGCTCACACTTGTATAATCCCAGCACTTTGGGAGGCTGAGGCAGGGGGATCACTTGAGGTTAGGAGTTTGAGACCGATCTGGCCAACATGTTGAAACCCCTGTCTCTACTAAAAATACAAAAATTAGCTGAGCATGGTGGTGCAAGCCTGTGATCCCAGCTACTCAGGAGGCTGAGGTGGGAGGATCGCTTGAACCTGGGAGGTAGAGGTTGCAATGAGCCAAGATTGCACCAACACATTCCAGCCTGGATGACAGAGCAAGACTCCATTTCAAAAAAACCAAAAACAACAAAAAAAACCCAGGCATGGTTGCATGCACCTGTAGTACTAGCTACTCAGGAGGCTGAGGCAGAAGGATCACTTGAGTGCAGGAATTTGAGGATTCAGTGAGCTATGATCACACCACTGGACTCCAGCCTGTGTGAAACAGTGAGACCCTATCTCTAAAAAGTAAAAATAAATAAATAAATAAATGTAGATGGCTATCCTGTCACAACAGAAGCTGAACTGAGAAGAAAGCCAACATACCGACAGATGAAAGAGAGCACATAACAGCCCTGCTATCTTCTGAATCCTTCGATTATGCCATGACTGAAGCTACAGACGTCCTTGGGCCTCACGTGACTCAGATAATTCCTCCTTTCACTTAAGCTATTTTTTTTCATGATTTTTTTTTTTTTAATTGAGACAGGGTCTCCCTATGTTGCCCAGGCAGGTCTCAAACTCCTGGCCTCAAGCAATCTTCCCACCTCATTGGCCTCCCAAAGTGCTGGGATTATCAGCCTGAACCACCATGCCCCATCTTAAACTAGTTTAAACTGGGCTTCTATAACTCCTCTAACTTGCATAAAAGTCCTAACATCATCCTACCAGCCTATTACTACCAAACAATGGTCTCATTTAGCAATGCAAGGAGTCAGCCTTCTTTGAAAGCTTTGCATTGCAGCAACATTCAACTTCCTTGATTTATGAAGGGTAATTCAACCTGGGTGTGGACAGGATAGTGGAGAGTGTACCTAATAGGGCTCTCCCAAGTTCGTTTAGTAGGTTTGGAGAGGCAACCATCTTCAGCTAAATTCTGGTGTCCCCTGATGCAGGATTAATTCTCAGAGCTGACTGCCTTAAAATTCTAAGGTATGGGACATTATAAGCAAAAGGAACCAGATATGAGAGTAAACTGCATTATTCCATTTTATTTAAAGTCCAATAATAACACGTTCACTAACAGATGGTGACAGACATCAAAATAGCTGTTACCTTGGGGTGGGTGTGGGTGGGTATTGATGGAGAAAGGGCACATGGGGACCTTATGTAGGGCTCAAAATGTATCTTGGTGGTGGGAGTTAAGTGGTCATAGATGGGAAAACTCATCAAGCTGTATACTCAAGATTAGTGCTCTTTTTATGGAATGTACATTACGCGTTGGGAGAAAAAAACATCTTAATACTGATTTACCTCATCCTTGGCACGGATGGGTGGATGGACACAATGTTCTCCATCTAATTCCTTCTCTATCCACTAGCATGGTGAGGAAGAGAGGTGCTCATGGGTTACTAAGCACTTGCAAGAATGCCTTAGGAAAGACAGGCTATGACTTATGTGTTCTTATTCCCATTCAAGTGGGTGTCCTCTGAATCCTCTATAGCACTCAGTACTCTACTATGAACAACACTTTACAATTTCTATTGCCCCCCAGAGGCTGTAAAATCCTTCCATCATTACCATGCTCTGGGGGAGATATTGTGCATTAGTATCTCTTAGTACCACTCCCATTCACCCATTCATCTGGGTTCTAAAATGAAGCATCGTGTTTGCACTTTCCAGACCTTCAAAAAAAATTCTGGGGCATAAGTTTGGAGCAGAAACTAGTACAATCCTTAAGAAATAAAACTTTTACTACATCTATCAAAATGAAAAAATGCACATTTATTTTAGCTCAGCAATTCTGCCTCCAGATACATTCACATATGTATAAAGTGATAAATGTATAAGGTTATTCCTTATACATTTGTGGTCTGTAATAACAAAACATTGGGGGAAAGTGTGCATCATATAGGATTAATACATTAAGTATACCAGCCAGGTGCGGTGGCTCATGCCTGTAATCCCAACACTTTGGGAGGCTAAAGCAGGCAGATCAGTTGAGGTCAGGAGTTCAAGACCAGCCTGGCCAACATGACAAAACCCCATCTCTACTAAAAATTAGCCAGGCGTGGTGGTGGGTGCCTGTAATCCCAGCTACTCAGGAGGCTAAGGCAGGCTACTCGGGAGGCACTTGAACCTGGGAGGCAGAGGTTGCAGTGAGCCGAGATCGCGCCACTGTACTCCAGCCTGGGCAACGGAGCGAGACTCTGCCTCAAAAAATAATAATAATAAAATAAATAAAGTATACCTATTTGGTAGAATATTATACAGCTATAAAACACAATAGTGCTTCTTCTTGATTATAATTAAAAAAATAAAACAGAATCAGGCAACTCATTGCATAGTGATATGGACAATATCCAAGATAAAATATATTGCTAATGATACATTTGGTATGCTAATATTTTCTTTTTCTTTTTTTTGAAACAGGGTCTCACTCTGTCACCCAGACTGAAGTGGAGTGGCACGGTCTTGGCTCACTGCAGGCTTGACCTCCTGGGCTCAATCAATCCTCCCACCTCAGCCTCCCAAGTAGCTAGGACTAGAGGCATGTGCCACCATACCTGGCAAATCTTTATATTTTTTGTAGAGAGGGGGTTTAGCAATAATGCCCAGGGTGTTCTCGAACTCCTAGGCTCAAGCAATCCACCCACCTCAGCCTCCCGAAGTGCTGGAATTACAGGCATGAGCCACTATGCCCAGCTCTGGTATGCTAGTATTTTAAGGGGGGGTGGGGGAATCAATGTACTTTGGCCAGTATCTTTATGTTTTAAAATCTGTGGAGAAATAGAAAGTGATGACATTAGTTGCCTCTGGGGAGAGGAACTAGCTAGCTGGTACCTTTTGTCCCTTTTAAATTTTCCACTACATAAAGTATTCAAGAATAAGAAAGATTAATACTTAAGGAATAAGACTTTCAAATTAATTTCAAATGAATTTGTGAAACTATCCTGGTTTTTGTGAAAAGGGACAACACCAGGGAATGCTGTGTAACCACGCAGGCCTTACAATTTAGAGGAACAGCTGGTGCCAAGATGCAGTATAGATATACATTTTGTATGTATGAAAGTTCTGCAAATTGGTCCTTTTATAGTTGATGAGCATGATGATTGGGTGTTCACACGCATGTGTGAAATGTCCCACCCTCAAATCTTGTTACAATATTGGCACATTACCCATCTGACATGAAAAAGGAGAAAAAAAAAGTTCTGCAAATCATAGCTTAAAAATTTTAGAGGCTGAGGCAGGAGGATCACTTAAGGCCAGGAGTTCAAGACTATCCTGGGCAACAAAGCAAGACCCCTTCTCTACAAAAATAAAAATAAAAAATTAGCCAGCCATAGTGGCACATACCTGTGGTCCTGGCTAAAGTGAGCTATGAAGCAAGAGGACTGCTTGAGCCCAGGAGTTCAAGGTCACAGTGAGCTATGATAACACCACTGCACTATAGGTCTGGGCGACAGAGTGAAACAGCATCTCAAACAAATGATGAAAAAAAAAAACTTAGAAGGATTGCATCTCTCTTGCGTACCCTTGTCCCTAACACTCTCAAGTGCTTTAGTTTTTGTCAAAATCCAAAGAGAAGAACAGAGAAAATGTGCTTTCTCCAAATCATTCACAATTGAAATCAACAGCAAGATCAAGTCTGAATACCAAAACAACTATGCACTCAGAGTAAATCTCATATATCATGGCCCACTAATCAGGAGTCGGGCATTGGGGATAAAACTTCAAAGCAGGCCAGGCGCGGTGGCTCACGCCTGTAATGCCCGCACTTTGGGAGGCCAAGACAGGTAGATCACCTGAGGTCAGGAGTTCGAGACCAACCTGGCCAACATCATGAAACCCCGTCTCTACTAAAAATACAAAAATTAGCCAGGCATGGTGGCGCGCACCTGTAATCCCAGCTACTAGGAGGAGGCTGAGGCAGGAGAATCACTTGAACCCAGGAGACGGAGGTTGCAGTGAACTGAGATCGCACTACTGCACTCCAGCCTGGGTAACGGAGTGAGACTCCGTCTCAAAAACAAAACAAACAAAAAAACACTTCGAAGTAACAAAAAAGTTATTTCCAGTAGATACACCTTTAACATAGACATTCAAACTAGCTGAAAGGAAATTTTTTGGGCTTTTTCAGTCTCCAAAGGAACTTAGAGTTCTAGAATTACAGTCACAAAGTCATAAAGACATTTCAGTCAATAAGGGACTAATAAAAGTATACGGCAAATGCAATTATGTACAGTATATAATACTTGACAATAAACGACTATGCTACTGGTTTATGTATTTACACTATATTTTTTATTAGATTCCTTCAACTTATTAAAAAAAAAAAAGAGTTGAAACAGGAAAAAAAAGTTAAAAGAGCCTCAGGCAGGTGCTTCAGGAGGTATTCCAGAAGAAGGCACTGTCACCATGGAAGATGACAGCTCTGGGTGTGTTATTGGCCCTGATGACCTTCCAGTGCAACGAGATGTGGAAATGGAAGACAGTGATATTGATGTAGGCCTAGGCAAATGTGTATGTTTGTATCTTAGTTTTGGGTTTGTGTGTGTGTGTGTGTGTGTTTATTTTTATTTTTTTTGAGATAGGGTCTCTGTTGCCCAGGCTGGAGGGCAGTGGTGCAATCGCAGCTCACTGCAGCCTCCCAAAGTGGTGGGATTACAGGCATAAGCCACTGCACCCAGTCTGTATCTTAGTTTTTAACAATAAAGTGTAGAAACTAAAATAAAATTTACATGGTAAAAATAGAAAACAGCACTTTGGGAGGCCAAAGTGGGAGGATCACTTGAGGTCAGGAGTCTAAGAACAGCCTGGTGGCAGGGCATGGTGGCTCATGCCTGTAATCCCAGTACTTTGTGAAGCCGAGGCAGGCAGATCGCTTGAGCCCAGGAGTTTGAGACCAGCCTGGACAACATAGCAAGACCCTGTCTCTACAAAAAAAAATAGAAAAAAATAGCTGGGCATGGTGGAGCACATGTGTAGTCCCAGCTACTGAGGTGACTAAGTAGTCTCAGCTACTTAGGTGACTAAAGTGGGAAGATCGCTTGAGCCTGGGAGGTCAAGGCTACAGTGAGCTGTGACCACACCACTGCACCCCAGGCTGGGTGACAGATTGAGACCATGTCTCTACCAAAAAAAAAAAAAAAAAAAAAAGCTTATAGAATAAGGAAAATACTTCTCTATATCTATATATCTATACAATGTAGGTATGGGATTTTTGGCTTTTCTTTTATTTTTGGCTGGATTTGAGCTCCCGGGCTCAAGTATGATCCCTCCCACCTCAGCCTCCCAATTAGCTGGGACTGCTGGTGTGCACCACTGTGCCAGGGTTTGTGATTGTGTTTTTTGTTGTTGTTCTTTTGTTTGTTTGTTTTTGAGACGGAGTCTCACTTTGTCGCCCAGGCTAGAGTGCAGTGGCGCGATCTCGGCTCACTGGGAGCTCCACCTCCCGGGTTCACGCCATTCTCCTGCCTCAGCCTCCCGAGTAGCTGGGACTACAGGCACCCGCCACCATGCCCGGCTAATTTTTCGTACTTTTAGTAGACACGGGGTTTCACCCTGTTAGCCAGGATGGTCTCAATTTCCTGACCTCGTGATCCACCTGCCTCAGCCTCCCAAAGTGCTGGGATTACAGGGGTGAGCCACCGCGTCCGGCCTTTTGTTTTTTTTTTTGAGACAGAGTTTCACTTTGTCACGCAGGCTGGAGTGCACTGGTGTGATCTCAGCTCACTGTAACCGCCGCCTCCCAGGTTCAAGTGATTCTCCTGCCTCAGCTTTCCGAGTAGCTGAGATTACAGGTGTGAGCCACCATGCCTGGCTAATTTTTGTATTTTTAGTAGAGACAGGGTTTTGCCATTTTGGCCAGGCTGGTCTCGAACTCCTGACCTCAGGTGATCCGTCCACCTGGGCCTCCCAAAGTGTGGGGATTACAGGCGTGAGCCACTGCACCCAGCCATGTGATTGTGTTTTAAGTGTTATTACAAAAGAGTCAAAAAAATTAAAGTTATAGAAAGCTAAGATTTATTATAGAAGAAAGAAAAATGTTTAGTAAATTTAGTGTAGCCTAAGTATAGTGTTTATAAAGTGTACAGTAATGTCCTAGGCCTTCACATTCACTCACCACTTACTCCCTGACTCACCCAGAGCAACTTCCAGTCCTACAAGCTTCATTCATGGTAAGTGCCTTACAAGATGTACCATTTATTTATTTATTTATTTATTTATTTAGATGGAGCTTCGCTCTTGTTGCCCAGGCTGGAGTGCAATGGCACAATCTCCACTTACAACAACCTCCGCCTCCCGGGTTAAACCGACTCTCCTGCCTCAGCCTTCCCAAGTAGCTGGGATTACAGGCATGCGCCACCACGCCTGGCTATTTTTAGTAGAGATGGGGTTTCTCCATGTTGGTCAGGCCGGTCTTGAACTCCTGACCTCAGGTGATCCACCTGCCTCGGCCTCCCAAAGTGCTGGGATTATAGGCGTGAGCCACCGCCCCCGCCAAGATGTACCATTTTTTATCTTTTATATTTACTGTACCTTTTTTGTGTTTAGATATACAAATACCACTGTATTACCGCTGCCTAGAGTATTTGGTATATTAACATGCTGTCTGCATTTGTAGCGTAAAAGCAAGAAGCTATACCACATAGCCTAGGCTCGTAGCAGGCTATCCATCTAGGTTTGTGTTAAGTACACTGTGATGTTCACTCAAGGATGAAATTGCCTAAAGACACACTTCTCAGTATTCCCATCGTTAAACAATGCATGACTATATATGTAAAAATAACGACTTCATCATCCTTAGGCAAAAATTACATCCCCGTCCATACCAATTATCTCCAATAGTCTTCTCTCACTAGTCATTAGGTGGAATTAGAATTGAGCTTTAGGGTAAGTGTTTCCACCACAGAGATACCATTTCAATTATCATATGACACCTACCCTAGGCCAGACGTTCACTGAGGTTTCACATCTCCCAGCAATACTGAGGACCTAGCACAGCAAATGAAATACCACAATTCCTGGATTCAAATGAAGTCTTCTAGTTTAACAGAAATGTATGTGGGCAGGGTTGATTAATGTGAAATGTCCTCCCTTCTGTTTATGAGATCCAACAATTATAGGCAAAAGGAGAGGCTGAGCACAGCACTGACCTCTGCTCAGTAACTTCCTCTCACCCTCACCTAAACTTCAAAACCAGAAATAGCAGAACCACATTCCTAGAGTGAAAGAACCCAACCCAACCTTTCAATTAAACAAGTAAGTGAAAAGAAGCATTTTCAACTTAGAAGGGAAATAGAACCCCACCCTCCTCATCCTGGTCTTCCAAGTAGCCGTAGGCCTCTGTACCAACAAAGCAAAGATTGTTGTAATACCAAGATCCAGATCCAGCTTTTGTGTGCACTGCTGGATATTTTTTTTAAGCAGAAAGGCACAAAAACCAATTATATGCAAATACTCATTTTTACACTCAGTCTATCAAACTAAGAGAGATGCTACTTACGGCGTGGATTTATAGGAAGACTCTGGATAAAACCGCTTGTCATTCACTTTGCCATTGGAAGAGTATGCCATGGGACTGTCAACTCTTTCCACATAGTCAGATGGGGGTGAAGGCACGTCCTGTGTGCCTGCAGACACATTTTTAACCTTAAAAAACCCCAAGAGATAGTTATTATTTATCTTGTAATGAAAAGGGGGAAGACACTGAAGAAAATTATCTTATATACATTATCTAATATTTATGTGGCCCATTAAATACTATTAACACTAATAATAAAAAGGCAATCATTACAGGTTAATAGTTAAATCCACATTGTAATAGACATATAAACAGTGCTACTGCTAGTTTAAACAAGTATATTACCAAGAAGAAAAATCTGATCACCTAGTTCTCATCCTAATGTGATTAGGTTTCATAATTATCTATGGCAATTTTCCACCTCCATATTAGGAAGACTGGTCTCATTATCTCACGCCCACATTAGAAAGACCACTCTCATTTAACCTAAGCCAGGTCTCGGTTAGGAGAATTTTCATTTCTAACAAGCTCTCAGGTAATGCTATGTTGCTGTCTGTGCACCACACTTGGAAAAGCACTAATCTAGAACAAAGCACACTGGTAGTTCTTAATCCATTCACCTCTCAACGTGGAATGTTAAAACCACAGAAGAAATTAAGAAGTTCAAGCTGACTTCTACTCTTTTAATAAGAGATTTGTTTATTCTCCCTTAATGTACGTTCTCTATGGCTCTATTACTAATAACCTACACAATATATCACACAACATCAGTGCCTTCCCTTTTCACTTTCCTTATTTCATTCTGATGTGTAAGTGAATTCATCCTACAAAAGTAACATGCATTAGAAATTATGCCTTAATAGGCCGGGCGCGGTGGCTCACGCCTGTAATCCCAGCACTTGGGGAGGCTGAGGCGGGTGGATCATGAGGTCAGGAGATCGAGACCATCCTGGCTGACACAGCGAAACCCCGTTTCTACTAAAAATACACACACAAAAAAAATTAGCTGGGCGTGGTGGCATGCACCTGTAGTCCCAGCTACTCGGGAGGCTGAGGCAAGAGAATCACTTGAACCAGAGAGGCGGAGGTTGCAGTGAGCAGAGATAGTGCCATTGCACTCTAGCCTGGCCAACAGCGAGACTGTGTCAAAAAAAAAGAAATTATGCCTTAATGTGAAATACATATACAGGTTCTTCTTATCTGAGGAATGTAAGCCCTTTCTTAAAAGCTATCAGGCCCGGAGAGGCATTAAAATGAAACAGCAATCAAGTCCTACTTCCCCCTTGAGCTATGTAGTTATCTCCAGAAACCGCGTAATCTAACAATGCTACACACTGGGCACCATAACCCTGCTATAGCTCGACGATGTAACAACGTTATTTCTGTAAACCAGTGAGAATTCCTGATGAACAACTTTGTTTCTATCCACTCCTTGTGCCCCGTTTTTGCCTTTAAAAACTTGCTTATAAAAAAGGTTGCATGGCGCACTCCCCAAGGCAGCTTGGAAGCATGTCCCAGGCAGCTGTTCTCAACCTTGGCCCAAATAAATTTTCTATATTAATTTTGCCTCAGCTTCTTCCCCTAGGTCAATATTAACATGGAAGGCTTACCACAGAACCTTTGGGATAAAAAATTTAAACATAAAAAGCACAGCCAACTAGACTCCCAACACTGTATGTATATATATGTGTGTGTGTGTGTGTATATATATATGTGTGTGTGTGTGTGTGTGTATATATATATATGTGTGTGTATATATATATGTATATATGTGTATATATACATGTGTGTGTGTATACACACACACACACACACACACACATACATGCATACATATATATATATATTTTTTTTGAGACAGAGTCTCACCCTGTCACCCAGGCTGGAGTGCAGTGGTGCGATCTCGGCTCACTGTAACCTCCGCCTCCTGGGTTCAAGTGATTCTCCTGCCTCAGCCTCCCGAGTAGCTGGGATTACGGGCACCCACCAACATGCCCGGCTAATTTTTGTATTTTTAGTAGAGATGGGGTCTAACCATGTTGGCCAAGCTGGTCTCGAACTCCTGACCTTAAATGATCCACCCACCTCGGCCTCCCAAAGTGCTGGGATTACAGGCGTGAGCCACCACGCCCGGCCACTGTTAGATTTTATGTTTTATGTAACAGCTCCAACACTCTTGACATTTTACCTAATAGCCTTTAAATTATTACATATCACTCTGTAATTGAGAAAAAAAATTGGAAAAAAACCAAAGACCTCAAACAAGTGCTAATCCTAGATGAATCATTTAGTTGTTTTAAGGCAAAGGAATAGAAATAAAGTGTGGGAAAAAAATCAAAATAAATCTACAGATATTTCTGTGAAAAAGAGCTGCTATTCAAAAGGGTAGAACCGCTCTAGCTTTGTGATAGGATCAATGGCATTTTAGGGTTTGGTACGTGTGCTTGTAGTGCCAGCTACTCGGGAGGCTGAGATGGGAAGACCTCTTGAGACTGAGAGGTGGAGGCTGCAGTGAGCTCTGATTGTGCCACTGCACTCCAGCCTGGGTGTCAGAATGAGACCCTGTCTCAAATACATACAAACACAACCAATAGCATCAGATTATCTGGGCTCACCCCAGGTCTGCCAACCACAAATTCTATAAAGCCTTAGTTTTCATCTGAAAAAGAAAAAAAGAAAAAAAAAAGGAGAAAACTACCTAGTACATAAAGTTATTTTGATGATTAAATGAGGTGACAAGGTATCACATTTACTACAGTGCCTTTAAACACAGTAAAAATTCAAAAGATGCTGGATTTTGGAATTAAGGCCACTTGATCTGATCAAATAATTTTTACAAGAATTTGGAGGTGGCAGAAGACCTTTATTTGGATTATTTTGCTATTATAAAGCCTTACAATTAGGTTCAGCTTCAATGCAGTGTATCTTCTGCAATACATATTCCTTACATCTTAAGTTTCCCATTCTTAGTAGCATTACATTAAAACATGAGATGCACTCTCCTGACGTATCCAGGCAGTATCACATACAGAAAGATATTTACCTACCCCTCAAAGTACATAGGGGTATTCTTGATTGTTTAACATTCAGAGACAGAAAGGAATAGAATCATTTCCCTCTGAAAGTGGAATTTGGCAGCAACTGCGAAACCAGTGGGTGGGTTGCCACGGAGTGTGCTCAGACCCCACCACAGGAGGGAAGGGAGGGAAGCACTCTTGGTTCCCACAGAATTCCTTACAACAAAAGTTTACAACAGAAGTTGCCAAGCTTCACAGGCAAATGCTTCACCAAACCAAAGCCTATTCTTAATCCAATACCTTATCAGAATTTAAAAATCCTTCCTTTGCTTAAAAACCCATTTTATACTTCTCTAGGTCCCACCTCCTCCTCACAGCGTGAGCTTTAGCAGAGTCTGTGTATCTTTTCAGAGATTTCTTACTGGCTAAAATGCCCTTCCCCTTTTGCCAGCTATTCCTTAATTGGGTTTCAATTCTTGGCTCATGTGCCACCACCTCCTCCTCATACAAGCCCCTCCTGGATGAGGCACCAACCTGTGCTATCTCCCTACACCTGTGCATACAAACCTCCCACCAAATCGCTTATGCACTGCCGAACAATGGCTTGCTCACCTATCTCACTTCAGTAGGCAGCGGACTGGGCTTAAGCCACCACTATCTGACTGCTTACAATTAGCCAAATATTGAAGTGACAGATCATTTTGTAGGCATGGATTTACAGGCAAATATCGTTCCTTTTCCAGAAATGAGGAAGCTGTGGCTCAGGCAGTTAGACAACTTTCCCAAGAACCTAGATGTAGAAAATGCAAGGGCGGGCAGTTTCCTGCTTTCCTCTTCGAGTCTCCAAAGGACCACACAGTGTCTGGCACAAATCGGGAGCCCCAAGTTTGCTGCATAAAGTTTACCTCATTGATAACTGTTCTATTTCTACACTGTATACCCAAGTATTTTATCAATGAGGCACACTGAGCTGACCTTTCTCTCTTAGCATCAGCAGAACTGGACTAGCTTGACCACTGACTCCACCCTTCAGCAAAGATCTCTGATTAAACCTTTTCTATACACATGCATAATAAATTCCAAGGCAGTGCTCCCTTCAGCAGCACATATATAAAGTTGAACAATACAGGAAAGATTAGCATGGCCTTTGGGCAAGAACAGCACCCAAATTCATGAAACATTCCATTTTTTTTTTTAAATCCTGAGCCAGCTGATGCCAGACTCCAACAGTCTAGAGGCAAAGGCAAAATATATTTGAAAAACAAGGAGTACGATCATTTTTTTTCCTCTTTACACTGCAATTTTCCTGAAAAAAGGCTAAAATATTTTTTCCTCTAACCCACTTAATGGTACCAATGCCAAGTAAGTATAAACCCAGTATCTGCGGCTTTTGAAGGACAGTAGGAAAGTAGAAGGGGGTTGGAGGGGGCAATACAAAGTGAACAGGTGCTCATTTCTACAAGGAGTCCCCAACCTGTATTTCCTATTATGAGAGAAATGACTTCTGAATTTCACTGTTATTACTGACAGAATGCCCCAGTCAGCTCATAAAACTCAATGATGTAGTTAAAGTTCTCTTAAAAAGGAAAAGAAAAATATTTTAATTTTCACAGTAAGATTTTTTTTTCTTAAGAGATGAGGCCTTGCTATGTTGCCCAAGCTGGACTTGAACTCCTGGACTCATGCAATCCTCCTACCCTAGCCTCCCGAGTAGCTGGGACTACAGGGTCACACCACTACATCTCACTTTTAAAGAATGAGTACTTGAGAAAACCAGCTAGGCATAATTCTAAACAGCAAAGTGTCTTTGTAACAATTTTCCCTTAAGTAACTTGAGGATATCTCTAAGAAATTAAGGACAGAAGAAAGCAGGATGAAAACACAAATCAAAGATTTCTCTAGGCCAGGTGCGGTAGCTCATGCCTGTAATCCCAGCACTTTGGGAGGCTGAGGCAGGAGGGATCACCTGAAGTCGGGAGTTCGAGACCAGCCTGGCAAACAAGGTGAAACCCCATCTCTACTAAAAATACAAAAATTAGCCAGGCATGGTGACGCACGCCCGTAATCCCAGCTACTTGGTGGCTGAGGCAGAAGAATCACTTGAACCCGGGAGATGGAGGTTGCAGTGTGCCGAGATTGCACCACTGTACTCCAGCCTGGGTGACAGATTCCATCTCAAAAAAAAGAAAAAAACAACAAAGTAACTCAGACTTACTCTTGAAATTACATTCAAAAAGGACAAGCACTCACACTGAACATGCTTAAGGAGTATGAATTATTAATTTAGGGAATATGCAGGGAAATTTTATTAAGATTCTTATTCCAATCAAGAAAGAATTTATTTCCGAAATAGCAAAATGAAATATTATTTTAAAAGATCTTCACAAGAGGTAATTATGAGGATAAATTTTTATTCAAAGCTTAATTGTACTCATTAGAAGTGTTCTGATTATGTCACTTGTGAAAAAATTCTTTGTGACAAACAACATCTAACACTCCTTGGAGAGTTAATGAAAACATCCTAAACCCCTGTGGGATGCCAACAGGAAAACAAACAGGGCAGCTCTCCTTTAGAGCAGCTCAGGTGCTCTTCTCCAAATACCTACCGTGATTCTTCCTCACCTGAGAGTAAGATGGGTCTACACCATCATGTTGGTCCCACCTTCCCCACCCTGACTCCCTGAAGTCAGAGAAGGAATAAAAAGGTCAAGAAGGAATGTTCTAGGTCACTTTGAAAGAAAATCTTCTCTCCTCCAAAACAAAGATCGGGGAAAACACTTATCCCCACTTAGATCAATTTCATATTTCATTTGGAGTTAGTAAAAGCAAAATATATGCAAATTATATGCAATTATAGCTAATCCTCATTTTTCTCCTCGCCCTAATTTCATCCCTAGTTCACACATGGGAGAGAGTCAGGCTAGACCTGCACCCATGTGGTCTAGCAATGTGCAAAAGCCATCTACCTCTAAGAAGGAAAGGGAAGTTCACCTGTTGAGTATTCAGCATGTGCCAGGCAAACCCGACTTCGTTTATTCTCACCGCCACCCAAGGAGATACAATTATCTCTATTTTCAGATGAGGAAATTGAGTTTCTACAGTTAAATTAACTTGCTCAAAGTCACAGAGAAGGTAAAGTAGCAGAGGGGAGATTTGAACCCTGGTCCATCTAGCTCCAAAGCTCAGCTCTTTCTGGCATAAAAAACTGCCACCTCAAGAATTCAAACATGGCTTGAAGTACCCATCTTGGATGGGTATTTTGACTGGTCTTTGTAACAAAGGAGACCATTCTCATTGTCTTAAACTCCTCCCCATTTTGAAAAGCTTTATTTGCCTATTAGTTTAACTTTGTAAGAGCAGCTATTGATGCAAAATTATTATGAGTATGTTTCATGCCTTTGTTTAGGTCAGCGTTTAGGAACACCTCTCTCAAAAAGGAAAGAGTAGGATTTTCCCAGCTTGGTGATTAAAGTGGAGATATACCTCAGGCATCAGAGGGAGGAGCATCTTAATCTTAAGGATCATCTCCAGGTTTACAACCTGCCCATTCCACCCTCCTCAGCCCTATGCCCTTGTACTACAGGTTCTCAACAGTAAGTGGTCTAACTCGTTTTTCCTGTTTTTTGATATTTTACACCCTCAGATACTCCCCCAAATAAAAGCTTCAAAATCGACTGGAAAGTTCTCTTAGACTTTTCTCCACCTTTGGTCACTTGAAGGCAGACGGTCCCACATCTACTAATCCCACAAATAATGAGATCGTGGACCAGGTTTGAACATGTCTGGTTATTTTACCTTGCTCAGATGGCATTTAGGATTTAGAAAACAAATTGCCCCTACCCAACTGCACGCTGTCCAAAGAAACAGTAATAATATAGACCAATGAGAACTATAAATAAAATCCTAAGCCCCCAACCGAGAAGACCCCCTTTTGGCCAAGAGTGCCCCAGAGAAATCTTAACTGAGTTCCTGGCCATGACAGAATGGGAGGTCAGACACAACTCATTTACTCCCTCCCTTCTGCGGTTCAGACACAGCTGACCAGCATTCATGTTAACATAGAGATCATCAAGACTGATAGAAATAGACTCTTTGTGGCAATAAAACACCAAATTATAAATAAGACCTAAGGCCATGCCAGACAAGGGTTAAATCCCACACCCCTACATTTGTCCTAACCATACACTATGTTCTAACCACCATAAGGTTGCTCTTTTTCTCCAGCAGCCAAACAAGCACTGGCCTCAAGATAAGCAAGATTAAAGCAATTGCGTAAGCCTACTATGTACCCACAAAAATTAAAAATAAAAACTTACAAAAAAATACAAAAAGAAAACAACTGCAGCTCATCCACCAACAGATACTGACTGACCCCTGTTCCACAAGCCATACAGCTTTGACTGGACAAGAAACTGATTTCAGTAACTTTCTCCTGATCAGAGACTAGCAGCCGTGGAATGGTTCTGGCCAGCTTGCAGAGGCTGCACGTGAGTGCCTTGTGTTCCTGCTTCACCTTTTTTTTTTTTTTGAGACGAAGTCTCACTCTGTTACCCAGGCTGGAGTGCAGTGGCACTGTGTCGGCTCACTGCAACCACCGTCTCCTGGGTTCAAGCAATTCCCCTGCCTCAGCCTCCTGAGTAGCTGGGATTGCAGGCGCCCACCACCACACCCAGCTAATTTTTATATTTTTAGAAGAGAAGGAGTTTCACCATGTTGGCCAGCTTGTCTCGAACTCCTGACCTCAGGTGATCCGCCCGCCTCGGCCTCCCAAAGTGCTAGGATTACAGGTGTGAGCCACCGCGCCTGGCCCCTGCTTCACCTTTTGATGTACAGGGCCTAATTGTAATACATTTAAATGTTAAGTCTCCACCCCAAAGTGAACATGGGATGTATGTAACACGAATGTTTGTTCATTACGCATGCATCAGGACCCCATTCACGGATATTCATAGCTCCTCCTATAACCTGTTGAATAGGAATGTATGGCCAACCTGTTCAGCATTAAGCTCTTGTCCCAACTCCATCTCCTTCTAAGTGCCTTTCAGTGTCTGCCAGAAGCTACGCTTCCAAGACTGTCAAGGATGGCCACCTTACAGGTTGTAACCCTTTATAATAAATAGTCTCCTTTCTACTTTTTTCTTTCACAGCTGGAGATCCTTTCTAAATTTATAATTGTGTCAATCTTTAGGTTGACACCACCAAAGGTAAATTCTGAAATTCCCTGAGAGTCAATAAGTTATTAGAGCTCTGGAAGGGGATGAGGTAGAAAAACCTTGTACTCAGTGAGGCTTACCAATGATCTCATTCAAGGCCCCTTACTTAAACAAAAATCCCTGTGAAGACTGTTAAATATACCTGTACCTCATGCCAGAGTTTTTCAACAGGTGTGCCAGGATGTCTTTGGTCGCCCAGCCTGTGAGCCAATCATCTGCAGTTCCAGATCCCCCTCAGTTTACTCCAGTATTTTGTACTAAGTCACCATTTTCCAAGTATGCCATGATGTAATGATAACTTGCTTACAGTTTAATGGTTGCAGCTTGAATCTATAAAATAGTGGTTCTCGAAATATGGTCTCCAGACCAGCTACATTAATATTACCGACCTAGGCCCCAGCCAGGCCTAGCGCACACATCATAAACTCCAGGGTGGGAGTGAGTGGGCTGTTTCAATGAGCCCTCCAGGTGATTCTGTTGCCTGCAAAAGTTTGAGAACTACTGACGTAGACACAATTCTCTTCTATGTTGCAGACCACTGTACCTCGTAAAGACCTACAAGTTAAGGGTCTCTTTTGCCTACAGTGATGCTCAAACCTGACAGTGCCTGGTTTTCTGGTCCAGGTGTCATAAAATAACCTAGAAAAACGGTGAGAAGGTTCACTCGGCATGAGAACAGCTGAGGGTACCTACTTTTATCACAGTGGAAACATTAGTTGATTCTCAGCCCTGAGAAGGACCTCTATCATACCATCAACACAATGGAAAAGGGAAGGAACACATCTTTCCCTAAAGGAGAGAAGGCACTTTGGCTTGTCATATCTATAAAGGGTTAGTCATTTGTGAAAAGGACACTAATGATCACGCAATAGACTATACTTCCTCAGGACTATGCCTCATAAAAAGTTGACCTTTACCCCATAAAAACTCTTATAAAAATCAAGAGTATCAGAGAAACTGGTTGAGTTTTGCCACCTCAGCAATTGCCAAAAGGTAAAAAGTAGAAGAGAAAACACATTAGGCCAATAAACATGACATGTTCAGAAGAAATATAAACCAAGACAACACTGATACACTTTTACACGTTTGACTGGAAAATATTATAAAGTCTAACACCACCAAGAGTTGCTGGTTTAGATTATATATGAAAAATAATTTGACATTGTCTTATAGAAATGTACACTCACAGGCCAGGCACGGTGGCTCACGCCTGTAATCCCAGCACTTTGGGAGGCTGAGGCGGGCGGATCATGAGGTCAGGAGATCGAGACCATCCTGGCTAACATGGCGAAACCCCGTCTAGACTAAAAATACAAAAAATTAGCTGGGTGTGGTGGCGGGCACCTGTAGTCCCAGCTACTCAGGAGGCTGAGGCAGGAGAATGGCGTCAACCCGGGAGGTGGAGCTCGCAGTGAGCCGAGATCGCACCACTGCACTCCAGCCTGGGTGACAGAGCGAGACCCTGTCTCAAAAAAAAAAAGAAAAGAAAAGAAAGAAATGTACACTCACAAACGCTGCATCCCAGAAGTTCCACTCTTAGGTACATAGCCAAGAGAAATGTTCACAAGTATAGGTGATTTAAAAATGTTCATGGGGCCAGGCGGGATTCACGGGATTACACTCACACCTGTAATCCCAGAACTTTGGGAGGCCAAGGCAGGTGGATCACTTGAGGTCAGGAGTTTGAGACCAGCCTGGCCAACATGGCAAAACCCTGTCTCTACTAAAAATACAAAAATTAGCCAGGTGTGGTGGCATACGCCTATAATCCCAGCTACTTGGGAGGCTGAAGTGGGAAAATTGCTTGAACCCGGGAGGCGGAGGTTACAGTGAGCCAAGATCATGCCACTACATTCCAGCCCAGGCAACAGAGCAAGACACTATCTTAAAAATAAATAAATAAAAAATAAAAATGTTCATGGCAGTTGTAATGGTCTTAATAATCCAAAACCCCATTAAAAGGAAACTGGATAAACTGCTGTGAAATGTGATAAAATAGAGGACCAGACAATGGCGACATCAGATGGACTTCAACTCCATCAACATGTATTAATCTATAACCTAACTCTGCGTAAAAAGGCAAATGCCAAGACACTACATGCAGGTACACCTTCTACAAAGTTAAAAAACACCCAAAACAAAATCATGTTGCTAAGTTATACATGTATGCAGGTAAAAACTTAAAAAGCAAATTATAATAAACTCAAAATTCTAGATAGGCTACCTCTGGGGGCAGGTAGAAGCAAGTAGATGAGAGAGTAAAAAATGTATAATGTAACTTAGTAATGTATTGTAATTATTAGGTGGGATGGTAGATCTGCAGGTGTTCATTATGAAACAATAAATGTACCAGGAATGCTATGCATGGACTAAAGGTGATAATGTCATAAACTAAGAATTGAATTAATCTATTTCTGTGCACCTGAAGTCCAGTTTTTGTTTTTAGAGACAGAGTCTCACTTTGTCACCCAGCCTGAAGTGCAGTGGCACATCTCGGCTCACTGCAACCTCCACCTCCCAGGTTCAGGTGATTTCCCACCTCAGCCTCCAGAGTAGCTGGGACTACAGGCATGCGCCACCAGGCCCAGCTAATTTTTGTATTTTCAGTAGAGACAGGGTTTCACCATGTTGGCCAGGATGGTCTCAAACTCCTGACCTCAACTGATCTACGCACCTTGGTCTCCCAAAGTGCTGGGATTACAAGTGTCAGCCACTGTGCTCAGCCTTAAAGTCCAGTTTTTAAAAAGGTAATCATTGGCCGGGCACGGTGGCTTACACCTGTAACCCCAGCACTTTGGGAGGCTGAGGCGGGTGGATCACCTGAGGTCAGGAGTTTGAGACCAGCCTGGCCAACGTGGCAAAACCCCATGTCTACTAAAAATACAAAAATTAGCTGGGTGTGGTGACACATGCCTGTAATCCCAGCTACTTAGGAGGCTGAGGCAGGAGAATCGCTTGAACCCGGGAGGTGGAGGTTGCAGTGAGCCGAGATCATGCCACTGCACTCTAGCCTGTGTGACAGAGCAAGACTTCATCTCAAAAAATAATTAAAAAAAAAAAAAAAGGTAATCATTAAGGTTTTTCCTAAGAATCTACTGGCATGGAAATGCTCAGTTAGGGTTCTAATCCTGGCTTTGTCACCCATATGTGACCCCAGGCATGTGGATGAAAATGCTTTCTGTTAATATAAAACCAAATTTAACGTAAACATCAATTTTGTCTATTCTCTAAAAATATTATCATATACTGTTAGAAAATGGCTTAATAGCCCCCTTTTACACAATTATGCTGGCCAAAATGTGTTCAAAAAAGGAAGAATAATCAAAAGACTCAACTTTCACCAAAAATTGTAAAATTTCAGAAAACACAATTTCAGTATTATTCAAGTTGACCATTTGGGAACAAAATTAAGTTAGTGTTTATCTCATACTATAATAAAAAACAAGCATCTCAATATGAATAAAGTTATGACATTTGGTAAATAGTAAATATCAATATTGGTCCATTAGTGGTGACAAATGCACCACACTAATGTAGGATGTTAACAATAGGGACAACTAGCTGCACTGTGGGTAGTGGCTCACACCTGTAATCCCAGCAGTTTGGGAGGCCAAGGCAGGAGAACTGCATGAGTTCAGGAGTTCAAGAATAGCCTGGGCGACATAGCGAACTCTGTCTCTACTTTAAAAAAAAAAAAGTCAGCCAGGCATAGCGGCACATGTCTGTAGTCCCAGCTACTTGGGAGGCTGAGGTGGGAGGACTGCTTGAGCCCAGCAGTCAAGGCTGTAGTAAGCTATGATTGCGCCATTGCACTCCAGCCTGGGCAACAGAGTGAGACCTTGCCTCAAGAAAAAAAAAAATAAAAGGGAAAACTGAGTGCCGTGGTATACAGAAATCCATCATACTATAATTGCAACTTTTCTGTAAATCTATTAATAAAACTATTCTAAAATGAAACATTTATCTTAAAAAACAAGGGGGGTGGTCCAGTGTATATCCTGGATGTTAAAAACAAAAACAAAAACACAAAAACTGGATTGGGTGCACGACACTTCTAAGTTTGCTAAAAATCACTGTAAATTTTTAATGGGTGATGACAATGTATGGTATATAAATTGTACCTCAATAAAGCTGTTTAAAAAAATATGTTTCTGGTGGTCTAAAGCTTCTGGTGATCTTAAAGGTCTAGGTTGGGCGAAAATAAAAACAAGAAATATGAGAGAGGAACATTACACCAATCAAGGATGTTAAAATGTACCAAGGACTGACATATGTTTAACTCAACCCTCTGCACACATTTAGTACACATGGGGTAAAAAAAATAAAACTTTAAAATACCAACGAAACTACAGGAGGGTATTATTTAAACCTTGAAGGGGGTGTAAAACTCTCTAGGAACAAAGATATGTAGAGGCCATAAAGAGACAGGAAATATAAGTACATAAAAAAATAAGAAGTCTGGGCATGGTGGCAAATGCCTACAATCCCAACACTTTGGGAGGCCAAGGCACAAGGATCACTTGAGGCCAGGAGTTCAAAACGAGCCTGGGTAACATAGTGAGACCCTCTCTCTTAAAACAAACAAAAAAACACTGTAGACAAAGATGAAAGACCACAATAATGTGGGAGAAGTTATCATCAATAAGACAAAATATTAATATCCATAATATAAAAAACTCTAGTCAGGAAAGAACGAACAATCACGGAAAACTAAGCCATGCTATGAAGATGTCAAGTGATGAAGAATAGGAAATAAGCATATGCTTAATCACCAAATTTTGAAAATGAAACTTTATTTTTACTTACTGGATTAACAAAAATTAATGACAGATAATAACCAGAACAGAAAAAAATGTTGGGAACTGAGCAATTTCATATACCATCAGGGTTAGTAGAATCTGCAGAGCTTTCAAAAACAATGCAACTTGGTAATCCCTTGTAAAATGCTTTTTTTCAAGAGATAGGGGTCTTGCTCTATTGCCTAAGCTGGAGTACAGTGACACAACCATAGCTCACTGCAGCCTCAACTCTTGAGCTCAAGAGATCCTTCTGTCTCATCCTCCCGAGTAGCTGGGACTAGAGTCGAGCTACCATGCCCAGCTAACCTAGTAAAATTTTAAGTGTGCACACTCAATGACTAGTTCTAGAAATTTATCTTACACAAACACTAGCAAGAGTGCATAAAGACATGTGAGAGAATGTTCACTGCAGCGTTATCTGTAATAGTAAACAACTGAACACAATTAAAATGTCCATAAATAGGAGAATGAATCATCGTATACTCATACTATGAAATACCACCCAGCTGCCAAGAGCAATTAGGTCTATGTGCTGACAGACTTGGAAAGATGTTCACAAAACAAAGTTTTTAAAAAAGCAAACTGCATACAACGTGTACATTATGATCCTATTTTTGGTTTTAAAATAACACCAATTTTTGGGTTTAAAATAAATTGGCTAGGCACGGTGGCTCATGCCTGTAATCCCAGCACTTTGGGAGGCCGACGCGGGTGGATCGCCTGAGGTCAGGAGTTCGACCAACGTGGTGAAACCCCATCTCTACTAAAAGTACAAAAATTAGCTAGACGTGGTGGCATGTGCCTGTAATCCCAGCTACTCAGGAGGCTGAGGCAGGAGAATCACTTGAATCCAGGAAGTGGAGATTGTAGTGAGCTGAGATTGCGCCATTGCACTCCAGCCTGGGTGACAGAGCGAGACTCCATCTCAAAACAAAAATCCCACCAAATTATTAAAAGTAACAACATTACATTATTTACCATGTGCAAGGTATTATACTAAGTATTTTACAAATATTAACAAGTTTGAGGCTGCAGTGAGCTATGACTGTACCACTGCACTCCAACACGGGTGACAGAGCTACACCCTGTCTCTAAATAAATAATAACAAAAGTAAAAAAAAAAATTTAAGGGAGTATGAGCATACTTCCAATTTAGAATAAGAAATAGGAAAGGAAAAAGATGATTAAAGAAAGTACCCCAGGCCAGGCATGGTGGCTCACGCCTGTAATCCCAGCACTTTGGGAGGCAGAGGATCACGTAGTCAGAAGTTTGAGGCCAGCCTGGCCAAGATGGTGAAACCCCGTCTCTACTAAAAATACAAAAATTAGCCGGGCACAGTGGCAGGCGCCTGTAATCCCAGCTACTTGGGAGGCTGAGGCAGGAGAATCGCTTGAACCCAGGAGACAGAGGTTGCAGTGAGCCGAGATAGTGCCACTGCGCTCCAGCCTGGGCAACAGAGCAAGACTCCATCTCAAAAAAAAAAAAAAAGTACCCCATAGTGGTAACTTAAGTTGACATAATTTTCTTTATACAGGCCAGGCATGGTGGCTGACGCCTATAATCCTAGCACTTTGGGAGGCCGAGGCAGGCAGATCACCTGAGGTCAGAAGTTTGAGACCAGCCTGGCCAACATGACAAAACCCCATCTCTACTAAACATACAAAAAGTAGCTGCACATGGTGGCAGGCACCTGTAATCCCAGATACTCGGAAGGCTGAGGCAGGAGAATCACTTGAACCTGGAAGCGGGAGGCTGCAATGAGCTGAGATCGTGCCATCGCACTCCAGCCTGGCAACAGAGCGAGACTGTCTCAAAAACAAACAAACAAACAAAAATTACTTTATACAGTTGGCCCTTGAACAACCAGGTTTGAACTGCATGGGTCCACATATACGTGGATTTTTTTCAACTAAACATAGATGGAAAACAGTATTGGCGGAATGCAAAACCCAGGTATCCAGAGGGCCAATTTTTCATACACATGGGTTCCACCGACTACAGGACTTGAATATGCATGGATTTGGGTATACATGGGGGTCCCGGAACCAACCACCTGAGTATACCAAGGAATGACTGCACTTCACTGTATTTTCCAAATCATCCATACTTAACCAAATAAAATATTTAATTAAAAAAATCAGATCTGAAATTTGAGGGCAGAACAAAACAAAGACCTGCAAAGTTTAATTAAACAAATCTTAAAACATTTAAAATACAAACTGGTATCCATCTGAGTGACTATAAAAGACCAGGTTAAAAACCAAGCAGCGTGCAAACATGAGCTGTTTATTTTACAAGGAACAAGATATCCAGAAAAAGGAAGGGGGAAAAAAAGCCCTAAGAAGGGCAGAGAAACCACTGTGTTGAGCCAACAGGGACAGGGAATTATAAAACTCTAAATTTTCTCACAGATTATACAAAAGGGATAAAACTTGTTTTAAACACTGAAGGCACAGCTTTTGACTACCCTCTGCTCTGAGAGGTGGGAGGGCAGGAGGCGTGTTATAATCCTGAAGATGCTAAAAATCCAAGAAGGAAGTCAGTAAGATTTAGTAACATAATAAAATTCTAGACCGACCCCAATCTGTAGGGAGGGATTAAACTAATATTGAGTAGCTAATTGTTACTGTAGTACTTTTTTGTTTTGCTTTTTTGAGACAGGGTCTCACTCTGTCACCCAGGCTGGAGTGCAGTGGCGAGATCATGCCTCACTGCAGCCTTGACCTCCCAGGCTCCAGCAATCCTCCCACTTCAGCTTCCCAAGCAGCTGGGACTACAGGCACCTGTGCCCACGTCCGGCTAATTTTTTAAATTTTTTGTAGAGATAGGGTCTTGCCTTCTTGCCCCAGATGGTCTTAAACTCCTGGGCTCAAGTGATCCTCCTTGGCCTCGCAAGTACTGGGATTACAGACATGAGTTTTTCTTTTCCCCCCGAATCAGCCATTATTAGCTATATGGGGAGTAACCTGTCTCAGCTCTTTGCAATCAATCAAACCCAAATTTTAATTCTCCTTTAGTGCAAGTAGTTAATTCTAGATTCTCATCCACTATTTTAAGTAGAGATTGTTTTGATATTAATTTCTCATGACCAAAAGGAAGAAAACTCCCTAATCTACTCCACTGTGAACAGTTTAGATGCAGGATGACACAATTCCACAGCGATGGCCACATTATCAGGGTGAAACTAATCAGGCAGAAATGAGAGTAACAGGCTACATCTGCCTGTTCCATCAATTAAGGAAATAATGAGAACGTGGTATTGAATTCCGCGACATGAACTTGGGCAGGTGAGGGGAGAATAGAAAGAAAGGCAAAATATCTGTGGTTAAACCACCTCCAAATAATTTATTTTAAATAGGCTTTCTGAGGCATTTCAGTTCAAAAAACTGAAGGGCAGAGGAAAAGAAATGAGGAATTTGCCTCTGGTTAAGAATCACATAAAACATTAGTTTGGGCAAAATCATATATCTGCTATTCAACAGACAATTCTTTTACATACAATGAAAATACTTGTTACTAGAGAGAAACAATGAAGTCCACATGCAACAACCCACAGGCTATCAAATTTCCAGAGGTTCAAGGAGGAATTTTATTAAAATAATACCTTCTTAAAAGCTAAGTAGTTCTTTCACCTTAATCATCATCACCTCCATAAGTTACAACAGCTATCTTTTGCCAAATTATCAAAAGCAACTAGAACTGATTAAACCTTCATGACAGTAAAATCAGATGAGAGGCCAAAGTTCACTGGGACTCTAATATTACTGGCATTGGTCTCCCTTGAGTCGGGTTTGTTGTTTTTAAGCCTCTTGAAACCTTAAGTAAACAAATCTAACTGCCAACGAAAACTAACACACCCAGAAACTCTCAGCGAAACATTTACTTCATAGCTCATAATATAGACCTGTCCTATTCCAGCTACAAGTGGCCTTGCCTGGAGGTAAATGTCGAAAGAAAACACTTCCTAACACCTTCACACTTTAAAGTGAGGGAAAAAAAAAACAGGGCTTCAAGTCAAGGGCAGGGACATAAGAACTATCGTCTCAGTGGTGAATACATACCACAGCCTTCCTGGCTTTCCTAAGACTGCTTCATTTTTGCTCCTTAATTAACCAGAAAAAAATTTCATCTATCTTCCTAGATTTCCTTAAAAATCAGACTTACAGAATGTTAGAGCTAAGCCTTCAAGATATTGTCTTGCCTATAATCCCAGCACTTTGGGAGGCCAAGGCAGGCAGATCACTTGAGGTCAGGAGTTCGAGACCAGCCTGGCCAACGTGGTGAAACCCCATCTCTCCTAAAAATACAAAAAAATTAGTCAGGCATGGTGGTATGCACCTATAGTCCTAGCTACTCGGGAGGCCAAGGCAGGAGAATCTCTTGAACCCGGGAGGCGGAGGTTGCAGTGAGCCAATATTGCACCACTGTACTCCAGCCTGAACGACAGAGCCAGAAGCCGTCTCAAAAAAAAAAAAAATATATATATATATATATATTAATGTCTTTACCCCAGACCTGACTAGCAGCAGCCAGCATCCATCTTTAGCCACCCCACTCCCAGTGGCCAAAATAAACCTTCCTGGGAACCTGTGGCCATACCTTCATGACAATAAATCAATCTGCTCAAAGAACCCTGTGATGTCAGTTTCTGAGGTAGCTTCTAACAGGACCCTAACAGGATTTCTTAGAAAAAGTTTCACTCCAAACATCTTTTCATTTTTATTTTTTTCCGAGACAGGGTCTCACTCTGCCATCCAGGCAAGAGTGCCAGTGGCAGAATAACAGCTCACTGCAGCTTCAACCTCCCATGCTCCAGTGATTCTATCACCTCAGCCTCCTGAGTAGCTGGGACTACAGGCATACATCATCATGCCCAGCTAATTTTTTTTTTATTTTTTGTAGAGACAGGGTCCCATTATGTTGCCTAGGTTGTTCTCAAACTCCTGGACTCAAGTGATCCTTCCACCTTGGCCTCCCTAAGTGCTGGGATTCCAAGTGTGAGCCACCACACCTGGCCTCTAAAAAGCTCTAAAAACAGTTTACTAACACTCATTTGGGAGGCATCTTTAAAGAGGAACTTTCCAGGCTTTCAGCAAATCACATCATATAGGAAGCTTGGTAAGATTAATAGTATATATTTTTAAAAGGAAATTTTTCTAATCTGTCTTTGCCTCACTGAAGTATTTCATAATGTTAACTCAGAATTAGTCACTGTGGTTTGTCATGCTGTTATCTATGTCAAAAGTTTTGCCCTCTCCCTCTCCCCCCTCTCCCTCTCCCCACGGTCTCCCTCTCCCTCTCTTTCCACGGTCTCCCACTGATGCCGAGCCGAAGCTGGACTGTACTGCTGCCATCTCGGCTCACTGCAGCCTCCCTGCCTGATTCTCCTGCCTCAGCCTGCCGAGTGCCTGCGATTGCAGGCGCGCGCCACCACGCCTGACTGGTTTTCTTATTTTTTTGGTGGAGACGGGGTTTCGCTGTGTTGGCCGGGCTGGTCTCCAGCTCCGAACTGCGACTGATCCGCCAGCCTCGGCCTCCCAAGGTGCCGGGATTGCAGACGGAGTCTGGTTCACTCAGTGCTCAATGGTGCCCAGGCTGGAGTGCAGTGGCGTGATCTCGGCTCGCTACAACCTCCACCTCCCAGCCGCCTGCCTTGGCCTCCCAAAGTGCCAAGATTGCAGCCTCTGCCCGGCCGCCACCCCGTCTGGGAAGTGAGGAGCGTCTCTGCCTGGCCGCCCATCGTCTGGGACGTGAGGAGCCCCTCTGCCTGGCTACCCAGTCTGGAAAGTGAGGAGCGTCTCTGCCCGGCCGCCATCCCATCTAGGAAGTGAGGAGCGCCTCTTCCCGGCCCCCATGCCATCTAGGAAGTGAGGAGCGTCTCTGCCCGGCCGCCCATCGTCTAAGATGTGGGGAGCGCCTCTGCCCCGCCACCCCGTCTGGGATGTGAGGAGCGCCTCTACCCAGCCGCGACCCCGTCTGGGAGGTGAGGAGCGTCTCTGCCCAGCCGCCCCGTCTGAGAAGTGAGGAGACCCTCCGCCTGGCAACCGCCCCATATGAGAAGTGAGGAGCCCCTCCGCCCGGCAGCCACTCTGTCTGGGAAGTGAGGAGCGTCTCTGCCCGGCAGCTACCCCATCCGGGAGGGAGGTGGGGGGGTCAGCCCCCCGCCCGGCCAGCCGCCCCGTCCGGGAGGGAGGTGGGGGGGTCAGCCCCCCGCCCGGCCAGCCGCCCCGTCCGGGAGGGAGGTGGGGGGGGGTCAGCCCCCCGCCCGGCCAGCCGCCCCGTCCGGGAGGTGAGGGGCGCCTCTGCCCGGCCGCCCCTACTGGGAAGTGAGGAGCCCCTCTGCCCGGCCAGCCGCCCCGTCTGGGAGGGAGGTAGGGGGGTCAGCCCCCTGCCCGGCCAGCCGCCCTGTCTGGGAGGTGAGGGGCCCCTCTGCCCGGCCGCCCCTACTGGGAAGTGAGGAGCCCCTCTGCCCGGCCAGCCGCCCCATCCGGGAAGGAGGTGGGGGGGTCAGCCCCCCGCCCGGCCAGCCGCCCCATCCGGGAGGTTAGGGGCGCCTCTGCCCGGCCGCCCCTACTGGGAAGTGAGGAGCCCCTCTGCCCGGCCAGCCGCCCCGTCCGGGAGGGAGGTGGGGGGGTCAGCCCCCCGCCCGGCCAGCCGCCCGGTCCAGGAGGTGAGGGGCGCCTCTGCCCGGCCGCCCCTACTGGGAAGTGAGGAGCCCCTCTGCCCAGCCACCACCCCGTCTGGGAGGTGTACCCAACAGCTCATTGAGAAAGGGCCATGATGACAATGGCGGTTTTGTGGAATAGAAAGGGGGGAAAGGCGGGGAAAGGATTGAGAAATCGGATGGTTGCCATGTCTGTGTAGAAAGTGGTAGACACGGGAGACTTTTCATTTTGTTCTGTACTAAGAAAAATTCTTCTGCCTTGTGATCCTGTTGATCGGTGACCCTACCCCCAACCCTGTGCTCTCTGAAACATGTGCTGTGTCCACTCAGGGTTAAATGGATTAAGAGTGGTGCAAGATGTGCTTTGTTAAACAGATGCTTGAAGGCAGTATGCTCGTTAAGAGTCATCACCACTCCCTAATCTCAAGTACCCAGGGACACAAACACTGCAGAAGGCCGCAGGGTCCTCTGCATAGGAAAACCAGAGACCTTTGTTCACTTGTTTATCTGCTGACCCTCCCTCCACTATTGTCCTATGACCCTGCCAAATCCCCCTCTGTGAGAAACACCCAAGAATGATCAATAAAAAAAAAAAAAAGTTTAAAAGGCCTGCCACCTGCTATTCCAAAAACACTCTTGCCAATCTTGACCCACGAGAGCACCTTTGGCAATGGTTTCTGTTTATCTCCAAAATGATAAGCAGAAAAATAAAAGGGAGTAGAGGGAAGAAGTAGTTTTTGTTTTGCAAAGGCCAAGTTCTTTCTGCATGATTTTTTTAGAAGCCATTTCTTTTCAAAACCAAGATTCACTCCTTGAAAATGGAAATCTGATTTTCACCTTTTAGTAAAACCATTTCCACTTAGCCCATCCTCTTAAAATTCTGAGTAAAAACCAATGCAACAACCTTTGCAACATATACAAACATTAATTCTAAGAATAAAGTTTAACAAAGCACTAAAAATTCAGACACAAATTTGGGGCTTTAATAAAAGATGTAAAGTTATTTTTTAACACTTACCCACTCCTCGACATTGGGGGGCTGCTCATCATAAATGTGTTCCTTGTCCCACAAAATATTGGACTTGTCATACCTGTCCATCTTTCTTCGAGTTTTCACAGCAAAGAAAATTATTAAAGCAAAAGCCACAATAATCATGAACCCCAGTACAATGGCAATGGCCTAAAAAGGAGTGGAAAATATTGGCATAATTAGATTTTAATTGCTTAATCACAATTCACCCTCTACATATTATTAAAACCCTTATCTACCCTAAGGCCCTACTAAATCCATGTGGTTTAATTGATAGAAAACTGAAGCAAATAGTTACATTTCAGACATATCATAAAACCTAACCCACACTAACTGGGCTAAGGCCAGCAAATGTACACACACGTACATACTGCTTGACTCAATCCTCAGAAAATGCCTAATGTTAGGAACTATCAATCATCACCCTCATTTCAGAGCTGTAAAAAACTAGTTCCAAAGCTTGTACACCTACGGGCCAAGCTTTGTGCACCTACGAGAATGGCCAGTAAAGTAACTCAATCATTGGTATACTTCTAAAGGGCCTGAAAAATGCTACTCTCAAAAGTATTCACAGCTTTGAAATAGCCAATCATGCTTGTAATCTTGTTCAAAACATATGCTTGGCAAGCCTTTTTACACTGAATGTAAATTTCTGTCCATAGATCTCTATCTTACCAAAAATGATGAAGACATGGATCTAATCAAGCTATAAATAGCAAATTGACTAATGATTGATTTGGTCTGGCAGGTTTCTCTGTTTCAGGAGTCTTGCATACTACTAGAAAGGGCCCTGTAACAAAGAAACTTCCTACTCTTAACAGTTCTCCCAGTGGTGATAGGATATTAAATGGTATATTGGCCTGGGAGGCACTTGAAGTTGAGGGAAATATCAGGCCTCTACCCTGGATGTCTGCTAATGGGAACAAGAGGCTCTCCTTCCAGCTGTCTTGACAGTGACATCATTTTTCAAAGAGTAAGTAGTAAGAGAACTAAGAGGGATAGGGGTGTGGTAGGATAGGAGTACCAACCCTCAGTCCCTATCTACCATGGACATGTCTAAATGGCAACAACGAGCACTGTGAAAACCTACGTCTGCAGGGAAAACCTTCAGTCTTCTAAATAATGGTAGACAGATACTAGAGGTCTAACTCCAAAGGAGTGACTCATTCAGGAATGGGAACTCCTGAGTTAGTGTAAGAAAAAAGGAAAAACAAGGGAAAAAAGATCAGTAACTCAGAAACATTTCAGATATTAATATAATCAGTATGACTCATGGTTACTAAAGTAGGTTTCTCAACTCCAACCTGCACATTTGAATCACTTGCTTAGCTTTTAAACATACTAACTTACACTCTGAAAACTATAAAACACTATTAAAAGAAGTTTAACAAGACCTACATAAATCAAAAGAATCTTACGTTCATGAATCAGAAGACTTGTAATTGTAAAGATGACAATACATCCAAAATTGACCTACAGATTCAATATAACCCTTCAAAATCCTAGCTGGCATTTTTTTCCAAAATTGACATGCTGATCTTAAAATCCATATGGAAATGCAAGGAATCCAGAATCTAGCCAAAACAGTCTTGAAGAACAAAGTTGGAGAACTCCCACTCCACAATTTCAAAACTTACTATAAAGTTACAGTAATCAAGACAGTATGGTACTGGCATTAGGACATATGATTAATGCAGCTGAACTGAGAGCCCAGAAATAAATGTCCACATTTATGATCAATTCATTTTTGACAAAGGCATGAAGAAAACTTAGTGGAGGAACAGTCCTTTCAACAAGTAACACTGAGACAACTGCATATAAACATGCGAAAGCTTTCAGAACCCTTGCTTCCATCATGCCCAAAATTAACACAACATGAATCACAGACCTAACTGTAAAAGCTAAAATTATGAAACTATAGAAAAATTAAATAATAGAAAACATAGGAGTAAATCCTTGTGACCCTGAATTAGGCAAAGCATTAGATATGACACCAAAAATACAAGCAACAGAAGAAAAATTAAATAAACTGGACATCATCAAAACTAAAAATTTTTTTTTTTTTTTTTTTTTTGAGACAGAGTTTTGCTCTTGTTGTCTAGGCTGGAGTGCAGTGGCACAATTTCAGCTCACTGCAACCTCCACCTCCTGGGTTCAAGTGATTCTCCTGCCTCAGCCTACTGAGTAGCTGGGATTACAGGCACGCCACCGTGTCCAGGTAATTTTTCTATTTTTAGTAGAGATGGAGTTTCACCATGTTGGCCAGGCTGGTCTCGAACTCCTGACCTCAGGTGATCCGCCCACCTTGGCCTTCCAAAGTGCTGGGATTACAGGCGTGAGCTACCATGCCCGGCCCAAAACTAAAAGCTTTTATGCAAAGGACACCATCAAGAAAGTGAAAAGATGCCTATAATCCCAGCGGTTTGGAAGGCCAAGGCAGGATCACTTGAGCCCAGGAGTTCCAGCCCAGACCGGGCAACAAAGTGAGACCCTGTCTCTACAAAAAATTTTTTAAAAAATTATCCGGGTGTGGTGGCATGCCCCTGTGGTCCTAGCTACTCAGGAGACTGAGGTAGGAGGGTCACTTGAGCCCAGGAGGTCAAGGATGCAGTGAGCTGTGACTGCACCACTGCACCCCAGCCTGGGTGACAGTGAGACTCTGTCTCAAAAACAAAACAACAACAAAAATAGCCCAATTAAAACATGGGCAAGTCTAGGCCGGGCACAGTGGCTCACACCTGTAATCCCAGCACTTTGGAGGCCGAGGCGGGCGGATCACGAGGTCAGAAGATAGAGACCATCGTGGCTAACACGGTGAAACCCCATCTCTACTAAAAATACAAAAAAAAAAAAAAATTAGCTGGGCGTGGTGGCCGGTGCCTGTAGTCCCAGCTATTCAGGAGGCTGAGGCAGGAGAATGGTGTGAACCCAGGAGGCGTAGCTCACAGTGAGCAAAGATCACACCACTGCACTCCAGCCTGGGCGATAGAGCAAGACTCCGTCTCAAAAAGAAAAAAAAAATGGACAAGTCTAAACAGCCATTTCTCCAAAGATAAGAGAGAAATGGCCAATAAGTACATGACTATATAGCTAATAACATTAGCTATAAAGAAAATACGAATCAAAATCACAATAAAGCACCACTTCACTTCTCACCCATCAGCATGGCTAGAATCAGACAATAACAAGTGTTGGTGAGGATGTGGAGAAATTGGAACTTTCATACATTTCTGATGTGAATGTAAAATGATGCAAACTCTTTGGAAAAACTCTGGTAGCTCCCCAAAAGATTAAAGAGTCACCATATGACCCAGCAATTCCACCCCTAGGTATAACCCAACTCAAGAAATCATTAAAACATAGGTTCACACAAAAACGTATACAAGAATGTCTATAGCATGATTCTTTTTTTTTGAGATGGAGTCTTGCTCTGTCGCTCAGGCTGGAGTGCAGTGGCGCAATCTCAGCTCACTGCAAGCTCCGCCTCCCGGGTTCACGCCATTTCTTCTGCCTGAGCCTCCCGAGTAGCTGGGACTACAGGTGCCTGCCACCATGCCCAGCTAATTTTTTTTGTATTTTTAGTAGAGACGGGGTTTCACCTTATTAGCGAGGATGGTCACAATCTCCTGACCTCATGATCCGCCCGCCTCAGCCTCCCAAAGTGCTGGGATTACAAGCATGAGCCACCGTGCCCAGTCTAGCATGATTCTTAATAGCCAATGTAGACACAAATGTCTATCAACTGATAAATAAAATGTGGTTTATCCACACACTGGAATATTAGCAATAAAAAGGAATGAGAGAATGGCACAAGCTATGACATGGGTAAACCTTAAAAACATTATGCTACGTAAAAGAAGCCCATCACAAAGACCACATTGTGTGATTCCATTTATATGAAATACCTAGAGAATAGACAAATTTATAGATGTAGGATTAGTGGTTGCCTAGGGCTAAGAATGGTTAGGGAAATGAGGAGTGACCGCTAACGGGTACAAGTTTCTTTTTAGGATAGTGAAAATGTTCTAAAATTGATTGTGGTGATGGTGGCACAATTCTGTGAATATATTAAAAACCACTGAACTGTTATTTAAGTAATCAAATTACATGGTATGTTAATCATATCTTAATGAGACTCAGCCCCTCCCCCAGATTTAATTAGAAGTGGAGCCTTGTCATCAATATTTTTTAAGAGTTTCCAGAGTGATTCTATCACATATCTCAAGTTGAAGGCCTCTGCTAAGGAGATGGAGAAAAAACCCAAAACACCACTCATACCTCCTGGGGATCCACAACACAGTAGTGATACAAATACTGATCCACGTAGAGTCCAGTAGCTGCAGGTGTATAAAATTGGTTGCAGAGGGCATATATTTGTGAACCATATAGAGATCCAGAAGACTGAGCAGTTGGGTTCACTCCCATTATATAGACAATTGTGGCAATAAACACCATGATGCCCAGGATAGCACTCACTATTATCACACTTAAGTAGTATCTTCTTGTTCTGGACATTTCAGATCTTATAACACTGGTAACAAAGATCACCAACGCGGCAATGAAACAAAAGGCAGCCATGGCCAACATGAAGCCCTTTGCTGCTCTTGGGTCTGTATAGCCTCCGTAGCCATAGCCATAACCATAGCCATAGCCATAGCCACTTCCGTAGCTACCAAAGCCACTTCCTCCATAAGGGTAGCCTACACTACCTCCTAAAAGGGAAGTTCCATAGCCTCTGTCCCAGGCAAGCGTGGAGGCCACACAGGCAAAGATGGCAATGCACATCACAATAATGAGCATAGACAGGATCCGAATCACTCCTGGAGGAGAGGTCCATTTGTAGAAGTGAAGAATTTCATCTTCTGGGTAAAAAGAGTAGGCTGGCTGAGAGAGCATTGGTCGAACATGCATCTCTCCACCATATATGTCATTGCTTGGTGCATAATGATTCGGTTTGCTGAAATGAACATGAAAATAATTTCAAGTTAGCATTTTTTGGTAGTAAGCAGAAAGAACACAACTTATTTGGAATAATTTAAACCATTGGGTAAATGAAACTAAAGCTTATCTGTGCACAGGAATCACCTGGAGGGCTTGTTAAAACATAAGATTATTGGCCTCTAGCCACAACCCATTCTGCTCAGACATTTGGGTTATCTCTGTTTGGGGGTATTGTAAACAGTTTAACTATAAACATCCTTGAATGTGTATTCTGGTACGGAACAGTACTTATTTTTCTAGGGTATATAACCAGGAGAATTTCTGGATCACATATTTTTATATCTTCAACTTCACTAGACAGTATCAAACTGTTTTCCAAAGTGATTGTACCAATTACCTACAGTGGAATGGGTAACTGTAATATATCCATACAATGGAATACTCCATAGCTATACTGTCCAATGTGGCAGCCACTAGCCACTTGGGTCTATCATACACTTGAAATGTATCTAGTCCGGCTGGGCACGGTGGCTCATGTCTGTAATCCCAGCACTTTGGGAGGCCAAGGCGGGTGGATCACTTGAGGTCAGGGGTTCAAGACCAGCCTGGCCAACATGGTGAAACCCCATCTCTACTAAAAATACAAAAATTAGCCAGACGTGGTGGCATGCGCCTGTAATCCCAGCTACTCAGGAGGCTGAGGCACGAGAATTGCTTGAACCCGGGAGGTGGAGGTTGCAGTGAGCCGAGATCGTGCCATTGCACTCTACCCTGAGTGACAGAGCAAGACTCCGTCTCAAAAAAAAAGAAATGTGGCTAGTCCAAACTGAGATACGCTGTTAAAATGCACAGTGGAGAGTCTGAGGTGGGCAGATCACTTGAGGCCAGGAGTTTGAGACCAGCCTGGAGAACATGGTAAAACCCTATCTCTACTAAAAATACAAAAATTAGCCAGGCATGGTGACACATGCCTGTAATCCCACTTACTTGGGAGGCTGAGGCACGAAAATCAAGAATCCCTTGAACCCAGGAGGCAGAGGTTGCAGTGAGCTGCGATCACACCCACTGCACTCCAGCCTGGGTGACAGGGCAAAAAAATTTAAAAATGCACAATGGATTTCAAAGATATAATATGAAGAAAGAATGTAAAATATTTCCTGAATCATTCATTTTTTACATCAATCACGTGATGAAGTAATGTTTTAGATATACAAGATTAAGTGAAATATATTAAAATTAATTTCTTCTTTTGGCCAGGCACGGTGGCTCACGCCTGTAATCCCAGCACTCTGGGAGGCCGAGGCGGGTGGATCACCTGAGGTCAGGAGTTCGAGACCGGCCTGGCTATCCTGGTGAAACCCCATCTCTACTGAAAATACAAAAACTAGTTGGGCGTGGTGGTGTGTGCTTGTAATCCCAGCTACTTGGGAGGCTGAGGCAGGAGAATCACTTGAACCCAGGAGGTGGAGGTTGCAGTAAGCCGAGACCGTGCCATTGCACTCCAGCCTGGGCAAAAAGAGCAAAACTCTGTCTTAAAAAAAAAAAATTATCTTTTTATTTTTAATGAAAGTATAAAATTACATATATGGCTCATGTTATATTTCTACAGTGCTATGAAGCCAAAACTGATGAACTATGAATACATGCAGTTACAGGTAATGCTGAAAAAAATGAAAAAATACATATCGCATTATTATATTTACATAAAGTTTTAAAACAGGTAAAACTGGCCAGATGTGGTGGCTCACACCTATAATCCCAGCACTTTAGGAGGTGGGCGGGTCACCTGAGGTCAGGAATTTGAGACCAGCCTGGCCAACATGGCGAAACCCCGTCTCTACTAAAAGCATAAAAATTGGTTGTGCATTGTGGTGGTTACCTGTAATCCCATCTACTTGGGAGGCTGAGGCAGGAGAATTGCTTGAATCCAGGAAGTGGAGGTTGCAGTGAGCCAAGATTGTGCCACTGCACTCCAGCCTGGGCAACAAAGTGAGAGTCTGTCTCAAAAATAAATAAATAAAACAGGTAAAACTAAACTGAAATGTTTAGGATATACAAGATGATAAAATGATAAAAGCAGGTAATGATCATACGTCAGGACAGTGGTCTCCAGAGAAAAGGAGAGGACACAGGGAAGGACTTTGAAGTGTTCTGTTTCTTGACCTGGGTGATGAGTATGTATGTTTGCTTGGTCTTTCCTCATGATCTCCTACATATGTTCTGTGTCCTTTTCTTTATGTATGTTGCAGTTCACCATTATTTACAAAAGCAACACAAAATAAGTGTCAGATTAGTGGTGCATTACTCAATTACTATATTCTCTAGTATGTTTTAAAAACTGTATTGTCATAAACAACTTGTGTCCCCACCATGTTTTAGGCACTAGTAAGGAGGTTAAAGAACTGGAACACAACCTTCACGTGATATTGTAAAATATGTATTTAGTCTTCATCTCCATTTTCTGGCATACAACTCCTAAAATCTTTGGACTCTCCAAAGTGATAAGTATCCCTTATATGCTAATGAGATGATAGGTTCCTGGCAGCCCTAGGAAGCTTCAGGATGGGAGCTAGGATTAGAGGGTTGGAACTTTTCAGCCCCAACCCTCTCTGGACAGGAAAGAGGGGCTGAAGCTTAAACTGCTCACCAATGGCCAATGATTTAGTCAATCATGCCTATGTCATAAAGCTTCCATAAAAACCCAAAAGGACCGAATTCACAGAACTTCTGGACAGCTGAACATGTGCAAGTTCCTGGAGGGTGGCACAACCAGGGAGGGCTGCTTCCCACATACCTCGCCCTGTCCACCTCTTCATCTGGTGTTTGTTGGCATCCATTGTAATATCATTTGTTTGTTCATTCATTCATTCATTCTTAAAAGACAGGGTTTCCCTATGTTGCCCAGGCTGGCCTCAAACTCCTGGGCTCAAGCAATCCTCCTGCCTCAGCCTTCTGAGTAGCTGGGATAACAGGCATGCACCACCACACCTGGCTTTTGTAATACCCTTTATAATAAACCAGTAATGGTAAGTACTGTTTCCCTGAGTTCTGCAAGCCACTTTAGCAAATTAATTGCACCCAAGGAGACAACTGTGGGAATCCTGATTTACTGTAGGTGGGTCAGAAACACAGGCCACAACCTGAGCTTGTGGCTGCTACGTGAAGTGGGGGCAGTCTTGTGGGAATGAGCCCTGAACCTGTGATCTGATGCTATCTCTGACAGTGTCAGAATTGAACTGATAATTAGAGGACACACAGCTATTGTCCACTGTAGAACTGATTACTTGGTTGCTGGTGGGGAAATATCCCCACAAATTCTGGTGATCAGAGGTCACAGATGTGTTGTGACAGAACAGCAGGAGAAACTGTTTGTTTTTGCCTATATCACACTCCACTACACTTATCATGGTTAAAGCTGCAAACTACTTAGAGGAGGAAATCCCTATCAATGTTTGATAGCAAATTTGGAATTCAAAAATTCACTGATAAGTCTTCACATGACCAAGGAGCCCAAAACCCCTCAACACTGCTTGTTTTAGATCATGGCAGGAATCACTCTTAAAACTGACAGTATGGAAAGTATTATGCTAAGTGAAAGAAGCCAGTTACAAAAGGCCACATATTACGTGATTTCTCCATTTATACAAAATATGCAGAATAGACAAATCTATAGAGACAGAAAGTAGACCAATAGTTGCTTAGGGCTGATGGAACTGGGAGGTGACTGCCAATGGATAGGTTTCTTTGGAGAGTAATGAAATGTTCTAAAATTAATTGTGGTGATGGTTCTACAACTCTGTGAATATACTAAAAACCATTAAACTATCCATTCTAAATGGGTAAATTGTAAAGTATGTTAATTATATCTCAATAAAGCTGTTATTTTTATTTATTTATTTATTTTTTGAGACGGAGTTTTGCTCTTGTCACCCAGTCTAGAGTGCAATGGCGCCATCTCAGCTCACCTCAACCTCCGCCTCCTGGGTTCAAGCGATTCTCCTGTCTCAGCCTCCCAAATAGCTGCAATTATAGGCATGCATCACCATGCCCGGCTAATTTTGTATTTTCAGTAGAGATGGGGGTTTCTCCACGTTGGTCAGGATGGTCTTAAACTCCCGACCTCAGGTGATCCACCCGCCTCGGCCTCCCAAAGTGCTGGGATTACAGGCATGAGCCACCAGGCCTGGCCTTTTTTCTTTTTTTCAGACGGAGTCTCGCTCTGTCTCTAGGCTGGAGTGCAGTGGCGTGATCTCGGCTCACTGCAACCTCCACCTCCTGGGTTCAAGTGAATCTCCTGCCTCAGCCTCCCAAGTAGCTGGGATTACAGGCAAGTAGCTGGGATTAGAGGTGCGCGCCACCACAGCCAGCTAATTTTTGTATTTTTAGTAGAGACGGGAGTTCACCATGTTGGCCAGGATGGTCTCGATCTCTTGACCTTGTGATCCGCCAGCCTCGGCCTCCCAAGGTGCTGGGATTACAGGCGTGAGCCACCGCACCCGGCCTAAAGCTGTTATTTTTAAAAACTGACAATATGTTCCCAATGGCCACCTAAATGAGGCATTTAAATGGAAGCTTCATTATCATTTGTACAAAACAAAAAGGAACATACAAATATAAACCTTGGCAATCTCTTGAAACAAACATTAGGAATAGGTGACAGCAGTTGTCCTAGCAGAGACAAACTGTCATTCTGAAAGTTGAGAGAAATTCAGTTTTCAGTGCAGACCCTTTGATACAATTTAAATTTACAAGTACACATATCGTTTTATTTTTAAAAGCAAACACTTAAAGTTTCAACCATACTTATTGTTTACATGTGATAGACTTTTTAAAAGAGAATAACTAAAGAATTATTTACTTACAATTCATCAGGCCTGTAAGGAGGTGGACTTTCAAGAGGCCTGGATGACATGGCTGATTGTCAATGGTCAGCTGATCTTCAGGATGAGCAATGCCCTTTAGCTTCCAAGATAAACCAATCTAAGCAACAAAAGTAGAGTTATGGCATTACTACTAAGCTCACAGTTTCTTTCTTTTCTTCATCCCACCCCCACCCCGAGACAGGGTCTCACCCTGTCACCCAGGCTGGAGTGCAGTGGTCCAATCACAGCTCACTGCAGCCTTGATCTACCAGGCTCAAGTACTCCTCCTACCTCAGCCTCCCAAGTAGCTAGGACTACAGACCTGCACCACCATGCCTGGCTAATTCCTGTATTTTTTGTACAAAAATTTGAAATATATATAATTTCATATTACTTTTGAAAGTTCATATTAAATGAGAATGTATAAGAAAGTGCACATATAGCCGCACTAGCACATACTAGCTCCTCAATGCAAAGTAACCATCTAATGGGTTAAATGCCTTTATCATTAAAAATGATAATAAAATGCATCTATAAATGGTGGAATTGTAGATATTTTTCCCTTATCTCCTTTTCCAAGTCTTCGAAACTGAGCACAATTTTTATACAAGGGGAGAAAAAACAATATGCATGGTATTAATTGGTCATTTTCTGAAATTTTGTCCTAAAATTCTTCAGCACAAGTTCCTAAACATCTGAGGAGAAATTTCACTCAACAAGCATTTATTAAGTGCCTACACTAGACCAGGAGAGCCTGTGGGAGTGACGTATGACAGCCAGCGCTGGGGTCCTGGCTCTTCCAGGCTGGTGTGGTGCTGATAACACAGGTGGCTAGCTTATGGAACAGTGAAGTGGGAGCATGGTGGAATGGTGTCATCTTTTAAAATAAGGTTACAGTAAGAATATAGTGGATGGAGGATGAGTAAGAAAAGGGAGGGCTTTGAAAGTCTAGTGGGAGTGTCTCACTTCCTTCAGGTAGGAAACAGGGAGCCAGTTCGTGATTCTCGGCAAGGGAGGTGTAAGTTTGATTTGAACCAGATTTGAAAGACAAAGTCAACAGTAAAAAGGAGCACCTACAGTCAGCAGCAGCAAACCTAGGTGTGAGGCAACAATGAAGGACTAGCTTAGGAGACAGAAGATAGGAAGGAAACTAACATTCATCAGACACCTACCGACGTGCTGGGTGCTTTACATAAAACCTCCTTTCATCCTCAAAACGACCCTCCATGGTTGATTAGTCACTTTACAGATGCAAAGAGGGTCAGAAAGAGATGTGAAGTAATATGCTCAAGGTTATATGGATGTCAGTGAGTCACTCAGATGTAACTTGAACCCAGATGATTTCATGTGCTTTTCACTATGCTAGTTTGAAACAATGAGTTCCATTTGGGAAACACCAGTTTTTGTGGGGAGTGCACATCTGGTGTTAGCATCCATGAGGAAGTGAAGATGGAGGTCATCTGCCTACGTCCGTAGGTGGATCCATGGGCACTGAGAGCTCTCCAGGAAAAAGACAAGTCTCAGCAAGATGTGGTAAACACACAACCCCCTAACCTATAAAGCTTGAGGATTATTCTAGAAAACCCAGTGCTGGAGACACTGGCAAGGTACTTCCCACATCAGCTACAGAACTTCATGCCACTCCTTAGCTATGTTGAACCAACAATAAATTCTTTCCAGGTTATACCAGTGATTAGTAGAGTAGGGAACTTTGAGATCTACTGGAAGGTAAATTCCATGTGAGCAGGAATTTTTGCATGTTTTGTTCACTGATTAAATCAATGCCTGGCACATAGTAGACGTCCAGATAATTTGTTGAATGTTTACAGGAACCAGATTGGACCATGGATATCTCTGCCTGCAAAACCTCTTGTGCTTTCAAGTTGAAGGTAACGGAAAAGTATCAGAGTAACTTTAAAAGGTATGATCCCTGAATGACACTTGAGTAACATCTATAATGAGTACATTAAAGTATCTGATTTTTTTTCCTTTTCTAATACGGTCTGTACAATCATACATTAATATATTAACAACAGTACATCAATTCAGACTCTTAAAACTTTTTTTTAAATTAATGGCAACTCTTTTTTTTTTTTTTGAGCCGAGTCTCGCTCTGTCACCAGGATGGAATGCAATGGCATGATCTCAGCTCACTGCAATCTCCGCCTCCCGGCTTCAAGCGATTCTCCTGCCTCAGCCTCCCGAGTAGCTGGGACTACAGGCGCACGCTGCCACGCCCGGCTAATTGTTTGTATTTTTAGTAAAGATGGGGTTTCACCATGTTGCACAGTCTGGTGTCAAACTCCTGAGCTCAGGCAATCTGCCCTCCTTGGCCTCCCAAAGTGCTGGGATTACAGGCATGAGCCACCACGCCCCACCTGGCAACTCTCTTCTATACCCTTTAGGACAGTGTATTTCAAATCTCTCAGAATTAAACCCTGCCCAACTATGTATTAGATAAATCCTCAAAGATGGAAATATATAGAATGTTAATAACACCAACACAATTAGCATAATTTTCCAAAGACATGAAGGAAGATGACTTTTCTACATTTTTAAAAGCCACTTTTAAAGTATACCATAGAGAAAAGTGCACAAATCATAAGTGTACACAGCCCTGTAACTAGCACTCAAGTCAATTTCTCTATACTTTTTTTTTTTTTCTTTTGAGACAAGGTCTCATTCTGTTGCCCAGGATGAAATGCAGTGCCATCATCTCAGCTCACTACAACCTGCCTCCCAGGCTCAAGCAATCCTCCTGCCTCAGCCTCACAAGTAGCTGGACTACAGGCACATGCCACCACGCCTGGCTAATTTTTGTATTTTTAGTAGAGATAAGGTTTCACCATGTTGCCCAGGCTGGTCTCAAACCCCTGAGCTCAAGCTATCCACCTGCCTTGGCCTCCCAAAGTACTGGGATTACAGGCATGAGCCAATACACCTGGCCAATTTCTCTATATTCTAGTAATGGTGAAACACACATACAAATGAGCAATTTAGGCGAAAATGTTATGGTACTATAAAAAGGCAAAAGTCCAGATTGTCTTCAGAAAAAGAACATTAAGGAATACTGAATTTAGGCCAGGTGAGGTGGCTCACACCTGTAATTCCAGCACTTGGGAGGTGGAGACAGGTGGATCACCCTAGGTCAGGAGTTCGAGACCAGCCTGGCCATCATGGCAAAACCCCGTCTCTACTAAAAATACAAAAATTAGCTGGGCATGGTGGCACGTGCCTGTAATCCCAGCTACTTGAGAAACTGAGGCATGAGAATCGCTTGAGCCCGAGGTGGAGGTTGCAGTGAGCCAAGATTGTGCCACTGCACTCCAGCGTGGGTGACAGAGCAAGACTCCTTTAAAAAAAAAAAGTAAAACAGAAAATCTGAAGTTAAGCACTATTAAATGTGGGATCCTAGTTCTGAAGCTGAATGTCAAATATCCCCAAATTCTAGGTTCAGTGGTAGTTTTGGAAACTCTAAATTAATCCAGACTCAGTCTTAAGTTGTCAAAAATTCAAACAAGATCCCTTTTCAAACTGCTATTTCCAGGATTCAGAGTTGTCACGTCTCCCCAAAAGCACGGATTTTAAATTGTGAACCAAATCATGTGGCTCATGCCTGTAATCCCAGCACTTTGGGAGGCCGAGGCAGGTGGATCACATGAGGTCTGGAGTTCAAGACCAGCTGACCAATGTGGTGAAACCCTATCTCTACTAAAAATACAAAAAATTAGAGGGGCGTGGTGGTGCATGCCTGTAAACCCAGCTACTTGGGAGGCTGAGGTAGCAGAATTGCTTGAACCTGGGAGGCGGAGTTCGCAGTGAGCCAGTATTGCGCCATTGCACTCCAGCCTGGGCAAAAAGAGCAAAACTCCGTCTCAAAAAAAAAAAAAAGAAAAGAAAGCTCGTTAAGAACAAGTCATGCCACACCAACTTCATTTCCTTTTCTGGGAAGGTTACCAAACTGGTGGATTTTATTTTCTCCTTTATTATTTCCTCTTCAGGGAATGCAGAGAGAAAGAATCCTGAAAATCTTGAGCACATCCTTGTGTGGGTGGGCAGATTCCCAAGGGGCTGGATTACGGCACCCAATTAGCACAAAAGAATGAACCATTTATGTCCACCTGGTGGGAGGTCTCCACTGGTAAACACAGACAAAGTGGAGGAGACACGCTTATCCAGATTTGCAGCTGACCAAACACACTGGAAAGGATAACTAACCCATTGGCTAGGGCCATCAACACTAAGCAAGATCTCTGTAATGTCAGAATGATGAGTTTGAAACAACCTAGTGGTTTTAACAGCCCCCATTTACTGGCTCGCAATCTGAGACAAATTCCTTATCTCCTCTAAGTGCACTCAAATGCGGGAATAATCCTGACCTCTGCACTGGGATAAGAAAAAGTCTTAAAGAGCTGGGCGCAGTGGTTCACGCCTGTGATCCCAGCACTTTGGGAGGCCGAGGCGGGTGGATCACGAGGTCAAGAGATCAAGACCATCCTGGTCAACATAGTGAAACCCTGTCTCTACTAAAAAAATACAAAAATTAGCTGGGCTTGGTGGCGCGCGCCTGTAGCCCCAGCTACTCAGGAGGCTGAGGCAGGAGAATCGCTTGAATCCAGGAGGAGGAGGTTGCAGTGAGCTGAGGTCACGCCACTGCACTCCAGCCTGGCGACGGAGCGAGACTCCGGCTCAAAAAAAAAAGAAAGAAAAAAACCACAAGAAAAAGTCTTCAAGAAAATGGGCAACTGCATTCATCATAAGGTGGTTATCCTGAAAGTAAGAAATTTCAGTGCTTAGGCACTTAGGTATATTGTATCCATTTTCAAATACAGCTGACCCTCCACATCCATGGGTTTTAAATTCTGATTCAACCAACCTCAGACAGAAAATATTCAGGGGAAAAAAAAATTAAAAATTACAGGGCAGGTACAGTGGCTCACACCTGTAATCCCAACACTCTAGGAAGCTGAAGCAGGAAGATCACTTGAACCCAGGAGTCCAAGACTGACCACAGCAACATAGTAAGACCCCATCTCCACAAAAAATTTTTCTTAAAATTAGCCAGGCATGGTGGCACATCCCTGTAAGTTCCAGCTACTCAAGAGACTGAGATGGGAGGATCTCTTGAGCAGAGGAAGTTGAGGCTGGAGTGATCATGCCACTATACTCCAGCCTGAGTAACAGTAATACCCTGTCTAAAAAAATAATAAACAATAAAACAAAAAATAGATTTTTAAAACTACAATATCACAATTCTACATAGTATTTACATTGTATACGGTATTATAACTAGAGATTATTTAAAGTCTACAAGAGGTCTGGGTGCAGTGGCTCACACCTGTAATTCCAGCTCTTTGGGAGCCCAAGACGGGCGGATCACTTGAGGTCAGGAGTTCGAGACCAGCCTGGCCAACATGGTGAAACCCTGTCTCTACTAAAAATACAAAAATTAACTGGGATTGTGCCGGGTGCCTGTAATCCCAGCTACTCAGGAGGCTGAGGCAGGAGAATCGCTTGAGCCCAGGAGGCAGAGTTTGCAGTGGGCCAAAATTGCATCACTGCACTCCAGCCTAGATGATGGAGTGAGATTCTGTCTCAAAAAAACAATTAAAAAAAAAAGTATACAAGAGCATTTAGGCCATATGCAAATACAAAGCTATTTTATAACAAGGACTTCAGCATCCTCAGATTTTAGTATCATGGGGGTCCTGGAAGCAACCTCTCACAGATACTGAAGGGTGACTATATTGGTGGCATAAATGAGTCATTTTTAAAATGTAAACTGATTTTTTTTTTTTTTGAGACAGGAGTCTTGCTCTGTCATCCAGCCTGGAATGCAATGGCGTGATCTCGGCTCAATGCAACCTCCACCTCCCAGGTTCAAGCAATTCTCCCACCTCAGCCTCCTGAGTAGCTGAGATTACTGGCACATGCCACCAGGCCAGGCTAATTTTTGCATTTTTAGTAGAAACGGGGTTTCACCATGTTAACCAAGCTGGTGTCAAACTCCTGACCTCAGGTGATCCACCCACCTCAGCCTCCCAAAGTGCTGGGATTACAGGCATGAGCCACCATGCCCAGCCATAAACTGAATTTTTAAAAAGTCAATTCCATAGTACAGTATAGAGGAGAACTAATTTAATAATCGTTCTTTTTTTTTTTTGAGACGGAGTCTCGCTCTGTCGCCCAGGCTGGAGTGCAGTGGCGGGATCTCGGCTCACTGCAAGCTCCGCCTCCCGGGTTCACGCCATTCTCCTGCCTCAGCCTCCCAAGTAGCTGGGACTACAGGCGCCCGCCACTACGCCCGGCTAATTTTTTGTATTTTTAGTAGAGACGGGGTTTCACCGTTTTAGCCGGGATGGTCTCGATCTCCTGACCTCGTGATCCGCCCGCCTCGGCCTCCCAAAGTGGTTCATTTTTAAAGGTGCATTTCTTTGGTAAGAATTTCAACAAAAGCTAACAACCTATCCCAAACTTTATTCACAGAAATAGTGCTCATATCTAGGAATAATATGCTATTAAAAAGAACAAACAAAACCTGATTTGTACATCACATTCTAAACTATGTGCCTCTCCAGGAGGGTGACTAAGATCATTAAAGATCTAGAAAAGCTGGCCAGGCACCGTGGCTCACGCCTGTAATCCCAGCACTTTGGGAGGACGAGGCGGGTGGATCACAAGGAGATCGAGACCATCTTGGCCAACACGGTGAAACCTCGTCTCTACTAAAAATACAAAAATTAGTTGGGCATGGTGGTGTGTGCTTGTAATCCCAGCTACTTGGGAGGCTGAGGCAGGAGAATTGCTTGAACCCAGGAGGCAGAGGTTGCAGTGAGCCAAGATTGTGCCACCGCACTCCAGCCTGGCGACACAGTGAGACTCTGGCTCAAAAAAAAAAAAAAAAAAAAATCTAGAAAAACCATGTCTTAAGACAAATGATTGGAAAAACAGGAAATGTTTGGCCTGGAGAACTTAACGTCAGAAGAATCGCTTTAGCAGCCCTGAAATATATGAAGAGCTGTCTTTGTTATCCTAGAAATGGTTAAAAAAAAAAAATTCCAAAAACCACAGGCTGATTTCATCTCAATGTTAGGAAGCCTCTCCCTCACCCTGACCCCACACCCTCTCCGAAAATAACTAACAACAATTTGAGCTCATGCAATTTATGCAAAGCTTAAGTTATTTGATATTTTTTTGGAGACCAGACTGGAAGACTTCTAAGGTCTCTTTCAAAGTGAATCTGTGACTGTGCTTTAAGGCCAGCAGCCAAAGGTGAAAGAGGACCAATGCCCAGCACAGCAACATTAACAATCTGTACATGTGTTGAGTGAAGGAAAAAATGAGAATGAAGAGGCCACTTATCACCTACAGGAACTTATGTCAGGAGAGTGACAAGGACAGAAGTCAGACAGCTAAATTAGAGTCGGGGGCAAAAGGGAAGCAGCAGATAGATCCTTGTCAAATATGTTAATCTGAAAACCAGCATCTTGGGCTAATGATAAAATATAAAGTGTTCTCCCCTTGACAATGTTTACTGACCAAAAGCTGTCTTAATGGAAAACTAAGCTAAGATGAAAAAAACAGGCTGAGGCTGGGCAAGGTGGCTCACACTTGTAATCCCAGTACTTTGGGAAGCCAAGGCAGAGGGATTGTTTGAGCCCAGAACTTCAAGATCAGGCTGGGCAACAGAGTAAGACTCCGTTATCTATCTTAAAAAAAAAAAAAAAAAAAAAGTATAAAAAAAGAAAAAATAGTCTGAAAATGCTTTGGCCTCAAATTATTCTTTAAAGAAAACTGTCAATAAGTGAAAAATAAACTTTATTGTATTTAAGAGAAGTCTGTTCCTTTTAGAGCACATGCAGTAACTGTCAATTTGCCTTTAAAAAGTTTAAGTTGTGGCCGGGCGCGGTGGCTCACGCCTGTAATCCCAGCACTTTGGGGGGCCGAGACGGGAGGATCACGAGGTCAGGAGATCGAGACCATCCCCGCTAACACAGTGAAACCCCGCCTCTATTAAAAATACAAAAAATTAGCTGGGCATGGTGGCAGGCGCCTGTAGTCCCAACTACTCGGGAGGCCGAGGCAGGAGAATGGTGTGAACCCGGGAGGCGGAGCTTGCAGTAAGCCAAGATCGTGCCACTGCACTCCAGCCTGGGAGACAGCGAGACTCTGTCTCAAAAAAAAAAAAAAAAGTTTAAGTTGTGCCTTATATTAAATGATTTAGACTACAGGCACATCATTAGTAAATTGTCTAAAAATTTGAAGTTAGGCAGATTTTGTAATAGACTCTGTGTCAGAAATTGTATTTTTAATAAATCTTCCAGGTGATTTTTAAACACATCACATATTTTGAGAATTGCTGTCTACAATAAAGGTGTCAATCCAAAAAGGACATTGATCTTGCAATTTCCTGTCTAGAAAGCCCAGATCTTTTACACAACAGACACCTGCTGTTCAGGTCTCAGCTCAGACGTCACCTTCTGGGAGATGCCCTCCCTGTCCCTCACTCCATCACACAAAACTTGTTTTTTTTTTCAGAGCAAACTCCCCTCTGCCCTCATACCTAAAATATAGGTATCATCTCCACCGCATCTGGAATGCCCATATCCCAGACATCAAATGTCTATTTTGACCATCATTTATATCCCTGGTCGCTGGAACTAGCCCTGGCACAAAGTGATTGTCAATGAGTACTCAATTAATAAAACCAACAGTCAATTATTAGAGTTGGGATTTCAATCCAGCAGTGAATGCCTTGAAGTTCTTCACACAACACTCAATAAACGTTATTTTTTCCAACTTCAGTTTGTCAAATGTAATTAAGTGCGTAGAGTCTAAGAGAAAGGGAGAAAAAGAAGACAGAACAGTCTGAGAATCACCTGTGAGCCTGTTAGAAAGGCAGAATCCCAGGCCCCACTCCTGACCTCCCAATCAGAATCTGTGTTTTAATAGGATCCCTAAGTGATTCATACCACAGCCAAGACTGGAATCACTGGGTTACGGAACAGCGGCAAGCCTAGGGGTTAAAACAAAAAGCCTAACATAAATCTGCATGGTCTGTTTACTCTCTTATTTCCATAAATAGTAATTTGATGAAAAAGATCCATTAATATTCCAATCAAATAAGCCTTAAAATGCAACTGAAGAAAACTTCCTTCTGGGAGGTTCCTAGGAAGATGAAAGATATTACATCAGATCATTTATGTGGTTAAAAGTAATATACTATTTTGAAAAGGTAGTAATTCCAACACTACCTTTAGAAGAAAACAAGAATTTTACCTTGATATCAAGCAAAATGCGGGAAATCTTGTATCAGGCTACAGTTACTAGTCAATGGTAGAAAAGTCCAGAAAAATTCCCCAAATCTGGTTCTGGAATATCAAGGACCGCTGCTTCTGATACTCCTTCCCATATTAGCTGAAGCAGTTTGCAAGCAAGCCCACCTGCAACGTTTCCCCCACGGCATTTGCCCACTTTTAAAATGGAGTTCTACTAAGGCCTGCCTTTTAGAGTTGTTGGGATAATTAAATGAGAAAATACAGAATGCTTTTACCACAGTGCCTCACGTGCAGGAGGCACTGCTGCCCACTATTTCCCGAAATGGCCTGGAAACTGCCAAAAGGTGGAGAATCATGTCTTACCGATCTCCCTATCCTCTGCTCCGTCACCTAACAAAGGAGGCCCCTAATAACTAAATAAATTGCAAAACGACCAAAAAAAAAGTGTTGCTTTGTTTGAGGAAATATCTCTGCCTCCCACACACACTTAAGATGTCTATTTTAAAGCACCACTAAGAAAATATTCATAAAGGCTGGGTGTGGTGGCTTACGCCTGTAATCCCAGCACTTTGGGAGGCCAAGGCGGGCGAATCACCTGAGGTCAGGAGTTCGAGACCAGCCTGACCAAATGGCAAAACCCTGTCTCTACTAAAAATACAAAAATTAGCTGTGCATACTAGTGGGTGCCTGTAATCCCAGCTATTCGGGAGGCTGAGCAGGAGAATCGCTTGAACCCGGGAGGCAGAGGTTGCAGTGAGCCCAGATGATGCCACTGCACTGGGGGACAGAGCCAGACTCCGTCTCGGAAAAACACACACACACACACACACAAGCACCTCATATGTACAGTGCAAAAGAACTACTGTTACTATTGTTACACTTGGGAACGCCTAGTTTTCTATCACACCAAGAATCACCAAAAAACACCATAAGTGCCTTCATGGGAAACGTTTCTCTTTTCCAGGTATCCCAATAATACACCTGTTGCCTAAGGGCCACACACTGACTGGCCTGGAAAGCCGCCGCCTCCTCCTCGAGCAGGGTAATTCCCCAAGCGGGCAGTGTGGCCAGCGAGCCCCGGGTCCGGCCTAAGGATGCCGCGGCTTTTCCCTCGGGCCCGGTGGCTTCCCGAGGAGCGCGAGGGGCTCGGCGCCGCTCCCAACCCCTAGGCGCAGAGGCCATCTTGGCCCTCGACCCCTGCTCCCCGCACGCTTCCTCCGACGCAGGCAACATGGCTGGCGCGCGGGGCCGGCCCAGTCCCGGAGGTCCCCAAACTCCGTGGCCCGGCTGGGCGCGGGTCCCGGCTTCCGTGCGCACCGAGGCGCTCCCAGGCAGCGCGCGCCCACGTTCGCCGGGCAGGCACCGCCCGGAGGCAGTTCCGCCCCCCTGGGGGCAGCCCTTTTGGTCACGGATGAGAATCCGAAGCGTGAGCAGCTTCCCTCGAAGTCCAGCCTCACTCGAAATTAACTCCCCGCCCCCCAGCTTAAATCGACGCGGGTTCACACAACTCGCAACAAGTGGATTCGAAGTAGCCAGTGTGGCCCACACCGTGACTCCTGGAATATTTCACAGATTGAATCCAGCCCCCGTCTCCCCGGGATATCCAAAGGGGTGGGGTGGGAGCGGAAGGAATGAAATTCCCCCCGGGATCTAAGCCGCCCGGGCCGCCGAACAGCCGCCTCGCTGCAGCCTCAGGCTTAGGACCCCCAAGGAGCTGGGCGCAGGATCCCTCTCCATGAAGGCCGCCCCCCCAAACTGCAGCCCCAGAGCGGATGCAGGATCGTCGCTGTTCAGGAATGTCGTGCCCCATAAAAGTGAAAAGTTGCCCGCGCCGCTGAGGCACTGCTAGCTTTCAGCGTTTCCGCGGAATAAAGCTTGATCGGCGGCTCCAAGCCACCCCTCGCCCCAGGAGGCAGCCTCCCAAGTTGGCCGGTGCTGCTCTCTCCGCAGACCCGCGCCTCTCTGGTTCCCACGAGTCCCAGCTCGGGGACGAAACTGCCACCGAAACCAGCGCGGAGCGTCCTCCCCCCGGCACCTCCCCTAACATAGTCGCCGCGGTCCCCCCACGGGGACCCTCGGGCTCCCGTGCGCCCCTGACGCCGCGCCCAACACTCACCCGCTCGCCGCAACTGGGCCCGACCCTCCGGGGGCCAACGGTGCCAGGGAGCGCGCTCACCTGGCGGGCGCACCTGACGCCGCACCGACCGCCAGCGCTCAGCCGGGGACTGGGCTGGGGACGTCTCCTCCCCCTTCTCCCTCTCCTTTCCCTCCTCCCTACAACCGGCCCTGCCCCCGGGCATGCGCACCAACGTGGAAGGGGGTGCGGGAAGCCTGCGGGCCAGCGCCGCGAGTCCCACCTGCTGCGTCCTAGACCGGCTCCTCGGCGCTCTGGACCTGGCTCTCGGTTCCTGCCGCCTCCGCCAGAGGAAGCAGGGAGGGAGAGGTGGACGCGGGAGTGTAGGTGTGGTGTGTCGGCCTCCTCCCTCGGTGACCAATTCACCTGAAACTCGGATGGGAGGGGGCGGGAGGACGCGGTCCTGCTTCCCACACCCTGCCAGCGCGCTGTTAAAGGAACCGCGCGACGTTGCGGCCCGAGAGGCGGGGCGCAGAGGAGAGGCGCGGGCTCCTAGGGGGCAGCACGGATGGGGGTCCCTGACCACCCCGGGGTGCGTTCGGTGCTCCGCCTGCTTCGGATGGAACCTTGGGGTGTCTGATGGAGAGAGGCCGAACGAGGTCCAGAGGGGACTGTTTCCTCCGGAAAGAGGGTCCAGGCACTCAGCACTTTGATAGGAAAGGCACGTCCTCACAGGACACTTTTCTGCTTCCAGAATTTGATTAAACTGTTGCTGGAAAAAGGCATCTAGATGTATTGCTCCAACGAAAGACTCCTGGGAAAATTTCAAAAGTCGTGTGTAAACATTGGCGCTGTTTCTGAATCTCTAGATTCAGAATAAGAGACAATTACTTAGAGGGGTTAAAATGAGGGTGAACTACTGTAGGTGTTAGTTGCCATCCAGCAGGCTAAAGTGCATAATACAGTTTACACATCACCACCCCAGGGTCCTCTCCTGCCCACCCGGTCCGCTCTTGAGGACCGGGAAATTTAAACTATTATGGCTCTTTGGCCTGAGAAAAAGCACCTTATACGTTGTTTACCAACCTGTAGTGCTTTAAGAACAACACTACTTAAAAAGCAAAATAAACTTGGTTTACTTTTTTTTTTTTTTTAAGAAAACGAAAAAGCACCTTAGTTCCGGGTGCTGTATTCTATTTCTTGATCTGGATTCTGTTTCCAAGGGAAATTTCATAGTCTGCACTTAACACTGTGTATATTTTTATGTATGTTGGTTGTTTTTCAACATATTTTTTAATTGTACTCCAGGATGTGGCAATTATAGTTCTTGGCATTTAACTATCTGCATTGAAAGCGAACTTTTAGGTTTCTTACATCCTGCTTGTCTTTGTGTTCCAATCTGGAATGTCAGCATTGCTAATAAATTTCTATCCAATCCCACCCACTTCTCTACCTTTAATTAAATGGTTAGAGATGTGACTCTCCCATACATTAGATCTTAAGGCACAATTCATACTTGAGGAAGTAAAAGCACTATATAAATATGAGGTATTTCAGATGATGGCAGCTTTAATGGGTAATTAATTTAATTGGTATTTTTTTCGTGGAAGTCATTGCTACAAATGCTTTAATATGACTATGTAGTTTTTGAATGATGCAGTTTAAATTGGTATTGTTAACACTGGGGAAGTCAGGTTAATCCCCTTAATGTTCCCTGTCAGATTACTGAAATCTCCAAACATTCCATTTGGTTTATAATTAAACAAGGGAACATTTCCTAATACTCTCAGATTTGTAAACACATGTCTATTATTTTATAATGTATTTTGACATGTTCTGAAGAGATCTTAGGAGTTTTTTTCCACTTTATAAAAGAGAGTTCACATACCATAAAATTCACCCTTTTAAAGGGCACGTACAATTCAGTGGGTTTTAGTATACTCACCAGATTGTACAACCATCACCACCATCTAATTCCATTTTAATCGCCCCCAAAAGAAACCCCATGCCCATTAATAGTCACTCCCCATTTCCCCTCTCCCCTCATCCCTCGGCAACCACTAATGTACTTTCTGTCTCTATTAATTTGCCTATTCTGGACATTTTATATGAATGGATAATACAATATGTGCCCTTTGTGTCTGTCTTCTTTCACTTAGCATAATATTTTAAAGGTTCATCCATGATGTAGTATGTATTGGTACTTCATTCCTTTTTATAACTGAATAATATTCCATTGTATCGATGTATCACATTTCGTTTAATCATTCATCTGTTGATGAACATTTGGGTTGTTTCTCCTTTGGGGATGTTATGAATAATGTTACTATGAACATTTGTGTACAAGTTTTTGTGTGGACATATGTTTTCGGTTCTCTTGGTAAATTAGGTTTTTAAATTAAACTTTTTATCATTTTAAGATAACTTATGCATATCATGTTATTTTTCTTATTCCCACCCTAAACCTAAACTCAAAGACATGTTGTGTTGGGTAGAAGGCTTTCATATTCTATTTGCTTTCCCAATTCATTCCTTCAACTATTTTCTGAGTGCCTAATCTGTACACACACGAGTGAACAAAACTCAAAAATCTCTGTGAAACTTACTTTCTAGTTAGTTCTGAGTTCATCCATATGGAATAATAGGATTCATTAATTGTATGAATTCTATTTTATTCGCTTGAGATTAATTTTCTAAACAACAACATCAAAAGAACGGTTAACTATTGTCCAATATTGTGTATATTTCATAGTTGAAAGTGTCTAGAAAGAAAATCCAGCCTTAAAACTTAAACACATCATTCTTCAATACCAAAACAAAATTTGTTGGATGTTAAATGATGCCATGCTCAATTTAATCATGTTACATAATCATAAATTATAGCAAAATTTAATTACTATATTTTTTACCAAATATTCCTTCTTGGCAACTCACAGTAGTATTGAGTAGTATCCACTATTGAATATTATTTGATGAAAATCCCCGTGACTCAGAGCAATGTAAATATTATTTTCAGAACCCCATGATTAGAAACTTGTTGACTTTACCTGCAGTCAAATGGATAAGATGAAAAGACAATTTGTTTCTCCTTTTCTATGTGTAAAAGAGAAACTTAAGAGCTCAGATTATGGTGTCAGAAATCTCAGTTCAAATTCCAGTGTTGCTACTTGGTAGCTGGGTAGGACTAAAGGAAATTAAACTATGTAAGGTTCATTTTTTTCCACCGTAAATTTGAGATGATAATAAACAATACTGTCTTTATAAGTCTGTTGGTGGGAATGTGGAGCATTCACCAAGACAGACTATATGCTGAGCCACGAAACAAGTCTCAATAAATTGAGCAAGCCATTGCTGTATCCTATATGCCTGAAATAGTTCCTGTCACATAGGAATTACATAACTATGTGTTGGATGAATGAATGAATGACTATAGCCCTGCTTCCCAAATCCAACATGCCTGTGGAGTCTTGTCCTCCTCTCAGATGGCCTCCTGCTATTGTGAAACCCGCACGTTCCTTAGTAGCATTTCAAGGCTTACATCTCTAGTACTAGGGTTTAGAGGAGAAAAGACGGGAGATTAACATAGTTCCACTGTTTCCACTCTGCCTTGCCTGCTTAGTAAATGAATTCAAAGACTGGTATGTGTCCAAGGCAACTCAGTTTGGAGTTGCTGAGGGCCTGGCCTGAAAGGCCTCTAGTTTCTCTGCCCAGTCATGAGGAGGGGGAGGCTTCTGGTCCACACAGGACAGTTTCCTTGGACAGGTGTATGGAAGAATTTATGGGGAAGCCACTAGGAAGACAATTTCTAAAAGGATGATTACACTAGATGAGTAAACCTTTATCTTCTCTATTCCTATGTGTTAAGCAAGATCCTCCTGGGAGGAATCCATATTTAAACAAAGAGACTCAGCACCTGAACAGGAACTTCAACAGGTGGAAGAATAATAATAGCACCATTTACTCAGGGAAAAACATGTTCTAAGTACTATGCTAAGTGTTTTTTTGGTTTTCTGTTTGTTTGTTTTGAAACAGAGTCTCCTCCGTAGCCCAGGCTGGAGTGCAATGGTGTGATCAGCTCTCTGCAACCTCCGCCTCCTGGGTTCAAATGATTCTCCTATGTCAGCCTCCTGAATAGTTGGGACTACAGGCACCTGCCACCACGCCTGGCTAATTTTTGTATTTTCAGTAGAGATGGGATTTCACCTTGTTGGTCAGGCTGGTCTCGAACTCCTGACCTCAGGTGATACTAACGCCTTGGCCTCTCAAAGCGCTAGGATTACAGAGGTGAGCCACCATGCCCGGCAGTTTTATGTTTTTTTTTATTTTTTTCTGGTTTTTGGGTTTTTTTTTTTTTTTTTTTTTTTTTTTGAGACGGAGTCTCGCTCCGTTGCCCAAGCTGGAGTGCAATGGCGCAATCTCAGCTCACTGCAACCTCTGCCTCCCAGGTTCAAGCGATTCTCCTGCCTCAGCCTCCTGAGTAGCTAGGATTACAGGTGCCCGCCACCACGCCCAGTTAATTTTTGCATTTTTAGTAGACACGGGGTTTCACTGTGTTGGTCAGGCTGGTCTCAAACTCCTGACCTCAAGCAATTCACCCGCCTCAGCCTCCAAAATGCTGGGATTACAGGCTTGAGCCACCGTGCCCGGCTGGGTTGTTTGTTTGTTTGTTTGTTTTTGAGATGGAGTTTCACTCTTGTTGCCCAGGCTGGAGTGCAATGGCGCGATCTTGGCTCACTGCAACCCCCACCTCCCAGGTTCGAGCGATTCTCCTGCCTCAGCTTCCCGAGTAAGTGGGATTACAAGCATGAGCCACCATGCCCAGCTAATTTTGTATTTTCAGTAGAGACGGGCTTTCTCCATGTTGGTCAGGCTGGTCTCAAACTCCTGACCTCAGGTGATCTGCCTGCCTCAGACTCCCAAAGTGCTGGGATTACAGGCGTGAGCCACCACGCCCGGCCCCGGCTGGGTTTTTATTTTTATTTTTTTGGTCTTTACAAGAACTTTATGATGTACTATTATTTTCCCCATTTTACACATAGGAAAACTAAAGCTCAGAAAGTATTGATCATTTACTCAAGTTGTCTACTAAGTTGTAGAGTCAGGATTCAAATACAGGTCATCTGATTCCTGAACCAATGTTCTGAACAGTTTTACTATATTTTAGGACTACTTTTTGTCTATAGGCAATATAGGCAATATTCTGTTTCTTCCCGAGTCCAAGTTACACGGCTGTTAGCCTTACAACAATTTATCAAGCTGTGCATATGTTTTATATACATTTTTGTAGGAATTTTGTATTTCATAATTTAAAAAAATTATTTTGAGTCACCTCTGTCACCCAGGCTGGAGTGTAGTAGCATGATCATGGCTCACTGCAGCCTCTATCTCCTGGGCTCAAGCGATCTTCCCACCTCAGCCTCCTGGGTAGCTGAGACTACAGGCACGCACCCACAACTGGCTGATTTTTGTTTTGTTTTGTTTTTAAATAAAGATGAGATCAGACCGGGTGCAGTGGCTCACGCCTGTAATCCCAGCACTTTGGGAGGCGGAGGCGGGTGGATCACTTGAGGTCAGGAGTTCCAGACCAGCTTGGCCAACATGGTGAAACCCCGTCTCTACTAAAAATACAAAAAACATTAGCCCAGCGTGGTGGAAGCACCTGTAATCCCAGTTACTTCGGAGGCTAGGGCAGGAGAATCGCTTGAAACCAGGAGGTGGAAACTGCAGTGAGTCGAGATAGCGCCACTGCACTCCAGCCTGGGTGACAGAGCGAGACTCTGTCTTAAAAAATATATAAATATAAATACAAATAAATAAACAGAAATGAGGTCTCTCAATGTTGCCCAGGCTGGTCTCAAATTCTTGGGCTCAAGCAGTCCTCCCATCTCGGCCTCCCAAAGTGCTGGGATTACGGGTGTTAGCCACCACACCCGGCCAAAATTTGCTAAGAATAGGGTTTAGAGACAGTCTTAGAAAATAGTTGGAGATCCACATCTAGGATTTTTGTTTTGTGAATAACATTTTTCAAATACCAGCAGAAAATACATTCATAGGATCAGAGTAAGTTGAGATCAGCATCTAAAGAGAGAGTAAATGGGTTTGGTGTGGGACAGAATATTGGCACAATTATAAGGATAATACAGAGAAAGAGATTTGGGACTGCTTTTTTTTAATTGTATCAGTCATCTATTGCAGTGGAAAACTGGCCTTGCAGGCTTTTTCAGGAACTAGCCTTCCTGAATCTTTTAAGCTCAAAAAAGGAAAGAGGAAAAAGTAAACATTAACCAAATATTGTCTTCGCTTACCTACTTTTAACTTCATGGGGCTCTTTACCTCCTGTGTCCCCAAACTGAAAAAGATAATAATAATTATCTCGTAATTTAGCATAAGGAATCCTAACCCTAGAAAAATCTCTTGAACTGGGTCAGTGTGAAACCAATACACTTTAAGCAGATCACAAATTTCTCTTGTTATTCTTTGGTTTTGAGGTACGGGACTCCTTTTATTCGATACAGGGGTTTCCAAATAGCAGCTTTTCTTGTTTTTTTGTTTTTGTTTTGTTTTTGTTTGAGACAGAGTGTCGGAGTCTCACTCTGTCGCCCAGGCTGGAGTGCAGTGGCACAGTTTCGGCTCACTGCAACCTCCACCTGCTGGGTTCAAGCGATTCTCCCACCTCAGCCTCCCAAGTAGCTGGGATTACAGACGCGCACCACCACGCCTGGCTAATTGTTGTATTTTTAGTAGAGATGGGGTTTCACCATGTTACCCAGGTTGGTCTTGAACTCCTGACCTCAAGTGATCTGCCCTCCTCAGCCTCCCAAAGTGCTGGGATTACAGGCGTGAGCCACTGCACCTGGCCCCATATGGCAGCTTTTCTGATTTTACTTGGAGTTTCTTTAGGATAAACTCAAGGAGCCTACAAGCAAAAACTCACTACAGTTCCTGAAATGTTGTTGTTGGCTGACACGGTACAGCGTAAGTGGGACATATGAGAATTGTATGTGAAAAGGAATATTTATTCAGTCAAGAAATATTTACCTCAGTACCTGCTGTATACCAGACCCTGTTCTAAGCCCTGGAAATAACAGTGGCCTCAAGACAGACAAGGTCCTTTATGGAAGTTTAGGGAGGAAATAGTTAGGAGAGGAAATACAACAAAGATGATGAAACTGAAAATAAACAAGATAATGATAAATGACTTGGAGAAACTAAACCAGCTAAGGGGACAGAGAAGGCTAGGAGAGGCAGGTGGAGGAAGAGCTGCCTTGTAGAGTGGTCACAGGTGGCTGCTCTGAAGAGGTGACATTTGAGCCAAGACTTTTAGTGAGAAGGAACCAGCCATGCAAAGATCTGTGACAAGAACATTCTAGGGCTAGAATCTAGGACCACTTTGGACATTCAAAGCAAAGGAAGGAAGAGGAAGGGGAGCATGGGGGAGATGAAACGCAAGGAAGGCAGAGGTCAGATCTTGGATGCTGTGCCATAAAGTGTCTGGGTTTCTTTTTCTTTCTCTTTGTTTTGAGGCAGGGTCTCACTTTCCCCTGGGCTGCGGTACAGTGGCACAGTCATGGCTCACTGCAGCCTCAATCTCCTGGGCTCAAGTGATCCCCTCTGCTCAGCCTCCTGAGTAGCTGGGACTACAGGTGCACGCCACCGCATCCGGCAAACTTTTTATTTTATTTATTTATTTATTTTGTAGAGACGGGTCTCACTTTGTTGCCCAGGCTGGTCTTGAACTCTTGGGCTCGAGCAATTCTCCCACCTCCGCATCCCAAAGTGCTGGGATTATAGGCATGAGCCACCGCACCCAGCCAACTGTCTGTTTTCTTCTAACTGCAACAGGAAGGCTTTGAAGGGTGATGAATTATGTTTGGAATGTTGTGAAATTCTGCATGTTAACCTAAGTATTTTCCTGTTTTTAGAATAATGTTTTGTAATGCTTGAGCATTTTATCTTTAAAGTTTGTGGCTTCTGAATAGAAAGGACTAAACTTGAGAAAGAGAGTCTGGGTGATCTGAAACCCAGTTGATAGGATCTGGAGAAATGCAGACGACTCCTATTCATCTTCCTACATGTATCTTAATTAGAAAGATTGGCCTTTGTGCCTGAGAGGTCTGGTGACAGTGCCAGGGGTG